>NC_000010.11:21885000-22510000 GCF_000001405.40 Homo sapiens
AATCCACACATATCAATACTAACCCTGAATGTCAATGTGCTAAATGCCCCACTTAAAAGTCACAGAGTGGCAAGCTGGATAAAAAAACAAGACTCAATGGCATGCTGTCTTCAAGAGACCCATCTCACAAGTAACGATGCCCTTAGCCTCAAAATAAAGAAATGAAGGGAAAACTACCAAGCAAATGGAAAACAGAAAAAAGCAGGGGTTGCAATCCTAATTTAAAGATTAAAAAACACAAAAAAAGGGCAATACATAATGGCAAAGGGTTCAATTCAACAAGACTTAACTATCCTAAATATATATGCACCCAACACAGGAGGACCCAGATTCATAAAGCGAGTTCTTAGAGACCTAAAAAGAGACACAGACTCACCCACATTAATAGTTGAAGACTTCAACACTCCATTGACAGTATTAGACAGATCACTGAGGCAGAAAATTAACAAAGATATTCAGGACCCAAACTAAACAGTGAACCAAATGGATCTGATAGATCTCTACAGAACTTTCTACCCCCAAACAACAGAATATACATTCTTCTCCTTGCCACATGGCACATACTCTAAAATTGATCACATAATTGAACATTAAACTATCCTCAGCAAATGCAAAAGAACCAAAACCGTATTAAACACACTCTCAAACCACAGTGCAATAAAAACAGAAGACTAAGAAACTTGCTCAAAAGAATGCAATTACACGGAAATTAAATGACATACTCCTGAATGACTTTTAGATAAATCATGAAATAAAGGCAGAAATCAAGAAGTTCTTTGAAACTAATGAAAACAAAGATACAACATACCAGAATATCTGGGACACAGCTAAGGCAGTGTTAAGAGGGAAATTCATAGCGCTAAATGCCCACATCAAAAAGTCAGAAAGATCTCAAATTAACAACCTAACATCACAACGGAAAGAATTAGAGAAGCAAGAACAAATCAACTGCAAAGATAGCAGGAGACAAAACATAACCAAAATCAGAGCTGAAATGAAGGAGACAGAGACAAGAAAATCCATTCAAAAGATAAACAAATCCAAGAATGGATTTTAAAAAAAAATTTAACAAGATAGGTAAGCTACTAGCTAGGCTAATAGAGAGAAAACCCCAAAAACCACAATTAGAAATGATGAAGGGTGTCATCATTACCACTGACCCCACAGAAGTAAAAATAACCAACAGAAACTACTACAGAAACCTCTATGCACACAAACTAGAAAACCTAGAAGAGATGGATAAATTCCTGGACACATACACCCTCCTAAGACTGAACCAGAAAGAAATTGATTCCTTGAATAGACCAATAATGAGCTCCAAAATTGAATCAGTAATAAATTAGGCTCCCAACTAAAAAAAGGCCAGGACCTGATGGATTCACAGCTGAATTCTACCAGATGTACAAACAGCTGGTATCATTCCTACAGAAACAATTCCAAAAAACTGAGGAGGAAGGACTCCTCCCAAACTCATTCTATGAGGCCAGCATCATCCTGATACTAAAACCTGGCAGAGCCACAACAACAAAAAAACTTCAGTTCAACATCCTTGATTAACAGTGATGCAAAAATTACAAAATATTTGCAAACTGAATCCAGCAGCACATCAAAAAGCTAATCCACCTCAATCAAGTATTCTTCAACCCCAGGTAGCAAGGTTGGTACAACATAAGCAAATTAATAAATGTGATTCTTCACATAAACAGAACTAAAGACAAAAACTGCATGATTACCTGAATAGATACAGAAAAAGCTTTCAATAAAATTCAACACCCCTTTATGTTAAAAAAAACTCTCAATAAACTAGGTATTCCCTTTGAAAATTGGCACAAGACAAGGATGCCCTTTCTCACCACTTCTATTCAACACAGTATTGGAAGTCCTAGCTGAAGCAATTAGGCAAGAGAAAGAAATAAAGCACATTCAAATAAAAAGAGAGGAAGCCAAACTGTCCCTGTTTGCAATTGACATGATTCTATATCTAGAAAACCCCATAGTTTCGGCCCAAAGCTCCTTTAGCTGGTAAACATCTTCAGCAAAGTTTCAGGATACAAATCAATGTACAAAAATCACTAGCATTCCTATACTCCAACAACAGCCAAACCTAGAGTCAAATCAGAAAGGCAATCCTATTCACAACTGCCGCAAAAAGAATAAAATACCTAGGAATACAGCCAACCAGGGAGGTGAAAGAGTTCTATGACGAGAATTACAAAACTCAAATAAAGAAATCAGAGAAGACACAAACAAGTGGAAAAACATCCCATGCTCATGGATAGGAAGAATCAGTATCATTTAAATGGTCATATTGCTCAAAGTAATTTACAGATTCAATGCTATTCCTATCAAATTAACAACGACATTCTTCACAGAACTAGACAAAACTATTTTAAAATTCATATGAAATGAAAAAGAGCCTGAATAGCCAAGACAATCCTAAGCAAAAAAAACAAAACTGGAGGCATCACACTACCTTACTTCAAACAATACTACAGGGCTACATAACCAAAACAGCATGGTACTGGTACAAAAACAGGCACATAGACCAATGGAACAGAACAGAGAGCCCAGAAATAAGGCTGCACACCTATAACCATCTGACTTTTGACAAAGCTGATAAAAACAAGCAATAAGGAAAGGACTCCCTATTCAATAAGTGGTGCTGGAATAACTGGCTAGCCATATGCAGAAGATTGAAACTGGACCCCTTCTTTACACCATACACAAAAATCAACTAAAGATGGAGTAAATATTTAAACATAAAACCCAAAACTATAAAAAACCTGGAGGACAACACAGGCAATAGCAACCTGGATGTAGGAATGGGCCAAGATTTCATTACAAAGACACCAAAAGCAATTGAAACAAAAGCAAAAATTGACAACTGAGATTTAAACTTAAGAGCTTCTGCACAGCATAAAGAAACTATCGACAGAGTAAAAAGACAACCTACAGAATGGGAGAAAATTTTTGAAAACTCTGCATGTGACAAAGGTCTAATATCCAGGATCCATAAGGAACTTCAATAAATATACAAGAGAAAAACAAACAACCCCATTAAAAAGTGGGCAAATGACATAAACAGACACTTTTCAAAAGAAGACATCCATGCAGCCAATAAGCACATGAAAAAAAGCTCCATATCACTGATTATTAGAGTAATGCAAATCAAAACCACAATGAGATACCATCTCTATCCAGTCAGAATGACTATTACTAAAAGGTCAAAAAATAACAGATGATGCCAAGGTTATGGAGAAAAGGGAACACCTATACACTGTTGGTGGGAGTGAAAATTAGTTCAACCATTATGGAAGACAGTATGGTGATTCCTCAAAGAGCTAAAAGCAGAACTACTATTTAACCTAGCAATACCATTACTGAGTATATACTCAGAGGAGTGTAAATCATTCTACCGTAAAGACACATGCACACAGATGTTCAATGCAGCACTATTCACAATAGCAAAGACATGGAATCAACCTGAATGCCCATCAATTAGCAATTTGATAAAGAAAATATGGTACATATACATCATGGGATACTATGCAGCCATAAAATGTGGTACATATACACCATGGAATACTATGCAGCCATAAAAAGAATGAGATCATGTCTTTTGCAGGAACATGGATGGAGCTGGAGGCTGTTATCCTTAGCAAACTAAACCAAGAATAGAAAACCAAATACCATATGTTTTCACTTACAAGTGAGAGCTAAATTATGAGAACTTATGAGCACAAAGAAGGAAACAAAAGACACTGGGGTCTACTTGAGGTTGGAGGGTGGGAGGAGGGAGAGGAGTAGAAATGATAACTATTGGGTACTGGACTTAATATGTGGGTGATGAAATAATCTGTACAACAAGTCCCTGTGACATGAGTTTACCTATGTAAGCTTTTTTAAAGCTTATTTATTTTTCTAAACTTTTAGGTTCACATGTTCCCCTGAACCTGAAAGTTTAAAAAATACATAAATAAATAAGCTTTAAAAAAATCTTTTTTCAAAATGTATTAGTTCATTCTCACATTGCTATAAATAACTGAGACTGGGTAACTGATAAAGAAAAGAGGTTTAAGTGGCTCACAGCTCTGCGGGTTGTACAGGAAGTGTGAATGCTTCTGCCTCTGGGGAAGTCTCAGGAAACTTTCAATCACGGCAGAAGGCAAAGGGAGAACAGGTGTCTTACATGGCAGGGGCAGAAACGAGAGAGAGAGGGAGGAGCTGCTACACGCTTTTAAACAAGCAGATCTCATGAGAACTCACTGTCTCAAGAAGAGCACGAAGGGGATTTGCTAAACCATTCATGAGACATTGCCCCCATGATCAAATCACCTCCCACCAGACCCCACCTCCAATACTGGTGATTATATTTCAACATGAGATTTGGGTGGGAGCACAGATCCCAACCATATGAGATATTAATATAAAACTTCCATTTCAGAAAAAATGGAGAACTTTTCCACATTCCTCTCACTAAGAATTATAAAAAAGATAAAAGAGTAAACAAGTTATTTGTTTACTCATATCTTATAGTAACCATTATATATACAACAAACACAAGAAGAATTTGAAAGTTAAGAGAGAAGCCTGACCAGCTAGGTACTGCAGGACTCAAGAATACCCACAGTGGTCAGTTCTACGAGTTTTCTTTGTGTTTCTTATGTATCTCAGACTTGGTGCTGCAGAAACTAGCAACCCAGAAACACTAACAGGCACAGACACACACATACAGGCAAAACAAAAACAAAAGCCTGCTCTCTCTAGCTAAAGGGTCAAAAAAGAGACAGCATAGGCATTTATCTTTTGTCTAGAAGATAAAGCTTTTAGACAATAACCACTCTAATACAGGCAAACAAGACAGAAAGTAGTGTTACCCCCATCCCACCACCCAGCATAAGAGCAAAGACTAATGGGAAACCTAGGCTGCTGCCATTGCCAGCCTGTAATGAGGCACCCAACCTCCCCACCAGGGTGATGTGAGAGAGAAGGCTAAAAGGTAAGGCGGATCCTTCTCCTGCTAATAAAGTCAGTGGAGACTATATGGGTAGCCTGAACCTCCAGAACCACCCAGAAGTAATAGGTGTCTCTTCCTCTATCAGGCAGTGTGGTTACAGAGGAAGTCTAGTGGGCTGGTGTGATGGCTCACACCTGTAATCTCAGCACTTTGGGAGGCTGGGGGGGGGTGGATGACCTGAGGTCAGGAGTTCAAGACCAGCCTGGCCAACATGGTGAAACCCTGTCTCTACTAAAAATATGAAAATTAGCCAGGTATGGTGGTGTGTGCCTGTAATCCCAGCTACCGGGGAGGCTGAGGCAGGAGAATCGCTTGAACCTGCGAGGCAGAGGTTGCAGTGAGCCAAGATCACGCCACTGCACTCCAGCCTGGACGAAACAGTGAGACTCCATATCCCCCCCTACAAAAAAAAAAAAAAAAAAAGAAAGGAAGCCTACTGAAGAATCAGGGCTTTCACAACTGCCCAATGGTAACAAAGCCATCCCCATATAATGTCAGTGGAGATCAAGTGGGGTGCAGTAAGTAGGTATTCCTGCTCCTCCTTCCAGGCAGCGGTTTTCAGTGGAGGCCTAGAGGCAAGCAGGAATATCTATACCCACCTGAGAATCCACAAACGCTCCGTTCCTCATCTGTTAAACAGACCACATAGGAAACCTGGACTTCAATTCTACCTAGCAGTAACAGGCAGCACTACCCCTTCCATGGCTAGAGTACTGCCAGAGAAGACCAGCTAAAACAGAAGACTTAAATAAGGTCCAAAGTTTCATAATACCCCTAAATGTCCAAATTTAAATCAAAAATCAGTTGTTACACCAAGAACCAAGAATGCCTCAATTTGAATGACAAAAGGTAACAGATGCCAACAAGATAAAAGAGATATTTAAATTACTTGGCTGGGCATGGTGGCTCACACCTGTAATCCCAGCTCTTTGGGAGGCCAAGGTGGGCAGATCACCTGAGGTCAGGAGTTCGAGTCCAGCCTGGTCAACATGATGAAACCCTGTCTCTACTAAAAATACAAAATTAGCCAGCTGTGGTAGTGCATGCCTGTAATCCCAGCTACTCAGGAGGCTGAGGCAGGAGAATCGCTTGAACCCAGGAGGCGGAGGTTGCAGTGAGCCAAGACGGTACCATTGCATTCCAGCCTGGGCAACAGAGTGAGACTCCATCTCAAAAAAATAAATAAATAAAAAATTACTTGACTGTGTTATCAAAGCAGCCATGTCATAATGATATGACAAGCAATAATGAACACTCTTGAAACAAATAAAAAGTTTCAGCAAAAAAATAGAAGACATATAGAAGAACCAAATGGAAATGTCAGAATTGATGTGTACACTAACTGAAGTTAAAAACTTATTGGATGGGCTCAACAGCAGAATGAAGCAAACAGGGAAAAGAATCAGTGAATCTGAGGATAGAAAAACATAAAGTGCCCAATCTGAAAAACAAAGTAGACAAAAAAAAAAAAAAAAAAAGAAAAGAAAAAAAAAAGAACACCGCCCTGGGAAGTTTTGGGACTCTGAACAGCAACTTAAAAGCAGCAACAGAGAAACAAGACCTTATCTGTAGTAGAAGTACAATTCAAATGACAGTGTATTTCTCACCCCAAACCATAGAGGCCAGAAGGAAGTGGCACAGCACTTTTCAAATGCTGAAAGAAAGTAACTGTTATACCTGAAGTCAATATCCTGTGACAATATCTTACCGGCATGAAGGGGAAACCAAGACATCCTGAGATGAAGGAAAACTAAAATAATTCGTCACCAGTGGACCTATCCTGCAATAATGGCTAAAAGAAGCTCTATAAACAGAAAATAAATCATAAAAGAAAATATATTGGACAACAAGGAAAGAAGAAAGGACAAAAGAGTAAAAATATGAGTAAACGCAATAGACTTTCCTCCTGCTCTTGAGTTTTCTAATTATGTCTGACCACTAAATCAAAATTATAACCTTCAGTGTTATAAAGAAAATACTCAAGACAATGATACTATAAATAAAGAAGGTAAAGGGATTTAAGGGGAGGTAAGGTTTTTATATGTCACTTGAAATAGCAAAAATCTGACACCAGTAGACTGTGATGTTATGTATATATAACATACTTATTATACTCACTAAAAAGTGATACAAAGAAATATATTTAAAAAAACATTAAAAATAAATTCAAGTGGCATTCTAAAAAATGTTGAGCCACAGGGAGGCAGAAAGAAGAAAACAAAGAAATGATAATAAGAGAGAAAAAATAGGAAATAAAAAATACAATAGCAGACTTAAGCCCTAACATATCAATCACTATATTAAATGTAAATGGTTTAAATACACAAATTGTCTATTTAACACACACACACACACACACACACACGGTCTTTCATCTTTTTTACATATATATGCTATTTATAACAGAGAAATTCTATCTGTAATAGAGAAAAAAGAGAAATGATAGAGAGAAATAATAGAAAATAAAAAATAAAATGGCAAACTTAAGCCCTAACATATCAATCACTATATTAAATATAAACAGTTTAAATATACAAACCATTTAATACACACACACAAACATATAAACACATGGTTTTTCATCTTTTTTACATATATATATATATGCTATCTATAACAAACTCATTTCAAATATAACAATATGGGTAGACTGAAAGTAAAAGGATTGGAAAGATATACCATACAAACATTAATCAAAAGAAAGCAGCAGTAGTTATATTAATATCAGGTAAGGTAAAGTAGACTATAAAGCAAAAACAAATTACCAGGAATGAAGAGAGACATTATATAATGATAAAAAGATCCACCAAGATGGCATAGCAATCCTAAATGTGTGTGCACCAAACAACAGAGCTGCAAAACATGTGAAACAAAAACTGACGGAACTGGAGACAAATTTATAATTACAGTCAAAAAGTCCAATACCCCCTCTCAATAATTAATAGCATAACTAAATATATAAATAAGCAATGATATACAACTCAACAATGCCATCAGCCAACCGGATGTAACTGACATTTATAGAACACTCCAATTCACCACAGCAGAATACACATTCTTTTCAAATGTCCATGGAATATATGCCAAGATGGATCATATCTTGGGCCATAAAACAGACCTGAACAAACTTAAAGGAATTTAACTCATACAGAGTATGCTTCCTAATGAAAAGGGAATTAAACTATTAATGTTTAATAGAAATATAACAAAAACGTCTCTGAACATTTGGAAACGAAGCAATATACTTTTAAATAATCAATGGATCAAAGAGGAAATCTCAAGAAAAAAATACTGAGCTGAGTCAAATAAAAATATATCAAAATATGTGGCCAAGTGCAGTGGCTCACAGCTGTAATTCGAGCACTTTGGAAGGCCAAGGTGGGTGGATCACTTGAGGTCAGGAGTTCAAGACCAGCCTGGGCCAACATGGTAAAACCTTATCTCTACTAAAAACAAAAAAATTAGCCGGGCATGGTGGCAAGTGCTGTAATCCCAGCTACTCAGGAGGCTGAGGTGAGAGAATTGCTTGAACCCAGGGGGCGGAGGTTGCAGTGAGCCGAGATCACACCACTGCACTTCAGCCTGGGCCACAGAGTGAGACTCAGTTAAAAAAAATAATAATAAATAAAATCAAAATATATGAGACATAGCCAAAGCAGTGCTGAGAGGGAAATGTATAGCATTAAATGCTGACATTAGAAAAGAAAAAAAGCCTCAAATTAATAATCTAAACTTCCATGTCAAGAAATTATAAAAAGAAGACCAAAACAATCCAAAAGCAAGCAGAAGGAAGGAAGTAATAAAAATAAGAGCAGAAATCAATGAAATTGAAAACAAAAACCATAGAGAAAATCAATTAAACAAAGAACTGATCCTTTGAAAAGATCAACAACTGGCGAATCTGACAAAGGAAACAGAAGACAAAAGTTACCTATATTAAAAAGGAGAAATCACTACAGGGCATGTAGACATCAAAAGGATAAAAAACAAATATTAGGAACAACTCTAGATACATGTATTTGACAACTTAGATGAAAAAGACCAATTGCTCAAAAAACACAAACTATCTCAATTCACTCATGAAACAGATAAATGAAACATGAAATAGATATTTAAATAGCTCTATAACTATAAATCCAATTTAATTTGTTATTTTAATACTCCAAAGAAAGAAATATTCAGGCTCAGATGATCTCCCCACAGAATTCTGCCAAACATTTCAAGAATTAATACCAGTGTTAGACATTCTCTTTCAGAAAATAGAAGAGGAAGGCTGGGCACGACGGCTCACGTCTGTAATCCCAACACTTAGGGAGGCCAAGGCAAGTAGATCACTTCAGGTCACGAGTTCGAGACCAGCCTGGCCAACACGGTGAAACCTCATCTCTACTAAAAATACAAAAATTAGCCAGGTATGGTGGCAGGCACCTGTAATCCCACCTACTTGGGAGGCTAAGGCAAGAGAATCACTTGAACCTGGGAGGTGTAGATTGCAGTGAGCCAAGATTGCACGATTGCACTCCAGCCTGGGCAACAAGAGCAAAACTCTGTTTTTCAAAAGAAAAAGAAAACAGAAGAGGAGAGAAAGCTTCCTATTTCATTATATGAAGCTGGCATTACCAATACCAAGGTAACACAAAGATAATGCAAAAAGAGAAAGCTAATGCTATGAACGTTTGTGTCCCCTCCAAAATTCATGTAGAAACAGTCTGCACAGAGGTGGAGCCTTTGGAAAGTGATTATGTCATGAGGGCTCCTCCCTCATAAACAGGATTAAAGCCCTTACAAAAGAGGCTTCACACAGCATGCTGTCCCCTTTCTTCTATCTCTTCTGCCATGTGAGCACACAGCATTCATCTCCCCTAGAGGATGCAGCAACAAGGTGCCATCTTGGAAACAGAGACCAGGGCCTCATCAGATACTAAACTTGCTGGTATCTTGATCTTGGACTTCTCAGACTCCACAAGTGTGAGAAATAAATTTCTGTTGATCATAAATTACCCAGTCTCAGTTATTTTGTATAGCAGCACAAAATAAACTAAAATAGAAAGTAGTAGTGAGAACCGATGGTGCTACTATAACAAATACCTGAAAATGTAGAAGTGGCTTTGAAATTGGGTAATGGGTAGAAGCCAGAATAGCTTTGAAGTGCATGCTAAAGCATTAAGCATGTTTCCAGTGAGAGCTCTGCAGAAGAGGAGAGCTGTAGAGAAACCCTCAGTCATCTTAGAGATGATCTAAGTGGTTGTGATCAGAATGCTCGTAGAAATATGGACAGTAAAGGCCATTCTGATAAGGCGTTAGTTGGAAATGAGGAGCAGTTTATTGGAAACTGGAAGAAGGGCCACCCTTGCTGCAAAGTAGCAATGAACTTGGCTGAATTGTGTTTTGTGTCCTATTACTTTGTGGAAGGCAGAACTTAAGAGCAATGGGCTAGGTTATTTTGTGGATGACATCTCTAAGTAAATTGTTCAGGGTGCTTCATGGCTTCTCTTGACTACTTATAGTAAAATGCAAGAAGAGAGAAACAAATTAAATATAAAATTTGTAATTAAAAGGAAAGCAGAAGTTAAAGATTTAAAAAATTCTCAGCCTGGTCAGGTTTTAAAGTATGCTTGAGGGAGAATGCCAAGGGTGTCGCCAAGCAAACATTTGATAAGGAGATTTAATATGAATAGAAGGAAGACAGATGCTATTCATCAAGACAATGGAAGAATGACCGCAAAGGCATTTTGGAGATTATCTGTGCTGCCCTTCTCATAGCAGGCTCAGAGCACCAGGTCCTTGAGGGCAGAACAGTTTCAAAAAAGGGGCCCAAAACACTTGTGAAACCATGGGGCTTGTTGCTCAGGATGTCTTGTTTCTTTCCCACACATTCAGACACAATGTTCCTCAGTCACCTCAGGTACAGCTCATGCAGGCCACCACTTCAGGCCACCACTTCAGGGGGCACAAGCAGTAAACCTTGGTGGCATCCATGTGGTGCTAACTCTGCAGGTGCACAGAGTACGTGAGTTGTGGAGACATGTCTACCTAGATTTCAACAGATGCCTCATAGAGCCTTGGGGCCCAGGCAAGGAAATGCCACAAAGGTGGGGCTGCTAGAGACAGCCCCAACTAGGGAAATGCCCAGTGGAGCAATAGAAGTGGGGCCACCACTAAGACCTCAGAACTGCAGAGCCACCAGCATGCAACTTCAGCCTGGGAGAGCTTGCAGGCATGAGACTCCAGCCTGTGATAGCTGCTCTGTGGGCTGTGACCAACAAAATTATAGTGCTGGGGTTGCCCAGAGCCTTGGGGACCCAACCTCTACTCTCCTGTGTCTGGAAGATGAAACACGAAGTCAAAGTTGATTATTCTCAGGCCTCAAAAATTAATGGTGCTTGCCATATTGGGTTTTCAGCTTACTTGGGGACTGTTACCCCTTTATTCTTTCCTATTTCTCCCTCTTTGCATGAGAATATCAATTTTATGCCGGTCCCATCATTATAATGTGGAAGCATAGAAACTGTTTGATTTCACAGGTTCACAGGTAGAGGGGAATTGGCCTCAGAATGAATTGTACACCTTGAGTCTCACCCATATCTGATTTAGATTATATTTAGATAAGACTATAGACCTTAAACTTTAAAGTTGATGCTGGAATGAGTTACGGCTTTGGGGGCTATTGGTATTTAATTAATATGTTTTGTATGTGAGAAGGATATAAATTTTGGAAGGGGGGGGTTCAGAAGTGAAATGCTATGGTTTCAATGTTTGAGTCCTTCCAAAATTTATGTGGAAGCAACCTCCAATGCAATAGTATTAAGAGGAAAAGGCCACTGGGAGGTGATGAGGTCATGAGGGCTCTTCCCTCTTGAAAAAATTAAGACTCTTACAAAAGAGACTTCACACAGCATTCAACCCCTTTTCCCCTTCTGTTCCTTGTGAGGACATGTGTTTGTGCCCTCCGGAGGATGTGCAACAAGGTGCCATCTTGGAAGCAGACAGAAACCTTTGCCAGACACCAAACGTACTGATGCCCTGATCTTGGACTCCCCAGCATCAAGAAGAGAATTAAATTTCTGTTCATTATAAATTAGCCAGTCTCAGGTTATTTCCCAGGTATTTTGTTACAGCACAAATGGACACTGACAATTACAGACCAGTATCTCTCATGAATATAGATGTAAAATTCTTTAACAAAATAGTAGCAAATAGAATTCAGCAATAAGAATTATATACCATGTCCTCGTGGTGTTTACTCCAAGTATGCATAGCTGGTTCAATATTCAAAGTCCAATAATGTAATATATCGTATTAATACACCAAAAATGAAATATCACATAATCACAATTATTGATAGAGGAAAAAAAACACTTCACAAAATTCAACACCCCGTCATGATTTTAAAAAATGCTCAGAAAACTAGGAATAGAGGGAAACTTTATTAACTTCATGTACAGCAGGGGTCCTCAACACCCTGGGCCATGGACTTAGGAACCAGACCGCCTAGCAGGAGGTGAGCGGCAGGAGGACAAGCATTACTGCCTGCGCCCTGCTTCCTGTCAGATCAGCAGTGGCATTAGATTCTCAAGGATCTAAGTTGCACAATCTTTATAAGAATCTAACTACAGTTTCATTACAAAACCATCCCCCACTGCCACCAGGTGCATGGAAAAACTGTCTTCCACGAAATCGTTCCCTGGTGACAAAAAGGTTGGGGACCACTGATGTAAAGCATCTACAAAACACCTACAGCTTACATCATACTTAACGGTGTAATACTAAATGCTTTCCCCTTAAGGTTTGGAATAAGGCAAGGATGCCCACTCCCACCACACTTTGTTGTACATAGTACCAAAATTCTAGCTAGTACTATAAGGCAGGAAAAGGAAATAAAATGCATAGATTGTAAAGGAAGAAGTAAATCTGTCCCCACGGTCAGATGACATAACTGTCTACACAGAAAATCCAAGGAATCTACATTAAAAAATCTTAGCACTAATAAGTAAATTCAGCAAGTTAGCAAAACAAATATCTGCATTCAAAAATCAATTGAATTTCTTACACACAGTGAACATGCGGAAACTGAAATTAAAATCCAACACCATTTATAACCACTCAAAATAAAGAGAAGCAGGTATAAACCTAACAAAACACACACAGGATTTAATTTGCTAACAACTACAAAAGACTGAAGAAATAAATCAATGAAGATATAAATAATTAATGAAGAAACATACTATATTCATAGATTTGGAATACTCAATGGTAAATATATCAATCCTCTCCAAACTGAAATATAATCATGTACCACATTATGATATTTTAGTCAACAATGGTCCACATATATGATGGTGGCCCATAAGATTATAATGGAGCCACTGTAAAGTCATGGCGCAATGCATTACTCATGTGTCGTAGTGATGCTGGTATAAACCCACTGCACTGCCAGTTATATAAAAGTATAGCACATTCAATTGTGCACAGTATATAACACTTGATTATAATAAATAAGCATGTTATTAGGTTATGTATTTACTATACTATACTTTTTTTTTTTTTTTTTCCAGACAGAGTCTTGCTCTTGTTGCCCAGGCTGGAGTGCAATGGCGCGATCTTGGCTCACTGCAACCTCCACCTCCTGGGTTCAAGCAATTCTTGTGCCTCAGCCTCCCAAGTAGCAGGCATTATAGACATGTGCCACCACAGCCAGATAATTTTTGTATTTTTTAGTACATGTATATTTAGTACATGACGAGGTTTTGCCATGTTGGCCAGGCCAGAATATACTATACTTCCTAACATTACTTTAGAGAGTATTCCTTCTACTTACTAAAAAAAAAAAAAAGAAGATGGCTGATTAGAAGCAGCGGCAGTCTACAACGCTCAGAGAGAGGAACAAAAGGGGTGAGTGAATTCAGCACCTTCAACTGAAATATCCCGGTTCTCACATTGGGACTGACTAGGAAAACTACTTGACCCATGGAAAATGAAGAAAAGCGGGGTGGGGTGATGGCCCCCCAGAGAGTGGCATGAAGCTAAAGGAACCCCCAACCCCAGCCAAGGGAAGCAGTGAGTGACTGCAACCACACCTGGGAAACCACACTTCTCTCACATATCTATGCAATCCATCAATCAGGAGATCCCCTCAAGAGCCTATGCCACGAAGTCCTTGGGTACAATACACAGAGCTATGTGGAGTCTTGGCAGAGCAGCCACTGAGGCACACACAGAGGCTGAGAGTTTTACATACTCCAGCCCTGGGATCCCTGGCAAGGCAGGCAATTCATCTGTACATATCCCTAGGAAGGGGGCTGAATCCAGGGAGACAAGCAGCATCATTCTGCAGGCCCCACTTCTATGGCACCTCACGAGTTAAGACCCACTGGGGCTCGGAATTACAGCTGGCCAACAGCAACAGGCTGGAGTCTACCTGAGACAGGACCTGGGGCAAGGGGCAGGTGCCATCTCTGCAATTCAGCAGACTTGGCCATTCCAACCTGCTGGCTTTGGAGTATACAGACAGTCCAAATGAGAAAGGATCCCCCAACAATGCAGCACAGCTGCCTTGCCAAGACTTGCAAGACTGCTTCTTTAAGCGGGACCCCAATTCATTCTTCCTCACTGGGCTGGACCTCCCTGTGGGGGCTTCAGCCACTCCAGCCAGAGTTCTACGAACAGAGCTCTGATCTGTTGAGGACGGGAATGGGATCAGGGACCTACTTGAACAAGCAGTCCGGCTGCCTTTTGGTAGAATAGGTATCCTGCATTGCGGGGGGACCCTTCCTAGTCCAGACTGTTTGGATTCTCCAAAACTGGCAGGCTGGAACTCAAAGCTGAGTCTGCTGAACCGCAGAGGCCACCCCTCTGCCTAGGAGCTTTGTCTCAGAAAGAGATCAGAGCTGGAAACTTTCCAGGACTGGAAGTTGCTGTGGGTGTCAGTGAGTGATTGGTGAGTGAATGTGAAGACCTCGGACATTACTGTGTAACATGGTAGACTTTGTAAACACAGTACACTTAGGCTACACAAAATTTACTTTCAGAAATTTTCTTCAATAGGCTGGGTGCAGCAGCTCACACCTGTAATCCCAACACTTTGAGAGGCCGAGACAGGTGGATCACCTGAGGTCAGGAGTTCGAGACCAGTCTGGACAACATGGTGAAACCCCGTTTCTATTAAAAATACAAAAATTAGCCGGTCATGGTGGTGCACACCCGTAATCCTAGCTACTCGGGAGGCTGAGACAGAAGAATCACTTGAACCTGGGAGGCGGAGGTTGCAGTGAGCCAACATTGCGCCACTGCACTTGAGCCTGGGTGGCAGAGTGAGACTCCATCTCAAAAAAAAAAAGCAAAAGAAAAAAAAAGATAAAGAAATTTGACTAATTAATCTATAGCCATAAACACTTATATATTCAATTGGATAAAAATTTTCTGAATCATTGCCATGGGGAAACTAAGACTGCATTATATTTGTACATACACAGCATTATGATTTGAAATATTAAGGGAATTGTAAATTTATATTTGAGTTGTATGATTTTAAAATTTCACACTTCCATTGGTATTCAAATATCCTAGGATATTATACTGTACCCTAGGTAAAAGTACCTAGGATAAAATACTATATTCTTTAGATATTATCTGCCTACATATAAACTGTTTTGGAACAAGGGCTCCTATTAGATTTTAGGTTTTATAATATGAAATGGCATAAGGTACAGAGATTCTATTAGGTCATGTTTTCAGATATGCTGGAGCTAGTGATCAGTTACATGCCTCCGCATAAGTTATCTCAGAGAGTATATTCCCATCCGTGAGCACCCTATGTTACCACAGGCAAAGTGTTCTAACCTAAACTGCGGCTGCTCTTTCTCAATCTATTTTTCCTTCTTCCCTACCAACCCCTGAATCAACTACTTTCCTCATGAACCTGAGTTTTCTAGAAAATCACTCTTCCTTTAGTCTTAAGGAAGGTGACTAAATTTTCTCATCCTGCCACACTGAAAAGTCACATTCTGTCCCCCCACTTTCTCGCTAAGTGCTTCATCCTACAGGGTGTGTCCCTGAGGCACCCTTACTTCAGTCCCTTTCTGGGGCATGCAACAAGGACCACAAAACAAGAAGAAAAACATAACTAATGTTGGGAACTATTTCTCCATATTTAAATGAAGTACTTGGCAGTAGAGTTTTGATTATTTAATTCTGGTTTTGTTTTAAAATCATAGAAGGTACAAAGAAAGGGGTCAAGGAAATAATCGAGTTTACTTCTATCCTTTCCTTTCCTTGTCTATTCAAATTGTGACCTTTATAATTTCTTTATAAAGTAAGTCAAACATGTCTTTTTCTCATGCGATATGGGCTGTTTTAGTACATAGAATTCTCTTTTATTAATTTAGAATAAAACATATCATTAGAGAATGTGTAAAAAATCATTAACCCTCAAAAGTCTAATATTTATAAGTATTCAACTTATTTAAACCTAAACCACAAAATTGATTAAAAGTTTATAATAAAAAGTGCCCCAAATTTCCCAAATATATATCAACAATTTTTTTACAGAAAGACTTCTCAGAAGGATATTTATTTTTAAGAAATCACCCTTTTCACTGCCCCCCATATCTAAAATGCCATTTTAATAAGACTATCACACCCTACTCAAAGTAGTTCTGGTGCAGCCCTCAGAGAATACTGTACAATCTAAGCAGTAAAGCAGATGAGGGCAGATTAGCAATTAGGTCATGAAAAACAGGCAGCATAAAACAGCTATTGCTAATCTACATGAGATGCATTTACTCAATTAAGTAGATGGAAATGTTATTATGAACTTGATATTCTGATGATGGTCTTTAAAATTAAGAAGGATGGGGCAAATGAAATGCACATTGGGGGATTTGGGGCCTTTATGTATTAATTCTAAAGTATACAATGCAGAATACTGTAATGAAGTTAATAAAATTAATTAAAATATTATTTGCATGTAACCATTAGAGACTATATTAAAAAATACATGACAGTCTGACATTGTTAACAGTAAATGTGACTGTTCTTTAACATTCTTAATGTTGATACCATCACCTTTTCTAAATATACCACTGATAAAAGAAGCATGCAAGATAACAATCTTATTATTCACAGCATAGTATGAGGAATGTTTTTAATATGCTTTCTGGTATTATTCCATTCTGAGTTTCAATAACTGATAAGCTAGTGATGAATTTTCAAATGTTTTACAAGACTGTTACACATTTTCACTTTCAGATATTTATATGTTTTTTAGTTTGTGATTTTTACATAATCAGACAATGACAAAATTAAAAGAGACTTTTTTTTTGAGACGGAGTCTTGCTCTGTCACCCAGGCACGATCTCGACTCACTGCAATGTCTGCCTCCCGGGTTCAGGCGATTCTCCTGCCTCAGCCTCCCGAATAGTGGGGATTATAGGCGCACACCACCATGCCCAGCTAATTTTTGTATTTTTAATAGAGATGGGGTTTCACCATGTTGTCCAGGTGGGTCTCGAACTCCTGACCTCTGGTGATCCGCCTGTCTTGGCCTCCCAAAATGCTGGGATTACAGGTGTGAGCCACTGTGCCCGGCCAAGAGGAGACTATTAAATCTGTTTGAGAATTACATCAAACTCTTAAGCAGAACAAAAGTCATTGGACAATTTTGGAAAAATAGTTAACTCCGAAAGGAGCTTTTGTATAGTGATAAACACTTCATGTTTAACCTAATTTCAAAAGGGGTAGTGTATATACTTAGTCTTGTTACTACTAAATAATTCTAACACATCTACCAAAATTATAATATTTTTTTTAACAAAAAATTACATAGAAATGATAAGCTGTGTCCATGAGAGCAATCAAATGTAGTGTATTCACGTTGCCTCTACAGGTAAATTTTGGACTAATTTTATATTTTTCTTTTTTCTTTTTTTTGAGACAGAGTTTCACTCTTGTCACCCAGGCTGGAGTGCCATGGCGTGATCTTGGCTCACTGCAACCTCCACCTCCCAGGTTCAAGTGATTCTCCTGCCTCAGCTCCCAAGTAGATGGGATTACAGGTGTCCGCCACTATGCCTGGCTAATTTTTGTATTTTTAGTAGAGACGGGGTTTTTATGTTGGCTAGGCTGGTCTCCTGACCTCAGGTGATCCGCCCGCCTCGGCCTCCAAAAGAGCTGGGATTACAGGCGTAAGCCACTGCGCCTGGCCGATATTCTTCTCTTTTCTTATAAATGTAATTTTTCTTCTCCTTGTGATTAGTCTGAAAAGGCTTAGAAATTGTAATCTACCAATTTTTCCTAAAATAACAATTATATAAAAATGACAAGAGTTTCATTTGCACACTCCTACTTTTTAACACATATGTCAACCTTGGCATGTAATAATCCTCTATCATTCTTACTCCTTCTTAACAGAAGTCTACTTTAAACAATTATATAGTTGATCTGAATATTATTTTGTATTTGTAAGTATTGAAGCTTTTTGAATTAAATTATGTGCTTCTTGAGATGGTGTTTTACATGGCTAGGTGCTCAGTGGATGCTCATTAATATTCATGGCATTACATGAATTCATACATCTATCCATTTACTGAACATTTATTATGTGCCAGGACCCTGTTTGATGCTACAGACACAGAGATGAACAGTCTCTGTTCTAAAGCTGTCCAGACACCTGAAGGATTGTGATAGACTGAAAAATGACCCCCTAAAATGACCACACCCAAATCCCTACAACCTGGGACACAACAGTGAACAAAACAGATAAAGTCCTTACCCTCATGGAGCTTACATTCTACTGGGGGTGGGGGGTTGGAAATCAGATGGTAAACAAAACTAATATATAAATTAAAGTAGTATTAAGTGCTTGGAATAAAAATAAAGAAATGCAAAGAGACACAGTATATATGTGTGGGAGCCAAGATGTAGATAAGGCAAAAATAGACAAAAGGACTGCGGCTGAGAAAATACCTTTTTACATAATATGTTCAACTTTTCCTAAAATCAGCAAGAACTGTCTTTGTGTTCAATGGAAGATTTCTTTTCAACATACTGATAATTTATACAAAGTTGTTCATACTATATAACAATATTGCAAATTAAACAAAAACTTTCAAAACAAAAATCATTGGTATTTTCAGGTTTCCTAACTACAACTGTTACACAGAAAGTTGGGTGATTAACTGGTTAAACTAGCACTAAATATCAACTGTAATTATAGTACTGAAGTATTTTAGGGCTTTGCAGACTTTGGATGCCCCTAGATTTGAGGAGTTACATGACTCAAGCTGATTTTATCCTTCCTTCTGATATCAAACTTTGGGTGGTAAAGTAATGCTATAATGTAGGATGTTCCATGTCAAATACATTAAGTACAAGTGACTCCACTAGGGAGTGGGAAAAAAAAAAAAAGAAAACCAGAAAATTTAATTACTGCTGAATTTAAAAGATAATTCACATTTAAATAATTAATTTTATATGACATTGTTAAAACACTAATGTTTAAAACTCACTTTGAAGTGTTTCAAGTTCAGTTCTAGTCAGTGCATCTTCCTTTTCCTTCAATCTTGTTTCTTTATATTTAGCATAAAACTGCCCAGCATCCTTAAGAAAAAAAGTTATACATAAATTAACATAAAAATCAGTGTGCTTCAATAATATTTTCCATGTAACTTAACTTTAAAGCATTATATTCATTTTATAAGTAGGCTTTCTTTTTGTTTTCAAATTTTATGATGAGCAGAAATTAAACATTTCTCTATGATTTTTCTCTCCTGGAGAGCCAGTTACAATGAGAAATTTTATGAGTATAATTTTAAACTATTTTTTCTCTCAGATATGGAAAGGAGGTATCCTCTTCCTGTTTTCTTCCATTGTATGCTATTTTCATAATATACTGTTGCATATACAGAGAGCAGAAAAACTCATTTGCTGAACTGATTTGGCACAGTAAATTATATTACTGTGACTAACAAAGTACTACTGCTATTTTCATATTAGCCCTTTAACTACAATAGATATTCAAAATTATCTTCAAATCTGATTATAAAACTTATACGAGCATGTATATAAAAGTGAAAGGTGCCACTCCTCCTTTTACCACCCTTAGAGACGAGTATAAAAACCATTACCATGAAGTCTTGAGGATTGAGGACTGAGGACACATACTGCATACATATACTTAGGTGTCAAGATACAGTGACTGAAGTCTCAATGAGTGGCACACAGGTAAGGCTTTAGTGGTGTACCAAAAAAAAAAAAAACCTAGGTCTTAAATAATGACATACATAAAAATAAACAAGCTGATGCTCTAGGCATATGAGATCCCGACAATGAAAATAAGCAAAACAGATCTTTTACCACACTCCTTGGCTCAAACCTCAGATAGTCTATAGGAATACCACTTGTATTAACAGCTGCCAGCCCACACTGTGCTTCCATGTCTGTGCAATTGCTTTGCCCTCTGGCTACAATATTGTACTTCCCTGGCATTATTCTGATGAACTCTTATTAATCCCTGAAAACCCATTCAAGCCCCATCTCCTTTGCAAGTTTTTCTGACCTTCTCTGGCAGTGTAATTCTCCCTTGTACACTACTTCTATATTTAAACATGTCTATAACTGCTTGTATCATGTTATATTCTCTTCCAGATGAGAAATTGAGAAAGGGATACTTACATGCCCAGAGCACAGTATCTGCCATAAAGCAGGTACTCAATAAGTATTTACCGAATTGAACTAGACTGAAATATGTGAGAAACCTAATAAAGCAAGAAATGAAGGGGCCTGATGACTAACTAAGGTGAAATAAGAAAAAGAAGGGTTTCAAGAATAACTCTAGGGTAACATTCTCAGACCATAAGATTCCTAGAGCAGATAAATCATAGACCCATCTGAGAGAGCTTTATTTCTGCAAGAAATAAAGGAACAAAATCTTTGACACTACTTTGACTCAGATGTAAATACATAAATACTTAAACCCTAGAAACTCTTTTCGTCTACGACTGTGTCCAAATTAAAGCTTTTTCCTGGGGGTCTGTGTCTCTTGGGGTTCTATCAGAACTCTTCCACCTAATAAGAATTTGGTATTCCTAAAATCATTGAATCAATACAATACAGATGTATTGTTAATATAGTAAAAGATCTCTTAATTCTTTTCATCCCCACTTTTATGTTCCTACCTCATTTCTATGAGGATTCACACAAGCCCTAGGCCAGGTAAACAATGGTACTACTAGAAGAGCACAGATGGCCATGCAACCAACTTACTCATCCTCCCATGCCCATATATAGTTTAAGTTTCAACAGGGTTTTGGGTTAAGGTTTTATAGCCCTTAACATTCCCCACCCCCCTTAAAAAAAGTCAACCCTAAAGAAGTATTATTTTATATTAAGCCATATGAGTCATTTATACCTTGGTGTGAATGAATGAATGAGCTTATTAGCTTCTTTCCACAGAGTAGGTTTTAATAGTAGGGAAGAAGAAAAGGTCAGGAAGGCATTGGCTCCTTGAGGGGAGTAGGAAATGTGGCACATGCAAGAAAAGAAGGGCACAGATTAGTTATTTATGAGAGGTAAAAGAAAGTAGGCTGAAATCAATCATCACAGTATAGCACAGTGAAATATGGTGATTAAGAGGACAGATTTGGAGCCAGACTATCTGAATTAAGAACTCAGCTCTGCCATCTTACTAGCTATGTGACATTCAGAAAATTATTTTACTTCTCTGTGGGTCCATTTTCTCATTCATAAAATGGGGATAACAAAAGTACCTAACTTATAGGACTGTTATGAAGATTAAATGTGTTAATACCTGGGAAACAGTTAGAATGATATCTTCTACACAGTTAGGCCTTATATGTATGTTAGCTATTTTTATTATTACTTCTACCAATTTGACAAGGATCTTGTTTTCCAACACAAAGGATGAGTTTTGTGCTTCATACTTCACCAAAATTCCCCTGCCAAATCCTGTATCTTCTTGCTTATGTGACCTTTTTAATTGCATCCTTCTCACTTCATTTTGCTGTATAATAGCAACCTCTCCCTAGTAGTCCTGCCAAATTTGAACATTTTCCCTGTTAATGTTTCTTCTTCCTGCTATGGGACATAATCCCACTAAAACTTCCTCTTTGAAATACACATTTAATCCAAATCCTCACTTATCTGAGGACTGCAATCCACCCAATCACCCTAACCTACTCTACTTAATCTGAGACTTTCATTACATTCCCTAGTTTCAGTCACTATTTTTATCTTCCTTTTGCTCCATTTCTAAGCATTTATTTAAACATTCCTCATGTTTTTTTTTTTTCATATCTTACCTATGCTTTGAAATCAAATTACAATATGCCCACTCCAGGAAACATTACTTCCTTAACAATCTATGAACTCAAGCAATTCTACTTTACTAAACAACTCTACATTGTTTCAACCATCCCTGTGTATAGTTTGGGGTATCACACTTTAAGATGCACTGACAAATAGAAAGACTTTAAAAGGAAAGTGATTAAATAGGGAGGCAGCTTGAAACTCTATTTTTATAAGGGATTAGAGATAAGAAGACTGGGGATAACTTCATAACTACCATACAATATCTCAAGGTTTATTACAGGCAAGAATGTTGTAAACTACTGCATATGATTCCAGAGATGAAAGTTTTGACTTTGGATCAATATGAGGAAGAAGCCAGGTGTGGTGGCTCACACCTGCAATCCTAGCACTTCGGGAAGCCCAGGTGGGCGGATCACTTGAGGGCAGGAGTTCAAGACTAGCCTGGCCAACATGGTGAAGCCCCATGTGTACTAAAAATACAAAAAATTAGCCAGGTGTGGTGGCAGGCACCTGTAATCCCCGCTACTCAGGAGGCTGAGGCAAGAGAATTGCTTGAACCTGGGAGGTGGAGGTTGCAGTGAGCCAAGATCACACCACTGAACTCCAGCATGGGCCACAGAGTGAGACTCTGTCTGAAATATATGAAATATATATGAAATATATTATATATAATAATATATATAAATATATAATATAATATAATATATAAATATATATAATATAATATACATAAATATATATTATATATAAAATATATATAATATATAAAATATATATATAATATATAATATATAAAAATATATAATATATAATATATAAAAATATATAATATATAATATATAAAAATATATATTATATATATAAAATATATATTATATATAATATATATAAAATATATATAATATAGAGAAAATATATATATATATTTTATATATATATATATATAAGAATTTCCTAATAATTAAAATTACCTGAAAATGAAATCGGCTGATTTTGGAGATAGTATTCAAGAAGAAACCACGTGGCTATTCTTTAAGGTATGTTCTAAGGTATGGCTATTCTGTAAGGTATGCTTTTGAATCCAAGCATTCAAAAGAGGATGAATAAGATAAATTGTTTTCAACCTTTTTTCCCTCCCATTTTTCATGGGGGGGGGGTGAATTCAAGTGAATAAAATTATAATAAAATCGTTTAATGGGAAAAATAAGCACAAAAACTTATTTGGGTCCAGAGTAAACTCCAGTTTACCTACACAGAAAGTTAGATTTCCTGGGGATATAAACTTCTAATCCATCCTTATAGCCCTAGTACACTGCCTGGCACTTACAGAAGCTTAATAAATATTTAATGAATAATTAAATGCTTACTTCAATTGATTAGGGCTCTGAACTGCCTGCCTCATAATACTGTATTAAAATTATGGAGTTTACATTTTTCCAAACAGAAAGAACTCCTATTCTCAAGGAGTTTATAATCCTTATGAATGGAACCATGAGCAAAAGTTTTTATTCTAGAAGCAACTGTATTAGTACTTAAAATTTCTTTCTTTTTTTTTTTCCCCAAGACAGAGTCTCGCTGTGTCGCCCAGGCTGGAGTGCAGTGACATGATCTCAGCTCACTGCAACCTCCGCCTCCCGGGTTTAAGCAATTATCCCTGCCTCAGCCTCCCAAGTAGCTGGGATAACAGGTGCCCACCACCACGTCTGGCTAATTTTTGTATTTTTTAGTAGAGACGGGGTTTTGCCATGTTGGCCAGGCTGGTCTTGAACTCCTGGCCTCAGGTGATCTGCCTGCTTCGGCCTCCCAAAGTGCTGGGATTACAGGCGTAAGCCACCGCCCCTGGCCAATATTTAAGATTTCCTGAAGAGCTCAAAACCTGCCTTCATAGACATCAAACAGGGGACAGGTTTTACATTTAAACTATGGCTAACTTAAATAATGTATGAGTGTTCTTTGTACGTAATTATAGAGCATAGGCTCCTGCACAAGAAGACATTAAACAGGGATATTTATGCTTATTTATTGAACCATTATTATATGTATTGTACATTATTAGGATATGTGGTGATTATATAAGATACAACAGTTTCCCTTAAGGAATATGTAAAAATAACTATAAATATTAACTAAAATATGGAATATAGAATATAAGCTCTGTGAGAACAGGAATTGTTGTCTTTCACCCCCTACCCCTGCCCCGGCACAAAGTAAATAATGCAATCAATAAATAAAGTTTGTTGAATGAATTACTGGCAAAGAAAGTGGTGCTCACTCAACATTCTGTTTCCCTATATTCCGCTGTCCTCTTAAGATTAGGTGGGGTCAGAAGACTAGTTCTGGATGGGCTGTGGATGGAAATATCATGTGTCATTTCCAAACCAACTCACAGAAAAACTCATGCAAATCCTCCAGCTCTCTCCTCTTGTCATAATGAGCAAGGAGGCCACATGTTCCAGATGGATACAGCTAAGAAGGTGGTGAACACATCATTGCTCTGAGCTCCTGAATGGTTAGGTAGACCAGAATGCCCACTTTCCTATCAACCAGTGACAGACATGAGGCATATGCCAGAAACAGACTAAGGTCTATCAGTCTACCGTGATTAATACAAATAGTAAATGCTGTAAAGTTAGTATGGAGAACATACAATGAGAATTTTTCAGTTGGCCTGATGAAGGAAGGCTTCATAATGATGATAATTTAGTTAAGCCTGAAGATACAATATTTCCAAGATTAGTAAGCTGTGAGATAGGGAATATCCTTACATTAAACCTTTTTTTTTTTTCTTTTTCAGATGGAGTCTTGCTCTGTCACCCAGGCTGGAGTGGAGAGGCAAGATCTCGGCTCACTGCAACCTCCACCTTCTGGGTTCAAGCGATTCTCCTGCCTCAGTCTCCCAAATAGCTGGGACTACAGGTGCCTGCCACCACACTCGGCTAATATTTATATTTTTAGTAAGACGGCGTTTCACAATGTTGTCCAGGCTGGTCTCGAACTCTTGATCTCTGGTGATCCGCCCACCTTGGCCTCCCAAAGTGCTGGTGTGAGCCACCGCACCCGGACACCCTTTAACATTCTTGACATAGTTCATTAAGTGATAAGAGAACATGCTAAGGTGGCACTGTTTATAATGTTTTGGTTCACTTTTATCTCTCCATATAAACATCAACATATTAAGCAATCCAAAGAAAAGCTTAAGAAACAAGGGCATTAAACTAACAGAAAACCAAACACTGCATGTTCTCACTCATAAGTGGGAGCTGAAAAATGAGAATACGTGGACACAAGAAGGGGAATAACACACATCAGGGCCTGTGGTGGGGTGGGAAGAGGGTGAGCTTCAGGATAAATAGCTAATAATGCATATGGGGCTTAATACCTAGGTGATGGGTATTAAGCAAACCACCATGGCACACGTTTCCCTATGTAACAAACCTGTAAATTCTGCACATGTAGCCCAGAACAAGAAAAGAAAGGAAAGAAAGGAAGGAGAGGAGAGGAGAGGAGAGGAGAGGAGAGGAGAGGAGAGGAGAGGAGAGGAGGAAGGAAAGGAAGGAAAGAAAAGGAAGAAAGAAAGAGAGAGATGGAGAGAGAGAAAGAGACAAAGAAGAGAGAGAGAAAGAAAGAGGGGGGGAAGAGAGAAAGAGGGAGAGAGGGAGAAAGAAAGAGAAAGAGAAAAAGAGAAAGAAAGAGAGAGAAAGGAAGGAAGGAAGGAAGGAAGGAAGGAAGGAAGGAAGGAAGGAAGGCGGGAAGGCGGGAAGGCGGGCAGGCGGGGCAGGCATTGATTTACAGTGGTAGGGGGAGGGAAATACCACCTGTCCTGATGGGAATAAGGAACGTGGAAGAGCTATGAGGAAGGATACCTAGAAACAATATAGAGGATGTTCTATTTCTTTTTCATTGTTTGATAGCCCAAATCTTCTCTTTCGTTTGAGGCTTAGAAATAACCTTCAATGTAGGAAAATACCATAAGTACATTTCTGAAAATCTGCCCACAAAATCAAATGCTCTATATTGTTTTGTTCTCCCATTGACTTATACTATAATCTCAGAATTACATATAATATGCAATAAAATTACAATGAAAAATATAGAAAAACTGTAAAATTGTACATTTTGATAAGAGTCAAAATTTCTGTACAGAACTATAATAAGACTAAATCCACAAAAAGTAATAAAAATAAAACAGAAAACCAGAAGCTACTGTCTTCCTCTGGTCTGAGACTGTAATATTCAAGGAGATGCACAGCCTAAAAACTATTTTTTCCATTTGTTCCAAGAGATAGAAGAGACTGTAGAAGCCATTTATTCAGCCCTAACTCAATGTAAGAATCCTACAACTTATGTCCTACAGATGTCCCCAACTTAATGATGGTTTAACAGAACAACTTTTCCATTTTATGATGGTGAGATAGTGATATGCATTCAGTAGAAACCATACTTCCAGGGTCTATATAATCATTCTGTTTGTTTTTTCTTTCAGTACAGTATTCAGTAAATTACATGGGATATTCAGCGCTTTTTAAAAATAAAATAGGCTTTGTATTAGATTATTTTACCCAACTGTGGGCTAAACGTAAGTGTTCTGAGCGTGTTTAAGGTAGGCTAGGCTAAGCTATGAGTTTCCGGAGGTTAGGTATATTTAATGTATTTGCAACTTAGGGTATTTTCTCCTTATGATGGGCTTATCAGGATGCAATCGATAAGTTGAGGAAAATGTGTAATTATAATCAGCCTGAACATTCTGACAGGGAGTTTAAGATTACACAGCTTATACTATAAAGTTCTAGTTATCGACCTGGGGCGAAATTTATTCTTTTTTAGTTTTTATTTTTCTTATGTATTTTTTTCTTATATTTTAATATTTATTTTCATCTGCTTTCAGTTTCATTTCTACCATTAACTAGTTGTGTCACTTTGGGGAAATTGTTTCACCAATTTGAGTCTTAAGTATTTTCATCTATAAAATATGGAATTGATGAGACTATATGTTGCTAACATCCTACCTAACATTTTGTGGCTTTTTATCTTTTCTACATCTAGCAATAACTTACAAAACTCTATAGTCTGTCTTTGGATCTCTGAGTACTTGCATAAGATGCAAGGATTTACTTTCAGAGGGTGGAAGTAAGGAATCTCTGTCTTATGTTGTAAGGTCATTCCAGTTTGCCTGTATCCCTTTGTCCTGTAGCAGTAGTTTCAGCTTATAAAAATTCAGATGAACTTCTCCATCTATTTTCATTTGTTTATGTATTTCCTGTGTCAGGTTTCTGTATGTGTGTGTGTCTGAAAAGTTTTAAAAAGTTTTAGAGTATTAAAAGCAAGCTGCCTCATCCCTTGGAAAATCTGTTTAACTCTAAGTAGAAGGGCAGGCGACTCAGCTTGAAACAAATGCCTCATAGCCTTTTAGAAGCTTTTTTTCCTGCTAATTAGCTGTGAATGTTCTGTTTGTTTGGTTTCTGACAGAGTCCTAGCAAGCAGAAGCGAAGGGGCTAGAAAGGAAGGGCCCTAATTGTCAGGGAGGGTGACCTCCAGGCTTGTCCACAGTTGTAGTCTCCATGGGAGAAGCAGCTTCTTGGGAGGGAGGATGCTTCCATTTATAGACAGTTGTATAAAGTATAGTACTCCCTTTACTCTTAGGCAACTTTTTTTTTTTTTTTTTAGGTAAAAGCCAGAGCTGTACAGAGAAGATTCCTCTATTTTCTCAGCCACTACTCCTAGGCAACCTATACATCCTGATGGGGGTGGGGATATGCATGCTGGAAACTTCCTATGACAATTTTTATTTGACTGGTGTTCTTGTTAGATCTGTTAGTAATGAGAAAAGATGGGACTGGAACTTAAAAAGGTAAAAAATTTACAACTTTAGGCAATGCACAACCAAATGAGTTTTATATTTTATAAATTATGCTACCGAGAAATGTAATATATGAGTCAGAGAGAAACTTGAATGGTGAATTCCTAGAAAAATCAAACAAATTCTCAAGCAAATTAAGTTCTGACTGCTGAAGACCTGTTTGATCTCAGAAAATGCAGAGAACTGTGTCTATGATTTAGACTGGTAATCACTTGGGATATGTGGCACTTCCTGATTTTATGAGAGAAACTGATGGTCTGAACAATCTAAATTATTATGGGCCCAAATATTTAAGGTTCTGAAACAGTTGCGAAAATAAACTAAGTTATAACAGCTAAATTGAAAATATGCACAGAGCACTGATTATATGTCACCAACTACTTGCTATTTTCCAGGTTACAGAACATATAATCAATTTAAAAATACCCAAGAAGGGCATTTTGGAGGTTACAAAAATTTCCTGGGGTTACAAGCCGAACACAACCAACAAAGAAGATTGGTTTTTGTCAGATTCCAAGAGAATGTGTACTTTCTTCAAACCCACCAGGAGAGCAGAAACAGACTGGTAAGATGTCAAAGTGTCACGGGAGCTATATTTTAAATGTTACAATTAAATTCTTGCCTCAAAGGATTTAAGCCCTCTGTTGATATAGTCCAAGTTCCTTGTTATATACTAACTCATACCCACATCTTCTGGGGATCACTCTACTTGCTTTGTTAGCTATCTCAACACACTTCCTGAAGCTCCCCCTGCTTCCTTGTATGTAGTCATCCATTTCACTCCTCTCCAGTGTTCTCTCATCTCTCTAAACACACACACACCAGCCTTCCATTCATTCATCAATTTACAAACACCATATTCTTTTCCTGTAATTTCTCACTTGACTTTTACCTTTTCTGCCTATGTAGATTACATGGGGCGTACATTTGACTAAATATAGAAATATCCATGCATCTTGTCCTTGAATACTGACCCACTTGGGAAATGTCTGATATTAATTTAATATTATCAAATATTTAACATCCACTAAGTATAATAGCTTTTCACTGTTTGGCTTTGTTCTTCTATCACTTCTTATAATTCTCCCAATATCCTTCTCAGAGCAAAGGAAAGGAACAAAATCCAGTGCTCTGGAGGTAATAAGGACCTTTACAAAGAAGCAAGGGGAACTATCAAAGAGATACTTTTACCTCTATCTTGCCTAATCACAGAACCACTTCATTTATTTTCTGCTGATTTCACAGTCCTTATGTACTTTATTTCTACCATTCCTAACAATGTACACAGATCTTTCACAGATGTGTGTGTAATCAAAGAAACACTTTGTTGTCTTATCAGTTAACTTTATTCTGTCTAAATATTCTTTTTAGACTTGTCATATCAGATTTACCTGTTATAATATAAATTCCTAAATAGATATACTCAGAATCTACAGACCTGGAATACAGTCTGAGAAGACAGTAATGGGCTGCATGATACCCTCTTTAAAAAAAGGCTGTTGTATAATGTTTTCCTTAGGATGCTTTTAGCCTTAACACAGTATGATTTTATGGGAAGTACTGCATCTACAAAATTATCTTTGTATACCACCTAGTATACAAAGTGGGCACTTAACTGTTAAGTGTCTATTCATCTTTCAATACTCAGTTCAAGTGTTTACTCTTTTTAGTTTTCTTTGGTCATCCCAAATAGAGACAACCTTACTTCTCTGACTATCTACAGAAGTCACTGTTCATACTAAAATGTGAAGCATATATACCGTATTGTAGAATGGTTATTTAAATTCATGTGTTATAACTGCTACCTGACATTAAGGTCCTAGAGAAGGCATATTTATCTCTGTAGTCCCTAGTAGTGCTTTGTTCTGATATACATTTAATATCTTTTTATTGAACTGGCTGAACTGTCTTTCTAAACATCTGACCAAAAGACATCTTAAGAATCAAATGTGGAAATAATTACTTGCATTTGTAATTTTGTTTGGGAGGAAATAGAAAATAATTTAGGTATACTAAGCAGGCAACAGGAGTTTTCTTAGGGCTCTTAGATGCTAAGTAATAAAAGCGAACTTGGGAGCACAGGTGAGCCAGAAATCCCACTTTCCCAATCTTACCAGACGACCTTATGTATGTGAAGCGTAGCAAAGGAATGGGTATTTAGAGGATGAATGGGAAGGAAAGAAATTAAACTGAAGAACTATTGCTATGACAAGATTTGGGTACAGATTCTGCCAGTGTAAAGGTCACTTGCTGGAAGCCTCTGAATCTCCCACTTTTAGCTTGGACCCTGCTTCTTAACCAATAGCTATATACAGACATCAAATATTTGCAGCTCAGTTTTAATTAACTTTTCATAAAATTCAAGGAATTTACGCCAAAAGTAAAACTCTTTTAACTTACATGTGCTTAACTAATTTACTGTATACTTATAAGAGCTGCGTGTGTTAACTCTTAAACCTCCTAGTGGTAGTTATACTTGTTATTCTAATTACATGATTCAATTAATTACCATCTAAAAAAGGATGAGATATGAGTAAGAAATAAGAATTGTTTCTATGAAAACCAAGTTGAATGCTTTGGCAAGCTCAAAATAAGAGTTGTTAAAAATGCTGTTTTAATGTCCCACCTAGGGTACCCCCATCTCCCAAAAAAAAAAAAAAAAGTCTGGCTTGGAGGTGTGTGCCTATAGTCCCAGCTACTTGGAAGGCTGAGGTGGGGGGATCACTTGAGCCCAGGAGTATGAGGCCAGCCTGAGCAACATGGCAAGACCCTGTCTCTAAAAAATAAAAATTAAATTAAATTAAATTAAAATGAAGTTAACTAGATGTCAGAAAGCCAATTATGAAAGACTTGGAGAAAACCATATATATCTACAAAGATTATACAATTACACTGTTTCACAAGACTCTAGTTTGACTCTTCTTTAAAGAAAGCAAGATTATCGGTATAGTTTATGCCAGAAAGAGTACAAGAAACTTCAATCAGTGGACTCTTATTTAAAAATAAAACAATGGCCAGGTGCAGTGGCTCACGCCTATAATCTTAGCACTTTGGCTGAGGTGGGCGGATCATGAGATCAGGAGATCGAGACCATCCTGGCTAACACGGTGAAACCCCGTCTCTACTAAAAATACAAAAAATTAGCCGGGCGTGGTAGCGGGCGCCTGTAGTCCCAGCTACTCGGGAGGCTGAGGCAGGAGAATGGCGTGAACCCGGGAGGCGGAGCTTGCAGTGAGCCGAGATCGCGCCACTGCACTCCAGCCTGGGCGACAGAGCAAGACTCCGTCTCAAAAAAAAGAAAATAAAAATAAAAAAACAATGGTCCTATATCACAAGAGTGGTACATAAAGTACACGTTTTAAAAGTTTAAGGTTGTACCTATCATTTTTTATTCTTAGAGCCTTAACAGGGCTCCTTTTTGACCACTGTTCCAATTACCAATCCAGATAACTTCGGGTGAAAAAGACTTGTTGTAAATTTCATAAATATCGTATTTAAGAAGATCTAAAATTAATACAAAGGTCATCACATACTACAAAACAAAAAGCGACAAAAATCTAATCCTGAGAGCAACTGAACAGTATTGTTTTGCTAATGTATTTCATAAGCAATCAATCTAAAGTACTTTCTAAAGTATTATAATATATATTTGAAAGAGTCTACTGCATTACATTATTTTGTTAGTGACCACTAGAAACACTAATCTAAGGTCCCCACAGCAGAATAAAAATATCAAATATTTCCTTTAAAAAGGAAAATCATCTTAATTTTCTTCTTGAAATCCATTTATCAAGAAGAAATAATTAGAATAAAATTTAAAAATTAGATTTAAAAGGTCTTGGAACCCTAATGCCTAGCATCTCAAAACCGAAAGGCCAGCAGATACCATCAAGTAAGTAAAAACTTTAAAATTCAAAGTGATCAGTTAAAAAAAGCAGAGTTTCTAAAGAAACTAAAAAGTTTCTGTAAAATTCCTCATTTTTGTATATTTTCTACAAATTTATGATGAGGCAAAACAATCAATCTATTACATGAATTAACAGCTATCACAGGCAAGTATTTTAAAGTAAATTATAAATCTAAGCCATAACAATATGTTGGTTCTAGTCTGGCAAATTACCCTGCATGCTAAACAAGAAATATGTTAATTTTACCAAATAAATTTTATTTCAAATTAGATTAAAATTACAAAGAAGTGTTTAATATTGATATCTTATGTAATATTCTATTTATACTGCCTCATGAATATACTTTTTAACTCATCTATATTCTGGTTTGCCTATTGCACGGATTCTAAAGTTGGCAAAAAATAATCAGACTTCAAAAAATAAGAAAATCTGCCCTAAAAATATTTTCTGCCTCATTTTCTCATAAACATACCAGTGTGATAAAGACTTTCCCTCCCTCATTAAGTCTTACAGACAGCATACAAACATTGCAGAGTATTTTTTCAAGCAAACAATATAACACACTAAACAACTTAAAAACAAACCTTTTAAATTACCAAAATACTGTAATTTTTCTCTATTAACTGTAAACAAAATATAAGATTCTATAAGCAATAACTATTAAGATGAACTATTTTGATGGAAGAACTGGTAATTTCTCAAAGGATAAAAAGAAGCACACTAGTATTTTGGTTCAATATCCCCTTTAAATATAAAATTTTCATTATGAGAAAAATAAAGGAAAATGCAGAAGTTGTAGTCATTAGCTTCCTTAAAAAATCAGGAAAAATAGCTCTAATATATAACTACAAAGTGGGTAGAACTGAATTAGAATATTATCTGGTCCTCTAGATTATAAACACTTATTTTCTAAAATAAAACATTTCTCTCCAAAAAATTACAATCTCAACCTCAAAATCTGTACACCAAAAAGTGTTTTATTTACTTTCAAATATTTATGTGTTGGGGATTTTCAAACCTGATGCAAAAATCAAAATTAACAAAGCAATAATTTAATAAAATATGCTTTGGTATACTAAATGTAAAAAAATAAAAGAAACTGACATCTAAATATGATACATATCCACATTTTATTATTTAATCAAGACTAAATAGAAACAGAAACTCATTACCTGTATAAGACAAAATGTCCTCACTCCTCTTAAATTTGCAAATAAAATGGAAAGCAATATATATTTTGGTACAATTATACAGATGTTCATGTAAAGTTTTTTTTTTTTTTTTTTAACACTATGTACTTAAATGCTATTAAAATAATGGGTGGCAAGCTACTTGAATACTGTTCCTTTTTACTGGTTATGCTTTTAATGATAACAGTGGATTAAATTTTTATTGCTTTTATCTCTGTACTAAAGATAGTATGTTTTTTTCTTTTTCTAGCATCTTGGGACTCTAAGGTGATCTAAAACCATTATAAAAGATAATTACAGAAACATATCTAAATTATCTTAGAATTATCTAAATTAGGTTTAACTTATAAAAATCCTACTCAATCAACATTATAAAGCATCCACTGCATATCAGCATTCAGAGAGCCGACATGGGCATAAATTATTTCATGAGTGATTAAAAATAAAAGATCTAATGTTATATAAAAGAGGTACATTTTACCTGGATGAGGTGAGGTAATGCTTTTAGTGTAAGGCAAAACCAAATCCCCAGTTTGCATGGAAGCAAATCATGCCACTGTGGTTTCATCAGCAATCTAAAGGGAGGGAGAAAAAAGAACACCATACAACATATGAGGAATATACAGAGAAAGTTGGGAGGCAAAATAATTCTATAAAGATCATGAATTCTTTTGTGAATGGCTACTTCAACAAAAAAAATGAAGAAAGTATGCACTGAAATATTTATAACTGACTTACTCCATCATGAAATACAGTAGTCACAACAAATGCAATATATATAGCATGTAAGAGAATCTAGGCTAAGATTTTGGGGAAGGAGGCTCCTAATCAAGTTACAAAGATAAACAAAAGCCTTCTTTCTAACCTGGGCTTTTCATCACTTTTGTACAACGAATTCTTAAGCCTTATGATTACTTCAGCTATAAAAAACTAACCATCATCAGAGTGTTCCCAAGTGCTGACAACCAGATATGAAGACTGTAGCATAAACAAACCAATACATAAAAATTAATGTCATTTGCAGTTCACTGAAGCATTACTCACTGATGTCATCAGAATAGATGACAGGCAGAATAGTCTCTGATCTCCATCCCACATTGATCCCAGTTCATGCCCTGCTGTGTGAACTATTTAAACCCTTTATTCCTTTCTATGAATCAATAGAAGAAATGGTGGTATCTTTTTGAGTGTACTGCATATCACTGCCTCTCTACATACTGTCACTCCTGAGCTAAGTGATAGGTCCGTCTAATAGTACTTTGTTTCTAAAGTTCAGTATAAAAATTTCAAACTAGAAGAATTTGAGGGATTATTTAAATATATAGTCACACTTTATATGGGGGAAAAAACCTGAAGACATTTTGCTTAAGATTAGAACTTGTCTCATAAACAATGGCACATTATTAGTCTTTTATAAGACTACCACAGATATAAATGAGAGCACATGTAAATAGACATACATATGAAGTTGAATCATATTAAAGATGTATTTTAAAACAGCTTCAAATTATAAAGTATTTTTATATGCTCTCACCTTTCATTTTTTTCTGAAGCACCGAGTTTTGATACATCCACACTCTTGCTGCCAGTCTTTTTTTTCTTTTCTCTCTTTTTTCTACTTAGTAGTTCATCCTTAATGTGGAAAGAATTATGGTTACAGGTTATCATTAACATGTACACTTCAAATGTTATCTAGGCTCTTCTGTGAAGGGTAAACATTATAGAGGAACATTTATGCAAATGTATGTAGGGTCCAACATGATTAAGTAAAATCATCAATCTTTCACAATAACTGTTGCCATGGTATCCAGGCCTTAAACACACATGAAGTTCAGGACTGTCAGTCATGTGCATCTCCATAGCAATCAAAGTTTTCTAAGAAGAGAAAGCATTCAACTCACTTTTTCTCATTCATCCAACTTTAATAATGTCACTTCAAAAGGAATGAGTAAACAGATGCTAATTCATGAATACTGATAAATATGTTTGATTATCTTTAACATATAAATAAAAACCCAAAGAATAAACTATAGAGTAGCATATTAAACCAAGAAAAGTGTAATAATTTTTTTAACCAATTGAAGTTAGAATATTATATTCATTTCCAATTTTATTTATTTACCTAAAACATTTTAAAAGTAAACATTCATTATATAAAGGCCTGTGACACAAAAAAATCTAAAATCAGTCTTAAATAAAAAATATTTCTATTTGGAAGGTGATAATGAAAACATGGCTCTACCTTCTAATTCCCAGCTAGATATTTGGGCTTTCACAAAGTTTTATAACAAACTTAAGTGCCACATTTTTTAAAAGAAGAATATTTTCTTATTTCATGGGTTCTTCTTGACTTAGAAATATGTCAAACATTGAGTATAAAACTATTAGAATGAGAAGTATACAGAGAGAAACAGAAATTTTCATCAGTTGAAAAATAAATGTCCAAAATTCCATATAAAATTAAGGAGGCTAGTTCATTTGATTTATTACTAACACTTACCAGTTGTTTTTCCAGGTAGATTGACCAAACCACAGCATAATGACCCACTGTGAGAATAATGAACAAGAGTAATGCCAGCTCAGCATTGCTCATTTTTCTCACCCGCCTGTAGTAGAATACAGGCTGTCGCCAATCTGGAAGTCCATTGATCAGAATATCATCATACCTACAGTACAAATATAACAGTTTTTCACGGGGAGTTTAAAATAAAAACAAAAAAAACTATTTGTGCCTATATTACAAAAAGGAAAAAGAAAACAAATTATCCAAAATAGATAATGTTTATGTACGTTCCCAGCATTATAATATCGAGTAAATTCAAAGCACTGTAGATAGCTCTAGTCACTGACACCCTTCAAAAAAGTGTCCAGTAATATACTGTGGATACCAGATCTCATGTTTTTACAGCACCCAAAGATGTGACTCCTGGAGTGACATCTAAACTAAAGGAGCTACGTGTAGTCTACCTGTCTACTAGTCTATAGTAAAGACTCTACCATTGAAGTCAGCAACAAAAAGGAGGATCTCAATAGGAGAAAGATCAAGATAAGAGCTGTTTGTTACCGTGAATTACATATTAATTGAATCAAATTCAGAATAAATTTTCTAGTCAGTGCTTTTATGTCTACCCCTAAACTACGGTGGCTCAAGGCTGAAGTATTTATACACATGATTTTATCAAAGCTTTTTAATGAGGTAAAAGCCTATAAAATTGAGTGTCTTTTAATTTTGTATTGCTATATTCCTTTAGAAAATAAAAAACTCCCAAATTAAAAAGAGATGTGGTAACAACCAGTGTTTATGTTGGATTTCTCAATAAAACTGTTTATTTGTAAACAATTAAGTGGCAATTTCCTCATTTTTGGCTTTTGCTGGAAGAGAAGAACATTAACAAGTAAAAGCTTTCCTAGTCCTTTAAAAAGCTGATGCATTTTAAATCAGCTTTCTTGGTACTATCAGGATAAAAAAGTTACTTTAAAATAAATTTTCAACTCAATTTAAATTTACTTGTCAGACAATCATTGAACAAATATCTTTGAGGTTAAAAATAAGGAGTAACATTTATGACTGTAAAACTCAAAATGGTCACATACAAACACTGTGTGTTCAACACACACAACCTGTTAATTGAACACAACTCATTAAATATTCTAATCACACTATTTCCAGAATTAAATCTTCACTGAAAGGCCTAATTTGGTGCAACACATTGACCAAAATATTTTAATTAAAAATATTCTGAGTTAGTCGCAGGCCTAATTACAGGAATAGAAATAGGGCCTATATTGTCAGGCAGGTCAGTAGAACTCGGTAGTAGGTTTTTCTCAAGTAAATTGACCGATCTAGGAATAATAGCGCAGCTGCTAAACTGCCAGTCTTGACATGTAAATCAATTTAAATGCAACAACTGCAGTAGCTACTTTGATAGTTATTAAATTGATACCTTGGAGATATGCTAAAAAAATAAAGCAGAGGATTTATTACAGGCAACTTCTTTTTTCAGTAGAAAAACATCAGATATAAATGTAAAATATATTTTATTAGCAAATCTAGAAAACCTGACCTTCTGATCAACTTAGGTTATTAATAACAATATCATCAAATTGGAATAACCAATGTTGAAAGCAAAGGACATTAATTAGTACTAAACTCTTAAAAAGCAAATTGTGTAATATACAAGAGTCTACAAAGTAATGTATGGTTTGGCAGTAGCTACACCAGAAAAATTTGGTGCTATTCTTTTTCAATGTTTATCGAAATTCTTGAATATTAACATCAAGATATAATAATATGACTTCATAAAAACTATCATTCATGTTATCAAAAATTTATGTTTAAATCTATCTTATAAATACTGATTCATTTTAAATGAGAAAATGTATAGGTAAAAAGGTTTCAAGTGCTCTAACATAAGATTACAACATTCAAATGAAGTCCAATCAACCTTAAGTCCTGAATCTATTCTCAATCCACATTCTACTTCAGATTTGTTGAGGGAGAAAAAAGGTGAATATAGAAATCATCATTTTCAGCAAACCTCTCCCATGAAATAACTTCAGGTAAAAAGTATAGTTATTGATAAAGAACATCTAAGAAAATGGAGACAATTCCCTAATAGCACTCTTAAGTATTAAATTTGCTTTGGGTATAACTAAACTATAGCAGAAGAGAAAACAGCTGAACTCATAGCTAAGAATCTCTTATCAAATATTTTATCACCATCATAACTGAAAGTGCTATGTGTCTGTTAATAGCTACTATTTTCTACCCTACGTACAAATTGTATTTGGTGTACAAATTCAAGATAGCAAAATCTCATGCACTGAACACATTAAACAGAACTAGATATTTACTAGCCTATGTCTGTCACTCTAAACAACAGTCTCTAAGGATTAAGCTTAGAATCAATGCTCTATTGATTTTACTATCAATGAACTATATTATAGCTCACACGACTGGCCATTTTAAGGAAAGATAGCTTCCATTATAGTTCATTTTTTAGAATATATGCTGTTAAAAGATAAATCACTGCTTTCTTGATGAAACATTGAAAATACATTTCTTACCAAAGTACACACAGACACTTTTCATAAGTTATTTAAGAAGAAATACTGTGTTGACAACACATAAAATTTAAAACATCACTGTATTAGGCTTTTCTATATTTAAACATATAACACTGTTAAAATGCTCTGTATTTGGGATTCATACAAACTGTTCTCAACTATTTATTAAAGCCAGATTAAGAATGTATAAATGTATGTGTTGTAAGATATAAAGAAAGAAATCTCTATGATAAAAAATATCACTAATGCTAAAAATCATAGGAAATTATAATGGCATTTTCTTGGAAATGAAAACATTAATCAATTCCACATATCCAACATATGGCCTAATGTGTGTTTATTTCACTTGATTTTCTTAAAATATACATCAAGAACATAAAATAATGGTTACATACTCATTAGTGAGTTTTATACTATAATCTGCAATTCATCAAACATATTTAGGCTAATACAAACACTGAAAAACAAATCTAAAATTTTTTCAAGTTACCAGCAGAAAAATGTACAGAAATTTAAAACGTTACAATTTTTTGAAATATAAAATAGTAATTATGAAACTAAAATTAAAAATCTGTATATTATGAAAATGAATATTTAAATAATTCTAGCATGTGCCTAATTATGAATCTTCTGTATTACAAAGCTTGAATTTTTAGTTTAAAACAATAATAACATAATTTCCACTTAGGTCACATTTTGAAACTGAATAAAAACTACTTGTACAAAGATTATAAACAGAAAACATGTCTAAATTAATTGCTGTCATTCTTCTTTGAAAAAAATATATATATGCCAAAAATTGTGGTACACTGCACTTTATTTAGGAAAGGTGCCAAAATAAATTTCCTATTCTCAGACTAATGGTTATTTTGATTCTAACACACCTGTAATCAAATTTACAATAACTAGTTAATAAATTTATAAAAGTTTAACATATTAAGGCTGAATAACTATACGTTTAACAGCATTTGTAAATGAAACGTTATTTAGTAAACTAAAAAACACATTCAACTTTTATAAATATAGTAACATGAAACAGACAAAAAATTTTAAAGTTGCACAACTGGGTTAGCAAAAGAAGACTGGTTAAAAATTCGTAATAGATTTTGAACAAAAGTAGGTATGTTAATATTACTAAAGCGCAATCTAGTATATAAATGTCATGACTAGTACTCAGTATTTTACCTCAACTAACATTCAGGGCACTCATAAAAATTTGTTGGAACATAGCTGGGCTACTATTTCCCAAAACAAGTTAGCTAAAGAGTTTAGAGAAGGCTGCTAAGCTAGGTTTTCTTACAATAACCAGGAAAACCTGTTATAGGCATGCTTTAATAATGACAGTCACTGGGTCTGAAAAATGCATAATTAGGCAAACTGTTAGGCAAGTTCCTCACTGTGTGAACATCATGGTGTACTTACACAAACCTATGTTGTATAGCTTCTACACATGTAGGCTATATGGTAGCCTACTGCTTCCAGGCTACAAACCTGTATAGCATGTTGCTGTACTGAACACTGTAGGCAATTATAACACAATGGTAAGTATTTGTCTATCTAAACTTAGAAAAGGTACAGTAAAAATACCATATTATAATCTTATGGGACTAGCACTGGGTATTTTTGTTGCTGTTGTTGTTGTTTTAGAGATGGGGTCTCACTCTCTCACTCAGGCTGGAGTACAATGGCACGATCATGGCTCACTGCAGCCTTGCAATCCTCCCATCTCAGCATCACAAGTAGCTCAAGCAATCCTCCCATCTCAGCCACCCAAGTAGTTGGGACTACAGGCATGCAACACTACACCCTGGTAATTTTTTTATTTTTTGTAGAGATAGGGTCTAGCTATGTTGCCAGGGCTGGTCTCAAACTCCTGGGCTCAAGCGATCCTCCCACCTCAGCCTCCCAAAGCGTTGGGATTACAGGTGTGAGCCACTGCGCCCAGCCAGCATTGTGTATGTGGTCCCCCATTGAGTCAAATGCCATTATGCAGTACATGACTGTATTTTCATGCTATATATGTTCTTGGGGGAGAAAAAGGCTTAAACGTTTATTCACAATTGCACTCCTAGGAATCTACCCAAGAGAAATGAAAACATATGTCCATCTGAAGATTTATGTGAATGTTCATAGAAGCCTTGCTCATCACAGCCCCAAACTGCAAACAACCCACATGTCCATCAACTGGTGAATAGATAAACGTAAGTGGTATATCCATACAATGGAATACTGTTCAGCAATAGAAAAGAATGAACTACTGGTATATGCTACAATATGGATGAATCTCAAAAACCTTATGTTAATAGAAGCCAGATACAAAAAACTACGTATTGCATGATTCCATTTATACGAACTGTCCAGAAAGGACAAATTTATAAATACACTAAATCGATCAGTAATTGCCTGGAGCTGGAGATCAGGGTGAGGAACTACGGCAAATGGGCTAAAGCTTTTTTGAAATGATGTAAATGTTCTAAAACTGGACTGTGATGATGGTTTGCACAAGCCTGTAAATTTACTAAAAAGCACTTAACTGTACACTTAAAACAGGTGACTTTTATTGTATGCAAATTATACCCAAATAAGGATGTTAAAAAATCAAACAAAACTGGCTTTTTCTTTTGAGACAGGGTCTTGCTGTGTCGCCCAGGCTAAGCACAGTGCGCAACTTCCGCCTCCGGGGTTCAAGCAATCCTCCCACCTCAGCCTCCTGAGTAGCTGGGACTATAGGCATGTGCCACCACGCCAGGCTAACTTTTGTATTTTTTGCAGAGACGAGGTTTTGTCATGTTGCCTAAGCTGGTTTCCAACTCCTGAGTTCAAGGGATCTGCCCTCCTCAGCCTCCCAAAGTGCTAGGATTACAGATGTGAGCCACTGTACCCAGCCAGCCTTTCCTTTTTTTTTTTTTTTTTAACTAAAAGTTATTTGGTTTGTTAATTTATCAATTTAACTGCTATTCCCTTTTCCAGCAAAATTCAAATAATGCATCTGATTTCAGAGAAAACACAATTATATAAAAGGGAAATAAATAGGAAACATGTCTATGACAATTTCCCAAATTACCAATTCCTGGAAGGTTACACATTTAAAAGTATTATTTAATGAATATTTATAGTAAATAACTGTGATACCAAAATGCATTTTTTCATATCAATATGTAGATAATCTTCTTTTAGAAGATAATGCTGACTGTGCTCTTTTTTTTCCTAAAGGAATTATAAACATTAAGTAATTGTCTGCAGAGATGTCTGTCTCCTGTATGTTTAAATACTCATAGGTCACCTGGCCTCAGGCACAAGCTTTAGAGGAGTGATTCTTAGCTTCATTAGTTAAGACTTTTGCCTCAAGGAAAACCAGTTACCAAAGAGTTACTTGTGCCTCAAGGGGTATAAATACTACAGCTGTTTGTGTAACTGTCACATTCATTTTTTCTATCAACTGTCTAAAATAAATGAGAGAACTAATCCTGAAGAGATGATGTTATTTATTAATAGATGATTCCATGTTAATGAAGAAACAATTTATATATGAGAAGTGATTTGTTTTGAAAAGATAGAAATAATTTTGGTAACTGAAAGAAATTACAAAGTTTATTGACTTTTAAGATAACAAACAAAAAGAAAAAAACCTCAAGCCAAAAATATTAGAAAACTAAATAAAGCTACCTTTACAGGCACATTCTTGATGTGTGAAACAAAACTAGGGCTCACAGAGAAACCAACTAGAAAATATGCACAGAATGACCAAAACTTCTTTCAACACGCTTCTTGGACTCTTTCAACACTATGGATTATCTCAAACCAGAGGAATGTCTGCTATGGTATCTGGACCAATGCCAGCCCTTGTTATAAAGTGAAGAACACTTTAAGAGAAGATCTTGAATCCCTGTGCTTTGCAATCTGACAAGCAGAGGTATTCAAATTAAACGGTTAAGATGAGAATCAAGAATGGTAGCTAACATTTTAGGATACAGACTAATTCCAGATAATACATTTGAGGAAAGATTCAGAATGTAACATAGCACAATTTATAGGGTTGTCTGGAGATGTATTACCCCCCTAGTGAAGGACACAGATATTTAGGCTGGCTTTTGCCTAAATGTCAAATAGCCAGGTGTTGTTTTGTTTTGTTTTTTACAGGTACTCTTGTATCGTAGAACATTTTCAAATTTTGGATTGTGGTCCACTAGTGTCTCATGAAATGAATTTAGTGAACCACAACCAACATTTTTAAAAAATAAATAAATAAAAAACACCAAAAGACTAGTCTAGCCTAGAATAGAAAATAATGTGTTTAACATGCAATAAGAAATATCTTGTGAAACTATTGTTTTAGTTATGTGTGTGTGTGTGCGTATGTGTTGTGGTCTGACTTAAAAAACTTAGAAGGCTGCTGAAATGATGTCTACATTCCATACATTCTGTAGGAGTAGAGGAAAGGGGCCTCTGTGTAATCTCCTCTTAAGTCACTGGCATTATAAACTACTACATAAATATATTGCCAGTCTTCTGAAAGGGGCACAGAGAAGTCTTAGAGTGAGGGGCTACCTCCACTCTGAAGTTTAACCCTGAATGCAGAATTGCCGGAGCAGAGTAAAGGAAGGGAAGGAGGCAAAAGAAATAGATGCAAGAGGCAAAGTTTTCTTTCTTCTACAGGCTTACAGAAGCTTATATAACTGGGTTATTCTGAGAGTGAGGAAATATCAAGAAAGAGTACTAACTTGACTATCACTACAGTCTAATTCAAACATTTAAGGAATGGGGGGGAAAAGCACCAAGCATCAGGCACAGATAGGAGCTATTACTGACATATGGGAAGGAATGGACATTTATTTGAATTCAGGCAGTATTTGTATCTCCCAGGGCATAAACACTCATGTTAAAAGTCGTATTAAGGAAGCCCGGACTTGCTAACATTATGACTCAAAATCCTGAAGCTTGTATGTATCAAATCAATCTAGTGAATACTTTCAATAAAATTAACTCTGCTTCAAACACACATTTTTAAAACACTGCATTTCTCGGAAGGAACAAAAATAAAATGCTAACATAATAATAAAATGTTTAAGAAGACTTAATTCTTTATAAACTGTAGCATGAAACTATAACATCTTAATTCAAAAGCAGAAATGAACACTCACCTCTGCCTTCGTTCATCATCCTTTAAAACTTCATAAATGGCCACCAACTAAAATAAAAGCATTACTTTAAAATAAAAATACTCTCAACTATAAGAAATCACATAGGAGGGTGAAGGCACTACAATACACATGCAGAAAATCCTATGTGCCTATATATACAATAAACAGATGAAATCTCCTTTATAAGTAACACTATGTTTTGGTAGTACCTTAAGAGATTAAAAATGCTTGATATCAAAATAAATCTTTGTGACAGTTACAAAAGTAATACTTATCTTAAAATGTGCATTTAGAAGCAAAAGCTGTAATTTAGACAAGAAAATTATGACAATTATGACCCTCCAAGAATTTAGAGATGCTAATACAAAATAGTAAAAATGCATTTTGTAGAAACTTGAAAAAAAATATACACTATATTTTAAACTACTACCTCATTTTCAAATGAAAATATTCCATATATAAGTGAATATTTCTACCATCGACATGTTAATACATTTGTCACAAAATATATATATAATAGCATATTTCACTTACTTGTCTAAACTGAGTTTCTGCATTTTCATCTTTATTCTTGTCTGGATGTAAAGTTAGTGAAAGCTTACGATATGCTTTTCTGATGTCTGCAGATGATGCATCCTGGAGGTGGTAGGGGGAGGGGAAAATACAAAGCAAACTTTGTCAGAAAAAGAAATTCCCAGAACCTTGTTAAGATCTGAGAAGACAGCCAACCAAGTGCAGGACCCCAGGCAATGTAATTTGAGCAATCAGTCTTAACAACCAGGCTATGCAACAAGCCTGACCCACATGACTGAACAATTATTCAATCTAATTTGGCTCTCCTCTTAACTTTTCATTACCATACAGTCATTTAAAGAAGACAGTATTTGGCGAAACTTTTCAAACACTTGCCTTCCTAAAATTAACCAATAAATCTTTTTCAGTAATTAAGAGATCAAAAAGAAACAAATTAAAAATTAATACATCGGTGTGCCTTCAAAGAAACTCTTTATTTACTGGCAAATGTTAAAGCCAATTTCTGAATCCCGGGCTAACCATATGGTTTCTCTATTATTTATATTGAGTTTATCATCTCAGCAACAACCTATGGAATCTCACTTTCACATGTCAAAAAGCATGCCTATCTGAAGGGAGTTAAATTAGCATTTATCAAAAATTATTATCATTAGAAAGAGTTAAATATACTATACTTATTTACTTAGTACTTTAAAGGGTATTTTCAATGTTGGCCAGCCTCCTCAGTCTGGTTCATACAAATAAATTTGCCCAATATTTATGTATTACTTGTATAGTTTAAATATATTTAAAAGGTTACCGTGGTTCAGTACTTAGATTAAGTGGATATTAAAATTACATTTTATATAATCCTGTGTGCACAGGTAAAATCAGACAACATCATTTTTACATGGCCAGTATAAAATGCATAATAATAACAAAGAATACACTGTCAAGTAGGGTTTAAAACTTTTTTTGAGACAGTCTGATTCTACCACCCAGGCTGGAGTGCGGCGGCACAATCTCAGCTCACTGCAACCTCCACCTCCTGGGTCCAAGAGATTCTTGTGCCTCAGCCTCCAGAGGAGCTGGAATTATAGGCATGCGCCACCACACCCAGCTAATTTTTGTATTTTTAGTAGAAATGGGGTTTCCCCAGGTTGGCCAGGCTGGTCTCGAACTCCTGACCTCAAGTGATCCAACAGCCTCGGCCTCCCAAAGTGTAGGATTACAGGTGTGAGCCACCGCGCCTGGCTGGGGTTTAAAACTTGATCTGTATTAAACTTAAAGTGTATTAAAATAACATATTAATATTGGGCAAAATGATAGTAAACTTGCTTACTAAATGTCTCTCATTTGATAGCTGACTGTCTAATTAATTCCAAAAACTATTAAGAAGTTCAAATGATGAAAACACCAAACCAAACCAACACAAAAAATCTATATACCTGGGACTAAATATTATCAATAGTTTTTAAATAGAGTTGGAGAGAGACAAAGTGAGGCTATAATTAGTCTGTCAGGCTTGTCTTTATAAACCATTATTTTTATTATCAGTTTTCTGGGGCTTGTTGCTCCAGACTAGTATGTTACCCAGGGTGTGAGTATTTTTGTGACTTGTGGAAGGCTGAGGAGCTATAAAAATTAACTAAAGTACTGCAGGTAACATGGTTGTAATTTTCATTCTACTTTGCTTAATAAAATTGACATGTTCCCTACATAGACTACAGATAATGTGGTAGAAATAAATGATTATTTAATGAAAATCTGTGATGAATCCTATTGTTGAGCAAAGACATCAAGTGTCAAATGAATAACCAATCTCTAATTGGGATTTTAATTGTAGATTTTTTTAAATTGGGACTATATAATAAACCATTCCACAAGTATATTTCATACAAAATAATAGCTATGTATTTTCTATTACAAAATTAATACATGTTCACTACAGAACATTTCTTACTTAAAAATAAAAACAACTAATAGTAACCTAAGGCATTTCCCTGCTTCCAGTCTTACCATTCTGATCCCCCAATCCTCCATTTTTCTGCCACCATATGTACCCCAAATGTAAATGTGGTCAGACGGCTCTCCTACTCTAAACCCTTGAGCAGCTACCAGGTGCCTTTGTCACTGGTGTTTTCCAATTTTTTTAGCCTTATCTCCCACCCTCTTGGCTCATCCTCCTGGTCCCCCAGATTATTACACCTTAGGATACACAGTTCACCAATGTCATGTTGTTTTTCACCCAGCTACAGATACAGACAGCTCTCTTCTAAGGAACAGGGCTCTGTTTCTTATACACAAATATTGCCTGACTATTTTCCTCTTGAGAATCTATCCAGTTGAGTTATTTTGCCAATAAATTCTACCTCAAGTAGATACGGTGAAAAACATGAAGATTTTCTTATCTACAAAGACATGCTCTAGATAAGTTGTACTTCAAACTAGCTTATGTATTTATTTAATATTAGGTACTCGATGAATTCAAACTCAGAAAATATTGCTTCAGAATCAGATCTCTTTATTTTGGCTGTTTAGGTTCAGATTTGGGCTGAGTAACTTCCCAATGAGACAGTTTTGGGAAGGCAGTGAGAACAACTATTACATCCTTGACCTGATAAACTATATGGAACATGTCCACATAACTACAATGTGAATATGTTCCATTGGAGCTTTAAAGGTAAAAACCCTGGTACGTATTGGCTTGTCTAATACATTTGATATCACATTTCTATTAGAGGCCTGAATGTTAGAACATTCATCTCCCATATTCACTGGATTAGATGTTTTATCTCTCCAGCTTGGAGTGAAAATTTTTTGACAGCACGTGAGTGAAGTGGCTATCTTTAACTCTTTTCATATTAGATCTACTGGATTCATCTGTTAGAATTCTTTCCCTTCTAAATGTGATATGGCTCTTTGGCAAGCTAACCATGAATTATTTTAACAGTCAGGTGACCTCTATGAAGAAGAAATGTATCATCACTTTTGGGAAAAAAAACAAAAACAAAACAAAACGAAAAAACACTCTGAGGCTGGGTGTGGTGGCTCACGCCCGTAATCCCAGCACTTTGGAAGGCTGAGGCAGGCAGATCACTTGAGCCCAAGAGTTTGAGACCAGCCTGAGCAACATGGAAAAACCCCATCTGTGCAAAAAAAAATTGTTTAATTAGCTGGGTGTGGTGGCATGTGCCTGTAATCCCAGCTACTTGGGAGGCTGAGGTGGGGGTGTTACTTGAGCCCAGGAGGTTGAGGCTGCAGTGAGCCACGATTGCACCACTACACTCCAGCCCGGGTGACACAGTGAAACCCTGTCTCCAAAACAACACCAACAACAAACCCTGAAAATAATGTAAGCTTATCAAAATGGAAACAATGCAATGGCATGTCAGCAAAAAACAGCATGTTAGGGAACTCCAAGTTCGTCCCTCCAGAGAAACAGTGAAAATAACCTGACAAAAAAATGTCAGAATCAACTTTATCTGATCTCTAAAAACCTGTCAAAATTTACAGCAATTAGGCAAGCACTTAAGAGAAAGATGATTCTCACTAAGTGTCTTAAAGATGCCAACCTAAGGCCTTGGTTAGGTTCCTGGTGCCAGAGAGATCAGAGTTGACCTTGTTCTCAAAGAGCTGTGGTTATTTTGTTTTGACCTCTCTGTTGGCTTAAACTGTGTAAAGGGCTTGCTTTTATTTTGCCACACTCAGAACTCTGCCAGAGCAGATAGGCCATTTGTCGTAAACATTTAAAGGCAAATGTATTTATTTGATTTTTATTTTTTGTAGAAACAGGGTTTTGCCATGTTGCCCAGGCTGGTCTCAAACTCCTTGGCCTCCCAAAGTGCTGGGATTACAGGCATGAGCCACCATGCCTGGCCTACAGGCAAATGTATTAGCCAGTGCTGAATGGGGTAAGGGGTAGCAATTGAGGCAAACAATGAATATAATAAATTGTTTCTATAAGTATAGAAAAAAGCTTGAAAGGACACAAAAATATTTTTATAAAGCTGTTTTAAGCTAAGTGTTATTACAAAAGAGTCAAAAAGATAAAAAATTAAAAAGTTCATCAAGTAGAAATGTTATATAGTAAGCTAAGGTTAATTGATTATCAAAAAGCTTGGGGATGTGAGGGGGATCTGGCTGCGACATCTGTCACCCCACTGATCGCCAGGGTTGATTCAGCTGATCTGGCTGGCTAGGCGGGTGTCCCCTTCTTCCCTCACTGCTCCATGTGTGCCCCTCCCGAAGCTGCATGCTCGGTCCAAGAGGACAACCATCCCTGATAGAGGAGGACCAGTCTTCAGTCAAGGGTATACAAGTAGCTGTGCTCCCCTGCTAGAACCTCCAAACAAGCTCTCAAAAAGCTTGGGCAGACAGACTGAAAAGTGACATGCTTTGGGGACTAAGGGCTTTCAAAGCTCCTACATATTCCTTGGAAACTAGATGGCCATGTGCATGCCCAGGACAGAGCACATGCTCAGAAAGACTTGAGAAGGCTCTAAGTTCTCACTTCTGGCTGATATTCAGGCTCTGCACAAGCAGAAACTGAAGCTAAGAAAGATGTAAACTGCCCAACTGAGTGTGGAAGGCATGGCCCCAAGATATACACAGTCTACTGGCAAACACTGGAACTATATATATTATTTATTCATTTATATTTAGTCATACACCACATAACAATGTTTCCATCAACAATGAATCGCATATATGATGGTGGTCCCATAAGAATACAATACAATGGAGCTTTAAAATTCCTATCTTCTAGTGACATGTTACCCTTCCTAATGTCACAGTGCAATGTATCTATTCATGTGTTTGTGGTGAGGCTAGTGTAAACAAACCTGCTGTGCTGCCAGCTGTATAAAAGTATAGTACATACAATTATGTATTGTACATAATATTTGATGATAATAAGCAACTATGTTACAGGGTTATGTATTTACTATACTATTATGGTTATTTCAGAGGGAAATTTAAAAAAAATTATAGAAGGAATAAAGTGTAAAACAGCCTCAAGCAGGTCCTTCAGGAGGTATTTCAGAAGGGGCATTGTTATAAAAGATGACAGTTCCATGCATGTTACTGACCCTGAAGACCTTCCAATTAAATGACATGTGATATTAATGATCATGATCCTGTGTAGGCCTAAGCTAATGTGTGTTTGTGTCTTAATTTTTAACAACAAAGTTTAAAAAGTAAAAAAAAAAAACTAAATAATTTTAAATATAGAAAAAAGCTTATAAGGATATAAAAATATTTTTATACAGCTATATATGAGTTTGTGTTTTAAGCTAAGTGTTATTACAAAAAGTTAAAAAGTTTATAAAGTAGAAATGTTACATAGTAAGCTATGGTTAATTTATTGTTGAAGAGATCACATATTTTTAATAAATTTAGTGTTGTCTAAGTGTACAGTGTTTATACTATAGTGTACAGAAATGTCCTAGGCCTTCACATTCACTTACCACTTACTCAGTGACTCACCCAGAGCAACTTCCACTCCCGCAAGATGTATTCATAGTAAATACCCTATACAAGTACATTTTGTACCTATTATACTGTATTTTTACTATGTTTAAATATGTTTAGATACACAAATACTTTTGTGTTACAACTGCCTACAGTGTTCAGTACAGTAACATGCTACACAGGTTTGTAGCCCAGGAGCAATAGGTTATACCATATAGCCTAGGTTTGCAGTAGGCTATACCATCTAGATTTGTATAAATACACTGTGATATTCACATAAAGACAAAATTGCCAAGTGATGCATTTCTCAGAATGCATCCTTGTCATTAAGCAATGCATGACTATATACTTCTGGCTCCAACTGTTAAGAAAATATCTGTCAAATCATTAGTTGACCAGAGATTCTAAGCTAACTGAAGAGAAATTCTAGTGGCCATACACAGCACAGAATATGAACTTTACAAAAGTGTCTATTTCAGAAAAGTCACTAGACAACACCAACTATAATAAGCAGCAACAAAAACCTCTAGGAAAGTAGAAAATACCACTGCCACATTATATATATCTAAAATGTCTAATACTCAATAAAAAATTATAAAGCATGGAAAGAAACAGGAAAGTATGGTCTTCAGAGAAAAAAAATTAATAGAAATTATCCCTGAGGATGTCCACATATTGCATTTACTAGGCAAAGACTCTAAATCAATTATTTTAAATATGCTTAAAGAGTATGTTCAAAGAACTAAAGGAAAATATGAGAATAATGTCTCACATAATTGAGAATATCAACAAAAATAGACTTTAAAAAAACAAAACAGAAATTCTGGACTAGCAAAATACATAACTGAAATGAAAATTTTACTAGTTGGGGCTCAACAGCAGGCTTGAGTAGGCAGAAGAAACAATCAATGAACACTTAGATCAATAGCGATTACCTGATCTGGGGAGCAGAAAGGAAAAAAATGAATAAAATGAACAAAGCCTAAGAGACCTGTGGAACACTATTAAAAGTACCAACAAACACATAATGGATCTCCAAAAGGGAGAAGAAACAGAAAATGGGGCAGAAAACATATTTGAAGAAAAAATGACAGCAAACTTCAAAAACTGATGAAAGACATAAACCTATATATCTAAGAATCTCAACAAACCCCAAGTAGGAGAAAACTAAAGAGATCCACACCTAGAAACATTAGAATCAAAATGTTAAAAGAAAGAGTCCCGAAAGCAGCAAAAGAAGCAACTTATCATGTATAAGGGATCTCCAATAAAGTTAACAGCTAATTTCTCATCAGAGATTATGGAGGCTAGATGGTAGTAAATTAACATGAAAAAAAAAATCTATCAACCAAGAAGTCTATATCCAACAAAACTATCCCTCAAAAACAAAATAAATTATGATATCCCAGTTAAAAAATTAGAATTCATTGCTAGTAGATATGCTTTATAAGAAATGCTATAAGGAGTCCTTCAAGCTGAAAGAAAAAGATACTAGACAGTAATTCAAATCACAACAAAGAAATAAAAAACACTGGTAAAGATAATGCTGTGGTCTGAATGTTTGCATCCCTCCAAAACTCATGTGTTGAAATCTAATCCCCCATGTGATGGTATTAAGAGGTGGGGCCTCTAAGAAGTGATTAGGCCAAATGGGATTAGTGCCCTTGTAAAAGATGTCCCATAGAGCTGTCCCTTTTTTGCCCTTCAGCCCTGGGAGGACACATAGAAGGGACCATCTATGAGGAAGGGGCCCTCACCAGACAGTGAATATGTTGTACCTTGATCTTGGACTTCCCAGTCTCTAGAACCGTGAGCAACAAATTTCTGTTGTTTATAAATTACCCAGCATAAAGTATTTTGTTATAGCAGCACAGACTAAAACAGGTAACTACATAGATAAATATAAAAGTCATTATTAATGCATTTTGGTTAGTAACTTCAATTTTACTCTACATGATTTAAAAGACAGTTACATAAGGCAGTAATTATAAATCTGTCATAAACAAATAATATAAATCTATGTCTATGGCAGACATTATATACATAAAAATGTAATCTGGAGTGCAGAGTGACAATAAACAACACAAGGAATAGGGAACAGTGCTTGCTATAGGAGCAACATTTTTTATTTTCTTTGTAAAATTAATTTAAAATTTTTCCTTTTTGCATCTCACATTCTAGCAAAATATTTTTATGTGACTGAAACTAAACTGGTATTAATCCAAACTGGATTGCTATAAATTAAGATGTTAACTGTAATTCCCATGGCAAAAACTAAGAATATAAAGATCTACAGTAAAAGAAATGAAAAGTGAATAAAATAGTACACTAGAAAAAAAACTGAATACAAAAAAGGTAGTAATGGAAGAACTGGAGAACAAAGATGACATATAATATACAGAAAACAAATAGCAAAATAGCAAAAGTAAGTCATTCCTTATCTGTAATTACTTTAAAATTAAATGAGTTAAACTGTCTGATTAAAATGCAGATATTGGCAGAATGAATTCAAAACAAACATGATCCATCACAGCAAGTCCTCACTTAAGGTCACTGACAGGTTCTTAGAAACTGCAACTTTAAGTAAAATGACATATAATGAAAATTTTTTTTCATGCTATAATGAAACAGCATTGAAGGAAATGATGCTATTTAAAGACTTACTGCAAGTGGTAGTTTCTAAGACTCTACTGATGATGGCAAGAGAGGATTTACTGTACATGGTGTCTATAAGAGACTCACTTTAGAACCAAGATACAAATAGATCAAAAGTGAATGGATGAAAAAAGATATTCCTTGCAAACAGTAATTAAAAGAGAGCTGGTAGCTATACCAATATTAGGTAAAATCAATTTTAACACAAAAATTGTTACAAAAGACAAAGGACATTATTTAACGACAAAAAGGTCAATCCATCAAGAAGATATAACAATATAAATAACATAAACATGCACCTAACAGAGCCCCAAAATACATGAAGTAAAGATTTAACAGAACTGAAAGGAGAAATAGACAATTCTATAATAACGGAAACTTTAATACTCCACTTTTAATAATGACTGGAACAATCAGAAAGAACAGTAAGAAAACAGAAAACTTGAACAACAGTATAAACCAACTAGACACATCTAACAGACATCTATAGAACATTCCACCCCAAAAGAGAATACGCATTTTTCTGAAGTGCATAAGGAATATTAGCCAAGATATACCCTATTTTAGGCTATTAAATTGGTCTCAATAAATTTAAAAAGACTGAAATCATACTACGTTATCTTCTCCAACCATAATGAAATGAAATCAGAAATCAATGACAAAAGGAAATTTGAAAAATTCACACGTATGTGGAAATTAAACAACACATTTTTAAACAACAAGTAATCAAAAAGGAAATTAGAAACTACTGTAATATGAATGAACGTGCCATTATGTTGTCTCTAAGATAATTGTGAATGTGTTAGAAGACCATCCTCACTAGCAGGAGAGAAGCCTATACTCTTTTTAAAAGAATAAAACTGAAAAGCTCTTTCTTCCTTTATGTTTAGAATGTTTGAGACTAAAATAGGAAAGGCCATAAAATATCAGGGTTTCATTACCCGTTAGATATTTCTTTTTGGATTCATTCCTTCTGGAAGATTTTAATTCATTAATGTTAATAGTTAATCATAACTATTTTTTCTAATTTAAAACAACTGAGGATTAAGGAAAAATAAAATTAAATCACGATATTTAATTTTTAAAGTAAAAAACAAATCTCTAGAGAAGGATACGAATGAAAACGAAAACATACCATGCCAAAACGTAGGATGTGGTAAAAGCAGTGCTCAGAAGAAAATTTACAGTTATAAACACACTTAAAAAAAAAAAAGAAGAAGAAAAATCTCAACCTAACTTTATACCTTCCATGGTTGCTATCCTAAGTTTTGCTACGTAATAGCACTGAAAAATCTGCCTTAGGTGACTCAAGCGAAATTTTTTATTTTATTTTTTACCAAGGATTGGCAAACTGTTTCTGTAAAGGGACAGACAGTAAATATTTTAGGCTTTGTGGGTCAGTCTTCATTACAACCATTAAATCCTGCCATTGTAGTAAGAAAGCAGCCACAGACAATACATACACAAATGGGTATGGTGGTGTTCCAATAAAACTTTATTACAAAATCAGGTAGTGGCTGCTTTTGGCCCAAGGACTGTAGTTTGCTGACCCTGATTTTAATCAATGGATTGACAATAATCTAAAACTCATTCTATTTATACAGTGTCTCCACAAATGTGATACCCACATTTTTAGGTGTGCCAGGTAGTAGAAAAATATTTGGCTAGTTAACCAAAACCAAAACCAAAAGATCTTATCCAGGATCTGACCAAAGGAAACTCTTCAGGTTTTTTTTGGTTTGTTTTTTGTTTGTTTGTTTGTTTGAGACGGAGTCTCGCTCTGTGGCCAGGCTGGAGTGCAGTCGTGTGACCTCAGTTCACTGCAACCTCCGCCTCCCAGATTCAAGAGATTCTCTTGCCTCAGCCTCCCCAGTAGCTGGGACCACAGGCACGTGCCACCACGCCCAGCTAATTTTTGTATGTTTAGTAGAGACGGGGTTTCACCATGTTGGCCAGGATGGTCTTGATCTCTTGACCTCGTGATTCACCTACCTCAGCCTCCTGAAGTGCTGGGATTACAGGAGTGAGCCACCGCTCCCGGCCCGCTCAAAGTAAACTCTTCTTAATGAAACTTCTACTCCCTTGAAAAAGACTCAGGGGTATTAAATTGAAGGGAAGATAATCTACCTGGCTATCAGATTCACTGAGGAAGGAAGACAACATTCATCCAAATTATATTTAGGAACTTCAAACTCTAATTGACATCTGGGACCCTTAATTTGTATAGTGTTATTAATCAAGACCAACTGCCTCAAAGTTAATACAGTCAATGCAGTGCATGACATTTTGGTCAATGATGGACTGCATATATGATAGTGGTTCCCTAAAATTATAATGGAGCTGACCTATATAGGAGTACCATTTTAAATCTTTTTACTGTATTTTTACTGTACCATTTCTATGTTTAGATACATAAATACCATTGTGTTACAATTGCCTGCAGTATTTAGTAACATGTTGTACAAGTCTGTAGCCTAGGATCAATAGTCTATACCATGTTGCCTAGGTGTATGGTAGGCTATACCATCTAGGTTTGTGAAAGTGCACTCCATGATGCTGGAACAACTACAAAATTGCCTAACGATGCATTTCTCGAAATGTATCCCCATCATTAAGCAGTACTTGACTGTAATTCCATGTAATCTTTCTCACTAGGTCTTTGGGTCATTTTCGTATCTGATTTATTGATTAAAAGCTCAAGCTAAACTCTTACTAATGACTTTGCCCTCTTTACTCTGACCTTCACATGTAAATTTAGCAGTCAACACAGCTTTCTCACCCCACCCCAAACCTCTCTCAAAAAAAAAAAAAAAAAAAAGCAGCAAAAAAGCCAAAACAAACGTGTGTGTATACAAGTGCATTCACCACTAGAAGGACTAAATAATAGAGAGATTTAAAGGAAGTTGTCTCTGGTGAGTGGATCAGGAGGATAAGGCAGGAAACTTGGATTCATCACAGTATCTTCAGGATTATAGGATTTTATACCAGATGCATATAAAATTTAAAATAAATAGAAAAAAGAAAATGCTTTAGAAATAAGTTTCAAAATAAAAACTAATTTTCCAGGGCAAATAAAAATAATAAATACAATAATATAGTTTACTTCATGATAAATTTTAAGTCTGGGCTTCTATGGCCAATATGTTACAAAAGAAGTAGGGAGAGGCTTTGGGTTTCTCCATAATAGATCACTGTTAAAGTCAACTGCCTTTGGAGAGATGTATTCAAATTTATGTAAGATTATAACTTTAATTGATTTTCTTAGCCTTAAACTATATATACTAACCAGTGATAAGGTTAATCTATACCAAATCCTGGTTGCTGATAAGAGAACATTTATTATTCTTTGAGAGTCAAGGTCAATAAGAATGATTTCTTGACAAATAAGAAAATAATTTCGAGCACAGTAGAAGGATGTATTCTGCTCCTTTATTTTAGGAATACATTATGTCCCCTATTTTAAACTAGTATCTAAATAAATTTAGATTAATAACACATTTATTTGAGTTGGATACACCTCTGTCCTCTCCATAAGATTAAAAAAGTAAGCGTTCTCCAAAATATAGATAAACAAAAGACTGCAGCTTCAAGAGACAGCTGCTTCTGATATCTAATTACTGGGGGAATTGAGTTGGCAGGAACATCAGACCAACTATCCACAGAACAAAATCATCATTTCTATAATCTGGTAACTAGATCTTAGACTAAATCTTGCCACTGATTTATCTTGAAAAGGAGGTCCCTTTAACAAGTCAATGGCAGGGGGAGAAAGAGAGAGAGGACAGACAGTTTTATAATAAAGAGATTTAAGAGACAGAACAACTGGCCAGGCGCGGTAGCTCACGCCTGTAATCCCAGCACTTTGGGAGGCCAAGGCGGGCGGATCACAAGGTCAGGAGATCGAGACCATCCTGGCTAACACGGTGAAACTCCGTCTCTACTAAAAATACAAAAAAAAAAAAAAAAAAAAAAAATTAGCCAGGCGTGGTGGCAGGTGCCTGTAGTCCCAGCTACTCGGGAGGCTGAGGCAGGAGAATGGCGGGAACCCGGTAGGCAGAGCTTGCAGTGAGCCGAGATCGCGCCACTACACTCCAGCCTGGGCGACAGAGCAAGACACTGTCTCAAAAAAAAAAAAAAAAAAAAAAAACAGATAGAACAACCAAATGTCATGTATGGAACTTGTATGGCCCCTGATTCAAATTAAACCAGAGTAAAAAGGCAGATTTGTGACAACTAGGGACATCTGAATAAAGACTGCTACTAGACGCTGTTAAGGAATTATTCATTATATTGGATGGGATAATAGTATCCTGGGTATTTAATATCTCTTTATCTAAAGAGATGCACAGTGAAGCACTCAGGAATAAAATGTCATAATGTCTGATATTCATTTTAAAATCCTTCAAAAAAAGGATAATATAGGAAAATGATAATTATTAAATGAGTGATGATTAATATAGGAATTCATTAAACTATTCTCTCTACTACTGTTTGTTTTAAGTTTTTCATAATAAAAAAGTATAAATAGTGAACAATAAATACAAAAGTATTATGATTTGTGATTTGTAATATATGTGTCTGTAGGTATTCTTAAAACAGAAGAAATATGCCATAAGAGACAACCTAATAGTGGCCTAGAATTTTCAAAAAAGAAAAAAAGAAGAGGAAGCAGACCAAGAAGGGTAAGTAAGTGGTAAAGTAAAAGCTGTTATTTGATTTAGATTTATTAATAGAAAAGTATAGGTTTTATTATCATCTTTAAGGATGAGAAGGTAACCACTATGTAACAGAAAAGCATATAAAAATTTCCAAATTAATAGAAATTTTACTAAGCCAACAAAAGAAAAATTAAGAAGTATAACACATACTACAGACGAGAGGAAAAACAAAATCAAGCATTTGTTTCTCATTAACTATACATATACTGAGCTCCCTTATCAAAATACAACTGATCAACAAACTAACTTTGAAACAAAACCAAAAAGGCAGAAAACACAGATGAAGAAAAACAGACGCAAACAAAAGAAAAGCAATAGTGTTGATATTAACATTGGAAAATGGGAATTAAAGGTCAAAAGCAAGTAATAGGACAAAGAGTGGTAATAAGTAATGATAAAAGGTCTAATCCACTGAAAAGTTAAAACAGTCATAAACCCTTATGTTCTAAACACTCCAAATTCATTCACATAACAGCAAAACTCCTAAATAGAACTTGATAAAAACAATCACAGCAGAATACTTTAATATACCTTTACCAGAGTTGACATAGTAAGTAAACAAAAAATAAGCAAAATTATAGAGAATTTGAATAATAATTTTTAAAACACTTTGAGGTGTTTATGTTTACAAATATAAGATATATATAAGATAAATATAAGCGGCCGGGCGCGGTGGCTCACACCTGTAATCCCAGCACTTTGGGAGGCCAAGGCGGGCAGATCACGAGGTAAGGAGATCGAGACCTTCCTGGCTAACACAGTGAAACGCCGTCTCTACTAAAAACACAAAAAATTAGCCGGGTGTGGCGGCGTGTGCCAGTAGTCCCAGCTACTCAGGATGCTGAGGCAGGAGAATGGCATGAACCTGGGAGGCGGAACTTGTAGTGAGCCGAGATTGTGCCACTGCACTCCAGCCTGGGCGACAGAGCGAGACTCCATCTCAAAAAAAAAAAAAAAAAAAGAAAGAAAGAAAAAGAAATATAAGCATACAATACCAAGCCTATATTCATGGTTCATTTAAAAAATGAGCAATAAGTCTGGTCACAAAGGAAGTCTTAATTCTAAAACTTAGAGATAGTACAGACTACATTTAAAAATAATAATCAAATAAAATAACCATCAGAGACAAAAATGATTTTTAAACACCTCAGCAACTGACAAGTTAAAAAAATTTTTTTTTCAAGACAGAAATAAAAGTTTAAATTACAAATAGCCTAGAAATTAATGAAAGGGAAAATATTTTACATCAAAATCTATGAGAAATGAAATTCTACACAGAGGAAAATGCATGCAGCTAACAAGACAAACTAAAAATGAATGAACCAAGTACCCAGGCCAAGAAAACAGAAAAAGAACAATTAAAATACACCAAAACAAAGTAGGAAGAAGAAACGGGTAAACATTAATGCAGAAATTAATAAAACAGAAAAGGGAAAAAAGCTAGTTCTTTTGAAAGGCAAGTAAAGTAGATAATTCCCTAGCAAACATAATTAAAATAAATATACCAGACAGAGGGTGCCTCAGTAGTTACTTAAACCTCAGCTTTCTTATCTGGAAAATGGTCACATATTTGCTTTACCTTCCTTCCTTTCCTCTGCTTCTGCCTACTGTACCTTCCAATAGCAATGTCAAATGAACTCATCTGAAAGCTCAGCCCAGCTGGTTCTAAATGTGACACAGGGAACATTACAATCTGTCATTCACCTAATACTGTTGTGTATTTATTTCCTTTCAGACACAGACTGATCCCTAATCCCAGAGCTCCAGTTGCCTTTACAGGGCTTCTTTCTGCTGTGGTTCCTGCCAGATAATCTTGTTCTTGGCTGTCTCCTTTCCAAACACAGTAGCTCTACCCTTGAAAGTCAACCCAGAGCATAGTACCCCTGCCCAAAGCAGGATCTCTTAAACGCTTCAGTGACTGCTATTGCTAAACTGCCTAGTCCAATTTCCCAATGTTATGTTTCTACCCTGCATATAGTCAGGAAAGTGAGAAAGATGGCTGTGGTCAACCGCAAATGTTGGTTTCAAATCCATGCCACATCAGCAAAAAAAAAAAAAATGGATAGGCACCCATATCTGTAAAGGGAAAAGCAAAAGCAACAGAAGCATGGCCTCTATCTCATTTCCACCTTCTAAAACATACACAAGTACATCTCATTGGCCAAATCTACCTTATATCCAGAATACTTGCTGCAAGTGGATCTGGGAAACATAGTTATTAGCTTTCAACACTATGCAAAACAGGAAAAGACACTGGCATGGAAAAATAAATGTTGAAACTAATCCATTGTTTTCATCACATAAAGGTTTTTTTTTTTTCATATTATCCTCCAATTTTAATAAGCAGATTTTTACAGCATGTAAAAAGACTGATAAATTCTCAAAATAAAAGTGCAAACCAGTAAATGTAATAGAATAATACTGGATGCTTTTCTTTACATCTCTGAAATTAATTCACCTTTTAAGGATGTATCCTTATCTCCATATAAATAGACATGTAATATTCCATTCCATACTGACTTTCTCTTCAAAGATTGTCAGGGAAAATTTTTAAGTTTTTCATAGTATGGTTTGTAATTCTCTGGAAGACAGACCAATTCTTTCCATTTATATATTGTTTTAAGTTCCCACTGCAGCTGCAGTGGCTAACTGATCATGGTAGTTTCCTGGTCCCAGTGACTTCCTAATTGTATCAATCACAGTATGGCACAGGTAAGAGAGATTGGATAAGTCTAGGATAATCACAGGGGAGAGAGAATTAAAATACTGTGGAAGAGTGGCAGTGAATTTGTCTTGGATAATCTGCAAAGGAGAAAGAATCGAGTGTAAAAAAATGTTATTAGTCAAATCATGTTGTACACCTTAATATATACTGTTTTTGTCAATTATACCTCAATAAAGCTGGAAAATAAAAAATAAACAGGAAAGAAAAAATGTTGTGAGAACTTTTGATGAATTAGATTGGGGGTAAGGTTGTAAATGACAGACAACTTGTGAGTAACAGACTTGCATAAGCAAGGATACTGATAACATCTGCAGAAATAGGAAAACACTGGAAGAAAATCCGCAGGCCAGAGAAGACAATGAACTTGCCAAGTAGGAGGTGTTTTTGAAATAGTCAAGTGGAACTGCCAGTTAAGCATCTGGATACATAGGTCTGAAACTCAAAGTAGTAGTTTGTATTAGACATATATAAATGTAGAAGCCATTGGTATATGAAGAAAAGTCAAATAGGCATGAAGGATATTGCTTAAAGAAAAACAGAAGAGTGGTAATATATGAAGGCTTAAATGAGCTTTGAAGAATGTCAGCATTGTCAGTACTGCTGATGTCAGGTAAAATGAATACTAAAAGTTATCAACTGGACCAGCTATTATGAAAATCCCTGGGAATCCTGGGAACAGCTGTTTTGCTAGAGTAATGGGTACAGATACCTAAGAAGAGTGGTGTAAAATGAAGGGAAATTTTCAAGAAATTTGGCTGTTGAATGGAAAAAGATACGTGGCTGAGAGAGACTTTCTTTTCTTTTTAAAGAAACATATCTACATAAATACTGATGAGAAAGATATAGTTGAGAGAGGACTTTAAATATAGGTGACAGATAGCAGCACTGACAGTATGTTTCCAGAGCAGGAAGGGGTAGAGTAAGGGACAGAATCCAAAATATGGGAGAAAAGCCAGCATTCAAAGAGGGGACACCATTAGCAGGAAAAAGGAGAGGATACATGTAGGTCTAAGTCTGTAGGTTGGTTGTAAGATGAAAGTATTTGAGTATAAATGTTATAGATCTTGGCCATATATAAAATGTCACGGCCAATAAAAGTTGAGAGAGGAATTCTTTGAATTAACAGGCATGAGGGTACAAGTTGATAGTAAGAGAGATCTTTTACATCCTTCATCAGAGGTGTCTGAAAGGTCACAGTGAGAGAAAAATGGACATGTACATGAAATGGAGATAGGACTGGTAAGCTAGTTTGTACAATTTTGCCCAGCTGTTCTTTAAAAGAGGATCAATAGTGATTAATTCTACATTTAACTTAACCCTTTCTCTCCAAACTAGTGTTTCTTCATAAATTCCAACTTTATACAAAATAACTGATAATTTAGTAATTTGAGAAGTGATAAATGCAAAATCAAAATCATACTAACTGCTGAATAAAATAATTCAAATTCCTTTCTTTTCCTCTTTTTTTTTTTTTTTTTTTTTTGCTCTGTTGCCCAGGCTGGAGTGCAGTGGCGCGATCTCAGCTCACTGCAATCTCCACCTCCCTGGTTCAAGCGATTCTCCTTCCTCAGCCTCCTGAGTAGCTGGGACTACAGGTGTGTGCCACCACGCCCAACTAAATATTTATATTTTTAGTAGAGATGGGGTTTCATCGTGTTAGCCAGGATGGTCTCAATCTCCTGACCTCGTGATCTGCCCGCCTCAGCCTCCCAAAGTGCTGATACACATAAAAATATTTTATAATCTCTACACATTTTATATCCAAATGGCCATTAAATATATAAAAAGTATTCAATTTCCTTAATTACAGAGAAAAAGCAAATTAAAGTCAAAGTGAGATACCACTACATACCTACCAGAACGGCCAAAATATAAAAGATAATGTATCTTTATAAATATTTTATTTTTATAAAAAAGATAATTAGTCCCAAATGTTAAGGCTGTGGAGCAACTGCAACACCAATGCACTGCTGGAGGGAGGATAAACTACTATAACCATTTGAAAACGGTTTGGCAGTATCTACTAAAGCTGAACATACACAAACCCAGCAATGATAGGGCAATTTCATTCCTAAGTACATACGCAACAGAAATGCATATATAAGCTTATTAAAAGATATGTACAACGATGTTCATAGAAACTTTGCTCATAATAGCCCCAAATTAGAAACAACCTAAATATCCATCAAAAGTAGTATCTATCAATAAAATGGGATCCTGCTATGGTTTGAATGTGTCCCCCTGAAAGCATGTGTTGGAAACTTAATCCCTAATGCAACAATGTTGGGAGGAGGAACCTAATGGGAGGTGTTTAGGTCATGAGGGCTCCACCCTCATGAACGGATTAATGGCATAAAAGGGCTTGTTGCCAGTTTCATCTCTTGCTCTCTCTCATGCCATGGGATGATGCAGCATGAAGGCCCTCACCAGATGCTCCCACCTTGATATTGGACTTTCCAGCTCCAGAACTGTAAGAAAGAAGTATATTTTCTTTACAAATTACCCAGTCTGTGGTATTCTGTCATAGTAAAACAAAATTTCATGTGCATGATGTCATGTGCAAAATGTCATGTGATGTCATGTGCAAAATGTCCTGTGCATGATGTTGAGAAACAGAAGCCAATTTAAGAAGCAAATTAGCAAGTAATTAAAAAAATCTATATCAGAATACACATAGCTGACCCTTGAACACCAGGAGTTTGATCTGCAAGGGTCCACTTATATTCAGATTTTTTTCAATAAAAGTTACACAAGTATGCCTGCCTCTCCTGACTCCCGTTCCACTTCCTCCACCTCTTCTGCCTCCGCCATCCTTGAGGCAGCAAGACTAGCCTCTCCTCTCAGTCTACTCAATAAGAAGATGCAAAGATGAAGAACTTTATGATGATCCACTTCCACTTAATGAATAGTAAGTATATTTTCTCTTATGATTTTCTTAATAACATTTTCTTTATTGTAAGAATACAGTATATGATACATATAACGTGTTAATTGTTTATGTTAGTGGTAGGCTACTAGTAGTTACGTTTTGGCAGAGCCAAAAGCTATTCATGGACTTTCCACTGTGCTGGGGGATCGGCACCCCTAACCCCTCTGTTGTTCAAGAGTCTGTTATAATTTGATACTGCATATCTTTTCTATGAATTTTAGCAGCTCCAGAAGCCAGGAATTGTATATGACTTTTGTTTCCTCAGATGAATTTTATTATGTAATAGCTGCTTATTATTTCCTGATCATTATCCCTCAGGAAGTGTTTCATAGTTCTTATCTCTGAAAATAACTGAAATATTTTATTTCAGTATATTTGTTACATTTGACTTTTGACCAAAATTGTAGTCAAATTATTTCTAATAATTTATCATTCAACCTTTGCAGAAATGACAAAGAAGCAAGGCAAATACATAGTTTGATTTCTCAGATACCTCTCTAATGTCATGATTCAAAAATATGGGATATAATAAAAGTATTAATACTAATCAGTCCTTATTTCCTTCCTTGCAGTCTTTTTTTTTTTTTTTTTGAGATGGAGTTTCACTCTGTCACCCAGGCTGGAGTACAGTGGCACAATCTTGGCTCACTGCAATATCTGCCTCCCGGGTTCAAGTGATTCTCCTGCCTCAGCCTCCCAAGTAGCTGGGATTACAGGCATGAGCCACCACGCCTGGCCCAACTTGCAGTCTTGAATGTTAAAGTACCTATCAAATATGAATATTTGAATTTCTGTATATTTACTACTTTGCAAGAATGCCAGAAATCATTGCACAAAATAATTTTAGGAGCAAAGTAAATAAAATGTTGAATCTAAGAAGTACTTAGATATAATATCACAAAAATCTTCAAGTCAGTATTATTGAAATTAATGTGGAAATTTCTAATTCCAGGCAGAGTGTGTTTGGTAACCTGTAGTATATAGCACAGGCTCCCTTGGCCAAGCTTTAACTTTCTGAGGTTTCAGTTACCCATGGTCAACTGCAGTCTGAAAATATTAAGACATTTTGAGACAAAAGAGAGATCATATTCACGTAACTTTTATTATAGTATATTGTTGTAATTGTTCTATTATTATTCCTGTTAATCTTATTGTGCCTAATTTATAAATTGAACTTTATCATAAGATATGAATATATAGGAAAAAACATAGTTTCAGCCATCCATTGGGATTTTAGAACGTATCCCCTACAGATAACGGGAGACTACTGGACATTAGGAACCCAGTTAAGGTTCAAAAAAAGCTTGGGACAAGTTAAAAGTACCTCTTTTTAAAAATGCTTGCCACTTATCTCAGCTTCATGCTTCACTCCCTCCCAATTGGAGAATTTCTAGGATAGAGATGCCAGTAAAACTCATTTAATTAATTCAGAAGAGTAGCCAAACAAATTGTATCTGTCCCAGCAGGAAGTCAGACCTTATCAGTTACAGTGGAGGCAATATTTTTAAACTTTTGCTCATCTTCAGTAGTTAAAGTTTAAAAATCTGTATGTATATTTGGGTTAAGTGTTTTCTGACTAATGCAAAACAAACAAACAAAAACAGGAAAAAAAGTAAGATTCCAGGAAAGGAAATGAAATAACTGTACCTAACCAGTTTTAAAATGAGGGTTCAATTTTCTTCCTTCGCATTACATACCTATGAGAACCAGAAATAAATTGTTGAAATAATTTTTGGATATATTTGGGTATAGTTTATCGTTCTCTGCTTTTAACCAATTGGATGATTTTGAGTCATTTCCAGAACTAGAGTTATGTCCTATTCTATTTGGAAGTATCCATGCTTCAATAAGTGATTGCTCCCTTGCCCTTCCCCCTCCCCCCACCCCCTTCTTCTTTTTTTTTTTTTTTTTTTTTGAGATGGAGTCTCTCGCTTTGTTGCCCAGGCTAGAGTGCAGTGGTGTGATCTCGGCTCACTGCAACCTCTGCCTCCAGAGTTCAAGTGATTCTTGTGTTTCAGCCTCCCAAGTAGCTGGGATTACAGGCACCTGCCACCATGCCCGGCTAATTTTTGTATTTTTAGTAGAGACAGGGTTTCTCCATGTTGCCCAGGCTGGTTTCGAACTCTTGACCTCAAGTGATCTGCCCGCCTTGGCCTCCTGAAATGTTGGGATTACAGGTGTGAGCCACCGCACCCGGCCAATAAGCGATTGCCCTCTATTGACAAACTAGGTAAACCAGTCCTCGAAACCTTTGGAGTTAACTTGGTAATTGGGAGAGTTAAGGAGGACTGATATTTCATGGAATATAATCACAGCACACTTTTAATCTAGTTGCGTATTTATTGGCGTGTCATTTTGCGTGATGACCAGTGTTTAGAACTGGGTTGATTTCATTCAAATTTGCTTCAGTTTTTGCTTAAATTAGTGTCCTGTACTAAAAATGTTCTTAGTCAAATTTTCCATGTCATATAATTTTCTCCTGTGGTAGTCTACAAATGCAAAAATATGTAGTCATCCACAGAATCTTTTTTTTTTTTGAGACAGGGTCTCACTCTGTTGCCCAGGCTGGAGTGCAGTGGCACAATCCACCTCACTTTATTGTGCTTTACTACATGTTGCGGCTATTGTATCTTTTTCCAAATTGAAGGTTTGTGGCAATCCTGAGCCAATCAAGTGTATGGGTGCCATTTTTCCAACAGCATGTATTCCCTTCCTGTTTCTGTATCACATTTTGGTAACTCTCGCAACATTTCAAACATTTTCATTATTATTACCTCTGTTATAGTGACCTATGATCAGTGATCTTTGATATTACCATTGTAATTATTTTGGGGAGTCACGAACCATGTCTATATAAATTGGTAAATTTAATCAATAAATGTTGTATGTGTTCTGACTGATCCGACGACCAGCTGTACCCCCATCTCTCTCTTTCTCTTTGGGCCTCCCTGCTCTCCGAGACACAACAATATTGAAATTAGGCCAATTAATAACCCTACAGTGATCTCTAAGTACTCAAGTGAATGGAAGAGTCACATATCTCACACTTTAAGTCAAAAGCTAGAAATGATTAAGTTTAGTGAGGAAGGCATGTTGAAAGCCAGGACAGGCCAACAGCTAGGCCTCTTGCACCAAACAGGCAAGTATGAATGTAAAGGAAAAGTTCTTGAAGGAAATTAAGTGCTACTCCAGTGAACACATGAATGATAAGAAAGTGAAAAAGCCTTAATGCTCATACGGAGAAAGTGTGAGTGGTGTGGATACAAGATAAAACCAACCACAACATTCCCTTGAGCCAGAGCCTAATCCAGGGCAAGGTCCTAACTCTCTTCATTTCTGAGAAGGACAAGAGGGTGAGGAAGCTGCAGAAGAAAAGTTGGAAGCTAGCAGAAGTTGGATCACGAGGCTTAAGGAAAGCAGCCATCTCCACAACATAAAAGTGCTAGAAACAGCAGAAAGTTCCGATGGAGAAGCTGCAGAAATGCTTTAATTCAGACTTGGCATTGCTGCCAGATAGATTAAAAAAAAAAGTAATCTAGATGGCCAGGCGAGGTGGCACTTTGGGAGGCCAAGGCAGGCGGATCACAAAGTCAGGAGTTCGAGACCAGCCTGACCAACATGGTGAAACCACGTCTCTACTAAAAATGCAAAAATTAGCAGGGCGTTGTGGTACGCACCTGTAATCCCAGCTACTAAGGAGGCTGAGGCAGGAGAATCACTTGAACCTGGGAGGCAGAGGTTGCAGTGAGCTGAGATCATGCCACTGCACTCCAGCCTGGGTGACAGAGCGAGATCCATCTCAAAAAAAAAAAAAGTAATCTAGACAAGCCTAAAATACTACAGATGACACTACACAATGCCAATATACTGGTTAAAAAAGCAGAAAACTTAATCTGGCAACCTAAATGATTATAAAATAGAGAAATTTTTCTCCTACCAAATTAAAGACAGTTTAAACTGTTTCTATAGCAAACAACAGCTTTGTGCTTTATTCGTTTTCCCTTAAAAAAAAAAAGTTTAACAATGTAAAATTAACTTGATATATAAACCATTCCTTCATAGTGCAAGTGCTTCACAGAAATGGAAAATATCAGTTTCCCTTTGTCCAGAGAGACTCAAGTTACAAATTAAGTCGAAACTTACCCATAACTATTTTAAATAAATTTATTTCATTAGTAACTACTACTACAAGGTAACCACTAATAAATATTTGTAGTGGCATAATAGTTCCTTAATGTGGAGTTTTCCTACCCCTGAGAAACAGGCCATACTTTTACAAGTTCACTTTGTTACACAATTAAAAGCTAATTTAATGCAATTATATAAGTTTAGAAAGTATTAATAAAAGAATGCTTGAACATTTATGTGATGTTCTTGAAATGTGTCCCTTTGTTAATAAAGTCCCAAAAAATTTAATTAGATAAGGAACAAATAAAGCAACACATGGCTTTCTGGGAGACTGTTACTACTGAGGTGATTAGCAAGCAAATTATGCTGCAAATTTAGCTGACTATACATCCTGAAATGAATTTAGACCATATTTGCTTAGCCAAATAGAAAATCAACTGTTGCCAACATTATTGTTAAGTGTAATTATAAAAAATTACTGGCAACTACTCTGTTTTAGTAAGGTTTTTGTCTCAATAGAGAATAAATAAAACATTCATTCATGAAACTGAAAATAAGTAAAACCCCCAAAAACTACTTTTCATGCTTCTCATATAATTTTTCAGTTATACCTTTTTTCAACATAAAACAATTATTATCTCATGTCAATTTCAAACCAAAGATTACAAGGCTTCCAATATTTTGAGTCCATAAAAACAGACAACTTAAAACAATAGCTTTTTTTTCTTCACTGAATGCTTTATGAGACATCAAAATTAACCTAGGTAATTGTGTACTAGTAGAAAAGTAAGAAAGCTTCCTATTCTTTTTGTTTTTTTAAAGACAGGGTCAGGCAGGCGTGGTGGCTCATGCCTGTAATCCCAACACTTTGGGAAGCAGACGCAGGCGATCACCTGGGGTCGGGAGTTCGTGACTAGCCTAGCCAACATGGTGAAAACCTATCTCTACTAAAAAAATACAAAAATTATCCAGGCATAGTGGCGTGCGCCTGTAATTCCAGTTACTCGGTAGGCTGAGGTGGGAGAATCACTTGAAACTGGGAGGCAGAGCTTGCAGTGAGCTGAGATTGCGCCACTGCACTTCAGCCTGGGTGACAGAGCAAGACTCCGTCTCAATCAATCAATCAATCAATCGATAATAAAGACAGGGTCTCGCATATTGCCCAGGCTGGTCTCAAACTCCTAGGTTCAAGCAATCCTCCCACCTCAGCCTCCTGAGAAGGCCAGCTGGGAAAAATCACTATTCTTTCTTTTTTTAAATTCACCATACAGGGTCATTCTCAGAAAACTTATTGTTCTTGTTTCAAGTTTTCTTATTATTCAAGAAGTAGACACTAAAATCAACAGTGCACTAAGAACATTAACATCATATTTCTACTAATAATGACAACTTCCCTTCAATATATAGTGATAACAGACTCTCTTGACTGTAAAAGGAAAACATTACTGAAGAAAGTAAGAATATTTACTAAAGAACATATATATTCTTTAAAAAATTATTTTACATTAAAATTCCTAGTTTTTAATTTTTTTAGTTGGGCAATTGAGTTGGAGTAATAGTTATGTTCTCTTGGGAACTCAAATGTTGAATGATACTAGGCATAATAATATAGATGGTCAGATTTAATTATAGTGCAATATTGATTTTAAGCACCTGACTTCTTATTAAATATCTTTTACTAACTTGTTAGATATGCAAATCATTTATACTAGATAGAAATGTTTGACTCAAAGTTTAACATACTTTTCAACAAATATTAATAATGATTTAAAAATGTAAGATACTTAAATAGCCATTTTTTCAAATTATTAGGTAATTTGGTGAATTAATTTCCATAATTACATCTGAAATAAATTCACCCTTAAATATTATTTTGTAAAAATCCATTCTGGATTTAATATATTATGTAAAATAATATAAAATATGCATTTGGAAAGATACAGGAAATGTTTTCCCTTAGAAAGTACTGAAGCTCCATCTAGAGGCTTTTCCCCCTATTACTGTCACTTGCAATATAAGTAATATCACCTAGAAATGTGAATAATATTAAAATGTCAGGGATTTCCTTTGTACCTACGCTTTTGTTATTCATAATGAGTTCTTGCCCTAACCTTCTCAGGGTAGAGCTCTAGCTCCATCACTGCCATCAAGTGGTAAAAAACTAAAACTGAACTTTAAAAAAAAAAAAAAAAAAAAAAAAGAAGAGGAAAAAAAAAACCAACTATGTATTCTTCACCACTTACACACTTTCCTTTGTTAGTTTAATAAATGGGTTTGTCTGTTTAACCTTTGCTATTTATTGTTTAAATCAAATTATATAAAAAAGTTGCCATATGTTTCTAGAAAATAGCACTGTACACTGTCTCTCAATCTAAAATTTTTTCTGGGCATTTTTATATTTGCAAGGCATATAAAAATATTTTGAATTAAACCTTTAGTTAAATTATGTGTTTTAATGTAAGTACAGTTCATGAATTACTCCACTGAGAGGAATAGCGATGAGAAACACAAATACTTACTCGGGATTAATGAATTTTACAGTACACTATAATACTTTATAAAAAGAGGAAATAAAATTATGATGTGACTAAATTAAGTATTTTCTCTTGCCTCTAAAAATAACCTAGATTTCATAAATCAGACACTCTCATTGTACTCTCAGGATGTAGTCATAATGATACTTCCCAAAAATGTCTTCACTAGCCTAGAAGTGAAGAAAGATCAGAATAAGCATCTAACACTATGTTGCAGGAGCTGAAACTTTCAAAGAGGCAAAAACTACAACTACAGAATCTAGGAGAAAAGGCCAATGAAATAATATCTCAGTCGAAGGGCTACTGCTCTACAAAGAGGCAGCATCGCCCCAAACGTAATTTTTCAAATATTAAAAAAACAGTTTGTATAGGAAATAGTAGGCTGAAATATAGAGTTAACTTAGTAACTCTCAACAACCATGTTTAGAAACTCCCCCAAATTACTAAGATATCTTTATTAATTGGCCATCCTTTTGATGTTATATAATTGGTTAGATTTTAGTTTTTACTGAGAAACAATAAAACAATAGCAGCCAACATTCCTACTATGTACCAGGTACAAATCTAAGCTTATCACATAATAAATGTATTAAACAGCCTCTCAACAACCCTGTAAGATAGGTACTACTATTATTATAATATAATGAGGAAACTGGGCACAAAGAGGTTAAATAACCACCCACAGTCACACAGTTAGTAGTGTGGCTATGATACAAAACCCGAGCAGTGTGCCAGGGTAGTCCTCACTCTTAACCATTTTCCTTTAAGTCAGGTTTTCTCAACCTTGGCACTATTGACATTTCTGAACCAGGTAATTCCTTGCTGTAGGAGGCTGTTCTGTGCATTATAGGATGTTTGGCAGCACCCCACCAGATGCCAGTAGCATTACCCACTCCCAGCCCCCCAGTTCTAATAACCAAAAATGTCTCCAGACATTGTCAAATGTCCCTGGGCAGGGGGGAACAGCCCCCAGTTCAGAATCACTGATATAAAATAAAAATTTAATCCGTTATAACATTGCAGGAACAAATGATAAACAATTTACCTGAAATTAGTTTTCCCCAATTTTAACTTACTTACTGGAACATAGAAATTCTTAAATCTACAGATGATTTAGAATAGTAACACTCTACATCTTACTATTTAAGGTAAAAATTATATGAGGGGCAAACCTCTTCAGGTAAAATTTATGTAAGCAAACTTGGAAATAATGGAGATACAGTGTATACAGAAATTTCATCAAAATTTTTTAAAGTATTACCTCTGACAAATGGGACTGAGGGCCAAAGGATGAAAATATCACCTTTTACTTTACATATTTCTGTATTATATTAAATTTTTTCCTTTTGATTCATTTTTCTAATAACAAAAATTATATATATTTATAAACATGATGTTTTGAAACAGGCATACATTGTAGGATGGCTAAATAGAGCTAATTAACATTTTCATTACCTCATATACTTTTCTTGTAATGAGAACACTTAAAATCTATCGTATTTTATTAAAATTTTATCAAACAATATTTTGTTTTTTACTAAGTTTTTTAAAAACCAAATTTTAGGAAAAGCATTTTCTTTTTGACATTAGCATCTCCATATGCTTACGCTTATAAAGTAAGCTATTTTCACATATTGTGTTATGTTCTCTCCCACATGCTAACATAGAAAATAACAAATTCATGTGTCTTTGTCCATCTGTTTTGCATTGTTGTAACAGAATATGTAGATGTAATACCTTGATTCTTAAAAACTACTTTAAAAAATTTAAAGAAAAAACTTATTTTACCTTCGAATTCTTTTCATGTCAGTATATACAGGCCAATCTCATTATCTTTGTATTGTGATGCTCTAACAATACCCGAGACTGCGTAATTTATAAAGAACAGAGATTTATTTCTTACAGCTCTGGAGGTTGAGGAGTCCAAAGTCAAAGGGCCCACTTCTGGCAAGAGCCTTTCGCTGCATCATCCCATGGCAGAACACAGAGGGCAAGAGAGCACGAGGGACAAAGAAGGGAAGAGGGCTGAACTTATCCTTTTACCAGGAACCCACCCCAATAACTAACCATCTCCCACCATAACTGCACTAACACTTTCATGAGGGTAGAGCCTTCATGACCTAATCACCTTTTAAAAGTCTCACCTCAACACTGTTGCATTAGGGATTAAGTTTCCAACACATAAACTTTCGGAAATACATTTACATCATACTATCATGACAAAAATAACTGTGTCTAATTAGAAAAAAATTATTAATTAACCATAGGTTTGAAAGTTAATAGATTAAATAAGAGGACACTAGAGGTATTATTTTCAAGAGTGCTGCTTATATATACACATATAAATTTATGTACATACACATAAATACACATACATATATAAATACATATTTATGTACATATATAAACATATGTATATAAATTATATAAATATAATTTTTATTTATATATAAAACACCTCTCCCATTACCACAATGGGCCAAGCCACTATAATTTTTTGCCTGGATCATTACAAAATCTAACATATCTCCCAGCTTCAGACCCTACCTGGCACCTTGCCTCAACAGTCTATTTTCAGCACAGCAGCCAGATTAAAACAAAAAACAGATGCAGTTAAAAGCCTCCAACAGTTTATACATAACACACACACACACACACACACACACACACACACAAGTAGGTGTAAATTTTTCTTTTCAGACAATTCTTATTTCTAGATTTTTTTTTTTTTTTTTGAGACAGAGTTTTGCTCTGTCGCCCAGGCTACAGTGCAGCGATCTCGGCTCGCTGCAACCTCCGCCTCCCGGGTTCAAGTGATTCTCCTGCCTCAGCCCCCCAAGGAACTGGGATTACAGGTACCCGCCACCGCACCTGACTAATTTTTGTATTTTTAGTAGAGACAGGGTTTCACCATCTTGGCCAGGCTGGTCTTGAACTCCTGACCTCGTGATCCACCCGCCTCGGCCTCCCAAAGTGCTGGGATTACAGGTGTGAGCCACTGCGCCTGACCAGAATTCTTTGTAATAACTTTAACCATATGTATTTTGCCAATCCCTGATTATAGCACTGTTTCTTATTTCTGATTATTCAGAAACCCTTTAAAGAAAGCATGGAAGAATAAAGCCTCCTCTATTCACTTAACTTTATCATTAATACTTTCATTGTCATCTTAATTCTTTTCCTCTATTATCCTATTTGTTTTTACTGCTGTAAATAAATTGTACATATTATATTGTACCTTCCTTTTGTCAGTATATATAAAAGTTTCCATTTTACTTCATAAATTTAATAAAGTAATGTTTATGTTTATGGTCAAGTAATGTTATAGCTCCACTGAGTTAATTTAGTATAATCTACTTACCCATTCATATTTGATCTTTGCAATAGTTCTGTACTATATCAAATTGGCAACTAAACATTTTTCATGTGTTTACTTTCTTCTCTATCACCACGGCCATTATTTAGGCTTTACTCATCTTTTTTCCTTTTCAGTTATTTAGTCTCTTTATACTTTGCTTTCTGTCAATTACACAAGTAACACATGAATAAATAAATACATACATTCTTCTTCAAAGCCTCATTCTCTCAACAGAAGTAATTATCATCAGTTTGGTACATATACTTCTCAATATTTTTTTAAAAATGTGCTTACTTTCATATATGTGTACATGTAGAAATGTTCCACTTTCTTTAAGTGATGGTACATTAAGTGACGGCAAACTTAATGTACTATTATTAAGCAAAATACCTTTCTTATATTAAAACAGGCTCATAATACCTGCTTCTGTCCATTCACATATTTCTCTACTGGGCTTTACTGTAATATTCAGTTTCATATAAGATATGCTACCTAACACTGGTTTTACCAAGGATTTGGCTTTTTATTAGAAGCATATAATTGAGAATACCATTGTATTAAATATATACTATTTTAAAACAGAAACATATAAGTAGAAACCTGAAACTAAAACTATAATGGAGTTAAAAAGTTCAACCAAAATTTCTCCATATAATACTAATAAAATTTTAATCCAAATGATTGAGAAATGAAGGTTTTTTTCTTTCTTTCTGGTATTTATGTATTTTTAACAGCTTTATTTAAGTATAATTTACAAACCATAAGAGTCACCTGTTTTAAGTGTTTAGTGATTTTTAGTACATTTATATAGTTCTGCAACATCACGATAATCTAGTTTTAGAATATTTCCATCAACCCAAAAAGATTCCTTGTACCTGTCTCCACAGATTTGTCTTTTTTTTTTTTTTTGAGACGGAGTCTCGTTCTGTTGCCCAGGCTGGAGTGCAGTGGCGCGATCTCGGTCACTGCAACCTCCGCCTCCTGGGCTCAAGCGATTCTCCTTCCTCAGCCTTCTCAGTAGCTAGGACTACAGTGCGTGCCACCACGCCCAGCTAATTTTTCGTATTTTTAGTAGAGACGGGGTTTCACCGTGTTAGCCAGGACAGTCTCGATCTCCTCACCTCGTGATCCACCTGCCTCGGCCTCCCAAAGTGCTGGGATTACAGGAGTGAGCCACCGCGCCTGGCCCAGATTTGCCTTTTCTAGGCATTTCATATAAATGGAAGGGATGAGGTTTTTCTGATATATTTAAACGTCAGATTTGGCAGAAAAAAAAATCACTATTTTTTTTGCAGAAAAATTTTGCTGTTGAACTTCTTTCTAAAAGTTATTAACATGCTTTGTTCATTTGGTAAGAACATTTTGAATATAACAGAGCTCCTTCTCCTTCTTTACTTCCTACCCTTCCTTCTCTTCCTTTTACCAGTTTATGCTCTTTTAATATTTAACAATCTTTACTCTCAACAGCCCGGTTTCTCAGTACAGAATGCATGGAAGGTATGAGGAATTGGCCTTTCTAGTTCAACTCCACTAAATATCCTGATAGTTTAACAGGAAAACAAAACACCAAGAAATCCAACATACTGAACTTTTTTCTTTTTTTCTGAGATGGAGTCTCGCTCGGTTACCTAGGCTAGGATGCAGTGGTGAGACCTTGGCTTGCTGCAACCTCTGCCTTCCGGGTTCAAGCAATTCTCTTGCCTTAGCCTCCTGAGTAGCTGGGATTACAGGTGTCTGCCACCAGGCCCGGCTAATTTTTTTTGTATTTTTAATAGAGACGGGGTTTCACCATGTTGGCCAGGCTGGTTTTGAACTCCTGACCTCAAGTGATCTGCCTGCCTCAGCCTCCCAAAGTGCTAGGAGTACAGGTATGAGCTACTGCGCCCAGCCACACTGAACATATTATATCCTCGAGATGTTTTAGTTTCTCCTGAATGTGGAATACATTTTTAAAACACTGATGAGAAATCCGGCCAAGCACTGTGGCTCATGCCTGTGATCCCAGCACTTTGGGAAGCCATGCAGATCACCTGAGGTCAGGAGTTTGAGACCAGCCTGGCCAAAATGGTGAAACTCTGTCTCTACTGAAAATACAAAAATGAGCTGAGCTTGGTGGCAGGTGCCTGTAGTCCCAGCTACCCGGGAGGCCAAGGCAGGAGAATCACTTGGACCTGGGAGGCAGAGGTTGCAGTGAGCCGGGATAGTGCCGCTTCACTTCAGCCTAGGCGACAGAGGGAGACTCCATCTCAAAAAAAACAAAAACAAAAAAAAAAAAAAGAAGAGAGAAATCCATTTTATACAGATCTCCTAAAATCTGTAATGTTATCTCCAAATGTAACTCCATCTCCCAAAAATTTTGGTGTCACTTTTGACTCCTCTTTCTCTCACAGTCCACATTCAATTCATTAATAAGTCTTGTTGGGTCTACTATCAAAAGCATACTCAGAATCTGAATACTAACACCCTTACCATTACCACAATGGGCCAAGCCACTATGATTTTTTGCCTGGATTATTACAAAATCTAACGTATCTCCCAACTTCAGCCCCTGCCTGGCACCTTCTCTTAACAGTCTATTTTCAGCACAGCATAGAGATTAAAACAAAAAACAGATGCAGTTAAAAGCCTCCAATGGTTTTCCATTTTACTCAGATCAAAAGCCAAACTCCTTAGTGGTTATCTTAGGAATTACAATTAACATCTTAAACTTGTAACAACCTAGTTTAATTTAATCTAGATAACCACTAAGAAAATAACAGGAAAGAACAGAATCAAAATAGTACACCATTTAAAAAATCAACTAAATACAAAAACAGGCAGTAATTGAAGAATTCGGGAATAAAAACATGTAAGATATAGAAAACAAACAGCATTAAAGGAAACAATCAAGAAAGTGACAACTAAGGCCGGGTGCCTATTATCACAGCACTTTAGGAGACTGAGATAGGAGCATTACTTGAGCCCAGGAGTTAAAGACCAGCCTGGCCCACATAGTGAGACCTTGTCCCGACAAAAAAATTACAGATATTAGCCAAGCATGGTACTTGGAGGCTGAAGTGGGAGGATCACTTGAGCCCTGGAGGTTGAGGCTGCAGTAAGCCAAAGTTGCACTGCTGCACTCCAGCCCAGAGGACAGAGGGAAGACCCTGCCTCCAAACAAACAGTGAAAACTACAGAAGGAGAAAAATATTTGCAAATCATATGTCTGGTAAGGAGTTAATATCCAGAATACATAAAGAACTCCTACAACTCAACAACAAAAAGACAAACAATCCAATTAAAAAATAGGCAAAGGCACCGTGGCACATGTATACATATGTAAGAAACCTGCACGTTCTGCACATGCATTCCAGAACTTAAAGTAAAATTTCAAAAAAATGGGCAAAGGATTTTAATAGATATTTCTCCACAGAAGATAATACAATAGCCATGAAGTATATGAAAATATGCCATCATTAGCCATTAAGGAAATGCAAATCAAAGCCACAATATATACCACTTCACAACTACAATCATTATAATTTTTAAAAAGGAAAATAATGTGTTTTTGAGGATGTGGAGAAATTTGAGCCTTTATACATTGGTAGTGGGCTCCAACAGTGCAACTGCTTGTGAAAAACAGTAAGATAGTTCCTCAAAAAGTTAAACACTGAATTACCATATGATCTGGCAATTCCATTTCTAGGTATATACCCAAAAGAACTGAAGGCATAAACTGAAACAGATACTCGTACATCATCGTTCACAGCAGCATTATTCACAATAGCCAAAGGTGAAAGCAACCCAAATGTTCATCAACAGATAAATGGATAAACAAAATGCAGTATATACATACAATGGCTATGATTTATCTATAAAAAGGATTGAGGTACTGACACACACTACAGCAAAGATGAACCTTGAAAACATTATACTAAGTGAAATAAGCCAGATACAAAAGGACAAATATTGTTATGATTCCACTTATAAGAAATATCTAGAATAGGCAAATCCATAGAGACAGAAAGTGGATTGGAGGTTACCAGGGGTTGGTGTGGGGGAAGGGGAAAAGGGTGGTTATTGCTTAAAGGGTACAGTTTCTGTTTGGAGTGATGAGAAAATTTTGGAAATTTTGGATAGGTAATAGTTGCACAGCATTATAATTGTACTTAATAGCACTGAATTGTATACTTAAAATGGGTAAAATGGTAAATTTTTGTTATACACATTTTACTTTTGTTTTTTAAAGCCAAAGTTCTTACAATCACATCACATCCTCCAAAGTCTTTTAAATGGCATCTGAAGTCACTGGGACCTGACGCCTCATTATCTCTCTGAACTCATATCCCATCACTTTTCCTCTAACTTTCTCCACACTCAGGCCTCCCTCATGTTCCCTGAACACTTTGGGCATATCATCATGGCCTCTGCATTTGCTGATCCTTCTGCCTGAAATGGTCCTCCCCCTTATCTTCATTACTCACATCCTCCCTCCTTCAGGTCTTTGCTCAAATATTGCCCTCTCAGTGAGGAGTCCTTTGTCTACCCTTATCTAAAACTGCAGTCTCTTGCACCACACTTCCTATCCCTCTTCTCTGCTGTATTTTTCTCCATAGAATTGTAACTAGTACATAATACATATTTTTTATTTACACTTATTCTCTTCCACTAGAATGTAAACACAATAAGGGCAGACATTTTGTCTGTTTTGTTTAATGCTGTGCCCCTAAAACAGTGCCAGGCACATAGTAAGCAACCAATAAATAATTGTGAATTAATGTATAGTAATTTATTCAAAATTCCAACATAAGACTTTTGACCAATTATTAAGACTTGCCACTTCTTAAAGCTTCTTCAAAATTGGAGATGGCTCTATTTTTACTCTAAACTCTAAATTCTATTCTATCCATCTAGGATGCAATTAAAACTTGCTATTTTATTGCTTTTTTTTTTTTTTTTTTTTTTTGAGACAGTTATCTCACTCTGTCACCCAGGCTGGAGTGCAGTGGCACCAACACATGGTTCACTGCAGCCCTGACCTCCTGGGCTCAAATGATCCTTCCACCTCAGCCTCCTGAGTAGCCGGGACCACAGGTGCATGCCACCACGCTCAGCTAATTTTTTTTCTTTTTCTTTTTTTTTTTTTTTGTAGAGACAGGTTATTGCCGTGTTGCCCAGGCGGGTCTTGAACTCCACCATGCCTGGCCTGACTTTTTTCGTGTGTTATGTTGCATTTAGCATTGAAAATCATTCCTACTGTCCCTGCACATTATTTAAAATTTCCCTATTCATTTTAACAGATGAGAAAAAGTAAAATATTGAAAAAGATCATATAACAATTAAACGGGAAAACCAGGTTTCTAATTTCTAATGTAATTTTCTCTGTAGGAACTTATCCTCTGTTTTCTTGTTTTAAAATAATATGGTTTAAACTGATATAAGAATTAGAATAAGCAGTTCCCTCATTTAATTCAGTATTTCATGAAGAACAATCAGTTGGTTGAAAGACATTCAGTTTTGTTCAAGTGACCAAAGAACATCCTACTTGCTCCTAAGAACCCGTTTCTTTGTGGTTCTTCCTGATAACCATAAAGAAAGAGAATAATATCATATAGCAGGTAAAAGTCAATTTAATCAAATACACTTTATAAAAACAAGTACACAGAAATATGCATATGTCTCACTAACTACAGCTATTTATAATTAGTACAGCTATTTAGAATTAGCTCCACGCTCAGTACATAATTTGAATCCCAAACTTACCAAGGTTTTCACCAAAAGTAAAAGCTGCTAAGCGTTAACACTGTAACACCTACTTGAGATAACTGAAGAACAGTTTTACATGCAAGGTGTGTAAGGAAAATAGAATATACTTTTGGTAAAAGATTATAAAAAGGCATGAAAATGTGGATTTTTCTTGCCTAGATTAAAGGGTTAAAAGATTGTTTTAAGTTAGATAGAATAAAGCTGAAGGTTTGAACAAGTTGTGGAAGGTTTACAAAGAAAACTATTATGTAAAAATCTGCTTTACATAATTATGAACACTTATGCATAAAAGGAAGTGCTACTGAGTAGTGCAGTCTATGCCTTACTTCTAAGTACTCACTGGGTCCAACCATATTAATTTATTTCCATATCTTGACTTCTGATCTTTTTGCGTCTTTGTATTTTAAGTATGTCTCTTATAAACAGCGTACATTAATTTTGTCATTTATTTTTTCATTGGCTCAATTTTTGTCTTTAGATAATTTTATTCATTTCCATTTAATGTGTTTATTGATATACATGAATTTTTTCTACCTATTTATTTTATCAGGGTCTTTTTGCTTTTTTGTTTCTATTTCTTTCCTTTCCTTTCTTGACTTTATTTATTTACTGCCTTTATTTATTTTAGAATGAGTGTTTTCTGTTTATTTGTTTTCCTAAACTCTTAGGGACCACAGGCCTTAGGGCATTCTTTCCCCACCCCTACTCCCCACACATTTTTGGAAGTCATATGCTCTATTTAGTGGCTACTCTAGTTAATTTGAAATGCATATTAAATTTAACAAAGTTGTCTAAAGTTAATTAATGGTAAATTTTTGAAAAGAAAATTTTTGAAAAGACATGGTATATTTCTGAAAAATATAAAAACCTTAGAATATTTGAACTCTGATGACTCTCATCAAACATATACCATTGCTACCCCAAATTTTATTTTATTATTTTATTTTTTTTAGACAGGGTCTCACTCTGACACTCAGGATGGAGTGCAGTGGCACGATCTCGGCCCACTGCAACCTCCACCTCCCGGGCTGAAGCAATCCTCCCACCTTAGCCTCCCCAGTAGCTGGGGCTACAGGCACACGCCACCATGCCTGGCTAATTTTTTTGTATTTTTAGAAGGGGTTTTGCCATGTTGTCCAGGCTGGTCTTGAACTCCTGGGTACAAGCCATCTGCCAGCCTTGGTCTCCCACAGTGCTGGGATTACAGGCATGAGCCACCATGCCCAGATTCAAAATTTTAATTTTATCCTATTTACCATCTTTACAAATTAAGTATTTCTCTCATACAATGTTTGCTTAGGATTTATCTATATATTATTATATTTATTCACTATTCAACGTTACATCTCAAACTTTGCATCTGCTAATCATTTTCCTTCTCCCTGAAGTTTAGTCTTTGGTATTTGCTTCAGAAAAAGTCTGTTGGTTTTTTTTTTTTTTTAATTCTGTTTTTGTTGTTTTTCAGGAACTGTCTTCATTGTGTTCTTTTTCTTGAAAGGCAGCTTCACTTGGCATAGAATTCTAGAATTCCAGTATTGAGGTTATTTTCCTCAATGCCCTGAAGACAATACACTCTTTTTCTTCACTGCTGCTATGGAAAAGTCATCAATCTATAATTTCTTTGTAGATAATCTGTCTTTTCTCTTTGACTGTTTTCAAAAATTTCTCCCTCTCTTCTGCATTTTTATTATGTTTCTGTTGATGGTTCATTTAGCTTCTTGAAAATACTGTATTGTATAACAATTCTCAAAAATATCTCAGTCACTATCTTTCAATCTTGCCACTTCTTAGTTCTTACTATTAATATTATACAACTTCCATAACTCCAATTAGATATATCTTTTATCTCTCACATTTTCTATATCTCAGTCCCTCATGTCTGCATCTCTTTGTTATCTCAAGATAATTCAAGATAATTTTTTCTGTTTTCTCTTTCAGTTCACTAACTCTCTTTTCAGCTGAGTCTAATCTGCTGTCTAGTCTATTTTGTATTTTATAAAACTTCTTACTTTGAAATAATTTTAGACTTACAGAAAAATTGTGAATATAGTACAGTTTCCATATATCCTTACCTCAGCTTTCCTGAAACTTAACCATACTACAAGTACTAAAACCAGGAAACTCACATTGATGCAATACTACTGTCAGAGGCATTCTAACCAGAGTGACTCCATTTTAAGTGAGGGCTAGGAAAATGAAGCTGGGACTTGCTGGGCTGCATTCCCAGAAAATTAGGCATTCCTAGCCTCTAGATGTTTACATTTAAGGGAACAAATTAACAATGTTTACTAAACAAACTCAGACTTGGGAGTGTCCAGATATCCTGATATCTGGAGAACAAAGTCATTCCTAATTTTGCTTTAAAGATAATAATATCAATTTTGCAAAATATAGTAATTAAGACAATTAACCCTTTAACACAAACCCTTGTAGCAGAACACACCTCCCCATATATACGAGTATATACCTAGGGTGGACGCGTTCCTCCTATTTTTGGAAATGTCCTACTCTGTTTATGTAGTAGCTGTACTTTCACCACTTTACTTTGTTAATAAACTTGCTTTAACTTTGCACTGCAGACTCGCCCTGAATTCTTTCTTGCACAAGATCCAAGAACCCTCTCATGGGGTCTGGATCAGGTACCCCTTTCCTGTAACACTATTATCTAGAGACTTTGTCTAAGATCACTGCATTTGGTTTTCAGATCTCTGTGGATACTTCCAATTTGTGACAGTTCTTCAGTCTTTCTTGTGTTTCTTGATCTTGACACTTCTAAAGAGTACCAGTGAGTTAGTTGTGAAATGTCCCATAGTTTGGGTTTGCCTGACATTTTCTCATGATTAAATTTAGGTTACGCTTTTTTGGGGTCAAGACAACCATGTAAGTTATATTGTACCCATCTCTGTGCATCCTATTGGGGGTAAATATGCTGATATATGTTCTTACTGGTAATACTAACACTGTTCACTTGGTTAAAGTGGTATTTGCCAAGTTTCTTCCCTATGAAGTTACCATTTTTCCCTATATAATTAATACTTATTCTGTGGGAATACTTACTAAGTATTCTGGGCATACTTTTACCAACTAATTTGAGCATCCATTGATAATTCTTGTCTGTAACAGTAAATGCTGGGGTGTTTATCTAGTGGTGATTTTTTTTTTTATCATCATCAGTCTTAACCTTTGTTAACTGGGATTCTACTGTTAAAAAAAAAGCTGTGCCTTCTCCCCTACTTGTTTGGTTATTTATTTATGTAGGTATAAATTCATGGATATTTATTTTATCCTACAGGTTAAAATCCCTTACTATCGTCATTCTGTTATCTAAGTTGTCCCAGATTTGGCCACTGAGAGATCCTCCAAGCTAACTACTGAGTTCTTTTGCCCACCTCTTTCTTCTTCTTCTTTTTTTTTTTTTTTGAGGTGGAGTTTTACACTTGTTGCCCAGGCTGGAGTGCAATGGCGCGATCTTGGCTCACTGCAACTTCCGCCTCCTGGATTCAAACAATTCTCCTGCCTCAGCCTCCCGAGTAGCTGGGATTACAGGCACGTGCCACCACACCCAGCTCATATTTTGTATTTTGGGTAGATACAGCATTTCACCACGTTGCCCAGGCTGGTCTCGAACTCCTGACCTTAGGTGATCCACCTGCCTCGGCCTCCCAAAGTGCTGGGATTATAGGTTGTGAGCCACTGCACCCGGCCTTGCCCACCTTTTTCTTCTTCTTCTTCTTTTTTTTTTTTTTTTACAGTATCTCTCAAAATTTTTTACAGTCTTACTGAAATATAATTTACACACAATTCACCTATTTTAAGTGTACAACTTTTAACAAATGTATTTAGCTGTGCAACGTTCATCACAATCCAGTTTTAGAATACTTTCATCACTCCAAAAGTTCTATAATGTCTATCTGCAGTCAATCCCGGTTCCAATACCCAACTGCAGGCAAACATTGATTTACTTTCTGTGTCTTTAGTTTTACCTTTTCTAGAAATTTCATACAATATGCAGTCTTATGTGTCTGGCTGTTTCATTTAGCACAATGTTTTTGAGGTTCATCCATACCATCACATGTATCAGTTCTTCCCTTTTTTTAAATTGCCAAGCAATATTCTTTTAAGCACTTCCTTACTTTCTTGCACCACAGTGTTCTAGGATCATCCTCTGTTTTTCCTGTCCCAGACCTGGAACCAACCAACCATTTCTCTAGGCATCCCTATTTACCCATTGAGTTTTTATTTCAATTCCCTTTTTCATATTTAGAAGTACTATTTGGTTCCTTTTAAATCTGTTTGGCTGTTCTTTAAAAGGTATCAGTTAGGATATAGGCTAAGACCCTGTAACAAAGAGATCCTAAAATACATGGCTTAAATATGATAGAAAATGATTTCCTTCTCAAGTAATAGTCTAGAAATAAGCTGTGTAGAGCTGGTGAGGCAGGTCAACACATACTTCAATCTCTGGGTCCAAATTCTGCGGACTCGAGTTTTCATCAATTATCAGTACACAAGAAGAGGACACAGGTAGGGGGCAGTACTCATGTATTGCTTTTTAAGGCAAAACACAAAGGTGTCACACATGACTTCTATTCACAATCCACTGCCAAAACCTCAGAGGCCATACCAACGTTCAAGGAAAGTTAGTACATGTTGTTTCCAGCTTGACAGCCATATATCTATACAACTTATTAACTTCTAAAATAATAGATCAGTCACTTAGTCTCAAGTTTCTAAAATGAGCCTTCATACAATCCTACCCTTTATTGACAGATATTTGAATAGTTTTATATTACATCAATAAAGTTCAATTAAAACATTTTCCAGGATTTTCACTCAGCCATTTGCAATGGATTATTTACATTTATCAGTATCTTTTCCTCTCTACAAGTTACCACTTTCTCAAAGTAAAAGGATTAAACAAGTAAAAGAATACATAAGGAGTTCAACAATAAAAGTACACTGCTATAAAGCCTAATATAAACTATTAGCTAACATTTGTTAAGCAGTGTATTTTACATATATAATTTCATTGAAACCTCACAATCACCTTATAAGATAAGGGCTTCTTATCTCATAGGTGAGAAAACTAAGGATTAGAGACCTTATGTTACCCAAGATCGTAAAATTGGTATTACGGCAACCCAACTTTGAGTTCCTAGCCACTATGCTTTAAAAGTGAGTATTTTCTCCATACTTTAAATTCTCTAAATTCATGACATATCTTTTTTTTTTTTTTCTTTTTTGAGACGGAGTCTCACTCTGTCACCCAGGCTGGAGTGCAGTGGCACGACGATCTCGGCTCACTGCAAGCTCTGCCTCCCAGGTTCACGCCATTCTCCTGCCTCAGCCTCCCAAGTAGCTGAGACTACAAGCATCCGCCACCACGCCCGGCTAATTTTTTGTATTTTTAGTAGAGACAGGGTTTCACCGTGTTAGCCAGGATGGTCTCAATCTCCTGACCTCGTGATCTGCCCACCTAGGCCCTGCAAAGTGCTGGGATTACAGGGGTGAGCCACCACACCCAGCCAACATATCTTGAAATTGATGGCATATTACAAACGCTGCTGCAGCAATAATAAGTGGCAATAACAAGGCAGCTGTCATTCCCTGTTTGTGCACAAAACCTGTAGTATTTGAGTTGGAAGAAAATCCTAGGAGCCTGGGCACAGTGGCTCATGCCTGTAATCCCAGCACTTTGGGCCAGGCTGAGGTGGACGGATCACTTGAGGTCAGGAATTCGAGACCAGCCTGGCCAACATGGTGAAACCCCGTATCTACTAAAAATTTAAAAATTAGGTGGGTGTTGCAGCACATGCCTGTAATCCCAGCTACTCAGGAGGCTGAGGCAGGATAATTGCTTGAACCCGGGAGGCAGAGGTTGCAGTGAACCAAGATTGCACCACTGTACGCCAACCTGGGCAATAGAGCGAGACTCCATTTCAAAAAAAAAAAAAAAAAAAAGGAGGAAAATCCTAGGGACAAAGAGTTGGAATAATCCTTTAACTCCTAAAATCCAAACGACTGTGAAGAGAGGATGAGGGCGGGGGATATCAGACATATTTAGCAACATTTCCAAAATAGGTATAAAAAATAAATTAACTCATCATAATTGCAAAGTGGCTTACGAATTCAGCACCAGTGGTTCTTGATTCTCTTCAGAAATACTGCATAGAGAAAGACTGCATGTAGAAAAACTGAACACCAATGACTGAGTCAAAAAGTGATTCAAATGAGTCGGACTCTGAGTGTAAAGAATGTTAGCAATTCCTTAGCCAGTTGATTTCACAATGTATTTTCATTTTCAGGTATGTACAAGCGTTATAAATAATATAATCTATGTCTTAGTAATTCCGATAGGGTTATTTTAACAAATATAAAAATTCTAAATTTTAAAAAGCATTGGCAGTATGTTTTCTTTTTAAGTAGTACATAAAATAATGGTTCAGCCAACTATGAATAGCAGGAACAGTGATTACTCTATGATTCACTATACAGCACCTTATGATTGGTATTATATCTCAAGAATATAACATCAATGAAATCATATTCCCACCCCCAACCCCATCTTCTGACCATGAGTTTATGCATTATGTAGGATGGAAATGTGGTGATTAACCCATTTTGTCACTTGGCACTTTCCCAATTTTTTCAGATTCATAAAGTATATTTATCTGCTGAGTTTCCAATTTATTCAGTTCCTGATTTTCTTTACACCTTAACCTACATATAGTTTGTAAGACTGAGAACTAAAAATGTTTCAAGTATTTAAGTTACTTTCTTAAATTAACCTTTTAACAATTTATTTGTATTAGCATTTCTCACTACTCAGCATTTTGGTGTTTCTAAGTTTTCTTGACTGGAAAAAATTATTACAAACACAAAGTTAAAAATAATGTAATTCAGATTTATATTAACATAATTTTGTACTATCTAATAAAAGTGGAACGAACACTATACATTTGGTAAATTCTCTGTGTCCTTCCAAATTGTATCATTCTGAAAGCTGAATTATCTAATAAATTAATACTCTCATTTTCATCTTGTCCTAAGTTGTTAAAGGAGGTCAACAGTAGAAAACAACAAAGATTCCACATTTCTTAACAGGTATTAAAATATGACTTTAAAAAAACCAAAAAATTTAAAAATAGCACTGGAACCAGAAACCAAATAGAAGCAGGAAATTCTCAGTTACAAGACAGGCTAATAAACATTTTTAAATTAAGGATTTGAAATTTATCAAGAGGGGAGAAAATACTTGCAATCCTGTTCAAATATTTGTTACTGTCCTTCTATAATGAATGTTTTCCTTTGTAGACCTTGACAAACTCTTTCCCAGGTCAGCATCTCTATCTAAAGGTGATAGACCAAAGATTTATTTTCAGACATGGACCATAATGGAATACAGAGTTGACTTGATGCATGCTGTGCTACTCCCACAAAAATATTCCTGAAATTATTTTCTCAGGCATAGTTAGTATGTTCTCTGATTATGGTATGAAAAAAAAGATCAAATTGTTAGCCAAAGAGTTCTTTAATCATACCCTAATTTTTCTATATTTCTAATCTCTTACATGCCTTTTATTCCATCTGATAGTTTTGAAATATACCTTCTAAACTTTCCCCCTCCTTATTGAGGTCTAGTTGACAGTTAAATACTGCATATATTTAAGTTATACTACTTGATGATCTGATATATGTATACACTATGAAATAGTCACCGCAATCAAGCTAATTAATACATCAATCACCTTACATAAGTATCTTTTAACATTTTTTTTTGGTTTCTAAACTTTTATACCATACTGAATAAAATAGTATTTTAGTTTTTCCTGATATGACACTGGACACATAAGTATATATGAGTATATATAATAACTATCTAATCTTACATGTAGCATAACACCTTTGAACTTATAATTTCTCTAGAGATATTTAGGAAACCAATGACTGCTAGTGAATAGTTCCCTTTTAACATTAGATTTGGCTGATCAACAATTCAGTAATAGCTGGCAATGAAATAAATAATTATTTAGATATCTTCTATTTATGTCAAGTAACGAATTGTTTATCTTAACATATTTTACCTTTAGAAGTTAAAATCATTACAAAGAGACATATCTTATTCTTCTCTTTGTTATGTATTTATAATGACCAACTTAAGAGAAGTTTTAAGTCCTATGAGAAATCAAAAAAGCAACTGAAAACAGAATTTGAAGAATCTTTTAGTAAGAAATACTTGCTTAGAATAAATGATACATGAAAAACAGGGACAATTTTTTAAGCTCCTTCCTTTGAGAAACATAAAATATGCTGTACTTTAAAAAAATAATAATTTGTCACAACAAATTTCTGCTCATGTCAGAAACTCTTCTAAAACTTATTTTGAAAATATTCTGAAATGAGAAGTTTGACATCATAATTCAAATTACTTCTGCTAAAACTGTCATTAAAACTAAAGAGCAAATGGTACAAATATGAATATATGACATTAAAGATAACTAAATCATTTTCTAAACTTAAGACTTTTAGCTCAGCCTTCATGGTATTACAACTGATGGAATAACTGGAGGATATTAAGAGAAAACATGATTGAATGTGTCATGTAAACAGATTTCAAATATGTAAGAAATTTCCAATTCTCAGAAAAACTCAAAAATTGGACTCTATAATTTAAGCTCACCCTCTCTCACCCCACTTTTCCTTTATCCTCTTTATTTTGTATATATCTGCATAAAATTAAAAACTACATTCTACTGTAGTGGTTTACTGATATGGAGTGTGACCTAGTCTTTGTTTTGCTTTCAAGGGGACTTTTGTAAAATATAACATAAATTACTAAAAGAATGAAATTACAAAACAAAGACATATAAAATATAACTCCAAATATTGTTATTAGATTCCATAGGCATGCAATTACCATGTAAAATTGCTATAAAATTTTCTAAATGTTTATTCTCAATTTCCATACTTATTTTATTGCAAACAAGTAACAAACAATCTGCAAACCAGCATGAGTCCACAGACCATATTTTGAGTAGCACTGCCTCAGGTAGGGATCAAGAAAGACATTACACAAAAAATATTAATGAGGAATTCATAGTTAAAGCTTTAAGTGATATATAATCTATAAATTTTCTACTTGAGTATGTATTTAAATCTAAAATAAATGCAACAATATAACTTTCTTCTCAAAATTAGCAGCAGCTTTATCACATTTGAAGACAAACAGAGTTTGAAGGATATTTGAACATGCAATTAATTTAAATAAGAAAAAAATTTGGCCTTGAAGATAAAATAAACTCTACAAGTTAAATTAATCTAATACTTTTCCCTTAAGAGTAACACTGGTTGTTAAATCGGTCCTATAAATAATTCCTATTTGTCCAGTATAAAACATTACTTGTTCTAAATGAGTGATTAGGAGGTTACAGCCATGATTCACATAAAATGAACTGATGATCACCCACTGGTTTTAAAACAGAACTATTTCTGCCCTAACTACTACTGGAGGAGTTGCTGATATATTTCCTGTTCTACACCAAGAAACTGAAAATAGGGTATTTCAGGTTGAAAATAGAACCAGAGAACCTAAATACAATAATATTTTCCAATAAAATGTCTTTGATTCAAAAGAATAGAAAGCTGAAAGGCCCTTCAAAATATGACACCATTTTTCAAATCAGCTTCCAGCTTTGTTTACAACTTTATAAATCACATAGTTAACTGAAGTAAAGAAATACTAAAAACTGATAATTTGTGAATAAGCCTTAAGGAAGCAATAAATCCAGAAATGAAATTAATAAATACATATTTATATTTACATTACCTAAATAACAGGGCTGTTATGGGATGTGTATTCTGGTTTATCAATTCTGTAAAAATCAAAATTTCTATGACCAAAGAAGAAAACTTGTTACTTCCAATATTTGAACTGTCATAATTACAGCAGCAGTCTTTCCTATGTGACTCCTGAAGGCAAATGTAGCACCAATGAATGAAACTGACAGTTATTAGGTTAAGTTTTAATAACCACACTAACAATGAAAATGGCCGTCTATGAAGAAAGTCCTATATTTCTATTACCAGAGAAAATCCAGCTGAAGGTACATAACCAATGATTAGATTAAAATTATTTTCAAATGTTCTATTAAATACCAAGACTCTATTGTTCTATTGTGATCCTAGCAAAGGGATAAATATTTCCTAGCACTTGGCTAGAACCCATCTTCTCTTATACAACAGATGAAAATGATAACTTTTTGCTGAAATGAATCTAAATTGCTGAAATGAGCTGTATCAGTATTCCTCAAATATGCAGTTGTACCTGAAGTTAATCATATTGGGTAAAAGAACTGTGTTTCAAAACAAATGTGTGAAAAACCTGAATGTGCATAGTTAACAAAATTATTTTTGGTAATTATTTACTAAGGCTGCATAGTTTTATGCTCACTACTTAAAAAAAAAAAAGAAAAAAAGAAAAAAGAAGTGTTAGAAAAGATCTGGAGATGAAAGTTTCTCTAGCTTGAAATATGATTTTTGGCCAGGTGCGGTGGCTCACACCTGTAATCCTAGCACTCTGGGAGGCCGAGGAGGGTGGATCGCCTGAGGTCAGGAGTTCGAGACCAGACTGGGCAACATGGTGTAACCCCATCTCTACTAAAAATACAAAATCGGCCGGACCTGGAGGTGCGTGCCTGCAATCCCAGCTACTTGGGAGGCTGAGGCAGGAGAATCACTTGAACTTGGGAGGCAGAGGTTGCAGTGAGCCGAGATCACGCCACTGTACTCCAGCCTGGGCAATCGAGTGAGACCCGTCTCAAAAAAAAAAAAAAGAAAAAAGAAAAAAAGGAAAAGAAATATGATTTTCAATAGTAACCTACCAACCAGATAGGTCTTAACACTTTTCTTTTCAGTAATGAGGAAGTTAGGCTCAACCTAACCAGTTAAAATGAAAATTTAAACAAAATGGAATTTTCACCCTCAAGAACATAGGAAATGTAGAAGTCTGACTAGAATGTCAAATACCGATTAGGGTATGGGGAGTGAAATCAGTACGGCCATTTTGGAAAGTAATTTTGCTATGTCTAGGAAGATTCAAAATACTATGTAACCCGTGATGCAGCTAACCCATTCTGGGTACATAATCCAGAGCCGATTAAGATGCACAGCACAAAATTTATGATTAAGATACACAGCACAAAATTTATTTTGTATCACACCATAAACTTTTTTATTGAAACCTACAGTAGGAAATACATTTTATATCACAACTCAGAACACAATTACATATATTTCATGAAAAAGTAAGTACCTTTTACCCTGACACTTTGTACTGCATTCTATTCTGAAAAGTACAGACTCCAACTTACTACACTGCCTTCGTTACCTGCTGTTTGGAAAACACTGCTCTAAAAACCTGTAGCAATATATACAAGACAACATTTATAAGGTTGTTCACTGTGATATTGTTTAAAATGGAGAAAAAACGATGTTACTTACATATTCATTAATAGGTAGATAACTGCAAAATACAATGTAATATTATGAAGTAATTAATGGTTTAAAGTAGATTTCTCTATGTAATGTAATATGTATACTTCTTATGTAATATGTATACATCTTAAAAATACAATGCAGGGTGAAAAAAACAAGAAAAAATGTTCCCAGAATATCATTTATGTAAATTTCTAACAATATCATATTATGTTTATGAATATATATACACAGATATAAAATTATGAAAATGGTATGGAAGTATATATTTTAATATATTAACTCACAGTGGACTAGGGGTACTCATACAGTATAGGCTGGTTAAAGAGGACTTCAGCATTATATATGTAATGTTTTCATTTTTGAAGAGCTATTTAAATGTTACTTTAAAATAGTTATTTGAAAGAGTTGCAGCAAGTTCTGAGAATTTACTTGGTAAAATGGGAGTAGAGGCGAGAAGAAATGAGGTATAAAGGAGTAGAACCAGGTTATTAATATCCCAATGCTCAAATCAATGAATATGAGAAAAAAATAAGCTGCAATAAATAAATAAATAAATAAATGAGAAAGAGAGTGAGAGAGAGAGACCAAAATCACAGACTAAGGAATTATTAGGGAGGTATATAGCAATAGCTGGGGGAAAAAACATGAAGTGGGCTGAAAAGGCAGGAAGAAAAGGCCTAACAACTGGTAAACTGATCCATTCCTCATTGGTGGTTCAACTGTATAAATAAAAGGGTGGCAGCTTAGCGGGAAAGTACTTAGCAACTCTGTTTACACAGACAATAGAAAGTGCCACTAGAGTGGCAAATTGAACTGTGCAAGGCCAATTAACCCTTTCACCTTAGTGTTTCATACTAGCTATCTTACTTACTGTCCCTCTGTTAGATCTACACTGATAAGTGTTAGGACCAAATGCAATTATAAATCATTGTTACATGTATTGATGAATTCTGCAAATTCCATGAAGCACATTAATTTTACTTAGTGTTCTGAATACCTTCTTTGCTGCTCTCATCTGGTTTTAATTAAGAAACACTTTCAAAGGAAGAGAGGTTATCCAGAAACTCAAACTACACATGTCCTTCATTAAACTATGAATTGATTACTATTCAACTTTTTTGGCCTAAAGGTTTTTTTAAAAAGTTAGATTCACCTCAAGTTTCTTCTAGATAAATTATGGGAAAATTAGGGAAAGAGTAACATATTTAGATGGGCAAAAATATAATAGGGAAATCTTAAAATGCACTGAAGAGGTCCATAAATTAGCTGCTGCATAAGCAGCTTTATCTATATTACAGTTTATTACTTTTAAGAGAAACTTTGAATCTTGAAGGACCATACAATAAGATTTTTTTTCAAAAGACAGTAATAGATTTATTGCTGGAAACTGTATTCATCTTCCTGATTCCAAAATACAGTCATGTATCTTCTTTATCCATATTTGAGAACCAGGATCAAATTTTTACATAGCCTACAAAATCTAGAAAAGTATATACCAACCAGGCATGCAACATTTGGTAATGAACATATTGTAAAATGTTGGCATATGTAAAAGGCTTTGATTCTATGAGGTAGGGCCAATAATAAAAGCATGTGATTGTTCAGTCGTAAACTAAGGCAATCCATACAAACATTTATTAACTGTTACACTGTCTTTTCCCTACTACCCACAGGTCCTGAAAGTACCAACATCATCCCACTGTCATCTGAAATTACATGCCACATCTTCTTCTGGCCAGTTATTTGTCACTGAATCTTTGTAGTAATAATTCCTAAGACGCTAGTCAAATAATAGGAAAATGCCAACAGACCATATTAGTGGGGGAGAGTTAAAAGGAATATGTACATACTGTATTTCTTAACCCATCAAAAATCAACAGAAGTCTGAAAAGGTTACCCTTGCATTTTAGGAGTAAGCGATGTTTTCCAGTTCTGTTTTTTTTCTCAGCTCTTCCCACTAAGCAACAAAACGCAAACGAGCTAGAGAATTCTGCCTTCCTTATGCTACAGAGGCTATGTTTAATGACTCCTGTGGCCATGTTAAAATCAGTGGAGGAAGAGACAAACACTGCAGCTTCTGCCTTTCTCTAAGTCTTCTTGAATGCCGCCGGCCCACCCACTAGGCTCCCCTATTTCTCTTTTCTTCCGTAACAACAACAGCACAAACATTGCAAAAGCAACCAATCAAAACAAGTAGCATCAGTAAAGGGGCAATGGGGCCAATGGTAAGCAACAGAAGCAAAAAGCAGTGACAGTCTCCAATTTGCTCTCATCAATGAGTCAGAGCATACTAAGGCTTCTTTGTACGTAGGTAGAGAACATGGTGGACACTCACACTGCTGGCCTCTTACTCTCCCGGCAATTCTCACAAACACAAAAGTAGAATCCTAGGACTCAGTACTTAAATACCAGAACAACATTCAAGACCTTATCTTAGCAATTTTTTAAAAAGAAAACTACCACACTTAAGAAATGAAAAAAACACACACACACACACAAAATGACTATGCAAGTAAACTTTTATTATGTAGCTAAAAGCTGCAATTTAGATAGTCTAATTAATCTACAAAGCTCAGTTTCTATAAAACAACTATTAGCAGGTTTTCTTCAAGAATTTACTCCTTATTTTGTAGACATCCACGTGAACTAAAATATGAATCAAAATAACAACTCTAAAGGAGAAATAATTTCCCAAAGTAGTAATTACTAACTAAACCCAAGAAAAGACTTGTGTGGCTTAAAGAAGTACAGATATCTCTCTATTTATAGGCTGAACACCCTAATTCCAGAAGCCAATTTTGAACTTGAGTTTAGAATTGATTCCCAGTGCAGGGGACCAAAATATACATGCCCAGGCGCCAACAGTCAATTATTAAGCTTTTTTCACATTAAATAAAAGAAAAACATCTTAACACATCCAATACATATTTAAGTTAAGAGTCAGGAGGCTTATGTTATAGTGCAACCCTGCATATGAACATTATATTATTTTAAATCCCCACTTCCCCACCTGGATAGTGAGGGTTCCTAATCAGTGTTTTCTCTCTTTTGGAAAGCTGATGTGATTGTCTAATATAAAAATTCTTTGAAAAACCTACAGAAAAATAATAAGTAAATTTCTTTTCAAAGTGACAAGGGAAAAAAAATCTATGCCCAAGATATTTTTCTACATTTGTACATCAAACCAATATTTAGATGATATTTAACAGCAAAAAGTTTTTTAACAATAAGAATGTCTGTTTTTTATATAGGAGCATTTGACTTATTTTGTAATTTAGATAAGCTTCAATAGTTTCTCTTCCTAAAGCTCTTTCACTCCTCACAAGTTCTTCCATCTATCTCATTCCTCATCATCCAAATATATATAGATTTTTCTTAACTTTTTAAATAGGTAATACAATATTCAAAAAGTACTTATGAACATAAAAGTTCCTGGCAACCAGTCACCCAGAAGCACATCTCCATCAAGAGGGAAATTTGAACAGAGGGAGAGAGAAACATGCAACAACATGCAAACTCTTTAAGAATTTCCATTATTTCTTGAAGCAACATTTTGTAGAACTAATACACTGATAAAGTATAGAATTTGAAAGCCTCTCCTTTCAGTAAAGTGGGAAAGTCGATTAGCAAGTGAAAAGATTGGCTCAGAACCTAGTAAGACAGGGGTCAGCAATTTCTTAAGCTTGAAGTGCTTTCAGTAAAGCCAGACAATGCTAGGGAATAGCACACACAGGCCTAGTATTTACAGACAACATGTGGCAGTCTATCAGTTGATTACATTTTGTCTTCCAATACTATCAAATTATTTCCTGTATGTAAAAGGCAGGAATCCTACATTTCTGTCAAAGATTCCACAAAACCTGGCAGTGCTAGTGACTACTAAAGTAGATGAAGAAGTAGAATGAGTCACAGGAAAAAGAGGGAAAAGACTGGAAACATACACAAACTTCCCACAAGAGCTGATACAAGACCCAAGAATCCTAAGGTAAAAATACTTTTAAAAACTGTATCATGAAGCCACCATTTATTCAGAGTCTGTAAATTCAGTAAGTGATATGTTTATACAATGTTATCAGAAACATCTAAGGCTATAAAAAATACATATATAGGAAATACCGACTCTGGCTAAACACACTGTCACTGAGGTGTAATCGGTTACTCAGATTATTACAGATTAATTACCTCTATGACTTTTTTAATTTGAATGATCTTATATACAATTAGTAAACAGCGGAATGATATTCTTATAATGCAGAGTTAGGTATGTAAGTTCGACTTGATTTTTTTTTCCCCTGGCACATTCATTTTTTTTTAATGATCCAAGATAAGTTTTCTTGCAATTAAAGACAAAACCTTAGTAAAATATGAAGATCTTTTAAAAAAAACCAGCTAGAAATCTATTAGACGTGCCTTCTATTAATATAAGTAGTAGCTGGTTTTGTGGCTTCAAGAACTTCTATGGTTTCTACTATGTAAAGCTATCTGATCAATCTCTGAGTGCAGCTCAAGAAGCTGCAAAGACATTTCCTTCATTTTCAAAAGGGCTCTTATCTGAATCATATGTATTTTTATTCAACTGATCTAAAGAATCTATATCCCAAATAAGGAAGCATGAGAACAAGGGTTTAAAGGATTTTAAGAACTATGATGCCAGGTTAAAATGCTAGAGGAGATTTAATTGATTTTTTAAAGTATTATTATTTTCATGAGTGCTTATAAGGTTCCACAGATTTTGAACGCTGTACCTCAACCCTATTTTTCCCATAGGTACTGTTATTTTTAGGGTGTGACTTTGCAGAATATGAAGCCATATATGGTTTTACAGTGGGAATACATGTACTTGGATCTGGTCTACCTGGATAAAGTAAGAAATAATGGAAAGTAAACTAAAGACAGAATACCTGTAAAGGAGATATCCTTATTTATAATTTTTCTTTTTTTTTTTTTCACCATGGCTTTACCTTCTGCAAGTCAATCCGGCTAAGGTACAATGGATAAAACGATTATCAAGCTTCTCTTTCTTACCTACCCACAGCAAACTTTGTTCCAGGCCTTTGACACCTTCATTGTTTTTGATAATAATCAAAGCTTTCTGCTCCTATGACTTTTGCAGTCATATGTCAAAACTGCATATGTCTGCTCCTATGACTTTTGCAGTCAAAAGTCCTATGACTTTTGCATTCTGCTTATTATGAATCCTGTTCAGAGTTTATTTTTGTCTTGTTCCCCAGCTTATTTTTCCAGAATCAAAACATTAACAGAGTTGCGGGGCTGGAAAGTCCTTAGGTTATCTAGTCTAACTTTACACTATTCTATATTATTAGCTACAAATATCTACTGACCACAGGGCTAAACAAGTGCTAGAAATGGCAGTGAACAAAAACAGGCACAAAATCCAGATATTGAACAAACTATATACACATATACACACATATATTTCCTAGTTCTGTCCATTAAGAAGTAATTTCCTACAAAGAAATTAACAAAGAGAAAATAGTAATTTTACGGTGGAGAAACCTGGCAGACACTTAACCAAATGATCAAAGTTAACATCATCTGTGATGAGATATATGGATATCATGTGCCTCCTGATACAATACACTGAAAAGGGCACACCACTTCCATAGTATTTATAACAAACATGCATAGTTTGAATTTAATCATGAGGAAATATTAGACAAACCCAAACTGTGGGACACTTTAAAATATAACTGTCCAATATTCTCCAAAAGTGTCAAGGTCAAGAAAGACTGAGGAACTGTCCCAGAGTGGACATAAATGAGATAAAACAACTAAATGTGTGATTCTGCACCAGGAAAAGGATGTTAATGGGACAGCTGGAAAATCTGAATAACATCTGTAGATAACACTGTAACAGTGTTAATGTCCTGGTTTTTATCAATTTATTAAGGTTACATCTGAGAAAGCCAGGTGAAAGGTATATGAGAACTGTATTATTTTTGCCACCTTTTGTTAAGCCTAAAATTATTTCAAAATGAAAAATTATACATAAAAAGTTTTAAAATATATTTCTTAAGTCTAATATTTGAAGTCAGTGATCACATATTTCCTTAGCCTTTCCTTTTCAGACTAAATGTGTTCTTCTTTTTGGGCAAGATTCCCAGAAACCCTACTGTATTTGTAGCTCCCCTTAAAAAAAAATTCAGTTTGTTAATATTCCTCCTTAAGTGTGGTACCAGGAGTGTTTATAATACATTGATGGAGATTGCATTAAATTTCTCATTTTCTGTGATCAAGTCACTCTCTGTTTCTATGTTTATTAATGCAAATTAGAGTTGAATTTTAAAAGCAGATGCATAATGCTGTTGGCCTAATTCAGCATGTAAACAACTAAAACCTGAGTGTTCATCTTTACTGAAGTCAAACCAGATCTCCCCGTTTTATATTTGTGCAAATGATTTTCTCAAGCAAAATGTAGAATTACATTTTTCCCTGATTACTTCCATCCTTTCAACTCATAGTTTACGATGGTATGGAGACCAGTTAGATTATTCTGAATGATAATTCTATCATTTACTCACTTGGCATGTATTCAGCACATACCATTTGCGGTGTACTATAAATTAAGAATCTATTAAAAATTTGCCATGGAATTGAGAGCAGTCATATCTGATTGGAAGAGCAAGCAATGGAGAAAATCTTTAATAATGGGATTAAATTTGGGCTGGGCCTTTAAGAATAGGTAACATTTAAATAGTAAGAAACAATTACAAAATAACAGTTATGATCTTTGAGCCTAACAGATAAGCTCCACAAGTTGTTAGTTTTCTGAGACTGGGCAAGTCTCTGAAATTCAATTTCCTCATTTGTAAAATGGGGAAAAAATGCCTTACTAAGTAGGGCTGTTTTAAAGATTACATGAGATAATATGTGTATTCAAAAACAGCCTTTTCAGCAGACGGTGCCAGGAAAACTGGATATCTGCATGCAAAAGAATAAAATTGAACCCTTACCTTTAACAAAGACTGTCTCCTTGACTAAACTCTAGTCAGGCTCCTCTAAACCATCTTCACAGCTAGGCCTCAACCTTTGAACTTCTATCTCCTCCTTTGCATCGTCCAATTTTAGCAAGAATTCTGCTAAGAGAGTTAAGCCAGAAACCCTACCATTGATATCCGATCACCCTCAATATATCTGACCAAATTCCTCATTCCCCACCAACCCCCAGGCGATACCTGATTACCTTGGCCTGCCTTTGGCAAAAACCTTGTCAAATTGGTTTCACCAGAGACCCCCTTAACTCTGATGTTTCCTCTAATCTTCCATCCACTGACCCTGTTCCTTGGCTATAAATCTCCACTTTCCATGTTGTATTCAGAATTAAGCTTCATTCTGTAACGAAGTCTCTTTTCTCCTACTGCAACTGTTCCTGATTAAAATTTGCTTTTACTGCTTTAACTACTGTCAGGCTCTACTTTTCTTTGACGCCTCACATCATATATATAAATTGACTTAAAAATAGATCAAGGACTAACATAGGAGTTAAAACTATACAACTCTTAGAAGAAAATATATGGGAAAAAACTTCATGATATTAGATTTGGTGATGATTTTTTGATATGACAGAGGTACAGGCAAAAAAAAGAAAAAAATAATAAATTGGACCTCATCAAAATGAAAACCTTTTGTGCATCAAAGGACACTAGTAAGAGAGTAAATAAACAACCCACAGAATGGGAGAAAATATTTGCTAATTATATATCTGATAGATTAATATCCAGAATATATGAATAACTCCTACAACCAACAACAAAAAAATCCAATTAAAAGTGGACAAAGGACTTCAACAGACATTTCACCAAAGAAGACAAATGACCAATAACCCACATGAAAAGATGCTCAATAACAGTAGTCACTAGGGAAATGCAAATCAAAACCACAACAGTTACTACCTCTCACCTATTAGGATAGCTATCATAAAAAAAAAAAAAAAGTAAAAACTAAGTACTGACGAGGATGTGGAGAAATTAGAACTCTTGTACATTGCTGGTAGGAATGTAAAATGGCACAGCAGCTATGAAAAACAATTTGGTGGTTCCTCAAAAAGTTAAATACTGCCTGGGCAACAAATTGTGACCCTTTCTCTACAAAAATTTTTTTAAAAAATTAGCCAGGCATGATGGCGCACATCTATAATCCCAGCTACTTGGGAGTCTGAGGCAGGAGGACTGCTTGAGCCTGGGAGTTTGGGGCTGCAGCAAGTTATGATCATGCCACTCAACTCCAGCCTGGGCAAGAGAGGAAGACTCTGTCTCAAAAACAAAGGAAGTTAAATATAGAATTACTATATGATCCAGCAATTCTTCCTCTAGGTATATACCTAAAAGAATTGAAAGCAGGGGCTCAAACAGATACTTGTATACCAATGGTCATAGCAGCATTATTCACAATAGCCAAAGCTGAAAACCTAAATGTCCAAAAATAGATAAACGGATAAATAAAAGTGGTATATACACGCAATGGAATATTATTCAGCCTTAAAAAAGAATGAAAATTTGAGATATACTACAACATGAATGAAACCTGAAGACATTATGAAGACAAGTGAAATAAGCCAGACACAAAAGGGCAAATATTATATGACTCCATTTATATCTAGTGCTTATAACAGGCAAATTCAAGAGTAAGCAAGTAGATTAGAGGGGCTGGATGCAGTGGCTCACACCTGTAATACCAGCACTTTGGGAAGCCAAGGCAGGCAGATCACTTGAGGCCAGGAGTTCGAGACCAGCCTGTCAAACGAAGACCTGTCTCCACTAAAAATACAAAAATTAGCCGGGTGTGGTGGCACTCGCCTGTAAATCCCAGCTACTGGGGAGGCTGAGGCACAAGAATGACTTGAACCTGGGAGGCAGAGGCTGCAGTGAGCAGAGATTGCACCACTACATTCCAGCCGGGGCAACAGAGCGAGATTCTGTCTCAAAAAAAAAAAAAAAAAAGGAAAGTAGATGAGAGGTTACCAGGAGCTGGTGGGGAGGAAAGAACGGTAAGTTGTTTAATCGGTGCAGAGTTTCTGTTTGGGATGACGGAAAAGTATTAGAAATGAATAATGAAGATGGTTGCACAATGTTGTGAATGTACTTAGTGTCACTGGTTTTTATACTTTAAAGCAGTTAAAATGGTAAATTTTACATTATGTATATTTTACTACAATAAAAAACAAAAAAGCAGTTTACATACTGTACTCACAACTCACATAAGGAGTCAAAAGAAATTTTAGGTGCAGTTAACAGTATGAGCAGTTACTGAGGCCAATAAAAAAGATATATGAAGATTAAAAACCTGAAATTCTATAGACAAAAATATCAAAAGTGGTTTTCTTCTAATGTTTTTAAATTTACTTTTTCTTTGCTTTTACATAAAAAATTTTAATAGAAAAATTACTTAAAGAACAACCCCTCATACAGGTAGGTAAGAACGGTATATCAGAAACTGGCTGCTTATAAACAGAGACCCCAAATAACAGCTTAAAAAATGATAGAAGTCTATTTTTCTCTTACATACAAGAAGAATAGAAGTAAAGCAGTTCCAGGGGCAGTTATGGTCACAAGGACCCAGGCCACTACTATGTCTCTCCTCTTAGCTTCTGAAGGTCACTTCAAGTTGCAAGATATCTGGTACAGTAGCTACATACATCTCATCCAATCCCAGTGAACAGAAAAGAAGGAATAAACAAGGGTAAAATGGTGTGTCACCCTTTAAGAGCTTTACCAGAAGCCCAACCCATGTCTTCTGCTCATCTGCCACCACTACCTGTAAAGAAGGCAGAAAAATGTACTTTTTAAACCCCAATATCCAATAACATAGGAGTTCTACTAAAAGGAGAATGGATAGGTGATTAGTCTGCCATATATATTTAAAATCATTTTTTCTTCTGAAATTTCAGCTTTCAGCATTATTATTTGGGAACTTTTCTAGAAAGTATAAAATCTAATCAAAAGACATAAACATATTAACAAGTCTTTAAGACACTGTACACTAAAGAAATTACATTTTAATGAATATCAAAACTAAAAACATAGTGAGACCAAGTTCTGACAGCATAGATGCAACAGTAGAAATAACCTTGTGTACTCAGTTTACACACAGTTGTGTCTGTGTGTGCATGTGTATGTATGAAGAGGCCAAAGAGTGAAAATGTTTAAATGCTCAGATATATCATAATTCACAATTTAAGTTCTTTTACAGACTAATCTATCAAATAAGACTCAATTTAGAAAATTCTGAAAATTTCCCATAAAATAACGTCTTATTTTTCCAACAGCTTGGTTGAGGTACATTTACATAACATAAAATCCACCCATTATAAGAGTATAATTCATTTTAATAAATTTATAGAGTTGTGCAACCATCACCAAAATCCCACCTTAGAATATTTCTATCATCCTACAGAGATCTCTCCCATCCGTGTGCAATCAATCCCCATCCCCAGACAAACCACTACCCTGCTTTTTTTTTTTTTTTTTTTGAAATGGAGTCTCACTCTGTTGCCCAGGCTGGAGTGCAGGGGCACGATCTTGGCTCACTGCAACCTCTGCCTCCCAGGTTCAAACGATTCTCCTGCCTCAGCCTCCCGAGTAACTGGGATCACAGGCATGCACCACAGCACTCAGCTAATTTCGTATTTTTAGCAGAGGTGGGGTTTCACCATGTTGGCCAGGCTGATCCCGAACTCCTGACATCAAGTGATCCACCCACCTCAGCCTCCCAAAGTGCTGGGATTACAGGCGTGTGCCACCGTGCCCAGCCACCTGCTTTCCATCTCTATATATTATTTGCCTTTTCTGGACAGTTCAAATAACCGAAATCATACATGTAGTTGTTTTGAGTCTGAATCCTTTCACTTAACATAATGTTCTTGGAATTCATCCATGTTGTGGTTTATCCCAGAAGTTCTTTCTTTTTCTACCAAATATTAAATAGCATTGCACTGAATGGATACACCACATTTTGTTCATCCATTCAAGGGTGGCTAGGCATTTGGAATTGTTTCCAATTTTTGGCTAACATTATGAATAATGCTGCAATGAACACTCATGTACAAGTCTTTGTGTGGACAAATATTTTCACTTCTCTTCTGTGGATACCTAGGAGGAACTGAGATGAATGTTAAGTTTAACTTTTTTATTAAAAAAAAAACTGCCACGGCCGGGCACGGTGGCTCACGCCTGTAATCCCAGCACTCTGGGAAGCCGAGGCGGGCAGATCACCAGGTCAGGAGATGGAGACCATCCTAGCTAACAGGGTGAAACGCTGTCTCTACTAAAAATACAAAAAATTAGCCGGGTGTGGTGGCGGGTGCCTGTAGTCCCAGCTACTCGGGAGGCTGAGGCAGGAGAATGGCGTGAACCCGGGAGGCGGAGCTTGCAGTGAGCCACTGCACTCCAGCCTGGGTGACAAAGCGAGACTCCATCTCAAAAAAACAACTGCCACACTGTTTTCCAAAGTAGTTGCATTTTACCTTGCCACCATCGATGCATAAGTATTCCAGGTTTTCCACATCCTCACCAGTGCTTTTTACTGTCCTTCATGTTAATTACAGCTATGCTAGTGGGCATAATATGTTATCTCCTTATGGATTTAATTTGCATTTCTTTAATAACTACTACTATTGAGTACCTTTTCATGTGCTTATTAGCATTTGTATATCTTCTTGGGTAAGGTGTCTATTCAGATAGGTTTTTGGATTCTCTTTATTAGGTTGAGGAAATTACCTTCTATTCCTAGTTTGTTGAGAGTTTTCATCATTAATGAATGTTTGAGTCTTTCAAAAGTTTTATTCTCTATCTGGGATGATCATATTTTTCGTTCTTTATTCTATAAATATGTAATATTATATTAATCAATTTTTAGGTACTAAACCAACCTTGCATTCCTGGGATAAATTCCACTTGATCATGGTGTTTAATCCATTTTATATGTTGCTAGATTCAGCTTGCTAACACTTTGGCTGGGAAATTTTTTGTTTTTTTTGTTTTTTTTCTTGAGACAGAATCTTGCTCTTGTCACCCAGGCTGGAGTGCAATGGCGCGATCTCAGCTCACTGCAAACTCCGCCTCCCAGGTTCAAGCGATTCTCCTGCCTCAGCCTCCCGAGTAGTTGGGCTTATAGACAGCTGCCACCACACCCAACAATTTTTTGTATTTTTAGTAGAGACGGGGTTTCACCATGTTGGCCAGGCTGGTCTCAAACTCCTGACCTCAAGTGATCCACCCTCCTTGGCCACCCAAAGTGCTGGGATTAGGTGTGAGCCACCACGCCCAGCCCAATGTATAGTTTTTAACAATACATATCAATTCGGAAGCCAAATTTCTGATAGTTAAAGTGAAATAAATGAAATATAGTCTTATCCAAACAATAAAATTATGTTTAATGGGAAAACATTTTATACTCCCTCAGCTTTTCAAATTTTAAGTGAGTTAAAATCAAATACAATATAAAATTTAATGTTCTTAGTCTAGCCACATTTCAAGTGCTCTATAGCCACATGTGGCTATAGTGCTGGACAGTACAGCTCTAAACCTTTAAGCACTATGAGGATTTAAAGAGTAAATACAATAATATAGTTGGTTGTTCATTAGTATCTACAATATTTGAATTAAAGAGAGACAGTATATACAAAAGCTTTCAGAAGTGTAATACAAAGATTAGAGGCACTAAACTGTGGTCTCATCCTCAAGGTTAGCTTTCTTGGTCAGGATAACATGGTGTTTACCAGAATGTAGAATTATACCCACAGCTTACTGTAAGTATATTTGCAAGCACTTTTATTGATCATAGACAACAAATCTACTTCATTTAACCCAGGCTGTTTGAAAAAAAATTACCTCATTTAATTTCCCATTTATAACCTTCAATAGATTATAGGTTAAAGCCTTCAAAATATCCATATGATTTATCTCATAAACATGAAAACATTTGTTAATTTATCCAATGTGTTTTAATTGTACAACACTCTTCTTTCCAAAGTAATATAATCTACACGGATATATGTTAGTAATATTAGCAGAACTCTAAGTGAAATATTTGCCCCTAAATAGAATTCCACCAGTCCCACAATTCAAACTCTTCTCATTAGCCCATGTTTCTGACTTGCCCTTGTGCACATATAATCCTGCAAAATTACAATAAAATCTGAATACAACTTGATATTTGGCTTTTTTTCACTAACATTGTATGTATTTTCCATGTTGCTATGTAGTTTTCACATATATTACTACTGATTTCACAGCACACCAAGAATGTGTCATAATTTACTCAAATACACTCCTTATTATTAGAATTTATTTCTCATTCTTTACTATTTTACAGTAATACTGTAAAAAGAACTAATGAATTAACAAACATGAAAAGCAGGCTTTATTATCAAAATTTCTTAACATAATCTAAGTAGCTGTGCATATTCTATTGTGTCACAAAAACACAGAGGACTGGTACAGAGTATTGTTATCCATGTTAGAAAGGCATCAGCTGCCTATAAGTAAAAATGTCTTTTTAAAAGATCATTACACTACTGTTCTTTTCCATGTTGTTACCCTCAAAAGACCTCTTAGATTAACAACTCAATATTAAAGGCATATAATAATAATTAAAAAATCGATGTGCTCCTCAAATTATACAAAAACTGACTAAATCCTACGATTCCAAAATGAAAGGGCCCTTTATCTTCTCTTATAAATTTGAATTACATATTTCTTTCCTTAAAAATATATCATTTAAAGTATGTTCCAAATGTGTACTCTATAAACTGCTTAAAGCTTCAATTAAGGATCACGCTTAATTCTATGAAGCTAATATCCAATGAATTCTAAAATTTTAGTATTGTCCATTAAGTTGATTATTAAAACAGTCTTTAGTGAGGGTTAGCCTCATTGTCCTATGTTTTCTTTTGTGAATCTCTGAAGACTGATTATAAGAAAACAAATGTTATTTACCCCAGAAAGTCTTCTTCAGAGGTTTGTGAGTGAAATATATTTATAAAGGGTCAACATGAAATTATCTGCATATAATTTAACTTTAGGAGGATTAATTTTCTCTAGCCCATGTTTTTCTGACACGCACCTAAGATTCAATATCTCTTTTCCCACCTGGCAAATTTTTCTAAATAGTTTCACGACAGTTCAGGACTCTCCTCTGGGTATCTCCAATAACAGGGACATATATGTCATTCTGAGATAATGGACTTATTTATCACTATATTCAAAACCTCGTGGGATTTGATTATTTTAGAAATGCTACTTGACTGTTTTACCCCCAGACTTGAATAAAGTCTGGGAACAGTTGCTAGAAAGGAACAGGGATGGAATGGTAGACTGTCTCTTTCAATGCCTAATAGCCTCTTAAATTACTGTGAATAAACAACCTGACCATAGTTCTGGATGATAAGTGGCAAAAGGTTCTCAGATAATAAGAAAATGAACATTAAAAAATAATATTATAAAATAAATGTAGCTTTTAAAAATGTTCCAACATGAAAACTGCACTCTAAGTATTTGAGGGACTTCCTCCGAAACCCCATTCCAAACATATACCAATGTTAAAATTTAAAGAGAGAAAATTATAAACATATAGCCATGATCAAAAACTTGTTAAGCATCTCTGTAGACAAAAACAAAAGAAAACCTGTAGCCATAAACAGAGGTTAAGCTATAAGCCTCCTGGGCTCCATGACTACAAGTAGGCAGACGAAACCAGAAGTCTGACTCCCATAGAGTGATGAGGACTGAAAGTACTCTACCAAGGCCTGGGATCACAGCCAGGCTTGCTGCTTGAAATCAGGGGATGCAGTGGCAATCCACCGCCTGTGGGGAAAAAAAAATGCGAAAGTGAGAAGGACACTGCCTGAGGCTACAACTTACAAAACATTATGTATCTGAGATGTTAAGAGGCAATGGTTTTAGCCCCACAGTCCAGACCAGGCCAAGGGACCTGCAGGCTTGGTATCTGGATCTGCAATGGCCCCAATGTAACCTCAGGAGGGAGCCCTAAGCCACCTATATAAGACCTAGTTCTTGCCTAGGTGTCTCAGAGAAAAGAGTAAAAACATCTATAAAGCCACTAGGGAGAGGTGAAGAGAGAGGAGAGAGAAACTCACACTCAAGATGGGCCTGAAAATTAAAATTCCACTCGCAGAAACATAATATTTCAATTATCAAAGAGAAATTATTTACTTCACAGTTTAACCACCTATGTGCAATTCTTAACAATGCCAAAGTCTAAAACATTTTTATAACACAATGACAGGTTTGAAGCAGATACACAAACTGCACAACTATACACGGGGTGCTGCTTCAAGAGTCTATAGCAATTTCTGGCTACATTTTTAATTAAGTTTATTCTGTGGCCTCTATTATCAAAGATGGCATACAAGAAATCATCTTATTTTTCAATCTTCCATAAATTTCCTATTGCTGACTTTGATAAACCCTGGGAATTGTATATAGTAACCACAAATCATGCCTAATACAGTGCCAAGACAACTGTAACTATGGTGGCTTGCATCTTCTTTAGGGTGGCCTTGGTACATATCTAAAGACAATGAAAACAAGTAGCCCCCTCAGTTTGGATGTATTTTTTTTAAAAAAAGGCCTTACTGTGTGGAGAAAATCAACAAATAATTATTTCCCTTGTGCATTTTATTTTAAGGCACAAAGAAAAATTATTTAGAAGAAGTATATGTTCAGGGGTACTCCAGAAGACAGTGAGCATGTTGAAAGTAGATAAGAATTATGATTTGGGCTTTAAGAATAAAATTTCCACTGAGTAGTATTATACAAAAACTTAACAGGTTGTTTCATAATCCCTATGGTTAGACACCATCAAACAGGCTAGAAGACCATCTGCTGGGAGTGCTACAGAAGAGACTCCTATATAAGGAAAGAGAAACTCGTGAGGTCTCCACCAACTTCAGGACTCTATTGTCAGTTTTAAAATTTTTGTTTTGTTGTTGTTTTTCCCTCAGCATAGAATGTTTAAGATCTTGGACACCAGTACAATTTCCTGGATGTACCAAGTCCATTTGAAATAACAGGAGCTAAGTATGTGTAAGAACTGTCAACAGTAAAATCTACTTCTTTTTCTCAGCTATTTATGAAATTACAAAAGGTAAAGGCAAAAAGATCGTTAATTAATCATTCAGTTCAAAGTAAAGGTGTACTCATTAGGAGTTATGAAAAGGTAGCAGAGGCAGCTAGTAAAAAAGGGTGATGTTAGAATCCCTGATTGGTATTATAAAGAGCCAACAGATTGGCACACAAATAGAAATGCACCTAGCAATCTCTATTCTAAATCATTTAATTAAAGATACTATAATAATCAAAATAGATGACAGGAAAGAATATAGTGAATATTTCATAGCTAGCAATATATAAGATGTATGAGTTTCAGAATAGGGAGAATGGGCACCCTGAAAGCTAAAACTACAAAATAGGAACTCCAGTGATTTCCTGGTCAAAATATCACTAACGACCTAATATACTGTTAATAAATAACACTTAAAGAATTATAAAATATAATAGATGAGCTAGCAAAAGTAAATGACCAACTTTAATTAAAGTGATTACCTGAAACCACCCTTAGCAGACAAGCCTATGCATGGAAGTTCAGACAACCAATGTTCCTAGAACAGCATGAACTTTATACCAATAGCCTTTACAGAACAAAGCATGGTCAAAATGTATACTATAGATAAGTAACTAGGAATATGATAGCTAGCACAATTGGAACAACCTAAAAACAAAACAACAAAAGCTACACTGGGTTTAAAAAAATACGAAAACTACAAACTATGTCCCTAACAAAATGGAAACAATAGTCAGTGAAAAACAATAATCAGTGATTTTATCCAAAAACATTTAGCTATATCTACACAATACAGAAATGTTAATTCCCTAAGGCTATCCAATGTATGCTATCCAATAAGCATTAGGCATATTTAAGCACTTAAAATGTGCCAGTACAAATGAGAAACCAAAATTTTAATTAATTTATATTTAAATTGAAAAACTGATATTCTACTGAGTTACTGGAAAGTTTTGCTTATAACGATTTGGGTACGTGAATGTACCTGTTAGCTATATGCCTTATGAAATCTCAATACAGATCAAGTATTTTCAATCAAAATTTGGCTTCCAAATTAAGGTGTGCTAGAAGTATAAATGTAAAACATACACGGATTTTGCTGACTTAGTACAAAAAATTAAAATGTGAAATACTTCATTAATAATTTTTGGCTGGACATGGTGGCTCACGCCTGTAATCCCAGCACTCTGGGAGGCCAAGGTTGGCGGATCGCCTGACATCAGGAGTTCGAGACCAGCCTGACCAATATGGTGAAACCCCGTCTCTACTAAAAATGCAAAAATTAGCTGGGTGTGGTGGCATGTGCCCGTAGTCCCAGTTACTTGGGAGGCTGAGACAGGAGAATTGCTTGAATCCGGGAGGCGGAGGTTGCAGTGATCTGAGATCGTGCCATCGCACACCAGCCTGGGCGACAGAACGAGACTCTGTCTCAAAAAATAATAGTAATTTTTGAAAATGTGACTCCATGTTGGAATAATATTTTAGTATATTGGGTTAAATAAAATACATTATCAAAATTAATTTCAGGCTGGGCATGGTGGTGCACTCCTGTAATCCTAGCTACTAGGGAGGCTGAGGCAGGAGAATCGCTTGAACCCAGGAGAACGAGGTTGCAGTGAGCAGAGATTGTGCCACTGCACTCCAGCCTGAGCAACAGAGCAAGACTCCATTTCAAAAAAAAAAAAATTAAGTTCATCTGTTTTTTACATTCTTAAATGTGACTTTTAGAAAATTTAACATCACCTCTGTGTTTTGTATCACATATCTATTGCACAGTGCTGCTCTAAGGGATCAATGGCTTGAAAAAGTGTGTCAGCTGTCAAAAATCTGAAATATCTGTCAGTCATGATTTATATGTAAAATATTATCTTATCCCTTAGTGTCACAAAATATTTCTTTAGGCTACCCAGAATTTGAATATTTATACATTTCAAAGTCATCTGTATCCTCTTCATACAGTGGATCGTTACAGATCATTAAAGTATTACTCTGGAGTTATTGTAAACTTTGGTAACATTTAATGGCCATTCTGACATCCAGGCTAAGTAATCAAGTAAAGAATGCTAATTAATCAAAGACTTATTGATTTCGTCTCTATCTAAATTCCCTCGGCCATACTTTAACAATACTTTTGTTTCTACGAGAGCTAAACAAGGATCTTTAGTATAGGAAACATTTTGATAAGAATCATTTTATAAAACAATTTTATGTTTACATATATACTTTTATATTTACCATATATATATACTTTACAAGCTGAACATTTTATACTCATAAATTTATATACTCAGCCTATACACTCATAAATTTATAAATATATTTACTATACACACATAAGTATATAAATGCATACGCACACACACCTGCACCCTCTCGCTCATAAATTTTCCCCTGGAAGAAAAGCATCAGAACTGCATGCCTTAGCAGTGCTTTCCCAACCTCTTTCATACCATGGCACGTTACAGAAAATTGTATTTGTAAGACACACTGGAGGAAACTGTTAAGGCTGCTCAAGGCAGGGCATCACTATCTCAGCATGCTTGCAGCACACCAATTGGGAAGCTCGGTCTTAAAAGGCCCTGCAAAATACTGCAAGAACTCTCTGACTCGTATTTTGTTTTCGTCTGTCTCATATTTTATTCTTACTTATGCCTACAGTTGTGAAAATACAACCCCTCAACATTTTTAATAGCAATATCCAAAGAAGGCCACAAGATGGAGATATTACTCCATTTTCATTTATATTTGTATTTATGCATTTTTTCTGTATACGTTTCTATGTGTATCCTGCTTTCTTCCTCAGTGGTATTCTCAGCTACTACCTCTATCTCTAACATTATTCTAATTCCTCTGCCACTCGGTTTTAACTTGCTTTATTATAGAAATATATAATGAATACTATCATGATCTTTGTTTTTAATATTAAAAGCAGGCAGATAATTGAAATATTTTCTTCTAGCTCTATATTTTCCCACTTCTCTAAAATTAAGATCACTTTTTTTTTACCCATTTTTATCCTGCGGGCAAACTTTTTTTAAAAAAATTGCTACCCACGAAGTAATAAGTAGTCCAAGAGTCATTTGCTCTAATACTTTCTACTACCTTGTAAAGCTACAGATTTATTACTTTGTGTCAATATCACTCAAAACTTCTCTGGGACTTTTCTTTGAGAACAGTCCTCAAGGCAGTCTATCAGCATTACATGAAATGTATATTCAGATCTTTTTATCAATACAAAGTATTTATCCGAGCTTGCTAACCTAATTTAGTCACCAAATTTAGCTCCAAATGACTGTTAGCTATAGCCAAAAATCAAACCCAACTTTAAGATTTACTACTAATGAGGCTAATGTGAAGAATATGCAGCAAGCTTTGAAGGCAATTCAAAACAAGAAGCTTCAGTGATGTTTTAAGAGACAGCAGCATGTTGAAAAACTGTGAAGCTTTCCACAATAAACACTTGCAAAATCAATCTAATTTACTTTAAGTTAAATCTTATATACTTCCAAACGTGTGATATAAAAAGTCACTCATTGATTGTGTAAAACTACTATAGAACTGCACAACATGGCTGTCATTTGAACTTTATCAAATGTCTAAACTAAAATGCTTTAAACATAAGAAGTTGGCCAGGCGCGGTGGCTCACACCTGTAATCCCAGCACTTTGGGAGGCCGAGACAGGTGGATCACGAGGTCAGGAGATCAAGACCATTCTGGCTAACACGGTGAAACCCCGTCTCCACTAAAAATACAAAAAAAAATTAGACAGGCATGGTGGCGGGCGCCTGTAGTCCCAGCTACTGGGGAGGCTGAGGCAGGAGAATGGCATGAATCCGGGAGGCAGAGCTTGCAGTAAGCCGAGATCGCGCCACTGCACTCCAGCCTGGGTGACAAAGCGAGACTCTGTCTCAAAACAAACAAACAAAAAAACACACAAGAAGTCTATTTCCTACTACATATAAAAGATCCATAAAGAAATATTGTATGATATAATTAAAACACAATTTCCAGACTTCCTACTTTATATATATTTATATTATATATACTTATATATTAATATATTATATATATTTATACATGTTAACTTCCGCAAATCAAACTTAATCACCAACTATCAATACAAAGCACCACTTTAAGTCAGAAAAGAACCTAAATAGTAATCTTATCTGTTAACGAAAAGTGTGGTAATTGAAAATAACTGCCAATAAGATTTGCAATTAAAAAAAATTTTCTAAAAGTCAGAGGTTTCTTTTTAAAGTATAAATTCAGTTGGTCATGGAATAGATTCCTTAACCTGACCTGTTTTAATGGTATAAATAAAGTCCTTAAGTATTGACTAGAAATAAGAAGTTTCTACCTTCCTCATGTGTACGGACCCTAAGATTTCTTCATGGTCTATTCATACTTTCCCAGTAAATGGCAACAATGATCTTTTTCTTTCTGGTCATAACTCATTTTGACTACTGCTCACTATACAGGCCACAGTTGAGTTTCATGTAACAGTTTAAAATTCTATTTCCTTCTATAACCAGGAGTTGTATGTATTCCAGAATGTGTTTAACCAAGGAAATTACGTCATTTTAGAATTCTAGTATTTGCTCTTAGTGGCATCTTAACGTTGCTCTTCTCCATTTTAACACTGCTGCATATACTATGGCATGTCCTTTAATTCTTGATCTTAGATTATTAGCTTTAATATTAAGCAACTCAAATATATTAGTTAACTGTGTAGCTGCACAGAGCTTAATGCCTACTGCCTCAGTAGCAATAAAACAGGCATCCATCTGATAATGAAGTATACTGTTTTATACACATATTCTAACAAAAATGTAGAACGTGGCATGCCCTTGCTTTTGCAATATGCCTGGTTACATGTGAGATTTCAGTTGCTGGATGATGTAATCAGAAACACTTATCAAATATGGTGAATGAATCCTCACCTTGCTTAATTTAGTATTACATAAGATGGGAAATGAAACATAAATTCTAGATTAAATTTCTAATTAGGTCCTTATGACACGCTTAGACAAAAAATTTCAGTAAATATAAGTAATACTCAAATATCAACTATTCAGTTCTTAAAATGAAATACTATGCTGTTATTTAAAACATGTAATCATATTTTTACATTCATTAGTATAGGGCCCATCTTTTACAATTAAGTGTTTTGATGAAAATAAAGATTTTTGAAAATATGACTGTGACTTCATTATAAAATGATCTAGGGTCCTGCTTCATCCAATCAGAAATCTCTCTTTCCACTGCAATTCCTTTCCTTTATTTTTGTATAACTCTGTAAGAAAGGCTTTGGAATTGTTTTCAACTAGGTGGAATTAACTGGTATCATTACTGTCTAAACAGACCCAATAATGCCCACAGTGGAAAACAGTTCTGAAAGTCACATAGTACCATTTATGGAATAAGCAGTTCACTGAGAGAGAGCATAACAAAGCTGAGAAAAGGTTTATTACAGACACTAGGCATTTTATCAAACAACTTTTATTGGCATTACTTACAACTGCCATATAAATTCTCCTCTCAGCAATCAAGTCAAATAACCTCAACCTCTGTTTTATTCTCAACATTGAACAAAATATGATTGTGAAATTAACCACATTAAACCAATCACTAGGTAAACTGGTAACCCATATAACGTTTTAGAATATATTTCTAGGAATAATTGTAATAGCAGAAGCCATTCCACTTTCCCAGTTCAACTTAGGCTATTGTCTATGAATAACAAAAGATACAATATTCTAAGAGTGTTCTCATAATTAGTGTAAAGAAAAAACTGAGAATAGCATAAAAGGAAAAAGGAAACTTAAAACTAAAAGAAAGTCTCTGTTCCATCAGCTCTAGATTATATGTGGCAAAATTTTCACAATAGACTTGCTTTATCCCATAAAATTGGCTCAGGCATCTTCCACTAAACTATACATATCACAAAAAGAGTGTGTACATAAGAAAACTAATTTTATGATAATTCTATCTGATGCAAAGATGTATACAATTAAACAAGTACTTATTCAGCTCTAACGCTATGCATGCCTACATCAGAAATATAAATGACTGAAAGGTTATCTACCATTCTAGATTCTGTGTATCTCTTTCTCCAAATTAAAAAAAATTGGATTCTACAATAAAAATGGGGAAGCTATTATTACACAACACACATGTACAAAGGAATAGACTCCACAGAGAAAGACTGAACTACACTCAACACCACAAGCTCAGTGGATTCCACTGCAAGAATCACTGGACAAAATTGATAATCACAGTACAAATTCACCATCATTCATGAATGAAATCATCATCTTCATTTCTAAAAAGGACTGTGATGGGCTTTAGGGAGGCCCCATTAACTGGTTTTTCCCATCCAAAAAACTGAGTGGACACAGGAGTCGGGCAGACAAGAGATGAACCTTTATAACTGATACAGCTATTGAAGAATACAGGTTAAATGTGATGGCCAAATGGGCTTGCTAGCAATTTGTGCCCTCTCCTCTACATTCTAGACTTTGAGACAGTATGCTCAAGGGTAAGTCTGGTTAGGATAATTGCCTTACTGGTCTGGGCAGAGAGGTGCAAAGAGACTGATTCCCACTACTCATAGCTTTCTGACTGATCAGCTCTTCCTAATCAAGCAAAACAGAGCAAAGGCAATCACCCTCCAGTAAGGTAACTCACACCGCCATGGTAAGATGTTAGAGATGGGTCTAGTGATCAGTGGTGTTTTTTTAGGGAAGTTCCTCCCAACCATGGGGCACGGATGAATGGGCAATAATTGTCCCTCCTCTAAACAGGCTAGCTAATCTGTACATTTGAAAATACAGGCCGAATGAGCTTAAAAGGTTTATTAATTCCTATCTAAAAATTAAAATCCAAATATTTTATAAGCACATCCCTGTTCTTCTGCTTTTCTTCTGTTAACCAAGTTTCAGCATTCATTTGAATATAAGGATTTAGTTATAAAACACGAGAGAAAGAGAATGAAGCACATTTTCTAGCTACATAAATAGAAGTCTGTAATGACTGACTGGCACCATGAAGACAAATCTTGACTTCAGCATAAAGTAAATACTACAAAATTTAAGATAATTTAGCTTGTCATTATTTCAATTCACAGATTTTTTTAAATGAATATGAAGTGTTTACTGTTGGCTAGAATTACTGTATACAAAGGATAAGGAAAGTCATGGTCCCAAAAGACAATTAAAAGAAATATAGAGGCTGGGCGCAGTGGTTCACGCCTGTAATCCCAACACTTTGGGAGGCCGAGGTGGGTGGATCACCTGAGGTCAGGAGTGCAAGATCGGCCTGACCAACATGGCGAAACCCCATCTCTACTAAAAATACAAAATTAGCCAGGCATGGTGGCAGGTGCCTGTAATCCCAGCTACTCGGGAGGCTGAGGCAGGAGAATCGCGTGAACCCAGGAGGCAGAGGTTGCAATGAGCCAAGATCGCGCCACTGCACTCCAGCCTGGGCGACAGAGCAAGACTCCATCTCAAAAAAAAAAAAAAAAAAAAGAAATACAGAATTGCCACTGACCCCACAAGAAGTACAGGTGTCTGAGAAGCAGGTGCTGTTACACAAAATATAAATACTGTGCAGGAACCTATAATTTAAGATGGTAACGAAAGATCTTTCAATAGCACATCTTTTTTCCTACACTCCTCTCTCATCTTCCCCCCATCTCCTCTGAAAAGATGCAATATCCAAATTGGAGTGCCCTATTATTAAAGTCATTCTAAACATGGTATGAATGACTAATAAATCATCTGTATATACCCCCCAACAAAGACTTCTGCAACCCCTTTCTAGACTTCTAGAATGGACGTGAAATCTAAGGATACATGGAAGAAGATTCTTCTGCTGCCTGAAGGCTGTGAAAGATTACATAGAAGTAAAATCTGTTGAGTAAAAACTGTCAAGCAACTACTTGTTTGGGGAATTACAGTTTGCATTTAGTTACAATGTTTATAATGTTTGATTCAATAAATATTTAGGTGTTTACTATGTGCCTTACTATGAAGAAAATAAAAAGCTACCATCTGTCCTAAAAATGAGGCAACTAACTTGTCCAAGGTCATAAGGTGGTCTGGTCCAAGTTCTAAGTCATCTGTTATTCAGATTATAGAGCTTAGAGAGTAACTGAGTTATCTTATACCTGGTGGATAAGGGGATAAAGAAGATGCCACAGACAGTCACTACCATCTCTGCCTTCTAGTTTAGGATATGGATATCTCAAAAGAATGTTCTATATTAATTGTCTCCAATTCTTCCCTTTCATTCTCTCCTGAACCCAATCTACCCAGACTACTGAACTCACCACTTCACCAAAACAGTTCTTACTGAGGTAGCCTGTGACCGCCATACGGTTAATTCCAACGGTGAAGTCTCAAAGCTCATCTTATTTGAATCATCATCATCATTTAACCCAGCTGATCCCTTTGTCTTTGAAACACTTTTTTCACTTGACTGAAGAGAACCTTGTATTGGTTTGCCTCCTACCTTACTGGTCGTTCCTGCTCTATCTTCTTTGTTGATTCCCCTCCATCTTCTTGACTCTTTTTTTTTTTTTTTTTTTTTTGAGACGGAGTCTCGCTCTGTCGCCCAGGCTGGAGTGCAGTGGCACAATCTTGGCTCACTGCAACCTCCGCCTCCCGGGTTCAAGCAGTTCTCTACCTCAGCCTCCCGAGTAGCTGGGATTCCAGGCGCCTGCCACCACGCCTGGCTAATTTTTATCTTTTTAGTAGAAACGGGGTTTTACCATGTTGGCCAGGCTGGTCTTGAACTCCTGACCTCGTGATCCACCCGCCTCAGCCTCCCAAAGTGCTGGGATTACAGGCGTGAGCCACCACACCCGGCTCCTTGACTCTTAAAGTCTGGAATCCCCAAGGCTTATTAGCTCCCAGATCTCTTCTCTTCTCTTTTACGTTCACTCCCTTGGTGAACTCATCCAGTTTTGTGGCTTCAAGTTACTCTCTAAGTGCCTCGGACTCCCAAATTCCTATCTACAGCCCTAAACTTTCTTCTTGTAACTCTACACCTGAATAACCAATTGCCTACATACCAGCTCAACTTCAACGTTTAACAGACACCCCAAATTTAGCATGTCCGTAAACCAAATTCCTGATGTTCTCCAAACCAGGCTCCTAGTCCAGGTTTCTCCATCTCAACAAATGGCAATTGCATCCTTCCAGTTACTGAAGCCAAAAATCTTTAGAATTATCTTCAGTTTCTCTTTTTCTCTCGCATACCACATTCAAGCCATCAGTAAAATTCTGTTTGCTCCATGTTGAAATTCAATCCAGAATCTGACCATTTTGCACCACCTCCACTGCTACCACCCAGGTCCAATCTATACCACAATTATCCCTCTAAGTAACTAATGCCTCACAGACTATACTCAGTACACTAAAGAGATCATTTTGAAATTCAAGTCAAATCATGTATCTTTTCTGTTCAAACACCACCTCCCCCAACTTACTTATAAGTAAAAGCCGAAGTCCTTACAATGGCCTACAAAGCCCTACATGGTCTTCCCTTACCACCTATGACTCAGATCTTGTCTCCTATTGCTGTTCTCCCATTACTGTTTTCCTTGATCACTCTGCTCCAGCCACACTGCCTGCCTTGCTATTCCTCAAACGCTAAGCAAGCTCTTGCCTCCTGGCCTTTGTGCTTACTGTCTGCTCTTCCTTGAATGTCCTTCTACCATGCTATGGTCTGAATGTTTTTGTCCTTCGAAATTCTTATGTTGAAATCTAATCCCCATTGTGACAGTAATACAAGGTGGGGCCTCTGTGAGGTGATTATATCACGAAGGTGGAGTCCTAATGGATGAGATTAGTGTCCTTATAAAAGAAGCCCCAGAGAGCTGCCCTGCCCGTACCACCATGTGAGGACACAGCAAGAAGGTGCCATCTATGACCAGAAGGCCCTCACCAGACACAGAATCTGCCGGTGCCTTAATCTTGGATTTCCCAGCCTCCAGAATTGTGAGAAATCAAGTTCTCCTGTTGAAAAGCTGTCCAGTTCATGGCATTTTGCTATGGCAGCCCAAATGGCCTACAACACAACAATTACCCACATGGCTTACTCCCTAACTTCTCTCAGAGGCCTGCTCTGACCATATAACATTTATATTTACTTACTTGGCTGTTTACTGTCTGTTTCTCCCTACTGAATTATAAGCTTAGGGGTTTTGTTTTATATAAAGGTCAACTCCCAATGCTTAAAATCCAATAGGCACCAAACAAATCTCTGTTGCGTGAACAAGAAGAGATTAGTGCACAGAGCCAGGTCACCACTTTCAGCAGCCTACCTACTTTGTTCTGGTCCCTCATGTTTGGCTAGTCACCAAATGGCTCTGGCTTGAAAACTACACATGAAAGACCCTGGACAGGTTGCATTTGTCTCCACCAAATTTCTGGTCCCTGAAAGTCATCTAACAAAGTTAAGATTCAATGTAAAGAAAAAAACTTGTTCCATTCAGTTTCTCTGCTTGGACAGAATAAAATTCCTCCTGGCATTCTTTCCAATTTTAATACAGCTGGATAGAGAAACACAGGTTAAAACAATTTTCTGGATCCTTCTTTTCGGATTCTACCTTGACAAAGAATCTTCTTGATTATCTATGCTTCTTTATTTTCTCATCTTTGCCCAGAGAGTCAAGTGCTCTGGTTGTTCACACTGCCTAATTAACTATGCAAATCAAGTTACATGAAATTATAAATGAAAATTCTATGAGTGTTCACATGCAAAGCTAGATTACATGATCTAAATTTTAAACTGCTACTAAATTTCTGTTCTCTTAAAGGCACTTAATTTTTCATGAATAACTGGATCTTCAAGATTTCTGGATAGATTATGTTTAAGACTCTCTTTACGTACAGAATGTAATCAATGATAAATTCTAATTATTCCCAGTATTAAAGTAGTTCTTAAAAGTCATCAGAGCTTCACTAATTATTTTTACACATACTCCATCATTTGCTTTGAAAATGAGATATATAGTGTATCTATAAGCAGGGAGGGGCACCAGGCAACAGATCATAAATATAGTTATTACAAAGTTGCTTGCACATATGAATCTGAAGTGTGAAATGCCTATACTTTATAACTCTTACAAAAATAAAAAATTGTTTCACTCATGGTACCCTGGCAACCCAGCAATTTTATATTCACTGATGGAATGAAAATGCAATGTCTGAAAATTAAAATTCAGTAAAAGTTCAATAGTTCACCCACATTTATGATAACCTATGGGGGAAGGGGATGTGCATTTCATATCTAGTCATGTGAAGTGTGCCTTGAATGGCAACTATCGTAAACATTAATTTTTTACTCCCATAACTATTCAAAGCATTGTACGAAGGGCTCAATCAGATCGTGTGAAGTGTACATTTTTCACCCCATAAGCCTGAAATCAGCGAAATGTTATCTTCTCCTTCGCACAAGGCTTCAGGTAGAGACTGGATATCTACCCTCACTCAACCACCCTCAATGGTAGAACTAAAAAGCAACAAATGGATTTTACAAGTTAATGTCTTAAGCTATAGAAGAAAACGAAATGAAACAAAAGGAAAAGGGGAAAAAAAAACCCATTCCTACATTACTGACCGGGGGCTTCTCTTCCAATCGCATCCCAAGTCCTTTGCTGCTCAAAAAACTTAACACCTCCAACCTGGTTAGACGCTTCAAATTCCTCCAGATTTCTAAACTGCGAAAGCGAAACAAACATCTACCTAACAGGCTAAAAAGATGACGAAGTACAAAGTAAGAAAAACTTTTGCAACACAGACACTGGCCACAGTGCATTCCTACTTTCCCAGAAGGGAAGAGGAGGGGAGGCAGCTGAAATAAGAATAAGGATGAGGTAAGTATCGGTGGAAGATGACAGTTTAGGGTGAGAAGCGGCTGCTCTTTCTCACATTCAGGGGGACAGGAAGGCAAAAGGTAGGTGTTAAATTAAAAAAAAAAAAAAGTCTACCCACACCACTCTTCGTTCTTCCTCCAGCACAGCTGGAGGGGGAAGGCTCTTCCCCAGAACGCCGGAGCAGAGAGAAGGCATCGCCACCCTAGGCTAGTGGCGCCGTCCAGCCTGTCACTGGGGCTGGGACTAGAAAAGTTGAAGCAGGAGTAAAGATCTGGGGAAGACGGACACGTCCTTCCAAGGCTGAGGACCCCGGTGACCCGAGCTGAGGGCAGCCAGAGCCCGGGGTGACCAAGCCCTGCCCTACGTGTCCGGCTGTCTCTGAGGAACCGGGTCGCCTGACGCCTGCCCTGGCCCCTCTCCGCCCGGCCCCGCGCGCCTCCTTGCTTACCTGCTGCACCCCGAGGAACTGGTAGAAGTTGAGCTGCACCTCCTCCACTAAGTCAAACAACTCCAGGTCTCCGCTCTCCCAGCCGCGCGCCGGCGCCACGGCGGCCAGCAGCAGCAGCAGCAGCCACAGCAGCGGCGTCCGCGGCGGCGGCGGCGGGAACGGCACCAGCCCGAGCTGGCGGCGTCCAGGAAGCTGCGCCGGCTGGGAGCAAGGAGCCGTCATCGCGCTGGGCTCGGAAAGGTCACCCGCCGCGCAGCTCCGTTGGCCGAGAGCTGGGACGTGGCGGGCGGCGCTGGCTGTGGGGAACAGCGCCTGTCAGTGAAAAGCGCGGGCAGGCGCACCGGAGCGGCCCGCCAGGTGGCTGGCCCCAGACAGAGCGCGGAGGCGGCGGGAGCCGGCTGCCGGACGGGCGGGTGGGTAGGCGGGCGGGGCCGCAGCCAGCGCTACGTTCCGAAGACCCTCGCCCCCAGGCCTACACACAGCTGTAGAGGCAGCGCCCGGCGCCTGGGCTGCACAGTGGGTGAGGCTTCCCTTCGCCTCAGCCTATCCCAGGCCTCGCTTCCGGTGACATCATGTCTCCTAGCAACCGCGGGAAGGGGGCGTGGCCGGAAGCCTGGACGCCTGGCGCCCCAGATCTGGGCCTGGGTGAAATGCCTCTCAATCACTGGCGCGCACGGAGCAGCTGTACCTGCGCCCACATGGGCTGAGAGACAGGGACGGTTATAGCCATCTCGCGTCCATCTGGAACGCCCCACGTGGACTTCCCCTGAAATAGCTACTGTCTTCCTCTCCCCTAGCTATCGAACACTAAAAGCATATTTGAAGCCTGATTAATTGATTATGGCTTCCATGCATTTAATTAGTCCATCAGCAAAGAAGACAGGACAAGTTGAACCAGGTTCTAAAAGGGGCAAATCTAGTAAGTAGAGAGAGGTAGAGCAGAAAAGGAATTGAAACCAAAACAAAAAGTATACTTCTAATTATGAATTAAGATTTACAGGCATAATACCATAAAATGACCTGGTAGAATTAACAGTTAATAATGGTGACTCAATCATAGTTGGAGGAGAAATGTAGTTTATCCACCTTAGCCCACCTCCAGTTGGGGTTCCTTTGAAAACAGACCTCAATTGAGATGTTTCTGTTTTAAAAGACAGGCTAAAAACCTCCTCTCCCATAACAATGTCTCACCTTCTAGTCTTGCATTGCTTCTGTTCAAGCTCTTTTCAAGTTATTTTCTCCACCACAATTCTCTTGTGTGGACTTTATTATTGTGTGCTTAGCACAATGCATAGCACATGAGAGCACTCAATTAGTTGAACTGAATCCTGTGACTACCTCCCTACCACCATTCCCCCTACCACAGATTTTTAGTTTATTTATTTATTTATTTAGAGACGGAGTTTTGCTCTTGTTGCACAGGCTGGAGTGCAATGACACCATCTCGGCTCACTGCAACCTCTGCCTCCCACGTTCAAGCAATTCTCCTGGCTCAGCCTCCCGAGTAGCTAGGATTACAGACTCCTGCCACCATGCCTGGCTAATTTTTTGTATTTTTAGTAGAGACGGGGTTTCACCGTGTAGGCCAGATTGGTCTCAAACTCCTGACCTCACATGATGTGATCTACCCACCTCAGCCTCCCAAACTGCTGGGATTACAGGCATGAGCCACCACCCCCAGCCTAGTTTATTTTTGGTTATATCAGTTTTCTTAAAGTGAACGTCATCTTTACCAAGTCCCTAAATTAGGTTACTGTTTATTCAATGAACAAAACATCGAAATAAGATGAAATTAATGATCTTAAGCACTACTTTTACATATTATAGTAACATTCATCTTTTCTCCTAATTTGATCATTAGATTAAGTGCAATAAAACCTTTGAAACTGGTGCCATATTGCCACAAATCTGGGATTCTTACCCCGATCTTGTAGCAGACAGCCTAGTATTTCCCTTTTGAGTTTTACCTTTATGTTGTCTGAGAACCTCGGGGACTTACTCCATCTAAAGATAGCCCATCCTCTTTCTAAGGCCATGCTGAAACAGAATTGGATTCTATTAATAATACTTCTCATGGACATAAGGTATTACTCAAAAATTCATGCTGCCCAGCTCCAATGACACTTGTCCACCCTGAGATGATCTTCTTGCTTGTCCAGGTTCCTGCAAAGACCACAGTGATATTCATATTTAGACTTCTAGCTTGGCCTCTTTACCTATTCAGTCATTGTCCCAAAAATTACAGTGCAATTGAATAAATCTTTTGCTGAGGTCTGAACTAAGGGAGTGACAGTATCCACTGTTTTCTTCCCTGGTGACATGTACTAATTCTGGGCATAGACTCATCCAGCTTGGCCTGGGCAGAGGGAGTTTACACAGAAAAAGAGAAACCAGTGAGATGTTTAACCATCATGTGAGCTGTGAAATGGATTGGAAATATAGAGGAGCCCCAAACATATAGCCAGTTTTCCCACAGGACATTCGCTGAGTTCTGGGGTGGTGCAGGAGGCTGAGCAGCTGGGCGTGATAGGCAGAGTAAAATTACCCCATATTCTACTGCATAGAAAGCTAATTCTGCTTAGAAGGATCCTGCCTCAAATACACAAGCATTCTCCCCCTTCAAGACATTTACACTATTTTTGAAGTTGTATGAGAAGGAGGCTGAAGATCTACGTTTAAAACCTCTCAAAGGCAGAACTGAATCTCAGAGCAGAGGAAACAGCAGCTGTCCAGGCTCTTGATCAAAAGCCCAGAGGAATCACACATGAAGAAGAGAGAGAAACCACAAGAGAACTATCTTACTGAAACCGCACCCCAATCCCAACCCAGCTCATCCTTGATTAGACAGAGATAATCAGAACATCATCCTATTTGTCTATGTTTATCCCTAGAAGAAAATAACATCATCTATATTGTCTATAGATCTTTAATATAAAAGTCTAACATTTGTAAAAAAAAATTATGAGGTGTGAGAAGAGCAGGAAAATTTGACCAACAATCAAGAAAAAAAAAATAATAGAAGATCCACAGATAAGCCAACTATTGAAGTTTAGATAAGAACTTTAAAATAACTATTATGAAATAAAGCCATAGGTTATAAAATAGAAGAAAACATGAACAAGATGGATTAAAATATGCAGAATTTTAAGAGTATTAAAATCCATAAAAAAGAATCAATGGAAAATATTTAACTGAAAAATGTAATTTCTGAAAGGAATATTGCAATGGATCAGTTTAATAGCAACCTGGACACAGCAGAACAGAGGGTTAGTGAATTTGGAGACTGAGCAAGAAAAAATACCTAAACTCAAGCACAGAGAGAAAAACAAATGGAAAAAATAGAACACAGCTTAATAGGCATGTGTACAATGAATAAACCCAGGATAGGTATAACTGGAGCCTTAGAAAAAGAGGAGACAGAGAATGAAGCAGAAGCAATATTTGAAGATATAATAGCCAAGAATTTTACAAAAGTAATGAAAGACATAAAACCACAGATGAAAAAAATATCTCAAAATGAATCCTAGACCTCAATGTATGAGTTAATGCTACCAAACTCTTGTAAGAAAAAAAGGGAGTAAATCTTAGTGACCTTGGGTTAGCCAGTGGTTTCTTATATATGACACAGAAACATAAATGACAGAAGAAAAAAAATAGATAAATTGGACTGCACAGAAATTAAACGTATGCTGCAAACAATATTATCAACAAAGTAAAAAGACAAGAGAATAGGAGACAATATTTGTAAACCACATACTTGATAGGGTACTTAGATCCAGAATTTGTCAAAGATTCTTACAACTCAACAACTAAAACAACCCCCCTTTTTTTGTTAATGGGCAAACAAGTTGAATAGACATTTCTTCAAAAATATGGAAATGACCAATAATCACATGAAAAGATGCTCAACATCTGTAGTCATCAGGGAAATGCAGATCAAGACTACAATGACATGCTACTTCTCACCAAGTAGGATGGCTATAATCAAAAAGATAGACAAGAAAAAGTGTTGAACATGTGGAGAAATTGGAACCCTCTCACATTACCGCTAGGAACTCAAAATGATGGAGCCCCTTAGGAAAACAATTTGGCAGTTCCTCCAAAAGCTAAATGTAGAGTTACTATATTACCCAACAATTCCACTTCTAGAGAAAAGAAACATATGGCCACACAAAAACTTGTACAAAAATGTTCATAGCAGCATTATTCACAATAATCAAAAAGTTTGTAAACAACCCAAATGCTCATCAACTGAAGAAGGAATAAACAAAGTGTGGTATATCTATGCAGTGGAATATTATTCTGCAATATAATGAAATGAAGTGTGGATATATGCTGTGACATCGATGAGTTTTGAAAACATGCCATGTGAAAGAAGCCAGTCACAAAAAAATCACCTATTGTATAATTCCAGTTATATGATATGTCCAGAATAGGCAAACTTACAAAGACAGAAAGTAGGTTAGTAGTTACTTAGGGATAGGGAGTAGATAAGGTTACAGATTAACTGCTAATGACTGTAAGATTTCTTTTAGGGGATGTGAAAATGTTCTAAAATTGGATTATGGCAATGATTGTATAACCCGGTTTAGTATATTAAATACTAAAAAAACACTGACTTAAATATACTTTAAATAGGTGAATTGTGTAGTACGTCAATTGTATCTCACTAAGGCTGTTAAAACAGAAAGAAAAAAACAACCACTCACAAATACAATACACTCAACAAACCCCAAAATGGATAAATGCAACAAAGCAAAGCAAATCTAAGTATATCATCGCCAAACTGCAGCAAAGCTTGTGGGATGTAGTGAAGGCAGTAACTTCAAAGAACATCTGTGGCACGGCACTGTGGCTCACGCCTGTAATCCTAGCACTTTGGGAGGCTGAGGTGGGCAGATCACTTGAGATCAGGAGTTTGAGACCAGCCTGGCCAGCATGGCAAAACCCCATCTTTACCAAAATTACCAAAAAAAATTAGCTGGGCATGATGGCGTGCGCCTGAAATCCTAGCTACTTTGGAGGCTGAGTCACGAGAATTGTTTGAACCTGGGAGATGGACATTGCAGTGAGGTGAGATTGCACCACTGCACTCCAGCCTGGGCCACAGAGCGAGACTCTGTCTTGGGAAAAAAAAAAAAAAGAACATTTGTAGCCTTAAATGTCTTAAGGAAAGAAGGCAGAAAATTAATGAGCTATGTGTTCAACATAAGGAGTTACACAAATAACTACAGGATAAATTCAAGTGAAGATTCCAATGAAGACATCTAGTTGTTTTTATCATGGTGCTTATGCAGGTGAGCTGGGAGCATATCAGCTCATGCATAATTTTTTTTATGTCATCATTTTGTAGGTTCTGGTACTGCCACAGTTCAAGGTGTGGCTATGATCATGTATGGCTGAGATGCATTGGAAGAATATGCCATTGGCAATGAGGAGAGGAGGGAGAATCCAGAGTATTGGGTGGGTCACTCACATAGAGGTTGATGGGAGTTTTGATCTTGTTGCATGAGAACTTCAACATCATAATGACCACCACTTTCCGGAGAAAAAGGTGAAAGAATACTGGTAATTTAATAGACCAGTAGGACTCAAAGAGGTTTAAATAAACCATCTGGTAGTCTATCCTTCGCTTTTGGGTAAGATCAAATTTAACTATATCAAACAAAATTGACTATATAACATCGATGTGTTATAGTCAAAGTCCAAATGTCTCCTTAAATCATCATTAGTGGCCTGTTTACCCCATGATTTTAAAAATTCTGGCCCTCGTTACATCTTAAAATAGTCTCATTGGCTCCTATATGGCTGTTTCTCAAATATATGAGCTTGAAATTCTAAGATACCATTGTTCTTTAATGGAACGTTATCTTCACTCAGTAACGTATTTATCCAAACACCATTCACAAACTTACATTGAGTCGACAAAGGTTAGAAAAATATTGTTTTGGCGGAGCACCTCCTTAGAAAATAATCCCTTTTGTATTGCAGTATTGAATTTTAATCATTTTGAAGGTCTTCATAAATAAATATAGATGCTCTTCATGTTATAAATAATAAATATATTTCTAATATGTTGACACTATGGTTTTCACTTCCCTGAATAATGTACTATTTACTTAAATAATCTCCTGGTGAAGAGGAGCACAGATTCTAGAGCCAGATTGATTACATTTGCACCCCGGCTCTACCACTTAGGGTGATCTCCGAGTTTCAGTTTCCACATCTCTAAAATTAGGATCAGACTACTCCCCAAATCATAAGGTTCTTGTGGGAATGAAGTGGAATAATTAGTGTCTGGTATATAGTAATTGCTGTTTAAATGTTATTGTCATTTTATGGGAAGTCTCCATCTATACTGTATTAAGGTTTCTATAAATAACTCTTATCTGTTTTTAAATGTTTAGATGTTGTCTTTAAAAGCATTTGTTGCTGGGTGCGGTGGCTCATGCCTGTAATCTCAGCACTTTGGGAGGCCGAGATGGGCGGATCATGAGATCAGGAGTTCAAGACCAGCCTGGCAAACGTGGTGAAACCCTGTCTCTACTAAAAAAAAAATACAAAAATTAGTCGGGTGTGGTGGCATGCGCCTGTAGTCCCAGCTACTCAGGAGACTGAGGCAGGAGAATCACTTTAATCTGGGAGGCGGAGGTCGCCGTGAGCTGAGATCTTGCCATTGCACTCTCCAGCCTGGGTGACAGAGCGAGACCCTGTCTCAAAAAAAAAAAAAAAAACAAAACAAAACAAAAAAAAAAAAACAGGCATTTATTATCAAGCTTGGGCTGTAATTGCCTACTTCATCAAAAATGTATCCAATCACTTGTTTGCCCAGGATGGTGGGAGACAAGTTTTGTTTTATTTTTACCAAAAAATGACTGGTTGTAAAAGTCAATTTAATTTTTTTTTTTTGCTCCAGCTTTATAAAAACATATTATTCATTATTTCCCTGCTAAATTCAGCTTAAGATTAAACAGTAGATGCTGTATTAAGAGCAGGCACTCAGTTGAACAAAAGGAAGGGAAAATATTCACATGCAGTGATTTAGCCACTAAAGAGTTGGCCGCTGTCATCATTTTCCTTTGGTTTAGCTCTGTATTTTCAGACAGTGAGGTTTTCTGCTTTCCCCGGACTTTAATGTGTCACAATAAAATCCATGTTAAAATTTCTTTCTTCTAACATCTACAGTTCCAGGATTATCATTAATTTTTCAAAGTTGTCTAGTAACTCACTTAAATCTCTTGAACATTTCAAAATTAGTTTTTGTCCTTGTTCCTTTAACCAACCCAGATATTCTCTTCTACTCTCCTCAATTCAGCCTGAACACAGCAATCATTGCATTTTCCTCATATACAAAGTCTCCAATTAGTTTGCAAAAGGAAATTTTTGCAGACCTCTTCATCATCTAGTCTTTCAGGCCTTACAGCTCGATTTTGGCATTCTGCCGCTGAGCCCTAATATTGTTTGTGATGCCAAATTGGAACACAAGGCAAAACAGTACAAAGTTGCTTTTCACCACGATCAACAGGTCCCAGCAAAGGTCTAGTTTATGTATAGAAATTCCATGCCTCATAAATACGTTATTACATTTACTAAAAGGAGGCAGCATTCTTTACAGTACTGAACTAGCAATATGACCAACACAGAAACAAACAGAGATAGATTAAGGAAAACTTAGTTCCAAATGGTAAGATATGGGAAATTTAAATTTGCTTTCCTAAATATGACTATTGAATCATTCTCATTTTGCTAATCCGTACAGCAATCCAGCTTCATCTCTCTCCACTTCTAATATATAAATATGTAATGCTGTATTATTTTTGCTTGTGACAGAAGGGTGTTTAGTGCCAAGACTCCATAATTAAAGTCTTTTAACTTAAAAAAAATTAAATAATAATAATTTCACCACCAGGGGGCAAACAACATTTTTATAGGCCAAGGATATTTTTAACATTCTAAAGGAATGATCTTGTGTGAACATATTTTTTGTTGTTGTTGTTACCATTTCAATAGCTTCAAGTTAAAAGACACTAATTCGAACCTAAACCTTTAAATTTAAGGAGAAATCATGCTTATAAAAGAGAAAATTGTACAAGTCACCATTAACCTGTTGCTTTTCCATTTACTATAATTTTTAGATGCTTTAAAAAGATTCCCTCCCTTTTACCCTTTTCTTTCATATATTTGCACATGAGGCAGAAAAATAGAATTGAACTTTTTTAATGCCTATGTAGCCTTTGTTTGTGGTGGCCTTTACATTGCTTTTAGTACATAGTATATTGTGGTCACTGGCTTTCTAAGCATGTATTTCAGCTCTGCTTTTTTTGTTAATTTAATATGATTAACTCATATACTTAGATCTCTACTTCCTCCTTTTTTTTTTTTTTTTTTTTTTTTTTTTGAGACAGGGTCTTGCTCTGTTGCCCAGGCTAGAGTGCAGTGGCGTGATCTTGGCTCATTGCAAACTCTGCCACCCGGGTTCAAGCAATTATCCTGCCTCACCCTCCTGAGTAGCTGGGATTACAGGCAGCATACCAACACACCCGGCTAATTTTTGTATCTTTAGTAGAGACGGGGTTTCAGCATCTTGGCCAGGCTGGTCTTGAACTCCTGACCTCGTGACCCATCCGTCTTAGCCTCCCAAAGTGCTAGGATTACACGTGTGAGCCACCGCACCCAGCCTTCTACCTCCTTCTAAAATTGGATTTTTTGTCTCTTGTTTTGGTTACTGCTTTGCCATTTGTTAATTTTATAACTGTGAAATGATAATAACTGGTAAACATATCAAATCACAAATTATCTCTTTTGAGAGCTTGATACACTGAACTTGATAAAGTACCAGAGTTGTGAATAACTAATCCACAAAAAACAAAATGATCAGTACAATATATTATCAGTAGCAGGCAATGATAAGAATAACTTTGGTGAAAATTTTGGTCCATCATATTCTGAAGTTTAAGGATATTTGATTACTTCTGACTTGTAACTTGGTAAAAAATTCTATCAATGGAAGCAAAATAGAGTTTTTAAATCAAGGTATCTGTGGTACAGAAAAACAACCACATTTTATTTCTCTTGGCTTAGTTCGTTTTCCCTTTTTCCTGCTCCTAAGTACCCACGGAGACCACATTTCCCTGAATCGATTATAATGATGCCACTATTTCAAATTAGAGCTGGAGGAGAATGAAGATGTCACAGTGGCCTGGCAAGATCTGCTACTTGTTCTTTCTCTTTACTGCTCTCCCAAGCCTGGTCATTATTTCCACTGTCGCCCCCTGGCATTAGGGCTATCACTATGGGCTGCAGAATTGAGTTATTCACCTAAAGATGAAATCCAGGTGAAATCCATTTCTATCCAGATGAAGTCATACTGAAATAAATGTTGAAAGCAAATATAAGGAGAAAAAGAAGTTGCAAAAGTCAGTGTTAAGGGTTTATTTAGAGGCACACTAAAAAACATTCTATGACCTACTGCCTGTTATATTAGCGATGGAGGGGAACTTAGAGATAAAGCGTTATTTTGTTTATTTGTTTGTTGGTTTTCTCTGTTGTTGATTGGGTTTTTAAAAGATTGTTTTAGCGTGAAATGACAAAATCAGCTTTTTGTCACTGAGTGGGTCCTTAAGCTGTTGCCTAGACACCAATTGCTCAAAGGCTAAACTTTTCACTCTAGTACATCATATCTTGTTTTAGTGACCCCCGAGCATCTTTTTAATCCTTCTCCATTTCATACAGAAACTAGCCTCAGCCAAGTGACCATTCCCACGCTGACTTCCACCAGCTCCTGTGGGTGTACTCTGACAGCACTTTGCCTTGGGGCAAATTTTCTGACCTCTTTTTGATGGCAAATAGTTGTCAATAATACGCTACCTGGCATTTTCTTAAAAAGTTTAATTGCACTTACAGAATTTTGCTAAGATAAGAAATATTTTAACAATGAATGACAAAGAAGCTCATACTATAGTGAGAGCATGGAAACAGATGTTTGAAAGTATTTCCATCATCATAAGATTTTTTTATTTGTCAAAAATGATATATGCCACCAATAAACAATCTCATATTTGGGTCCCCAACAACTTGTTTAAAATCTTCCCAATGAAGATTTTCAGTAAAATTAAAATCCATTTATTCAAAATATAAGAAATTCTCACTTTTCAACTAGCTTTCAAAAACAATTTTTAAAATTTTTTTCTTATTTTTAATTTTTGTGGATACATAGTAGGTGTTTATATTTATGGGATACTTGAGATGTTTTGATATGGCATGCATATCAACCATGCCATGTGAAATAAACACGTCATGGGGAATGGGGTACCCACCCCTCAAGCCTTTATCCTTTGAGTTACAAACAATCCAATTATACTCTTTAAGTTATTTTAAAATAGACAATTAAGTTACTATTGACTATAGCCATCCTATTATGCTATCAAATAGTAGGTCTTATTCATTCTTTTTATTTTTTTGGTACCCGTTAAACATTCCCAACCCACCCCAACACCCCACTACCCTTCCCAGGCTCTGGTAACCATCCTTCTATTCTCTATGTCCATGAGAAGAACAATTATTTGACATCAGGGAGGATGGAAAATAACTAAGCTAAATTTTAGCGAAAACCTTTGCAGGGTTGCTGAACGGAACTGAAAAACGAGTCTATGGCTTAGTGGCAGAGCCAGCCATACACTTCTTTCACTGGGATCTAGGCCTCTTTGCAAGAAATATTTCTTCCCTACGACAGCCACTAAAACTAGGCATCTAAATAAATTGGAATTGGACTCAGACCTTTACTTTATCACAAAGTGTTAAATCAGATTTCAAAATTAACACATCATTTTTTAACCATGTCAGTCTTTAAAAAATGATAGTAATATTCTTCACTTTTTGGGAAAATCCTGTTTAATGAATACTTTGTAATACAATAATTAGAAGGTTGGTCTTAAGGTTGATTTATTTTAAAAAAGTACTTTATCCATTGTTCAATTTTCTTTCAAAACATCTACTTTTTTCTCATTGTTAGAACATCCCCTTTATCTCAAAAGAATACACGATGTGTTTATTTATTTGTTTACTTATTTTTTAATTTTTTTATTTTTGAGATGGAGTCTCGCTCTGTTGCCCAGGCTGGAGTGCAGCGGTGCCATCTCAGCTCACTGCAACCTCCACCTCCTGGGTTCAAGGGATTCTCCTGCCTCAGCCTCCCGAGTATCTAGGACTACAGGCTCCCACCACCATGTCCGGCTAATTGTGTATTTTTAGTAGAGACGGGGTTTCACCATGTTGGCCAGGCTGGTTTCGAATTCCTGACCTTGGGATCCACCCGCCTCAGCCTCCCAAAATGCTAGGATTACAGGCGTGAGGCACCGCACCTGGACCTTGTTTTTTATTTTTAAGAGATGGGATTTCACTCTTTCACCCAGGGTGGAATGTAGTGGCAGTATCATAGCTCACTGTAATTTCAAACTCCTGGACTCCAGCAATTCTCTTACCTCTCAGCCTCCCAGGTAGCTGGGACTACAGGTGAGTGCCACCACACTTAGTTAATTTTTAAATTTTTTGTAGAGATGGGATCTTGTATGTTACCCAGGCTGGTCTCGAACTCCTAGGCTCAAGCAATCCTCCCACCTTGGCCTCCCAAAGCTCTGGGATTACATGCGTGAGGCACCATGCCCAGCTTCAAAATATGTTTATTTAATATTTAATTGAAAAGCCTTGTGTCTTCCCATCACACTAAGAATAAATTCCTGTTCTTTAAAATCCTATATAACCTGGCCCCTGCCTACCTTCAGCCTTATCTCCTTCCAGCCTTCCTCTCCCTGCACTGGTCTTCCTTAGGAGCACACCAAGCTCATCTGTCTTGGGGCCGTCACACTTCCTCTGCTCCAAAGCTCTGCTTCCTGATCTTTGCATGACTGGCTTCTTCCCTTCATTCAGGCCTGCATTTAAATTTCATCACCCTACATAGGCCAATCCCAATCACTGCAGGGGCCAAGAGAAAACTTTCTCTTCACCCTCTAAAGGCCCAGCTTCCTGAAAACCAGTGGACAAAAGTCAGATGAATAGGAGAAAAGGCATGTGCATGGGGGAGAATCACAGAGTGATTAATTCACCATACAATGGGGTATGGATGGTTATATACCCTTCCTCTTAGGGGAAAGGGAGGTGGGGAAGTGTGAAAGATTTTAGGGGAGTGGCAAATTATTTTTAGGCAAATTCAACAGTCTTGAAGAATATACAGTGGACTGGGACAAAGTCTGTTGGGCCTGCAGAACAGACAGTGGTTTGTGACAAGTCTGTCCAGGTGTGTTGACAGACTTCAGTCTTTCTTCGGGCCCTGTGAGTTCAGTTAATGAAATACACTCAGGGAAGGCAACAGAGGTAATTATTTTCTTTGACAGGCCCAAATTTTAAGCAGATAAGGGAACTTCAGAGAACAGCTTCATCCTTTGCTTTGACAGAGACAACAGATGAGAGACAGAAGGTGGGGGGATAGTCAGAGAGACCTTGAGGCTTCGTCTTCAGTTCCACATGTCTAAGCACCATATTTTGGGATATCTGTTTCTGAGCCCCAACATCACCTAACTTAAAAAAACATCACTACCTTATTAAATCATCTGCATAGCACTTCTCTGCTACCACTTGGTTAATTTCCCTTGTTTATGCATCATTTGTTTATTGTCTGATTTGCTCACTAGAATGCAAGCTCCATGATAGCAAGGACTTTATCTTGTTCATTCCTCTAACTAGTGATTAGCCTACATTGGGCTTTCAATAAATATTATTGAATTTAAAAATGAAGACTCCTGTCTCTCTCTCAGAGTTATAACCGACGGTATTATGTCAGATTCCTGCCAGATATATGACTGTATTACATCAGATTCCTACAAAAAAACAATCAAGTAAGCTATAGTAAAGTATCCAGCTCTAAGTAAGCTACTACTTCCAAGATGACGTCCATGTTTCACTACCCGGGGCCAAGTGAAGGACTTGGTAAAGGATGTGATGAATTGACTCACCGGCTGTATTGATGAAAATCATTGGTTACATTGGTAACAAGTCCAAAGTTAACTCTGACTCCACAGAAACACTGCTTGCAATTACTCATTTTTGATTAGTATGTATTAAACTATTCATGACTCAAAAACAAGTTAGATACTAAGATGGTGCCATAATGAATAATATGTCCAAAAGTTCTTCAATCACATAAAAATTCTCATTGCCATCCTGAGTAAATATAGCCAAGAAATTCTGATTTATATTATGTTCTTCTCAGTTGTGGTAGGACTTGCCACAGATAATTTCTCAAGATTTCCTGCAAGTTCAAGGTCATGCTTTCAACAGACCGAGCAGCAGTATTTTCAGGAAGACAGAGATATGCAAATGCTATGACAATTTTACGTACTCATTAGAAAAGATTTTTAAGCCCAGCCAGTTCTTTGATTTGGTACACAATTGCATTTCACAGAAACAATGTTTTCATTCATATTCAAAAGCATTGTTTGTCAATATTTCAGTTAATGTTATCTTTCATTAGCTTTATCATCACATATCTTAGGTAAGGTCATAGTTGTAAAAAGTTGTTTCATAATGACCTCTCAAGCTGTATTCTTTTGACACGGAAACATTTTGTTTTAAGTACAGAGGAATAGTCTCATTTCCAAAAGAATAATGCTTATGCCCATTTTCCTTTTTCCCTGAAACTTAAAGCTTCATGGTAGGGTTGTCAGATTTAGCAAATAAAAATACAGGATACCTAATTAAATTGAATGTCAGATAAGCAACTATTGCATGAGACATACTTATATGAAAAAGTCATTCGTTGTTTATCTGACATTCAGATATAACTGGGTATGTTATCTGGCCACCCTGGTCTATCTTCGTTTTTCCCACTTTTGATAGAGACATAGGTTGAAATATACTCAGATGGTTTCCAGGAAGTAACGACATCTTTAATACTTTCTTGTTAGTGATCTTTAAATGTTGTCAGCTTTTAAAAATCGAAGTAGGGAACTAATACTTCTGACCAAGATGAATATCGGAAGTCTGAAACACTGAAAAAAAAACTCAGATAAAATAAATGAAATATCAGTTCTCAAGATGTTGGAAATCAGGCCACCGAAGGATTTCATTATGTCAAACAATTAAACAGCAAATATTGACTCAGCTTTTACCATGTCGTAAGTCATTGTATTACAACATGCCACAAACACAAGAAGAGAAAAAAAAGACAATCTCTCAGTCCTTGGAGAATTTACAATTTGGTAGGAAAGATAACACGGATACACACAAAAAGATAATAAACAGTACAAGGAAGTAGGTGGTAAGTGCCAAAAGAGTAACACAGATAAGAGGAGGCAGGAGATCAGTTTCATCTGTGTCTTTGGAGAAACAGTCAAGCTAAAGGCCTCAAAGGGAGAGAGGACAGGAAAGAGAGTATTTCACTAAATGCTTTACATTCATTATTCCATTTAAGCCTCCCAATAACCCTACAAGGGAGTTATTATTATGATCACCAGTTTCCAGCTGAAAAAAGAATGAGCAGGTCTGAGAAACTTAACTATGGCTACACAGCTAGTAAGCAGCATCTCCACCTCCACCAGGTCCTCCTGACCCCAGAGCCTAAGCTTTTAACTACTAGTGCTACCTCTGAGATGAGGGGGGGAGTAGACTGGAAGCTCTACTGTTACATGAAACTCCTAGAGTTTTGAGTGGGAAAGCAAGATAAAATGACTATTTTAGAAAATGAATTCTTCACACACCATCCCAGACATTCTGGATACAAATGTCATTTGATCACATTGGATTGCAAGGAGACTAAAGAGAGTCAAAGATCAGAAACACTGTGAAATCAAAACAAACTGAAATGAGCTGGTGGTTATTTGCATATATAGGCAAGAGAGAAAGGGAAAAATCAAAGGTAAATGCAAGGCTAAAGATTACAGATACACACACACACACACACACACACACACTCTATTAGAACTAGTAAATTCAGCAAAGTTGCAGGATACAAAATAATCACACGAAAATCAGTTGTGTTTCTATATACTAACAATAAAAAACCTAAAAAGGAAATTTATAAAACAGCTCTATTTTCAATAGCATCAATAACAATAAAAAATTTAGGAATAAACTTAACCAAGCCAAGGGAAAAGAACTATAAAAACTATAAAACATTGCTGAAAGAAATGAAAGACAACACTAATAAATGGAAAGACATCCTGTGTTCATGGATTGGAAGACAATATCATGAAGATGTCAATACTATTCAATGTGATCTACAGAGGCAATGTAATCCCTATCAAAATCCCACCAGTGATTTTTGCAAAAGGAGAAAAATCCATACTAAAATTCATGTGGAATCTCAAAGGACTTCAAATAGCCAAAACAATCTTTAAAAAGAACAGAGTTGGAGGACTCACAATTCCTGATTTCAAAATTTACTACAAAGCTACAGTAATCAAAACAGTGTGGTACTGGCATAAGGACGGACATATAGACCAATGGAATAAAAGAGAGAAATAACCCTTCTCATATACCTTACAGTATATGAAATAACCCTTCCCATGTACCATATTGTCAAATGGTGCCAGAAATAACCCTTCTCATATACCATATGGTCAAATGATATTCCACAAGGGTGCTAAGACCATTCAATGGGAGAAGAACAGTCTTCAACAAATAGTGCAGGGAAAACTGGATATCTACATGCAAAATCATAAAGTTAACCCCTTCCTTCACATCACATAAAATATTAGCTTAAAATGAATCAGCTGGGCATGGTGGCTCACACATGTAATCCCAGCACTTTGGGAGATTGAGGCAGATGGATCACCTGAGGTCAGGAGTTCTAGACCAGCCTGGCCAACATGGTGAAACCCCGTCTCTACCAAAAATACAAAAATTATCCCGTTATCCTGGCATGGTGGTGTGCGCCCATAATCCCAGCTACTCAGGAGACTGAGGCACAAGAATCACTTGAACCCGGGAGGCACAGGTTGCAGGGGGCTGAGATCGCCCCACTGCACTCCAACCTGGGCGACAGAGCGAGACTCAATCTCAAAAATGAATCAAAGATCTAAACATAATAGCTAAAACTGTAACTCTTAAAATACAGAGGGATTTGGCAATTATTTCTTGGACATGACACCAATAGTACAGGCAACAAAGGAGAAAAATAGGTAAATTGGAATTTATCAAAATTAAAACCTTTTGTGCATTAAAGGTTACCATCAACAAAGTGAAAAGGCAAATCATATACCTGATAAGGGAGGGATTAATATCCAGAATATATAAAGAGCAATTCTACAACAACAACAGCAAAAACAACCCCCAAAATGGGCTAAGGATTTGAACGGATATTTCTTCAAAGAAGATATATAGATGGCCACAAGCACATGAAAAGATGTCCAGCATCACTTATCATTAGGGAAATGCAAATCAAAACTGCAATGAGAAATCCCTTTGCACCCATTGGTATGCCTGTTATAAACAAAATGAAAAGGAAAATAGAAGTACTGTGAGAATGTGGAGACACTGGAACCTTTATGCATTACTGGTGGGAATGTAAAATGGTTCAACTGCTGTAGGAAATGGTATAGCAGTTCTTCATTCAACACAGAATTAACAAATGATCTAGCAATTCCACTCCTGGGTCTACACCCAAAAGAACTTAAAGCAAGGACTAAAACAGATATTTGTATACCCATTTACATAGCACAATTATTCACAATAACCAATTAGTGGAAGAAATCCAAATGTCTACTGATGGATGAATGGATAAACAAAATGTGGCATATACATAAAGTTGAATATCATTCAGCCTCAAAAAGAAATGAAATTCTGACACATACTACAACATAGATGAACCTTGAAGACATTATGCTAAGTGAAATAAGTCGCACAAAAATACAAATACTGTATGATTTGTACACCATACAGGTACCTAGAGTAGTCAAATTCATAGAGACAGAATGTAAAATGGTGGTTGCCAGGGGGTTGGGCGAAAGGAGAATGGAGAGTTAGTGTTTAATTGATACAGTTGGATAAGATAAAAGAGTTTTGGAGATGGATGGTAGTGTGGTCAAACAACAATGTGAATGTGCTTAATGCCACTGAACTGTATACTTAAAAATGCCTAAAAGGCTGGGCACGGTGGCTCATGCCTGTAATCTCAGCACTCTGGGAGGCCGAGTCAGGCAGATCACCTGAGATTGGGAGTTTGAGAACAGCCTGACCAATATGGAGAAACCTTGTCTCTACTAAAAATACAATATTAGCCGGGCACCATGGTGCGTGACTGTAATCCTAGCTACTCACGAGGCTGAGGCAGGAGAATCGTTTGAACCGGAGAGGCAGAGGTTACGGTGAGCCGAGACTGCACCATTGCACTCCAGCCTGGGCAACAAGAGCGAAACTCCATCTCAAAAAAAAAAAAAATTACCTAAAATGGTACTCCACATTATGTATATTTTATCACAATAAAAAAATTAAAAAATATGTAATCCATAAATCCATGCAACTGTGCACTCAGAAACTACAGTATACCATTGTAACCACTCTGATTGTGGAAAATCCACTCTTCCCTCAGCATGCCCTGTGTGGCATATGTGATTTGTAGTTCTCTGAAATCTTAATCAAGAAAGGGCATCAGCATAAAATGTGTATTACATATTACATAAAGCTTAATTCTTTATTTTTTTCAGAGAAAAAAATAGAAGCTCTAATGTTTTCTTCTCGGACTGTGCCCTTTTGGAGGGACCATTTGTTTAAAGGAAAGGAAGAAAAGAGAGGCCAACAAAGACTGACAAGGTATAGTGAGCAAGGTCTGAGAATAACAAAAACAGTGTGTGCCTTGGAAGCAAAAGGAAGAAGGGGAGATAGAGTAGTTCACTGTGTACAATGCTGTTTGCAGGAGAGTAAGTTAAATGCAGTACCAGGTGTGGTGGCTGAAGCCTGTAATCCCAGGACTTTGGGAGGCCGAGACTGGAGGATTGCTGGAGCCCAGGAGTTGGAGACCAGCCTGGATGACATGGCAAAACCTCATCTCTACAAAAAATACAAAATTAGCCAGGTGTGGTGGCACAGGCCTGTAGTCCCAGCTACTTGGGAGGCTGAGGTGAGAGGATCACTGAAGCCCAGGAGTTCAAGGTTGCAGTGAGCTATGATTGCACCACTGCACTCCAGACTGGGCAATAGAGTGAGACCCTGTCTCTAATAAATTAAAAATCAAAAATTTAAAAATAATAAGTGCAGAGATGGGATCCTGGGGTTGGCAACATAAAGGACAGCAGAGACCTCGGCAAGAGTGATCTCCATGGTGTGATATGGACGGAAACTGGATGGAGTGGATTGAAGACAAGGTATGACAGGAAGAAGTGGAAACAGTAATTATATCACTGCCTTCAAAATGCTGTGCTTTGAAAGGGAGCACAGGAATGAGAGGGGAATTTGAAAGGTGCCATGATGCTAAATTAGATGTTGTTGTTGTTTTGTTTATTTATTTATTTTTTGAGACTGAATCTCGCTCTGTCGCCCAGGCTGGAGTGCAGTGGCATGATCTCAGCTCACTGCAACCTCCGCCTCCCCAGGTTAAAGCAATTCTCCTGTCAGCCTCCAGAGTAGCTGGGAGTAGCTGGGATGACAGGCACCTGCCACCACGCCCAGCTAATTTTTGTATTTTTAAGTAGAGACATGGTTTCACCATATTGGCCAGGCTGGTTTCAAACTCCTGACCTCAAATGATCTGCCCGCCTCAGCCTCCCAAAGTGCTGGGATTACAGGCATGAGTCACCTCACCTGACCTGTTATTGTTGTTTTATTATGGCAGATTACAGCATGTTTGGATGCTGGCAGGAAAAATCTAGAGGAACTGTAGAAGCAGAGTTCTTGAGCACAAGAAAGAGGACAGGGTCCAGAGCCACTGGGAGGAGATGGCAGAGAGAGGAGCGGGGTGGGGTGTGGGCAGGTAATACAGTGACTTTGGTGAAGGAGGGTTGAAGAGGGTCTTGTCTGATGAAGTGAGGTGAAGGAAGGAGAACTGTACATAGGTTACCTGATGGGAAAGAAGGTATTACATACCCAGCTTGGAGTTGGAAGAGGAAATATTTCAGGGATGTAAGAGGATCCTGGGAAGTACTGAGTACCCTTTGAGATCTGCAGTTACAGATTTATAGTGAGACTGTTCAGCAGGGCCATGTGTTTTTCTTCAGCAACACTTGGCTACTCAGGGACAGGCACAGCACAGACAGATGGTTGGTCTTAACCAGATTGGGGCTTTGCCAAAGTACAGCGGAGGAGAGAGACAAGAAGGAAGTTAATGAGGGTTGCAAAGCGTGCATTGGTGAAAGGTAGAAAGAGAATATTAGGGTGCAGACAGGGTTGGGTCCTTGTTGATGAAAAGGTCGTTGTCATAACAGTGGGTATCTGAAGTGGGTTAAGGAAGAGATATTTGGAGGCAAGAAGTCAAGGGACTGAGAGGCCATGGTACAAATGTGTGGCAGTGGGGCTATGTCACTGCAGCACAGGGCTTAGGACAGTCTAATCTGATCCTCCACAGTTCCACCTTGGCCAGAGATGTGGTTTTTGCTCCATGCCTCTATCCCTACACAAGATGACCAAGTTCTCCACCTTCTGATCAAGGACATTAGTAAATGTCCAGAAACAACGGGATGTCCCCAGTGGGTGGGAGCTTCCTTCCCGCTTGATGCTTGTTCGGCACTGAGTCCTGTCTACTCCACTTCCTGGTTCTTGCCACTGTGAGTCTGTCTTGCCCTCCCCCGCCCCGCCCCCTTTCATTTCAAGAACTCTGTTCTTTCTAGGCTTTCCTCTTCTTTGCAAACCATTTCCATTACCCTCTCTTTCTAGGTAAGCCTGTGTCAGAGTCTTTTTGTCTCATATTCACAGCAGAGGCATATGTGAGTTTTTGCTTCTTCATTGTGTGCTGGGATAGAGGAAAACTGCCTTCAGGCTTTTAGAGAGAGCAAAAAGAGGAGATAAATACACAGAAAACACTCAGGAAATTAGAGATGCACCCTGTCTCAGATGGATTATCCACAAGGCCATTGGAGTCATCAGAAAATGAAGACAGGAGTAGACGTGGAAGAGAGTGGGCCCAGTGTGAAAGTCATCAGTGATTGAGGGGGAGGATCAAGACAGATAGATGCCAGCAACAGAGGGGCAGCAGATGGAAAGTTTGTTGATGTGAACTTTGAAGGACAGTAGGAGTCATAAAGCCTGGAGACAGCATTTGGGGAGCAAAGAGGATTGTCTCCTCCTCCAGGTCCCGGGTGTCTGAAGCCTAAGAGGGATAAACAGTCTGCACTTTGGAGGCAAAATGCTGTATCAGGAGGCAAAGAGCTTTCCATTGCAGATGGAAAGGTCTATAAGGAACAAGATCCTCTGTCTGTCATGTTCAGCTTCACATCTCCAGCACCTTGTACAATGCAATGAGTGCCTGATGTGTGCTCAACAAATGTGTGTTGAGTAAGTGGAAGGGAAGTTAACTGAATCTGGTATTTATATTTCAGTCACATGCCACAACCCCATCACTCTTCGGAAGAAATGACAGTCTCTATCTTACTGACCCAGGAGATATGACTCTCGGGGGAACAAAGAACCTTCCTGGAGCCTTGTACATATTCGTGATGCCCAACAGAGCACCAATAACAGCACCTGATTATGCCCTTTGCTCACCTCTTAGCTCCCATTACCTCTAGCAGCGACAGAAGATAATAACTCAAGTGTTCTCTGTCCTTCTGATTGATCTGGCTTTCTATTGTTAAGAGTTTTGGGGAATTTTACAGGCCATTAAGTAATAAACCTTTGTTCTCCCTCTTAGCTCAAAACCAAATAAGAAATAGATGCTAGAATCAAGCATACTGACATAAAAATACCAGCTTTATTACTGATAAGACTTAACTGAAGATTACAATCTGAGCTATAGCCATTATCAGTATCCCTAAAAAGTCCCCTTCTCTACAGGACTCTGCTGACCTTGGAAAGGTTCAGGAAAGGTGGGCAAGGAGTAGTTGACCTTCATCAACAAAGAAAATTTAGAGAAGACTGGACCACACATGCTCTGTCCTTTCAAAAATAAATTACTTCCCAGGTTTGGGGAGAAGTGAGTGAAGGGACAGAGAAAACCTTGAAGGTTCCTCCCATATTTCTCTCTCTTACTGAGTGGACATTTTCTCCTTTCTTTGAAAATATGAAGAGGAGGATAGAGGGCTTCCTTCTAACACATACTAACTTTTAATTCTCCTACTGTGCTCAGTTCAGTATATGGTCAACCAGGATGGGCTGTTCCCATAGAAAAAGGGATCTGCTGCTTCTCAGGAAGGTGCTTCCCGCCTTCAGGGGAGACCCTTCCTCACCAACCATATCAGCCCCGGTTGATTCATACATCTTTCTAACATCACTGGTTGAACATTTAAATTTTCCCCACTGAAATGTCTGAAATGGTGAGAAGAATAACTATTGAATTAATCATACATCTACTAATTTGACCTGTCTTCCCACCCTTTTCTGTCTTCCCAGACTCTTCTGCTGTGACCTCTGGATCTCATGATATATCATTCGTAAACTCCCCTATCCCCCTAACATCTGGCTGGTTAAAATGTGAGTCATGGTACGTTTTAACACCAAAACATAACTGCTAGGGTTTGAATGTGTCCGCTCCAAAATGCAGGAGTTGCCAATGTGATAGTATTAAGATATGGGGCCTTTAAGAGGTGGTTAGACCATGAACCATGAGGACCTCTCCCTAGTGAATGAGATTAAGGCTCTTATACAAGAGGCTTCACACAGCCTTGGGCTCTCTTGTCTTTTAGCCTTCCGTGATGTAAGAACATAGTGTTCCTCCCCTCCAGAGGATGCAGCCCTTACCAGATAACCAAATCTGCTGGTGTCATGAGCTTAGACTTCCCAGCCTCCAGAATTGTCAAAAAATGAACTTATTTTCTTTATAAATTACCCAGTCTGTGGTATTCCGTTATAACAGCACAAGTGAACCAAGACACATACATAGCTATCAGTTAAATTTCTGGGTCATTTAATAACTCTATGTTTAAGTTTCTAAGGAATCGCCAAGCTGTTTTCCAAGTGGTTGTATCATTCCACTTCTCTACCAGCAATATATGAGGGTTCCCATTTTATAGCCTCACCAACACTTATTATCTTCTGTTTTTTAAAATTATAGCTATCCTAGTGGGTGTGAAGTGGTATCTCATTTTGGTTTTAATTGCATTTTCCTAGTGACTATGCCACTAAGCATCTTTTCACGTGCTTATTATATATTTGCATATCTTCTTTGGAAAAATGTCTACTTAAATCATTTGCTTATTTTAAATTGAGTAGTCTTTTTATTAATGAGTTATAAGAATTCTTTATATATTCCGAACATAATTTCCTCATCTGAGACATACAAATATTTTCTTTATTCTGTGGGTGTTTTTTCACTTTCTTGATGGTACCCTTTGAAGCACAAAAGATTTTAGTTATGATGAAGTACAATTTATGTGTTTTTTTGTTGCTGTGTTTCTGGAACCCATAGCCTAATCCAAGGTCATAAAGATTTATGCCTATGTTTCCTTCTAAGAGTTTTGTATTTTAGTCCTTTTCCCCCTTTTTGGTAATAGCTTTATTGAGATATAATTCATATGCCATACAATTCATCCATTTAAAGTATACAATCCAATAGTATTTAGTGTAGTCATGGAGTTGTGTAACCATCACAATTAATTTTAGAACATTTTCATCACCTCCAAAAAAAGTCCTGTACCATTTAGCTATCATGTCCTATTCTTCTCAACCCAACTCCCCAGCCTGAGGCAACTGCTAATCTACTTTCAGTCTCCATAGATCTGCCTATTCTAGAAATTTCATATAACTGGAATCACATTTGTGGTCTTCTGTGACTGGCTCTTTCACTTAGCATAATGCTTTCAAGGTTCAACCAGGTTGTAGCATATATCAGTACTTCATTCAGGCCAAATAATGTTCCATTGTATGGATATATCACTTTTGCCTATCCATTCATTGGTTGATGGACATTTGAGTTATTCCTATTTTGGGAATATTATAAACAATATTGCTATAAATATTCTCTCAATTTTTATTTATCTGAGGATGTTTTAATTTTTCTTTCATTTTTGAAGGATAGTGTTTCTGAAAAAATGCTTGATTGACAGTGTTTTCTTTCAGCATTTTGAATATATCATTCCACTGCCTTCTGGCCTCCACGATTTCTGATATATAACCAGCTGTTAATCTCTTTGAAGATTCCTTGTACTTGACATGTCTCTTCACTCTTGCTGCTTTCAAGATTATCTCTGTCTTTGCCTTTAGTCCCTTTTGTTATAATGTGTCTGGGTGTGTATCTCTTTGAGTTTATCCTCCTTAGAGTTTCTTGAGCTGCTGGGATGTGCAGATTAATGGTTTACATCAAATTTTAGAAGTTTGGCCATTATTTCTTCCATCATTTGTTTTTCCCCTTTTTCTTCATCCTTGGAATTCTCATTATGTGTATGTTAGTATCCTTCATGGTGTCTTACAGGTCTTTGAGTTTCTGTTCATTTTTCTTTGTTCTTTTTTTCTTTCTGTTCCTTGGACTAGATAATCTGAAATCAACTGTCTTCAGTTTTGCAGACTCTTGTGCCAGCTAAAATGTTCTGTTGAGCCCCAGAAGCTAATTTTCTTTTCAGTTATTATGATTTTCAGCTTTAGAATTTATTTTTTTAATATAATTTCTACCTCTTTTTTATATTCTCCATTTGGTGAGACATTCACATACTTTCTTCCAGTTTTTTTTTAGACGTAGTTTCCTTGAGTTCTTTGAGCATATTTAAAATAGTTGATTTAAAGTATTTGTCTAGTTACTCCACCATCTGAGTTTCCTCAGGGAAAATTTCTATTGCCTCCTTTTTTCCTGTGTGTGGTCGGTCCATACTTTCTTATTTCCTTGCATTTCTCACAATTTTTTGTTAAAAATGGGATGTTTTAAATTATATAATGTGACAAATATGGAAATCAGATTTCCCTTCAATTCTCAGGGTTTGTTTTTGCTATTTGTTTTTTAGTGAGTTTCCTGAATTCATTCTCCAAAGTATGATTTTTTTTTCATGTGTGACCACTGATATCTCTTCTTGGTTATCTTAATGGGCAGTTAATGACTGTACAGAGATTTCCTTAAACTCTTGGAACCAACAAGCCTGCCAGCCTTTGCTGAGGGGTGTTGTGTGCATATTGGGATTTGCCTCCAATGTTCAGACAGGCAGTTTACAATTCTGCTTCAAATTTCACTTTCTGCTTGCACAGAGACTGATAGTTAGCCAGAGGCGAGGGTTTAGGACCATCTCAGCAATTTCCTGGGCATGCGCATGCACACAGCCCTGTGCATATGTGTAGCCTTCTAGTTTCCCAGGAATATATCAGAGCTTTTCAAAGCTTATTATTAATATCTTATTCTCCCGCATTTCCTTTTAAGTTTTTGGTCAGCTTGTTGTTTGTCCTAGCTGTTATCATCACAAGCCTCGTGCAGCTGTAATGTTAAATAATTGCCACTAATTGTTTTTGACAAATACCTTTGGGTAAAATGCTGTTCATGGTGAGTGCTCCCTGAGTCGGGTCGAATAAAGACAAGTCTTATGAGTGAGATTTTCCAGGAACCTGCCAGACAGGTCACGTAATGACCATTATCTAGGAATGGGGCTTCAACATTCTGTTCCCTCCAGTGGCTTCTAGATTGTTAGCTTTCACCATGATTGCAGTTCTCTTTGTTTTCAAGGCTACTCTAGAGCTGGGGAGAGGAGCATGAGGACAGAGTAGGTTAAAATGCCATCAAGCCTCCTGTTCTTACCAGGATTCAGCCATTTTTCTTGCCTAAGCACTCAAATTTTTGCAAGCCTTTGGTTAATTTTCAGAGTTATGAAAAGTTGAATTTGACAGTTGTTTTTTTTTTTTTGCCAGTGTTCTTGTTGCTTTTATGGAGAAATAAATTTTCAGAGGTTCTTACTCTGCCATCCTTGAACTATTGTCCAGGTCCCAGTATTATTTTTTTAACTTTTTATTTTGACAAAATTATGAAATCACCTGCAGTTGTAGGAAGTAATACAAAGAAATCTCATATACCTTTTACTCAGTTTCTTTTCATGGTAACAGCTTGCATAACTAGAGTACAATATCCTAACCAGAAAACTTATACTGCTGCAAACTATTGACTTTATTCAGTTGTTACCAGATTTGCATACATTCACTTGTGTATGTGTGGTGTGTGTGTGTGTGTGTGTGTATGCATAAGTAGGTGTGTTTAGTTCTATGCAATTTTACCACGGTTAAGTTACATAATGGTTCTATCACAACGATCCTTCATGTTATTCTTTATTCCTTCATAGCCAGTCATGTCAACTCTTCCCCAAACCACCACTCCTAACATCTGTTCTCTAAGTCTATAATGTCATCTCAAGAGTGTCATGGAGTATATCATTCAATGAAATATCATTTGGCAATTAAAAGACAGTACTGACACATGGCACAACATGGATGAACCTTGAAAATATGCCACGTGAAAGAAGCCAAGCACAAAGGATCACACAACGGATGACTCCATTTCTTTTTGAAATGTCCAGAATAGACAAATCTGTAGAGACAGAAAGGAGATTAGTAGTTGCCATGGGCTGGGTGGGATGGGGGGAATTTTTGGTGATGGCTAAGTGATCTAGAAGGGAGGGCTTAATAAAAATGTCCTAAGATTGATTGTGGTGATGGTTGCACCTCTGTGAATATACTAAAAGCCATTGAATTGTACACTTTAAATGGGTGAATTACATGGCACGTGAACTATATCTCAATAAAGGTGTTTTTTAAAAAAAGAATGCAATGGAAATAGAGTCAGACAATAGGTGACTCTCTGAGACTGGTCCTATCATTTTAAAGCAAAAGTTTGGTCCCAGAGAAAGTATCTGTTGCAGATGTAGTAGATACATAATAATACAGTACAGAAAAGTTAGATATGAGCTATCATAGTTGAGTGTGGTAAGAGGTCACTTGGCATGGTCAGAAGGAAGGGGAGAACCTGCCAGCTCTCAGAGGAGTCTAGGTGGGATTACCATGCACATATAAATACAATCCAGGTGGGTCTCTTTTCAAGTCTACTCCAAGGATGAGATTTCTCAACTCTTTCTGGAACTGGACCCAAATGGGATGGATGAAAATAAGCTGTTTCAGCTCAATTCAGATAAGGCTTTTATTGGAAGAGAAAGCCAACAACGATAGAAATTTACACATACACTGAGGTTCACCGCCTCAGCTGCTTCTAGATTCACAGATAAAAACCATAGAGCAGAGTTCCTTTCTGTACTTGGCACAGAGATTAAACACCCTCATATGTGGCTCTTATCTTGTTTTGTACTTTTACTTCCCTCCGCACTAGATCATTACAAAGCTTTCTACTGGGAGAGACACGTTTCTAGACCTTATGTAATTATTTTCTGGTAGAAATGGAGTGACTCATTCAACTATAGAACGCTGTCCCTTGATCAGTGTTATCGTGGTTACTCACCATCGATCAGCATTCAGTAGAAGTAAGCTTGATTGCAATTAGCCTTTGTAGATCAGTGCATGATATAGTTTCAAAGCTAGAAATTTGAGAATTGAACATTTTCAAAAAGAGCTCCTAAAGGCAAATCCTTTAATAATTTCAAAATATCAAGAACTCACAATTTTCTGAGATAGATAGCTTATATGAATGGTCTCTATTTGAGAGAGAGAGAGAGAGGTAAAAGGTTATTTGCCGTTACTCTGACACTGGGTTCCTGCCCATTGTGTATTGCACTTTCACAGTAGAACAAAACTGCAAGAGTAATTAATCCTTAACTGGCTAAATAAACTCTCTCTCACAGAGCATTACCTTCTCTGACTTTAGAGATATTAACTACCGTAGAAATGTTTCACAAACGTGGTATTTCATGAACGTTAGAACAGAGTTCATTCTCTAAACCAGGGTTGGCAAACGTTTTCTGTAAAGGGCTAGATATTAACTATTTTAGATTTTGTGGACCACGTAGTCTCTGTTGAAACTAATCTACTCTGCCATGGTAGCCCAAACACAGCCATAGATAATAAGTAAATGAAGAGGTATGACTGTGTTCCAACGAAGCTTTATTTGTGAACACTGAAGTTTGAATTTTATATCAATTTCCACTGTTATAAAAATGTTGTTTTGATTTTTTTTCCAAAAATTTTTTTTTCTTAGTTCACAGGCTCTATAGAAACAGGGATGGAGCCAGATTTGGCCTGTGGGGCTTCGTCTGTCTGCTCCTGCTCTAACTGATGGAAGAGTAAAAACATCATAGGCTGTACAGAAGAGTGGTTTGGAAGCTGTGACTTGGTATCAGGCAGATATGAGTTTGAATACTGGCTTTTCCACTCACTAGGTGTATGACCTTGGGCAAGTTACACAACCTGTTTAAACCTCAGCGTCCTCATCTATAAAAGTGAGGATGATAACAGCCACTAATAGGAATGCTGTAAAAATTAAATGAAATAATACATGTATGTTTAGCACATACATGGTCATAGTGAATGCAGTTAAACCTACAGCAAGTGTCATGAGAAGTACAAAGCCTTTCCTTTTCTCAGATCTGTATCCGCACCCTGGAATTCATAGAGGGATATTTATCAAGACAGTATGGATCAGGCCAAATCTTAGAGTCATTCCTGAGTCCTATTCTCTTTTCCCCCCATTCAATTCAGCAGCAAATCATGTCTTCTCTAACTTCAAAATTTTCCCAGAATCTGACCATTTCTCCACAACCATCACCCTAATCCATGCCACCATCAACTCTCATCTGGTCTTTCTGGTTCCACCCTTGCCTCCTCTCACCTAATCTCTGCAGAAATGCTTCTAAAATATAACTCAGATTGCTTCATTCCTCTTCCCCAAACCCTCTAATCATTCATGCAGAGGAAAATCCCAGGTCCTTACCATCTAAGCCCTCTGGTCTCCTACACTCTTCCCCTTGCTCCCTCAGCCCCAGCCAGAGTGGCATCGTTGTCCTTCAAAACTGTCAATCCTGCTCCCACTTCCCACTTAATATTTGTTGGTATGTCTGTCTGGAATGTTCTTCTCCCAGATAACAAAGTAGTTTCAATTTTACTAGTTCCCTCACGTCACTGCCCAAATATAATATTATTAGAAAAGCATTTCCTGACTCTCCTTAAATGATCTCATCCTACTTGGTGGTCATATTACCACCTCCCACTATATTTCATATTTATTTGTGGATTGGATGCCTCCCCCTTCTAGAAGGTAAGCTCATGAAAGCAGACTTTATGTATCTTGTTTACAGCTGCATCCTCAATGTCTAAAACAGTGCCTGACACTGAGTAGTTTCAAATTTGTTGAGTGAATTAATAAATGACTTTTTGCTGCTCTAAAATTTTCTCAAGTTCGTGAGCTTCTTGAGTATTATTCTTATATTCATTAGATTATATGTTTTGCTGTGTATAAGAAACAGATTAGAGAGAAATTAATTTACTTATTTATTACTCAAGATTCTGGAGGTAGGAGATTTAGATTCCAATGTCTGCTTGTTACCAAGTTCCAAAGTCACTTCCACATTTTCAGATATCTTTATAGCAATGCCCCATTCCTTGGTACCAATTTTCCATTTTAGTCTGTTTCCGCATTGCTATTTAAAAAAATACCTGAAGGCAGGGTGTGGTGGCTCATGTCTGTAATCCTAGCACTTTGGGAGGCTGAGGTGGGTGGATCATTTGAGGTCAGGAGCTCGAGACCAGCCTGACCAATATGGTGAAACCCCACCTCTACTAAAAATACAAAAAAATTAGCCAGGCATGGTGGCATGTGCCTGTAGTTCCCAGCTACTGGGGAGGCTGAGACAGGAGAATTGCTTGAACCCGGGAGGCGGAGGTTGCAGTGAGCCGAGGTTCTGCCACTGCACTCCAGCCTGGGCAATGAAGTGAGACTCCGTCTCAAAAACAAACAAACAGACAAACAAACCAACAAAAAAACACAAAAACACCTGAGACTGGGTAATTTATAAAGAAAAGAGGTTTAGTTGGCTCACTGATATGGTTTGGCTATGTCCCCACCCAAGTCTCGTCTTGAATTCCCTCATGTTGTGGGAGGGACCCAGTGGGAGGTAATTAAATCATGGGGGCAAGTCTTTCCCATGCTGTTCTCGTGACAGTGAATAAATCTCATGAGATCTGACGGTTTTATAAAGAGGAGTTCCCCTGCACAAGCTCTCTTTGTCTGCTGCCATCCATGTAAGACATGACTTGCTCCTCCTTGCCTTCTGCCATGATTGTGAGGCCTCCCCAGCCATGTGGAACTGTGAGTCCATTAAACCTTTTAACTGTATAAATTACCCAGTCTCAGGGATGTCTTTATTAGCAGTGTGAAAATGGACTAATACACTCATAGTTCAGCAGTCTGTACAGGAAGCATGGTGGCTTCTGCTTCTGGGGAGGCCTCAGGGATCTTTTACTCAGGAGATTTGTCCAGGTAATGAGGCTTCCTCTAATTTGTTGCTATGATTTCTAAAGTGTGTTGTCCTTTTCTGAATGATCCACAATGGGTCTCTATTATATATATACTTATTTCAAGCAGCAGGAAGGAGGAAGAGGTGGGAAAGCCACACATAGACTCTATTTAAGGATACGTTCTGTAAATTGTACGAAACATTTCCACTCACTTCTCATTGTAAAATTTTATCAAGTCCAGGCATGATAGCTCATACCTGTAATCCCAGCAGTTTGGGAGGCCAAAGAGGGAGGATTGTTTGAGCCTAGGAGTTCAAGACCAGCCTGGGCAACGTGGCCAGACTCTGTCTCTATAAAAAAACAAAACTTAGTCTGCTGTGGAGGCTGTAGTCTTTCTTTTCAGTAGCCTTATGTCCAGCTAAGAATCAGTATCTCTATTTCTGTAAGGGAGGAGCAAATATGCATTGGGAGGGGGTTAGTCTTTGTTGTAGTTCTCTGTATATTTTTTTCTCCTCATTTCAAAAAAATGTAGCCAAACCTAGGAGGCCCTCACTGAGTCCTGATTCTTGGCCCAAGTGCTGGAGAAACTGCCTGGATAGTCAGTATTCCTTCGCTATAGTAAGATGCTAGGAAACTGGCTTTTTGTTGAATTGGGTTTATTAATCGAATTGATAATTCATTTTCTTCAGATTTACATTCCAAAAAAAGGAAGTGTTTTCTGAATATTTGAAATTATCTTTCTTAGTTTGCATAGCTTAGTACCTGATATCCTCTGAAATAGCCATTCTGGGTTAGCTTCACGGGCCTGTGACCTATGCAATTACACAGGGCTCCACACTGGGTCAATGCTCTTCTGTCTCCATCTTGCAGTTCTTAATAATGTTATCTTTGAATCTGCGCTTTGTAAGTGAAGTCCAAAGGGAAAATGCAGCGTGCACCTGAGCAGAGGCTGAATACATGTAATACACATGCCATCACTGGCTGGCCTTTTTGCATATAGAGTTGAGATACCCATGAACACAGAATGCCAGTGGACATTCAATGGATGGGAACTGTGAGACTCAAAGCACATATAAGTAAGCGTTTTATATGTCTTGACTGAGTGAGCTGGGCACTGGCAGCCCTGGGAAGCCAAGCTTTGTGTTCAAACCTTGCCTCACTTTGAATCCTGAAAGAAGGCTGTAGTGTTCCAAGCAACACAAATAACTGACTAACTCTATGATATCCTACCTTACTTGTGTTACTTCTCCATGTGAGTCAACTACTTTTGCTGAAAAGGATGATGTACAAGAAAGGGAAAGATAGCTCCTTTTCCTTTCAGTTCTTCTTAACGTCAGTAAGTCAAAAGTAGAAAGTGTTGGTAGAACATGCAGGCATTAAGAAGTGAAATAACAACAGTTGAGTCAATTTTGTATGGTGTTGTTCTGTTAAGAACAAAATACATAGGCGTGTGAGAACTACAAAATACAAATTGTGTAAGTTCAGCAATTCTGCATACGAATTAAATGCTCTTATATTTATATTGAAACCGGCTATGCACAATATAAAGATGAATGCTAAACCATGATAATAATTTACAATTTTAATTTTTCTTTACTTAAAGTGATGTTTTCTTTACTTAAAGTGACAAAATAAAAAGCACCATGGCCTGTTGAGAGAGCGAGACTGCAGAAGAAAGGAAAAGCTTTATAGTATTTTACCATCTTTTATGGTACGTTTCTCTCTTGCTTTTTGAACAAGTCCTGCATTTTCATTTTGCACTGGGCTTTGCCAATTATGCATCCAGCTCAGTATTCATTTTAGTTAAACCCTGCATAAATTTCAGTCTGTTCTTAGCCACGCTGTCCCATGCCAAAGGGCATTTCACAGCCATGGTGTTATTCTTTCTCAAGCCTCTCTGCTTTTATGGTCATTTTCTCACCTATTGGAAATCCCTGGATGTATCAAAGGGGATCTATTGCCTTGAATTGAGAGCTGCTCTAAGAACAGTCTGGCTACACCCAAGCTCTGTATTGTGTAGTGTTCAGTAATTCATTACTCTTGCTTTGCTTTTCTGATTTGCCAAGAGTTTAATTGTTCATTTTGTGGTTCCAACGGTTGTTTCATTGCCTTGCTTTTCTATATAATTATTATAAAGACACCACTTTAAAATATCAAACCTCTCTAAATGACATCCCATCCATCTCCGAGTTTGAGCCATAAGCCTAATCATCTCAGGGAAAGAGACCACAGGTAGAGAACAAATAGGGCATTTCCCAGCTTCATGTCCTAAGGATGACTTCTTTTTTGAATTGAAAGAGAGAGACAGACAGACAGACAGAGAGATTTGAGTGCCAGGATTTCTTAAGAGATCAGGGATTTTCAAATGCATGCATTATCTATTAATATATAATAGGACCAGTTATTACAAATTACCTAGTGAAGAAAGTTTTGTACTGATAGAAAGCGAGTAAAGGAAGCCTGCCCTATCTGGCTATGGTAGGTGATGATCTATTGCAGTTGGTGGAGTGGAACAGAAAAAAAAACCAAACAACTTTAGTTTTGGGGTAGGGACAGAAATATATCTTGGGTTTGGCCCGTTAGAGGTTTCTTCCAGATGCGAGAGGGATAGGAGGACTCGTGTAGACACCCGGATTTACAGCTCCTGCCTAAGACTACAGTTGAACTGGAACAATAGAAAATGTCCCTCACTACAAGGCTAGTACATGCTGACCAACAGCCAACTTCTGAGGGAAGTTCATGAGAATGGAAAGAGATCTTCCCTGATACACAGGCACAAAGAGAAAATCTGAAGCTGAGGCTGCAGCTGTCATTACTAACAAACAAAAACCCTCTGGTAAATCAGCCCCCAAACCCACACCCTAAACCCAAGTTAATTCCGGAGGGATTTAAAATTGAGAGTGGCACATTGAAAATAACTGTAGTAATGACAAAACTTAAACTTAGGCTATCTCACGACTAGATTGACTCAGCTCCCCAAACCAATTGCCTAGTAAAGATGAGGTATGCCTATTTCCAGGCATAAATAGTGTTTACCTCAGTCTCTACTGCCCTGCACATGATGTCTTTTTCAGTAGAAGAATAAGAAACACTACCCTGTGAAGAAACAAAACAGTCAACAAAACTAGGCTCAGATATGTCACAGATGTTGGAATTATCAGTCAGGGAATTAAAGATAGTGATGACTGGCCAGGCACAGTGGCTCATTCCTGTAATCCCAGCACTTTGGAAAGCTGAGGTGGGAGGATCACTTTAGGCCAGAAATTTGAAGCCAGCCTGGTCAACATGGCAAGATCCTGTCTCTACAAGAAAAAAAAAATTAAAAATTAGCCAGGTGTTCACCATCATCCTGAAGCAGCTGGATTGATAGAGTGGTGGACCAGGCATGGTGGTTTGTGCCTGTAGTCATGGCTACCTGGGAGGCTGAGGTGGAAGGATTGATGGAACCCAAAAGTTTGAGGCTGCAATGAGTTATGATTGTGCCACTCCACCTCAGCCTCGATGACAGATAGTCATTTCAGTAAAGACATAAAAATTATAAAAACAAATGAAATGGAAATGATTGGTAGCATGTTAACAGAGATGAAGAATACCTTTGAGAGGTTTATCAGCAGACTCAGTTAAATAATCACTAAATGTGAAGATGATTTAATAAAAATTTCCCAAAATAAAACACAAAGAAGGGAGCAAAAAAGAAAATGTAGAGCATGCAAGCATTGTGGGGGAAAAAATCAAACATCTATTTGGAACCCCAGAAGAAGAAGAGTGAGTGAACAGGGCAGAATAAGTATATGGAAATGATGGCTGAGAATTTTCCAAAATTAATGAGATACCAAATCAACACTCTAGGAGTCTCAATGAACACAAGTCAGTATATATAAGAAAACAAAATGAAACAGGAATCACAGATACATAAGCGTCATGTTCAATTGCCAGAAACCAACAAAAAAGAGAAAAACTTTGAAGACAGCTGGAGGAAAAATAATACACATTATGTACAGAACAAAGGTAAAAATTATAGCAGACTTCTAGTCAGAAACTATGCAGACCAATTGACAATAAAGTGACATTGCTAAAGCACTAAAAGAAAAAAGAAAACTATCAACCCAGATCTTCCTTCACTGATTCAATAAATGAGTCAATAATACTAATGTGATAACAAGGTAAGTCAAGTAATATGTTTCAACAGTCATGTATTCTAGAGTAATTACTTTCTTTTTTTAAACTTAATGCTAAATATTCTTTCTTGAGTACTATTATGAATTCGTGAATTTTTCTATAAAACCTATTTCACATATATATCATTTTCTTTGATGTTCTAATTGTTTTATCCTAGCCAATGTTTAATTGTTTTAGCTGTTTATTGAGTCCTTTGGACCCAGCTTTATAATATGAAAATTTTCTTTCTTTCTGACCTGATAAGGTATCCCAGACTTATATTATACCTTCTGTGCATCAGACACAGAATCAGTCATTTTTCCCAAGGATTCTGGGTACATGTAATGGAAAATGGTATTAAGGACCAAATTCCAGACCCTAGAGGAAGAGATCCAGTTTGTATTGAAGGTGTTAGATTACTCCCAGGCCATTTCAGTGGGCAGAGCTAGAATATATCTATATCTTCACCTATTTTTAACTTTTTATACTTTTTTTCTAAATTAACCAAGTGTTAACATTTGGCCACATTTATCACTCTATTTTATGTGTACATACATTAATTAATATTAATAGTGTCAATATTATTAAGCTGAACTTAATGAGATATTAAGTTACAGAGACCATAAACATTAATCCCTAAATACTTCAGTATATACTTCTTCAGAATAAGAACATTCTTTTACATTATTAGACTATAATAAAATCCAGGAAACTTAACATTGACATACTACTTTTATCTATGGTAACTTCCATGTTTAAGTTTTTCAAAATGTCTTAACAATATCCTTCATAGCAATTTTTTTCATAATTCAAGAGCCAGATCAGGATTATGCATTGTATTTAGTAATCATGTACTTTGATCTCCTTTAATCTGGAACAATTCCTGAACCTTTCTTTGTTTTCTTGTCATTGGCAGTTTTGAAGAATGAAAGCCAGTTATTTTGTAGCTTGTTTTTACATTTGGGTCTGCTTGATTGTTTTCTCATGTTTAAATGGAAGATTATACATTTTGATAGGAATTTTACATTAATGATGACATAATTTTTGGTGCATCACAAATAAACCTGGTTCCCATTATTGGTGATGTTAAGGTGAATCAAATTCAGTTAAGGTGGAGACTACCAGATTTCTTCCCTGTGGTTCCTGTGTTCTTCTCTGTAGTTAATAATCTCTAAGGAGATACTTTGAGATTATGTAAAAATCCTGCTCCCCTTAAACTACCAACCAATAGCTTTAGCATCCATTGATGGACTTTTTTTCACAAATAATTACCATGATGGTTGCAAAATGGTAGGTTTTCTAACTCTGTGATTCCTTCTGCATTTATTAATTGACATTCCATTGAAAAGAGATTTTCATTCCTGCTTCCCCCACCCCTTGCTTTTCCTCCTTGCTTTTCTTTAGTATGAATTTAAGAAAGTGATACATTCCCTCAAGAGGGTTTAGCCCAAGTTCATCTCTCTTGGACCATGGAATACCTCACCAGTCACTGAAAGCCTCATGTCTTTTGACTGTCGGAGATTCTACATGAATAATCCTTGGACATGAAGCTATGTGTATCAAATCTATGCTTCTCTTCTGGGGCATTAGGGAGTGGCGAGTTATGTAATTCTAATGTTAAATATTCAAGACATACACTAATAAAACCAGCACAATAGTAAGAGGGCTATGTATATTTGGAAATATTCTTGTTTTATAAATAATTGGCATGGTAAACAATTATGTTGCTCACTGCAAGGCTGTTTCCATGCCAATGAACAAGTATTTTATTCTCTTTTCATTTTCTTCTTGACGATTTTAAAAAGTACTCTGCCTTGAATTTGGTTGTTGCTGTTAACTCTTCCGTAGACATTAGTTTGCAATACACACCTAAAATATGAGTTTAAGAAAGTCTGAATATATTTTAAGCATGCAGTGGATGTTGTGGTCAATAGTCAGGCACCCCTACCATCCCCACCACTCCCCAGCTCTCAGTGGCATCCTCTCTGGGAATTGCCCTCAGCTGAGCCGTCTACCTTCCTTCCTGGAACAGCCTATAGAGGAGGAGGACTTGACAAGGTGGAACCATACTGACTAACTCAAGTCAGGAGAACTCTAAAGGGCCCTCCCAGCTCCAGAGCTGCCTGTGGGGTTGTACCACATCTCTGCTTCTCCCACAGCCCAATCCTATTTCCTTCACTTTTCCCACAGGTGTTGGGGCCCAGGGCCCTCCTCAACAAATGACTGTACGTAAATCTCCATTTCAGTCTGTTTCCCAGGGAAACTGACCTTAGTTAGCTTTTGAAGAACCAGATCTGAAAAACAGTCCTATTAATATTTTAGTATGTTTTTGTATGTCGCTCAGAAGCCTATTTTATTTACCTGATTACAGGAAGAGATAACTGGGGTTTGAATTTTTGTTTGTTTGTTTTACATCACAATAGAAGAGTATTTTCGGAAAATGTGAAAATAAATACAACTCCAAACTCAGTTTTAAAAAGGGTTGCCAGTGTAATATTATATTTAGAAACTAAAAGGTGTTCTCTATGTATTCTTTTTTTAAACTTCTAAAAACAGAGCAATAAACATTAGAAAAATAATTTGTGAAAGAAAGAGACAGAACTGAAAGTAAAGTTGTAGAATTGGTGGCAATCAGCTAAACGTTATCACTATTCAGGTTCAAGTACGAAAAATACTTTAAATAAAATATATATGTTTAGTTTTTTTAATTCTAGGATTCACACTGCTCTACAATTTAACCACCAGGTAGGAAAGTAACTAATGAAATACTGACTATTAAGAAGGATGTCCTACTTTATACAAATACATTTAATTTCCCAACTATATCATGAGGTAAACATTATTATTCCGATTTTATGGAAAAGAACACGGAGGTTCAGAGACATTAAGTAATTTTTTCAGGTCACCAAAAGAGTAAGTGGTGGGAATCCCAATTCAACTCAGATCTGCCTGATTTTAGAATTCACGTTCATGATCTAACTCCACAGGGTGTGGTTTCTGGCTTCTAAACTTAAGAATGGGCTGGACCAGACGACACAGTCTGGTTCTGGGATGACAATGGGTGAGAATTTTGACTTTGATTAGTCTGGAGCAGCTTTTATTTAGGTTTGCCCCAGTGGCAAGGTGCAGAAGATGTTGAGATAAGTGTTCAGGCGAGCGGATGTAGCAGCTGGCGCCTTCCTTATTTTTTGTGGAGACGTGCTAGAGGCTCCAAGGGCTGGGCAAGCTCTGAAGGAGATATTTGCCTGGTTGGAGGTGCATCAAACTGTGTGCTTGCTGCCTTTATACCACCAGTCATGTTGGCATTCAGCAAGCATAGACAACTTGTTCTACTAATTATGGCAGTAATTCCACCACTGACGAGACCATGTTGATGTTCTGAACCTCAGAATTCTCTGCCAACACTGGGCATTATACCCTCATCTCTCTCAAGGTCTCAGAGGGAAGGAAGTTTCTACATGTGTCCACTTGGACTAGCCTGTCCATAGCCTCCCTTAAGAAGGCAGGACTCAGACTGGACATGGTGGCTCACACCTGTAATCTCAGGACTTTGGGAGGTTGAGGTGGGAGGATTGCTTGAAGCCAGAAGTTTGAGACCAGCTTGGGCGACACAGTGAGACCCTGTCTTACCAGCCCCCGTACCCCTCCCCAATAAACAAATAAATAAAATAAATAAATAAGAAGGCAGGACTCCTAGCCATTTGGCTAAACTGTCACCTCTGTAACTACAGTTCAAAGACTTCATATGCCAAATGGAGTATCTGTATAAATAAGTGATTTAAGTTACTTAGAACAATAATTTTTTGTCAAATTTTATTATGTGAGGATAATTAAAATACATTAATTAAAATTAAAACACATTAATTAAAATATATTAATCAGTCACAATGGCCCAGTGCTAAGAAGATAAATTCACATAAATTTTAAAGTTTTAAAATGTGGGTGTAATAACATATCATCATATGATTTAATGTGCAAGGGAAAAATTGTGAATATATTTAGATTATTCCTTGGTCTAGAACTTCGTCAAAATAAAGTGGAGATCTGAGGCAAGTGAGGACACAAAGAAAGTGAAGATGCCTTAGTACTGTGTTTCATACATAGTTGTAACCTACCTTTAGAGATAGTAAAGCAAAAAATTAGAATGATTTAGATTGTTTAGCTGGGAGAAAATAAAACAGATGGTATTCTGTTCTTAATTTGCAATGTTAAGAAAGGTAGAAGAGCATACATCTTTTTTTTTTTTTTTTTGAGACGGAGTCTCATTCTGTCACCCAGTCTACCAGGCTAGAGTGCAGTGCCGCGATCTCGGCTCACTGCAACTCCTCCCTCCCGGGTTCAAGTGGTTCTTCTGCCTTAGCCTTGGGAGTAGCTGGGACTACAGGCAAGTGCCACCATGCAGGGTTTCACTATGTTAGCCAGGATGGTCTCAATCTCCTGATCTCGTGATCCGCCCACCTTGGCCTCCCAAAGTGCTGGGATTACAGGCATGAGCCGTCGTGCCCAGCCAAGCATACATCTTTTAAATCCACAATCTTTCTTTCCATTCCTCAGCAGAAATTATGCTTAGAACATAGGAAAAGGGACTCAACTGGTAAATAAATGATCAGGCATGATTATTTTTATTCTTAAAATTCTTTCCTTGTTATAAAAGTAACGCACAGCATGTAGAAAGTTAGGAAAATATTGACCAACATGAAAAGAGAATAAAGGTTGCTCAGATGCTACTCAACAAAAGATAATTAACATTTTGGTGTATTTCTTTTTTTTCCTATCTTTTCAATTTTGATTAGGTAATACATTCACATGGTTCAAAAATTCGAAGTTACAAAAAACATACCCAGTCACCTAGGCATGGAGTTCTGCCACCTGGAAACAAGCAATGTATATTTCTCATGTATTTTTCCAAATCATTCCAGAGCTAATGTGTGTATGTAAAAACAGATACATGTAGTTTTCCCTTTTTCTTTTTTTCAGAAACTATAGCATACTATACACACTGTTGTGCAACTTATTATTTTTTACTTAACCATAAATCTTGGAGATTTTTCATATCAATCTACAAAGGACTTTCTCTCTCTCTCTCTCTCTTTTTTTTTTTACTTCTGTGTATCATCCAGTTGTATAGATATATCAGGATTTATCTGAGAAATTTCCTTTTCATGGATATTCATGGTTTTTTCCAGATCTTTTGCAATTACAAACAATACTACAATGAATTACCCTATTCCTGTGCCATTTTTCACCTGTATATCTTTTGGATAAATTCCTACTGTGAAAATACTAGGTCAAAAAAAAGGTTGGCTAGATTCTGCCAAATTGCCCTCCAGAAAGGTTCTAAATTATTTTCAATCCATATTTTCTTTTATAATTTATTATAATAAAAGGTATATGTTTATTATTTTACTTCCAGAGAAAAATTATGAGATCATGGAACTTTTCTCCCACTCACATCTCAATAAATGAATAAGATATAGAAATAGCATGTACACACAGAGAGTTATCAAACTAGAGAGGAGCAAACACTTCTCTAAGAACTTGGAAAACTGTTGCCAGACACAGAGGGTTGTAGGAATTAATAGGCAAATCCTCAGTTGCTTATTCAGAAATAGTGTTCATCATTTCTGTAGTCACCCATTCACCAAAGATTTATTGAATGCTTGCTACGTGCTGGAATACTAGACCTGTGATAGATTTTGCATATGCAAGAGTGAGAGAGAGAAAAAAGCAAGGGGAAGGTGTTGAGACAAAATTCTCCTCTGTGTTAACACCTCCACATTGGGGTTGAGCAGAGCTGATGGTGACAGGGTGTGGATAGGCAGCCCAGAAGGAAAGACACAGAAAGTTGCCCTGGAAATCCGCACCTCACGGCAGGGTGGTGGTGACTCAGCGAAATCCACACACAGTGCCAATCACATCGGTTTGTTTTTCTCTTGCTGGGAGGAAGATAGGAGAAGAATTGAGGTATAATATGAACTATCCCTAAACATTAAAAAGAAAAGTCTTGACAAAATAAAATGGGAAAAAAATCAATTAAAACTGCTGGAAACATACTGGGTGCATAGAAAGTCCCACACGAAACCAGTCTTTCGTTGTCCACACAAATAGTGCCTTAGCCTGAACTAGAAGCCCTACCTTTGTCCTTTCCTTTTCCCCTTACTTAGCGAGGAAAAAAGCTTTGGTTATAAAGAGTGGACAGGAAACACTCCCTTAAGGCTAACAGCTTCTGACAGTAGCCAAAGTTTAGCAACACCTGAATTAGAGGCATAATCAGGAAATAGAGGCTTTCCCTTCCCCTAGCACCCCTTCCTCAAGTATCAGAACAGACAGAAGTACACCCGATCTAGAGGAATAAACTCTAGTGCAGGCAGAACACAGACCCCAGAACTATCCCAAGCCCAGCCACAAGTGAGATAAGACTATCAATCTCTCTGTTAAACAAGACATCTAGTAGAATTACACGCATTTATTCTTTTTATCATGCAGGTGAGGGTAGAAAAAAAATGCTAGCAATGTTCTGCTGCTTTGACAGAACAATCTTACGAGTATTCATAACATATAGGAACACAGAAACGTCAATCATGACATGAAGACAGCATCAGGCTACTGAGTAAGACGACTCATCAGAATCACAGGGCTCTTTGGAGATTACTTTTAAGGAAATGGCAAGGATTTCTAGAGCCTTTGTTCATATTTTCCTTCCAAGGATAAATTTATAAGGCTAAAGAACAGAACTAGCGAGTATAGTTATAAATATTCACACGTCTCAATGCCACATCGAATCAGATTCTTTGGACTTGTTTTATGACACAAAGACGGTCAGTCTTCTGTAGCTGCAGAGGAGAAAGCACATTTCCTTCCTCTGTCTCTTAGATTCTTTTTGTGAATTATGAAGATTTGCTTTTTTAAGAGCCAACTCTGGAATTTTACTTGTAATTTAAAGCAAAAAATCAGGCCTGTGGAGCTCAATATTATTTAGGGAAATGGAGAAAAAGATGAGCATGATTTTACTAAGTAACATAATAAGCTGAAACTTATTATGAAGGGAAGATGCCAACTTGCGCCTTGATAAGGAAGGAAGGGGAGAATTCACCTGTAGTATAATTGGAAAATTAGAGGGCCCAGATAACCAAATTGCTTTTAGAATAAAGAGCCTCGAAGATAAACTCTGTTACTCAAGATAAACAGGAATAATTTATAATAATGAAAGGTTCATTTCAACTGGTAGCTTTGGTAATTTTAAATTTGTATGCACTTAATAACTTAGCCTTAACAATTGACAGATGAAGAGAAATAGACAAATCCACACTCATAATGTGGCATTTAATATAGCCACTCAGTAATTGATAGAGCAAATGGGAAAATAATTCCTAAAAATATGTATAATTTAAGCATCATGATTAATAAACTTGATCTAATAAACATATATTGAATACTGCATGTAATAAGCACATTCACAGAAACTGACCATTTACTGGATTGTAAAGCAGGTGTCAACAAATGTCACAGAAATGAAATAATCATAAGCATATTTCTTAACAAAATACAAGTTAAACATCAGTACCAAAAAAAGACATCAAGAAAACCTTCATATGTTTGGAAATTAATTAAATACACATCTAAGTATCTCAAGGGTTAAATAAGAAATTACAGTGGTATTAAAAAAATAGTTTGAACTGAGCAATAATGAAAATACTACCTAACAAAACTTATGAGATTTAGCTAAAGCAACATTTAAAGGAAAAGTATATTACAGGCATATATTAGAAAAAAGCTAAAAATTAATTATTAAAAATTAATAATTCAAGAAAATAGAAAAAGAATAGCAAAACAAACAAACAAACAAAAACAAAACCCCAAAGCAACAAAGAAGGTGGAAGGAAGGACATGATAGAAATAAGAACAGAAACTAATTAAATAGTTTCCATACACTATGGAGACAATAAAGCCAGAGTGATTCTCTAAAACACCTAATAAAATTAACGAACTTCTCGTGAGACCAAAAAAAAAAAAAAAAAGAGTGATAGCACAAACACACAAATAAATAATATCAAAAAAGAAAAAGAGAACGTTACTAAAAAAGTCAGAAATATTAAAAAAAAAGTCATTTGAACAATTTTATGCCAGTAAGTTTGAAAATGCAGATGAAATGAACATATTCTAGCAAAGCACAATTTACACAAACTATTGAAATAGAAAAACAGAATGGTGCTAAAATCAGAATGGCCTTTCAATACATTTGAAGTATTGAATTAAGGAAAATTTCAGGCTTCGATAGCTTCACATTGAATTCTGGCAGTCAAGGAACAAATAATTCTGATCTATTCTCATATTATACACAAACTCTGAGAGTAAAAAAAAGATAATGCTGCTAGTCTCATTTTATAAGGTTAGCATAAAGTTGATAGCAAGAGAGAAAAATTATAGGTCAATGTCACTCAAGAATATAGATAAAAAATTGTAAAAAAAATCAGCAAACTGAATCTAGCAATACATAAAAAGTATAAAGCAATATGACTGTGGTAGCCAGTCTCTAAAATAGGCCCCAGTGTTCACCACCTCTGGGTCATCCCCTCCCACATTCTATTAGGTACGTGACCAACAGAATACAGTAGACATGATGGTATGTCACTTCTGAGATTTGGTTATTAAAGACATGGTGGCTTCTATCTTTATTAATTTCTCTCTCAGATCATTCACTCTGGGGGAAACCAATTGCCATGTCATAAGCAGCCCTGTTGAGAGGACCACATGATGAGGTGTAAGCCTCCTGCCAACTGCCATGTTGATGAGCTTGGAACTGCAGCAATGGCTGACATCTTGACTTGAAACCTTACGTGAGACCTTCTGGATTCCTGACCCACAGAAGCTGCATGAGATAATAAATACTTGTTATTTAAGCTGTTGCATTTTGGAGTAACTTGTTTTGGAGCAATAGATAACTAATATATACAATAACTAACTTGTATTTGTTCCAGGAATGAAAACCTGGTTTGACATGAGAAAAATCAACTAATGAATTCCGCCACATTAAAGGAAAAATTTATATGGTCATCTCAGCAAACATACAAAAGTGTTTGATGAAATTCAGCATGCATTGGTAATTTATTTAAAAATTTTGCAAACAAGAATGAAAGAAAATGCCCTTAAAAGCAATGAAAATGAACAAACTAAAGCCTCATGCAACAATCATAAATGAAAAGAAATCAAAAGTAGGTGAAAATAAACTATGTTGTTTACAGATTCATACATAGGTGGCAAACCATAAAGACAAGCAAGGAATTGGCCATCACGTGCGTCAGGATAGTGATGCACATGGAAGTAGGAGGCAGGTGTTATGGCTCACAGGCAGCTTCTAAACTTAAGACACTGTTCTGAATCTTGACCCGACCAGTAATTACACAGGTGCTTGTTTTCCTTTTTTTTTTTTTCCTGAGACAGGCTCTCCCTCTGTCACCCAGATTGGAGTGCCGTGGTGTGATCATGGCTCACTGCAGCCTTGACGTCCTAGGCTCAAGTGATCCTCCCACCTCAGCCCTTCAGCCTTCCAAATAGCCAGGCCACAGGCACACGCCACTGTGCCTACCTATTTTATTTTATTTTATGTTTTAATAGAGATAGAGTCTCACTATATTGCCTAGCCTCATCTGAAACACTTAGGTTCAGGCAATCTATCTGCATCAGCCTCCCAAAATGATGAGATTACAGGGGTGAGCCACCACATCTGGCTCAGGTATTTGTTTTCTAATTATTATTTAAATCATACATATAGGAGCTATGCACTTTTTTCTAAGGGTATTATCTTTCAACAGTAAAAAAAAAGTTAATGATGCAGAAAAATAACACTTATTAATGTACCATATTAACAGATTAAAGGTGAAAAACCCATATTATCTCAATAGACACAGGAAAAGCATTTGATAAAATAAAAGCTATTATTTTAAATTTAAAAAGACAGTAAATTAGTACAGAAGAAAGAAACATTCTTAACCTACTAAAAGGTATATAGCAAAAAATCTACAGCATACATCATATTTAATGATAAGACATAGGAAAAATTCCCTTTAAAATTAAGTATGAGGTAAGAATAGCTTCAATTATTGCTTCTCTTTCATCTTGGGTGACAGGAATAACCTTTGTGGTAAGACAAGAAAAATAAATAAAATGTATAAAGATTGGAAAGAATGTAAAACAAAACAAACAAACAAATCCTGACATTATTCATAGATGTCTACAAAGAAAATCCAAGAAATATCAACAGGCAAATTATTAGACTTAAAAAGTGAGTTCAATAAGGTTATTCTATTTAAGTCAATTATTTTTTAAAAAAAAAATCAGTGATATTTTTATATACCGGCAACAAATGGAATCTTTGAACGAAATACAAAAAATATACTTATTAATAAATATTAAAAACAGATGTGTAAGAATGTTATGGCCTAAATAAATTTGGGAATAGGAAAACTCAGTAATAATGTCAATTATCTCTCAATTAATAAAATACAATAAAGTTATAATAAAAAAGACACATCTTTTAGTAGACTCGAAAAGGAGATTATAAAATTTGTATGAGAGAAGAGAAAAGGGCCCCAAATAACCAGAAGAAAACGGGAGCGACTAGAGATCTTGTTGTACCATATATCAAGACTCATTTTAAAACTGCATCAATTAAGACACTCTTCCTACACTGGACTGATTTTGACAGAGGTAGCATTGCAGACCAGTGAGCCGAGAATGGACTGTTTAATGAGTGGTGATGAAACACTTGATTTTTTCCAATTGTACAAATGTAATATTGAATTCTTATCTTCCATACATATAGTAATACAAAAATTATTTCCAGGGGGATTGTATTAGTTAGGGATCTCCAGAGAAATAGAACCGATAGTGCATACACACCACACACACACACATACATATCTGGTGGGAGAGAGAGATGATAAGGCATTGGCTCACACAATTATAGAGGCTAAGTCTGAAATCTACAAGATGGGGTGATGATGTGGGAGACCCCAGGGAAAGCCAACGTTTCTATTTGAGGGCTGTCAAGCAGGAAGAGCCAATGATGCAGTTGGAGTCTGAAGACCATCAGCTGAAGAATTTTTTCTTTCTTGGGGGAGGATTGGTCTTTGTTCTATCCAGACCTTCAACTGATTAGATGAGGCCCACCCTCATTGGAAAGGCAATCTGCTTTACTCAAAGTTCATGGATTTAAATGTTAATATCCTCCAAAAACACCCTCACAGAAACACCCACAAAAATGTTTGGCCAACTATTTGGGCACTCCATGGCCCAGTCAAATTGACACATAAAATTAACCATCACAGAGGTTACATGGAATCTAACATATAGGAGGATACCTTTATGACCCTTAGGTAGAGAGAGTTTTCGTATTTTTTTGAGACAGAGTTTCACTCTTGTTACCCAGGCTGGAGTGCAATGGCGCAATCTCGGCTCACTGCAACCTCCGCCTCCAGGTTCAAGTGATTCTCCGGCCTCAGCCTCCTGAGTAGCTGGGATTACAGGCATGTGCCACCATGCCCGGCTAATTTTGCACTTTTAGTAGAAACGAGATTTCTCCATGTTGGTCAGGCTGGTCTCGAACTCCTGACCTCAGGTGATCCACCCGCCTCAGCCTCCCAAAGTATTGGGATTATAGGCATGAGCCACTGCGCCCGGCCTAGACAGAGGTTTTTAAAAGAAAATACAAAAAATACAAACCATGAAGGAAACGTGATAAATTTGACTACATAAAAATGTAAAAAATTTAAATTCCAGTATTTAAAAAAGAGTGAAAAGACAAGCCACAGAAACATCCCAAACTCAACGTTAGCATCTGCTTCTAGAGAGCTCATCCTATAACATGACCTCTTTATATAAAGTTTCATGCAAAACAATATACTGTATTGTTTATAGAATATAATTCAGAATAGTGGTGGTGTGTTGGGTAGGAGATACATTTTGGGAGGAGTTGTCTAGGACTTCAAAAGCATTTGTAATACTTTATTCCTTAAGCCAATGGTAGGTGTGGGTATGTATTATGTCAGGGCTCCCCAACCCCAGGGCCATGGGCCAGTCCAGTCCATGGTCTGTTAGGAAGAGGGCCACACAGCAGGAGGTGAGTGGCAGGTGAATGGGGAGCCAGCGAGCATTACTGCATTTTCTCTGCCTCCTGTTGGATCAGTGGTGGGATTAGATTCTTATAGCAGTGGGAACCCTATGGTGAACTACACATGTGAGGGATCTAGGTTGTGCGCTCCTTATGAGAATCTAACTGATTCCTGATGATCTGAGGTGGAACAGTTTCATCCTGAAACCATCCTCCCAGCCCCTACCCAAAAACTGGTCCCTGGTACCAAAAAGGTTTGGGACTGCTGTAACTATATCATTATTTGAATCTTTGGTATTTAAAGAATGAGTAATAAATAAATAAGTAGCAGAAATGAAACTGTCAATCAAAGGAAAAGTAAAAGCCATTATTTTGTATTTGAACACATGAATATGAGATTTATAAATAAAACATCAATATCTATAAGCTGAATTTAAAGGCCTGAACAAACTAAATATTAATTAAATTGCATGTAACTGTATTTCATTCTGGCCCACAGCCCTTTTAGACATTAAAAACCCACTGGAAAGAATTACTCTTCCATACAAACGAAATATGCTTCTATTGCCTCTAAAGGACAAGACCTATGGATGTACTCATTGCACAGCCATTAAGATTAGCTGAATTAAGAATTAATTTCAAAAAAGAAGTATTTATATTTGAAGTTAGATGTGCGTATACATTTTATCAGTCAACAAATATTAAATGCCTACTCTATGCCAGGCACTATTTTCAGATGATACAGATAAGCTGTAAGCAAGAAACACAAAGTGCTCTTGAATCATTAGCATGATTTGTTTTAAGAGTACTGACTTACATCATCAAAGTATCCAATTGCTAATGTCTGACTCAGGCAAAATATTTCTATTTCAATAAGTCAAGCTATTAGTGGCCATATAGTACACTGCGCAAGGGGGAAATCTCCTCAAAGATTGCATAGAAAATTAAGGAGTTAATTCCATTTCTGTTCCGTGTTGCAATGGAATTTTGTATTCCAGACTTTTCACACATGTCTCTTTCCCTGAAGGCACCAAGGATTACAAATTTAGAATCAAATATTTCTGACCATAAAAGTTAACTATCCAAATCTTTAACCACATTTAAACTTGCACATGGTCCGGGCAAGGAAAAATTCACAAATGCCAATATTTATTGAGGTAAAAATGTAAATTATGAGAAACCACCTAGGCACCTTAAAATAGAACACAGGACTCCATGTTTTATTAAATTTGTGCTATTTCTCCTACTATAGTTACCATCAGAAACACGTTCCATTTTAAGGGTTTTTTTTTGCAGTATTTTTTTTATTTTTAAAAAAGCTGTAAAACTCAAAGCTAAAATTTGGAGTCACTTTAAATTTGAGTCATGAACCAATAAATTTTACAACTTTGGAGTGTTGAAATGGTGTCATAGGAGTTTGAGGTTGACACACATAGTTGGATCATTTAATAGTCATGGATGGCATGAAAAACTATATATTTTAGTAAAAGAACTCTTTGAATGTTTTGACAAACAAACACCAAAACTGGGTTTTGTAATTTTTCTCTTAATTGTTAAAATAGTTGGATTTGTGGCATAATAATTTTGCATATGTATATTTCAATTCATATACTAAATGTACTTATATTTACTTTTTGCTATTTTCATGTTATTTATACAACATATACTTACTGAGTGCCAATTATGTGCCAGATACTCTTCTAGGCTTTAGTGTGAGCAAAAGCAGGTGTGATACCTATTTTTATTTAACTTTTAGTTCAGTAGGGGAGAGAGACATTAGTTAATCAAATAATTACCAGGTGGGTGTGGTGGCTCACGCCTGTAATCTCAGCTCTTTGGGAGGGCAAGGTGGGAGGATCACTTGAGGCTAGCAGTTCAAAAACTAGCCTGGTCAACATAGCAAGGCTCCATTTCTACAAAAAATGTTTAAAAAATAGCCAGGCATAGTGGTGCACGCTTGTAGTCCTGGCTACTTGGGAGGCTGAGGTGGGAGGATTGCTTGAGGCCAGGAGGCCAGGAATTTGAAGTTACAGTGAGCTATTATCATGCCGCTATACTCCAACCTGGGTAACAAAGTGAGATCCTGTCTTGCTAAAAAAAAAAATTATGAAACCAAGAAAGCAGTTTAACTGACAAGAGCTAAAAAGGAGATCATGCAGTACTAACTTAGAAGGGGCATTTGATCTAGTCAAGGAAGGATGGAGGGGTAGGCTTCTTGGAGGAAATGGCCTTGGGTTGAGATCTGAGGATCTTGGAGTTAATTCCGTTAAGAAAGGAGGGCCTGTAATCCCAGCACTTTGAGAGACTGAGGCGGGTGGATCACCTGAGGTCAGGAGTTTGAGGCCAGCCTGGCCAAAATGGTAAATCCTTGTCTCTACCAAAAATACAAAAAAAATAAAATAAATTAAAAAAAAAAATTAGCCCGGCATGGTGGCTTGTGCCTGTAATCCCAGCTGCTTGGGAAGCTGAGGCAGGAGAATCGTTTGAACCTGGGAGGCAGAGGTTGCAGTGAGCCAAGATCGTGCCACTGCACTCCAGCCTGGGTGACAGAGCTAGGCTCTGTCAAAAAAAAAAAAAGAGAGAGAGAGAGGAGGGAAGAAGATAGATTCTGGGCAGAGGGTCCTAAATGCATGTTTAGGCCCAACGACTGGAACCATGTGAGGTTCTGAAAAATACACACTGAGCAGGAGCTTCTGCAAGCTGAGACAGGGACAGCAGGTAAGGGTCAGATCATAGGGTCACTGTAAGCCACCATCAAGAAAGAGTATGTCTTTATCTTCATGTGTGTGCATTTGAGAACCCCTGCTTCTGTCTGCAATGTGGAGAAAAGATGGGACAGAGACCAGTGTGGGAGAAAAGAAGACCAATTTGGAGACTGTGCCAATAATCTCTGAGTGAGGCCTGATGGTAGAGGTGATGTTAGTAGCAGAGACAAAGACACTTCAAAATTGGAATTGGCAGGGCTTTGTGATGGATTGATAATAAGAAAGCTGGATTGGATTGGTGGGCAAAGATGTTAACAATGAAATATAATTAAATACACAATTAAAGCTAACAGTAAAATTGTATTAAGTCTAATTAGGACACATACATCTTCATGGTAGAAGGCTCAATAACTGTATTAGATGACATTACTTCAGTAAAAATGACTTAGGTCTTATAGTATAGTTTGAATTCACATCTGTTATATTAAAGAAAATTTACCTTTAACACATTGACTTCCTTTATCCCTCTTCTCTAAATGCTTTTCATTTTAACTGAAAATCAATATCATTATATTCAATTTTTTGTCAGTGATAGATTTTGAAAATATCATGAACTTTAGGATTATATTTTTTCCATTTAACTGCCTGTGAATTTTTACCTTTTAAAATAAAAACTCTTGGTTTTATAAACTCCTACTATAATCCAAATTTTACTAAATTAAATTGAAAACCCACCAAATGAAGGCAATGGTATTCACTTTGACTTAAATTTATACCCACATACATAAAACTGTAGAAACTTCACAACTGGGCTTACTTTTTAAACCAAAGGAAATTCCCAATATATTTGCAATAGCTCCTGTGTCATTCACGAATCTAGGCTTTAACATAATATAATCTGGTCACCCTTTCCTGTTTGGGACTGAGTCAACTTTAATGGAAATTACACATGCACTAGGGGAGACGAAGCTAATTTAATGTGAAAGAAGCAATTGCAATGCCAGGGCCTCACAGATTCTACTCTCCATTCATTTTCATTAAGATTGCGAGGCAGATCAGGCTTTCCTTCTCCCTTCATTCCCTTTCTCTCCCCAGCCTCCATTCCGGGAGGGGTCTTTTTTTTTATCAGGGAAGAAAAGCAGAGCATAAGGACACTATGCATGTGTGCTATGAAGGTGATCAATGTCCACAAGAGAAGATATTACTGAGCAATCAATGGGCTCACTGTCTGATGCACATAGAGGCCAATACCATGGCATCAGCTTTTGAGAAAAGAAAAGCTTTATTGTGAGTCAACTGGCAAGGAGGCCGGAAGAAACACTCTAATCTGTCTCCCCAAGCTGGAGTTTGGGTTGGATTTTATAAGCATAGGGTAATGAGGTGTGATCTGATTGGCTCTTGCAATGAGGCGATGCCAGGAGGTGTGGTCTGACTGGATCCTGCTATGGGGTGACGCTAAAGCTTGTTCTGATTGGATCCCAGGTTCTGCCATGCGGTGTCCCCTTCTTTATTCAGTTCCTTGGTACAAGTACTTAGGTTCCCTCTGCGATTGCATGCTTGGTTTAACTGGGCATGCTCAAGTTATGTGACCTTCAACCTGGGAGACCATGGCAACTAAAAAACAACTCACAACTTTGTTACATAAAAGTTGACCCAGATTGGTCTGGTGTGGTTACAAAGAGAGGAGCATTATAGTAGTGTAGGTTTTTCCTTCTCCAAGGGACTTAAGATCCTCTCCCAAAGGACAGACGCTGCCCCTCTAGCCTTCTCGAGGAGAAAACCAAAATAATCAATTGACTGGAATTGGAAGATGGAGAGAGGAAGAGATAGGGGTAAGAATGCTGAGAGAAAAAAAGACAGAAAGATGAGATTAACGAACACCTCTCTGATGCGTCCTTTAAGTACTGGGAGGGAACTTGAGGCCAAAACAAACAAACTAACTAACAAAAAACACCACCACAAAAACCCGAACATCTGTTCTGTGACTTAATTTGGTCTTTGTATATTTGTGATCTGCTTATTTAATAAGACTTTTCTGTCTGGTAAGAAATCGTGCCTTCACACCCTTGCAGATATAGGCTTAAGCAAGAGTTTATATTTACTACAGTATTAATGCTGTCAATTGTATCTTTACTTTTCCAAAGACTTAGATTTAAAATAAAATACCCCCTTTTATGGAACCTAGTTTGATAGATTTTTCTATTTTGACACCTTGTTTTATAATACTCTTCTGTTATTATTTTTACTACCAGAGTCATCCTAAAGATTCAGTTCCCTTGGGGTACTGCAATATGTGGTTTGTTCTTGAATCAAATATAGTATTTCTTCCAGTCTATACTAAGTAATTCAAAGCCTAGCATCCCGGATAGTTCCTGCTGTAAAATAAATAATGCCACAGTTATTGGATGAAAGCCAGCTATACAAGTGAACTAGACAGACGGTAAAACTCTAGGTACCTGACATACTTGTAAATGTCTTGGGATAAAGTGGCCCTAGCTGTTGGTTATGCACAAGTTGCCATGCTTTGGGCCATCTGGTCCTGTTGCTTTGGCCACAATCAATTAGACTCTGGAAATTTTCAAAACACCAGTCATTAAGGGCTCTTCATACTAAAATGGGATTACCCAGCCCAGTCAGGTTCTTCCTCACTGAGAACTTGGGTTCAAGATACCCAGAGAGTAGAAGTGAAGAGGAAGCGATGGAGAGAAGCTGTGTCATGAATGTAGTGGAGTCACCAGAATAGGGAGCAGTGGAAGTCTACTTGGAGCCACGTCTCCAGATGTATTGAACACCAGAAATAACCACTGTGATGGTAAGTCCATCATGTCTTGACCAATGCTCCCCAATCTCCAGTGAGGCTGGACTATGCTGACACATCTCTGGGTCTTTCTGATTTTCTCTATTGTCTTAGTTCCTGCTGCTGTAACAAAATACCACAGGCTGGATAATTTATAAATAATGGAAATGTGTTACTTATCGTCCCAGAGGCTAGAAAGTCCAAGAGCAAGTGAGCTGGCAGATTTGGGGTCTGATGAGGGCCTAGTCCTCACACTTACCTAATCTTTCACCCAGTGTTTTTTTTCCTTTTTTAATTGACAAATAAAAATTGTACATATTTGTGTTATCAGAACATGATGTTCTAATATATGTATACATTGTAGAATTTGGCTAAATCAAGCTAATTAACGTATGCATTACACATATACATTTTTCTAGTTAGAAGACTTATGATCTACTCTAAGCATTTTCAAGTATGCAATACATTGTTATTAGTATAGTCACCATGTTGCATACTAGATCTCTTGAACTTACTCCTTCTATCTATCTTTAATTTTCTTCCTGTTGACCTACTTCTCCCCATCTCTCAGCCTCTCCCCTCCTCAGCCTCTGGTAACCACCATCTCACTCTCTGCTTCTGTGAGTCTGACTTTTTAAAATTCCACACAAGTGAGATCATGTGGTATTTGACCTTCGAGACTGCCTTATTTCACTTAACATATGTCCCCCAGGTTCATCCATGTGTTGCAAATGACAGGATTTCCTTCTTTTTTTTTAAGACTGAATAGTATCCATTGTGCTCTTGTCCTGCAATGTTCTTTCTGCTCAATCCCACTTAGCTGAACCCACTGTAGTGGCTCCACCATAATAGTGGGTGGGATCTTGGAGGCATGACTGCATAGTTTTCTTCAGGAACAGGAAATTGCTCTTTCGAATAGTGCTTTGCCTGGTGTAGTCCAGCATGCAGAATGGCTTGCCTTCCTTTTCAGCACGGTCCACATGCTTGCTGGAAGAAGTTACATAAAGAGAATTGTGCAGTGGAAGAAAGCTATCCAAGAGTTGCAAATAGTTTCATTAAATTGAAAACCACAAGCAATCGAGAGAACTTTATTGTGTAGATTTTTTTAATTCCATAAATGCAGATTAAAGTTATATACTCATCTTGTAAGCAAACTAAATAGGAGAGTACAATTTGTAGTTGAAACATTATGTCAGCCCTCTTCATTTTTGTGAAGAAAACCTCCATGTGCCTTTGAGCAACACAACCTATATAAGATGAATTTCTACTACCCCTAAGCAGTTATCTTAAATATTGTCCTAATTTACAAAATAAGCTTTTTGTTCATGACTTTAAAAGTTAAAATGTAACACTGATTTATATTTTTCAGAAATATAGCAATATTTCTAAATAAGAGTGTAGAAAAGCAAAGTGAAGCACACAATTCTGAAATAATACAATCCTCTTTATGAAGGTGATAAAATTGCATACTATGTTACTTTAATATCAAAACGTGAAATTTATGTTGAAAGCTCATATAAAATAGATATCAATATAGAAAATTATATCAATTAGTGGCATTTCCTTTCTGTCATATCCAAATGTATTTATTTCATTAACTGGAAATCTGTTCTTTTTAAAAATATTTGATCTTAAAAACAATTCATGCAAATTACATTTTTTTCTAATCACATCTCATTATAACTTTGGTGTCTAGAGTTTCACTACTACATACTGTAAGAAACTGTTGTATCATGATCTACAGACCTGAAGTTATTCTTCTACAGAAGCTTCTGTTGGCTAGGATGTGAGTTCTCTGAGGACAGTGACTCTGGCTCATTCATTCTTTTCTCACCAGAATGTAGGTAGACTGGAGTTCTTTAACAGCAGTGACTATTTCTTCTTCACTTGGCATCTATGTTGCTTAGAACATAGTAAGTGCTTAATTAGTGTTTAATAATGAAATGAATCAAGTGCTTCATTATTAGTGTTTAATAATGAAACGAATCAATGATCATGTTGCTTAGAACATAAGTGCTTAATTAGTGTTTAATAATGAAACGAATCAATGATCAACTTTGCTAAATGCTGGATATGCAGAGTACAGACACCTTTGCTGCCTTCAGGGAACTTGGAGTCAGTGGGAGAGACAACCATGAAATAAGTGAAATTCTGGCAATAGGACCAGAGTGCTATGGGAACAGTTAAGAAGTAGTGATCATTTCTGCCTGGCAAGGTAAAAAGATTGACATTGAAGATAGCCCTTTATGATGAATCACATTTTTCCAAATTAAAAACAACGTACAAGGGCCAGGGGTGGTGGCTGGCGCCTTTAATCCCAGCAATTTGGGAGGTCAAGGTGGGCGGATCACCTGAGGTCAGGAGTTCAAGACCAGCCTGGCCAACATGGGGAAATCTCATCTCCACAAAAATACAAAAATTAGCCAGGCATGATGGCGGGTGCCTGTAATCCCAGCTACTCGGGAGGCTGAGGTGGGAGAATTGCTTGAACCCAGGAGGCAGATGTTGCAGTGAGCCGAGATTGCACCATTGCACTCCAGCTTTGGCAACAGAGTGAGACTCCATCTCAAAAAAAAATGAATAAAAATAAAAATAAAAATAAAAATAAAAAGCAAGGGACAAGAAGATATTTCAGAGAGTGGATATGGAAAAAGACACAACTGTTATGAGCACAGCATGATCTCAGTATGGTGTGTACATAATGATAGGGCTCCCAGGAAAGGGAATTGAAAAGTAAGAGAATTAGCACTTGTAAACATTATTATGTGTTAGGTATTAGATACTCTGTATTATTAACTCTCCAGCAAGATGTTGTGGGGCAGTAATGAGGCACCTTATCTTAATGAATAAGATAGTTATTAGGCATAGATGTCATGGTGCTAGAGGATGAGTCTTTTTGGCAAAGGGCTTTGAAGGTCATCCAGTTAGGGTTACATAATCAGACCGGTGTAATTCACTAGTCACGTGACATACTTACCCTTTTTAGTGACAAATGTTACCATTCTCCTCCCATAAATTGGGTTACCCATCTCTCTTTTTTTTTTTTTTGAGATGGAGTCTCACTCTATTGCCCAGGCTGGAGTGCAGTGGCGCCATCTCGGCTCACTGCAAGCTCCACCTCCTGGGTTCACGCCATTCTCCTGCCTCAGCCTCCCGAGTAGCTGGGACTACAGGTGCCCGCCACCATGCCCGGCTAATTTTTTGTATTTTTAGTAGAGACGGGGTTTCACCATGTTAGCCAGGATGGACTCAATCTCCTGACCTGGTGATCCACCCACCTCGGCCTCCCAAAGTGCTGAGGTGACAGGCGTGAGCCACCGCGCCTGGCCAAGTTACCCGTAGCTCACATATAGAAACATGTTTTTATGTTATTTCATTTCACTTCCTTCCTTTTCATCTTTGACCATATTATCTATATTCCCTTGTATACCAGACTTTTAGACACCATATAGATTGAAGTTATTTTTTAATTTCCCTGTTTCAGCTTCTTCTTAGTTTTTTAGCTTGTCATTTTTGAGCTTCCTCCATTTTATTTGGGACACCATTTTATTTATGTCTGGATTTAACGAGTCCAAATGCTCTTTCTTTTCAACGATTTTCTTTCATCATTACATAAATCTAGCTCAAAGTCTTCACATTTCATATTTCTCTTTAAAGTGCAGCTTTGTTTCTATTTCTCTGTTGTTTCTTTGTCTCTACATCCAAACACCACATTGTGTCATCTATCACAGAATTTATTTTATGGCTTTTAATCATAGGCTTTACTTATGTCTGACTGTGTCTGTGAACCGTGTAGCATTCTTTCATAATAAGAAACTTCTCTGCCTTACTGTTTTTTCTTTCTTTCATTTTTTTAAGGCATGTTGTTACTCCAAGCTGAAGAACTGCTTATCTGTATAAGGAATCTGACTTTATTACTCATTTCTTCTGTTTACTTACTGAGTTATTATCTAATCTTAAGAACAAACTGATTCTAATGGACTCACACTGCTGTTTGCATCCTCGTAGGTGGCCAGTAAGAGGATGTGAGATCAAATTTTTCATAAAATTATCAAATGAATAGACAAAATGACATAAAACATCTGGACTTTTGGGTAAGCATTTGGTAGCATATGCATTAGAGAAATGGAAATGCATGCCTTTGGTTATTGATACCATGAAATGAATCTTGGGACTATAAACAATGTACAGTTTAAAATGAAGTAGCATGTGGATGAACGAACTTGGTTTAGATTAGCAGACCTGGCAGAGTTTAAGGTCAAACTCAGTTTTGTTTAACATCTTCATAAATAATCGAGAAGACATATTTTAAAAAACCCTATAATTACATATTTAAGTGACTTCAAGCTGGGCGGTGTTAAACATGATACGAGGAAAAGGATTAGAAGAGGTGAATAGATAAAATGATAAACTTTTTTTCATTAATCAGGAAAAGTATAAAATGATAGTTTAGCATGAGAACAAATTTATGGCAAGTTACTAAAAGGAGAAAAAAACATGAGTAAAGGAAGAACAATGTTGAAAGGAGGCCATAGAAAGCAATTTGAATGCGGTATGTAAGCTAAAATGGCCATTATTTTATATAGTTCTCTTAAAATGACTGTATGATTTCTCTCATGGGAGGCACATAAATTGCTGACCTAAGTACCAATAAGACACAGAATTATTAAGATGTTTATGTCAGTTATAAAATCATATGCACAAATTCATACATTTTTGTACTTAATTTTTATTGATTTTATTGAAAAATCAACAGACAGAAAGACTGAAGTTTTTTAGGGGGCCAACAACTGAATGAATTTGAACACGTTTAGATTCCTGTAACCACCACACTTAGGTGACAGAAGAGTTCCATCTGTAAAACACTTCCTTTCATATCCCTCTTCCTACCCCAAGCCTCTGGCAATCACTTATGTTCTTTGCTCCCATAGTTCTGCCTTTTTGAGATGTTATGTAAATAGAAACATACATTATATAATGTCTCTTTTGTCCTTTGAGGTGCATATTATTTTTTTATTGTTGTTAAAAACACATCACATAAAATTCACCATGGTGACCTTTTTTTAAGTGTACAGTACAATAATATTAACTATATGCACATAGATTGCTAGTGCAACAGATCTCTAGAATTTCAGTGCAATGGATATCTTGAAATTTATCAGCTTGCAACAGTGATACTCTATAGCCACTGAACGACAATTTCCCTTTCCCTGATTCCCACAGCCCCTGGAAACCACCATTCTGTTTTCTAAGAGTTTAATGACTTTAGATATTTCATATAAGTAGAATCATGTAGTATTTAACCTTTTGTGATTGGCTTATTTCACTTAGCATAATGTTCTCAAGGGTCATACAGGACAGAATTTCCTTCCTTTTAAGGTGGAATAATATTCCATTGTATGTATATGTCACATTTTCTTTATTCATCTGTTTGATGGACATTTAGGTTGCTTTCGCCTGTTAGCTATTGTGAATAATACTGCAATGGACATGAAGTGCAAATATCTCTTTGAGGTCTTCTTTTCAATTCTTTTGGATATATTCCCAAAAGTGCAGTTGGTGGATCATATGGTAATTCTATTTTCAATTTTTTGAGGAGCCTTGATACCATTTCCCTAGCAGCTGAAACTATTTTACATTCCCACCAACAAGGCATGACTTCCAAATTCTCCACATCCTCACCAACACTTGTTATTTTCTTTAATACTAAATATCCTAATGAGCGTAAGGTGATATCACACTGTGGTTTGGTTTTTTGTCTTTTGAGACTGGGTCTTACTCTGTCACCCAGGCTGGAGTGCAGTGGCACAGTCATGGCTTGAGCTCCTGGGATCAGGTGATTCCCCCAACTCAGTCTGTTGAGTAGCTGGGACTATAGGCATGCACCACCATGCCTGACTAATTTTTATTTTATTTTATTTTATTTTTCATTTTTTGTAAAGATGGTGTCTCACTATGTTGGCCAGGCTTGTCTTGAACACCTGGGCTCAAGCGATCCTCCTGTCTTGGCTTCCCAAAGTGTTGGAAATACAGGCGTAAGCCACTGTCCCAGTCTCCTGAGTGATTAGTGTCTTAGTCTGTTTTGGGCTGCTACTAAAAATCCCATAGACTGAATATTTGATAAAGAACAGAAATTTATTTCTCACAGCTCTAGTGCCTGGGAAGGCATGAACAGGTGCCTGGTCTCTGCTTCCAAGATGGAGTCTTTAACTATGTCCTCTGGAGGAGAAGAATGCTGTCTCAGGTGCAAGATGGCCGAATAGGAACAGCTCCAGTCTACAGCTCCCAGAGTGAGTGACATGGAAGACAAATGATTTCTGCATTTCCAACTGAGGTACTGGGTTCATCTCACTGGGGATTGTCAGATAGTGGGTGCAGGACAGTGGGTGCAGCACACCGAGCATTAGCCGAAGCAGGGTGAGGCATTGCCACACCCTGGAAGCGCAAGGGGTCAGGGAATTCCCTTTCCTAGCCAAGGAAAGGGGTGACAGATGGCACCTGGAAAATCAGGTCACTCCCACCCTAATACTGCACTTTTCCGACGGTCTTACCAAATGGCACACCAGGAGATTATATCCCATGCCTGTCTCAGAGGGTCCTACACCCATGGAATCTTGCTCACTGCTAGTACAGCAGTCTGAGATCAAACTGCAAGGTGGCAGCAAGGTTGGGGGAGGGGCGCCTGCCATTGCTGAGGCTTGAGTATGTAAACAAAGCAGCCAGGAAGCTCGAACAGGGTGGAGCCCACCGCAGCTCAAGGAGGCCTGCCTGCCTCTGTAGACTCCACCTCTGGGGGCAGGGCATAGCTGAACAAAAGGAAGCAGAGACCTCTGCAGACTTAAGTGTCCCTGTCTGACAGCTTGGAAGACAGCAGTGGTTCTCCCAACACGCAGCTTGAGATCTGAGAACAGACAGACTGCCTCCTCAAGTGGGTCCCTGACCCCCAAGTAGCCTAACTGGGAGGCACCCCCAAGTAGGGGCAAACTGACACCTTACATGGCTGGGTACTCCTCTGAGACAAAATTTCCAGAGGAATGATCAGGCAGCAACATTTGCTATTCACCAATATTCGCTGTTCTGCAGACTCTGCTGCTGATACCCAGGCAAACAGGGTCTGGAGTGGACCTCCGGCAAACTCCAACAGACCTGCAGCTGAGAGTCCTGACTGTTAGAAGGAAAACTAACAAACAGAAAGGACATCCACACCAAAACCCCATCTGTACATCACCATCATCAAAGACCAAAGGTAGATAAAACCACAAAGATGGGGAAAAAACAGAGCAGAAAAACTGGAAACTCTAAAAATCAGAGTGCCTCTCCTCCTCCAAAGGAACGCAGCTCCTCACCAGCAATGGAACAAACCTGGACGGAGAATGACTTTGACGAGTTGAGAGAAGAAGGCTTCAGATGATCAAACTACTCTGAGCTAAAGGAGGAAGTTCGAACCCATGGCAAAGAAGTTAAAAACATTGAAAAAAAATTAGATGAATGGCTAACTAGAATAACCAATGCAGAGAAGTCCTTAAAGGACCTGATGGAGCTGAAAACCATGGCACGAGAACTACGTGATGAATGCACAAGCCTCAGTAGTCGATGCGATCAACTGGAAGAAAGGGTATCAGTGGTGGAAGATGAAATGAATGAAATGAAGTGAGAAGAGAAATTTAGAGAAAAAAGAATAAAAAGAAATGAACAAAGCCTCCAAGAAATATGGGACTATGTGAAAAGACTAAATCTACATCTGATTGGTGTACCTGAAAGTGACAGGGAGAATGGAACCAAGTTGGAAAACACTCTGCAGGATATTATCCAGGAGAACTTCCCCAATCTAGCAAGGCAGGCCAACATTGAGATTCAGGAAATACAGAGAATGCCACAAAGATACTCCTCGAGAAGAGCAACTCCAAGACACATAATTGTCAGATTCACCAAAGTTGAAATGAAGGAAAAAATGTTAAGGGCAGCCAGAGAGAAAGGTCAGGTTACCCACAAAGGGAAGCCCATCAGACTAACAGCTGATCTCTCGGCAGAAACTCTACAAGCCAGAAGAGAGTGGGGGCCAATATTCAACATTCTTCAAGAAAAGAATTTTCAACTGAGAATTTCATATCCAGCCAAACTAAGCTTCATAAGTGAAGGAGAAATAAAATCCTTTACAGACAAGCAAATGCTGAGAGATTTTGTCACCACCAGGCCTGTCCTAAAAGAGCTCCTGAAGGAAGCGCTAAACATGGAAAGAAACAACCGATACCAGCTGCTGCAAAATCATGCCAAAATGTAAAGACCATCGAGACTAGGAAGAAACTGCATCAACTAACGAGCAAAATCACCAGCTAACATCATAATGACAGGATCAAATTCACACATAACAATATTAACTTTAAATGTAAATGGACTAAATGCTCCAAATAAAAGACACAGACTGGCAAATTGGATAAAGAGTCAAGACCCATCAGTGTGCTGTATTCAGGAAACCCATCTCACGTGCAGAGACACACATAGGCTCAAAATAAAAGGATGGAGGAAGATCTACCAAGCAAATAGAAAACAAAAAAAGGTAGGGGTTGCAATCCTAGTCTCTGATAAAACAGACTTTAAACCAACAAAGATCAAAAGAGACAAAGAAGGCCATTACATAATGGTAAAGGGATCAATTCAACAAGAAGAGCTAACTATCCTAAATATATATGCACCCAATACAGGAGCACCAAGATTCATAAAGCAAGTCCTGAGTGACCTACAAAGAGACTTAGACTCCCACACAATAATAATGGGAGACTTTAACACCCCACCGTCAACATTAGAAAGATCAACGAGACAGAATGTTAACAAGGATATCCAGGAATTGAACTCAGCTCTGCACCAAGTGGACCTAACAGACATCTACAGAACTCTCCACCCCAAATCAACAGAATATACATTCTTCTCAGCACCACACCATGCTTATTCCAAAATTGACCACATAGTTGGAAGTAAAGCACTCTTCAGCAAATGTAAAAGAACAGAAATTATAACAAATTGTCTCTCAGACCACAGTGCAATCAAACTAGAACTCAGGATTAGGAAATTCACTCAAAACCGCACAACTACATGGAAACTGAACAATCTGCTCCTGAATGACTACTGGGTACATAACGAAATGCAGGCAGAAATGAAGATGTTCGTTGAAACCAACGAGAACAAAGACACAACATACCAGAGTCTCTGGGACACATTCAAAGCAGTGTTTAGAGGGAAATTTATAGCACTAAATGCCCACAAGAGAAAGCAGGAAAGATCTAAAATTGACACCCTAACGTCACAATTAAAAGAACTACAGAAGCAACAGCAAACACATTCAAAAGCTGGCAGAAGGCAAGATATAACTAAGATCAGAGCAGAACTGAAGGAGATAGAGACACAAAAAACCCTTAAAAAAATCAATGAATCCAGGAGCTGGTTTTTTGAAAAGATCCACAAAATTGATAGACCGCTAGCAAGACTAATAAAGAAAAAAAGAGAGAAGAATCAAATAGACGCAATAAAAAATGATAAAGGGGATATCATCACTGATCCCACAGAAACACAAACTACCATCAGAGAATACTATAAACACCTCTATGCAAATAAACTCAAAAATCTAGAAGAAATGGATAAACTCTTCGACACATACACCCTCCCAAGACTAAACCAGGAAGAAGTTGAATCTCTGAATAGACCAATAACAGGCTCTGAAATTGAGGCAATAATTAATAGCTTACCAACCAAAAAAAGCCCAGGACCAGATGGATTCACAGCCAAATTCTAACAGAGGTACAAGGAGGAGCTGGTAAAATTCCTTCTGAAACTATTCCAATCAACAGAAAAAGAGGGAATCCTCCCTAACTCATTTTATGAGGCCAGCATCATCCTGATACCAAAACCTGGCAGAGACACAACAAAAAAAGAGAATTTTAGACCAATATCCCTGATGAACATTGATGCAAAAGTCCTCAATAAGATACTGGCAAACCAAATCCAGCAGCACATCAAAAAGCTTATCCACCATGATCAAGTGGGCTTCACCCCTGGGATGCAAGGGTGGTTCAACATATGAAAATCAATAAACATAATCCAGCATATAAACAGGACCAACGAAAAACCCACATGATTATCTCAATAGTTGCAGAAAAGGCCTTTGGCAAAATTCAACAGCCCTTCACGCTAAAAACTCTCAATAAATTAGGTATTGATGGGACGTATCTCAAAATAATAAGAGGTATCTATGACAAACTCACAGCCAATATCATACTGAATGGGCAAAAACTGGAAGCATTCCCTTTGAAAACTGGCTCAAGACAGGGATGCTCTCTTTCACCACTCCTAGTCAACATAGTGTTGGAAGCTCTGGCCAGGGCAATCAGGCAGGAGAAAGAAATAAAGGGTATTCAATGAGGAAAAAAGGAACTCAAATTGTTCCTCTTTGCAGATGACATGATTGTATATCTAGAAAACCCCATCGTCTCAGCCCAAAATCTCCTTAAACTGATAAGCAACTTCAGCAAAGTCTCAGGATAGAAAATCAATTTGCAAAAATCACAAGCATTCTTATACACCAACAACAGACAAACAGAGAGCCAAATCATGAGTGAACTCCCATTCACAATTGCTTCAAACAGAATAAAATACCTAGGAATCCAACTTACAAGGGATGTGAAGGACCTCTTCAAGGAGAACTACAAACCACTGTTCAACGAAATAAAAGATGATACAAACAAATGGAACAACATTCCATGCTCATGGGTAGGAAGAATCAATATTGTGAAAATGGCCATACTGCCCAAGGTAATTTATAGATTGAGTGCCATCCCCATCAAGCTACCAATGACTTTCTTCACAGAATTGGAAAAAACGACTTTAAAGTTCATATGGAACCAAAAAAGAGCCCACATTGCCAAGTCAATCCTAAGCCAAAAGAACAAAGCTGGAGGCATCACGCTACCTGACTTCAAACTATACTACAAGGCTACAGTAACCCAAACAGCATGGTACTGGTACCAAAACAGAGATATAGACCAATGGAACAGAACAGAGGCCTCAGAAATAATGCCACATATCTACAACTATCTGATCTTTGACAAACCTGACAAAAACAAGAAATGGGGAAAGGATTCCCTATTTAATAAATGGTGCTGGGAAAACTGGCTAGCCATATGTAGAAAGCTGAAACTGGATCCCTTCCTTACACCTTATATAAAAATTAATTTAAGATGGATTGAAGACTTATATGTTAGACTTAAAACCATAAAAACCCTAGAAGAAAACCTAGGCAATACCATTCAGGACATAGGCATGGGCAAGGACTTCATGACTAAAACACCAAAAGCAATGGCTACAAAAGCCAAAATTGACAAATGGGATCTAATTAAACTAAAGAGCTTCTGCACAGCAAAAGAAACTACCATCAGAGTGAACAGGCAACCTACAAAATGGGAGAAAATTTTTGCAATCTACTCATCTGACAAAGGGCTAATATCTAGAATCTACAAAGAACTCAAACAAATTTACAAGAAAAAAACAAACAACCCCATCAAAAAGTGGGCAAAGGATATGAACAGACACTTCTCAAAAGAAGACATTTACGCAGCCAAAAGACACGTGAAAAACTGCTCATCATCACTGGCCATCAGAGAAATGCAAATCAAAACCACAATGAGATACCATCTCACACCAGTTAGAATGGCGATCATTAAAAAGTCAGGAAACAACAGGTGCTGGAGAGGATGTGGAGAAATAGGAACACTTTTACACTGTTGGTGGGACTATAAACTAGTTCAACCATTGTGGAAGTCAGTGTGGCGATTCCTCAGAGATCTAGAACTAGAAATACCATTAGACCCAGCCATCCCATTACTGGGTATATACCCAAAGGATTATAAATCATGCTGCTATAAAGACATATGCACATGTATGTTTATTGCGGCACTATTCACAATAGCAAAGACTTGAAACCAACCCAAATGTCCATCAATGATAGACTGGATTAAGAAAATGTGGCACATATACACCATGGAATACTATGCAGCCATAAAAAAGGATGAGTTCATGTCCTTTGTAGGGACATGGATGAAGTTGGAAACCATCATTCTCAGCAAACTATTGCAAGGACAAAAAACCAAACACCGCATGTTCTCACTCATAGGTGGGAATTGAACAATGAGAACACATGGACACAGGAAGGGAATATTACACACCAGGGCCTGTAGTGGGGTGGGGGGAGGGGGGAGGGATAGCATTAGGAGATATACCTAATGTAAATGACGAGTTAATGGGTGCAGCACATCAACATGGCACATGTATACATATGTAACAAACCTGCACATTGTGCACATGTACCCTAAAACTTAAAGTATAATAAAAAAAATCTAAATTCACAAAATTTTCATATTTTGTTCTAAAAAAAAAAAAAAAGAATGCTGTGTCCTCACATGCCAGAAGCTGGAAGGGGAAACATGGATGAACCCTCTCCCTCAAGCTTTTCCCTAATTTCATTCATGAGGGAGGAGCCCTCATGGTCTAATCACCTCTTAGACCCACCCATCCCCCACTGTCACACTGGCAACATTTGAATTTTAGAGGTGATACATTCAAATCACAGCAATTAGTGATTTGGGGATTCTTCATATTCTTGTTGGCCATTTGTATATCTTCTTCAGAGAAATGTCAATCCAAGTCTTTTGCCCATTTTGAGTTGTTTGTTTTGTGTGTTTTGAGTTGCGGAAGTTCTTTATATATTCAGGACATTAACTCATTAGCAGATATGGTTTGCAAATATTTTTTGCCATTACATAGGTTGACTTTTCCCTCTGGTGGTTGCTTTTTTGCTTTGCAGGAATTTTTCAGTTTGATGTACTCCCATTTGTGCATTTGTGCTTTTGTTGTCTGTGCTGTTGATGACATAGCCAAGAAATCATTGCCAATCCAATGTTATGCAGCCTTTCATTGTTTTCTTCTAGGATTTTTACAGTTTTCAGGTTATATATTGAGGACTTGAATCCATCTTAATTTTTGCATATGGTGTAAGGTAAGGGTCCAACTTCTTTCATTTGTTATGTGGATATTAAGTTTTACCAACATCATTTGTTGAAGAGACTATCTTTTCCCCATTGTGTAGCCTTGGCACCTTTGTTGAAGATCATTTGACCATATACATGAGCATTTATTTCTGGGTTTTCTATTCTGTCCTTTGGTGTACATGTCTATCTTAATGCCAGTACCATATTGTAGCTTTATAATATGTTTTGAAATCAGGAAGTGGGAGGCTTCCAGCTTTGTATTTCTTTCTCAAGATTGGTTTGGCTCTTCAGGGTTGAGATTCCATATGAATATTAGGATTTTTTTCTATTTCTGCAAAAGTGCCATTGATATTTTGATGAAAATGTGTTGAATCTGTAGATTGCTGTCGATAGTATGGATATTTTGACAATATTAAGTCTTCCAATCCATTGAACACAGTATGTCTTTCTATTTGTTTCTATCTTCCTCGATATCTTTCAGTAATGTTTTGTAGTTTTCTGTGTACAAATCTTTAGACTTCTTGGTTTTTATCCCTATTTTATTCTTTTTGATGCTATTGTAGACGGGATCATTTGTAAATTTCCTATTCAGATTGTTCACTATGTATAGAAATGCAGCTGGCTTTTGTCTGTTGATTTCATACGCTACTTTGCTGAATTTGTTTACTAGGTCTAAGTTTTTTGTGTAATCTTTATAGTTTTCTACATCTAAGATCCTGTCATCTGCAAACAGGGAAAATTTTTCTTATTTCTTTCCTATTTGGATGCATTTTATTTCTTTATCTTGCCTGATTGTTCTGACTAGGACTTCCAGGATTATGTTGAATAGAAGTGGCAAGAAAGGGTGTCAAAGGGTGTCTTTGCCTTGTTCCTGATCTTAAACAGAAAATTCAGATTTTCACCATTGAGTATGATGTTATTATGGCCTTTTCCTATATGGCCTTTAGTATGTTGAGGTAATTTCTTCTATTTCTAGTTTGTTGGTTTTTTAAAATAAAAAAATTGTGTTGAATTTTTTCAAATGCTTTTTTGTATTTATTCAGATGATTTTTATCCTTCATTCTGTTAGTGTAATGTATTACATTAATTTCCATATACTGAGCTGTCCTTGCATTTCAAGAATAAGTCACCTTTGGTTATGATGTATTATCCTTTTAATGTGTTGTTGAATTTATTGTGCTCATATTTGCTGAGGATTTTTGCATCAATAGTCAATAGGAATATTGATCTTTAGTTTTCCTATAGCATCTTTGTCTGATTTTGGTATCAGGGTAATGCTGACTTCATTGATTGAATTTGGAAGTGTTCCCTTCTTTTCAATTTTTGGGAATAATTTGAGAAGGACTGGTGTTAATTCTTCTTTAAAGTTTGGTGGAATTCTCCAGTGAAGCCATCAGGTTCTGGGCTTTTTTCATTGGAAGCTTTTTGGCTCTAACTAATCTTTATTATTTCTATCCTTCTACTAACTTTGGGTTTAGTTTGTTCTTTTTTTTTTCTAGTAGATTGAGATGTAAAGTTAGGTTGTTAGTTTGAGATCACTCTTCTTTTTAACTTTAGGTGTTTACTGTTATTAATTTCTTTTACTATTGCCTTTGATGTATTTCATAATTTTTGAGATGTTGTGTCTTTGTTTTAATTTGTCTGAAGATATTTTCTAATTTCCCTTGTGATTTCTTCCTTGACCCATTTGTTGTTAAAGTATGTGTTGTTTCATTTCCACATATTTTGGATTTTCCATTTTGCCTTTTGCTATTGATTTCTTAGTTTTACTACATTGTGGTTGGAAAAGAGTCTTGGTATAATTTCAATCTTAAATTTGTTAAGACTTATCCCATGACCTAACAGATAATCTATTCTGGAAAAGGGTGTGTATTCTGCTGCTGTTGGGTGGAATGTTCTGTTTATGTCTGTTAGGTCTAATTGGTCTATAGTGTCAATCAAGTCCTCTCTTTCCTTGTTGGTCATCTATTTGGTTGATCTACCCATTATTGAAAGTGGAGAATGTCTTTATTTCTAAAATGAGTCTCTGGTAGACAACATATAGTTGAATTTTGATTTTTAAAAATCCATTCAGCCACTCTATTCCTTTTGATTGGATAGTTTAATTACTTTACATTTAAAGTAATTATTGTTAGGAAATGATAATGATTTACTATTGCCACTTTGTTCATAGTTTCCTATATGTCTTGTAGTTATTTTGTTCCCCTTTTTCTCTCTTGCTGCCTTCCTTTGTGTTTTGTTGAATTTTTAATAGCGACATGCTTTGATTCCTTTCTCATTTTCTTTTGTGCATCTTCTATAGATATTTTCCTTGTGGTTATGATGAGAATTACATAAAATATCTTATAACAATAGCTTCAATTGCATACACATCTGTGCTTCTTTACCTCTCCTCACTTAACGTTATCAGTGTCACAAATTATGTTTTTATATTTGGTATTTATTACCATAGCGCTATGGTTAAATGTTTGTCCCCTCCAAAACTCATGTTAAAACTTAATTGCCATTGTAATAGTATTAAGAGGTGGGACTTTTAAGAGGTGATTAGACTATGAGGGCTCTGCACTCATGGGTGGAATTGGTGCTGTTATGATAGGGTGATTTTGGCCCCCTCTTGCTCTCTCTTGCCCCCTCTCACTCTGTTACTTTCTGCCAAGGGATGACGCAGCAAGAAGGCCCTTTTTGGATGCTGGCACCTTGATATTGGACTTCCCAGCTTTCAGAACTGTGAGCTGCCAAAATTTCTGTTCATTATAAATTACCCAGTCTCAGATATTTTGTTATAGTACCACAAAATGGATGGAAACACATAGTTTTATAGTTGTAGCTGTTTCTTATGCTTTTGTATTTTAAACTCTGTATCTGAATTGAGAATGATTTATGCACGATCACTATAGTATTTACAGAATTCTGTATTTGTTTACATATTTACCTTTACCAAAGGCTTTATATTTTCATATACCTTCATGTTGCTACTAGCATTCTTTCACTTCAACTTGAAGGGCTGTCTTTTACAATTCTTGTAAGGCAGGTTTAGTGGTGATACATTTCCTCAGCTTTTGTTTATTCAGGAAGAACTTTATTTCTCCTTCATTTTTGGAGGACATTTTTGCTAGAGATAGTATTCTTGGTTGGCAGTTCTTTTTCTTTGTTTTGTTTTTGTTTTTTTTGTTTGTTTGTTTTTTGTTTTTTTTTGAGATGGAGTCTCACTCTGTCACCCAGGCTGGAGTGCAGTGGCACGATCTCGGCTCACTGCAAGCTTCACCTCCCAGGTTCATGCCATTCTCCTGCCTCAGCCTCCCGAGTAGCTGGGACTACAGGCACCCGCCACCATGCCAGCTAATTTTTTGTATTTTTAGTAGAGACAGGGTTTCACCATGTTAGGTCTCGATCTCCTGACCTCGTGATCTTCCCGCCTCAGCCTCCCAAAGTGCTGGCATTACAGGCGTGAGCCACCACGCCTGGCCAGCAGTTGTTTTTCTTTCAGGTTTTTGAATATATCAGTGCACTCCTTTCTCGTTTGTAATGTTGTACTGAGAAATCTATGAAAGCTCTCCTTGTTTGTTACAAATCACTTTTCTTTTTCTGCTTTCAAGATTCTTTGTCTTTAACTCTTGACAGTTTGATTATAATATGTCTTAGTGTGAGCCTCTTTGGGTTCATCCTAGTGTTGAGTTTCTTGAATTTAGATGTCCATTTTCTTCCTCAGATTCGGGACATTTTTGGCCATTATTTCTTAAAATCAGCTTTCTACCCATTCTTTTTCTGTCTTATCCTTCTGAGTTGCCCATAATATGTCGATTGGTCTGCTTAATGCTTAGGCTTTCTTCAATTTTCCTCATTATTATTATTTTTTGGTTCCTCTGACTTAATAATTTCAAATGACCTGTTTTGATGATTCTTTCTTGATTTCCCTTCAGGGAATTTTTCAATTTAGTTGTTGGATTCTTCAACTCCAGAATTTTTGTTTGGCACTTTTCTACAGTTTCCCTCTCTTTGTTGTTATTCTCATTTTGTTGATCTGGCATTTTTCTGGTTTTAATTGTCGATGTTCCCTTGTAATACATTGAGCTTCCTCAAGATGATTGTTTTCAATTCTTTGTTGGGTAATTCATGGTTCTGTGTTTCTTTAGGGTTGGTTTCTAGAGATTTATTTTGATTCTTTGATTGGGCCATGTTTCCCTGATTCTTTTTATGCTTTGTTTATTTTATTATCATTTTTGCATTTGAAAAAAATAGCTACCTCTCCCAGTATTTATGAACTGGCTTCATGTTGAAAACACCTTTACCAACCAATCTGGCTAGAGATCCTAAGGGTCTCTTTTAAACCTTTCATGGGGATGCAACTTCTCTGGGCCAAGTGGCCACTTCATGCATTCTTTCCAGATTTCATAGCTGCATTTACTGAGAGACAGGGTGGAGTATGTTTACATCATCTTACCTAGAACCAGTAGCCCTCTGATTTGTATTTGCCCAATATAAATTACAGATTCTTTTGTTAAGAAATTTCAAATTAAAATGGCATTATAGCTACTTTTAAGATCATTTCCTCTTTTTTCTTGCCTTGCTTTTTTCCTCCTTCCTTACTACTCAACATTATTTACCTAAATCATCTACCCCAATCAAATATGTATGGCTAAGGAAGGAAACATCCAGAATGAAAGAGTAAAAGTAAAGGTAACTACAGTGAGAGTCTTTAACAATCTGATACAGGCAGGCAGTGTAAACTCTAAACCATGTTTCCTATAGTTAGAGGAACTCAAAGATTTCAAAATTCTCTTTTCATAGGAATGAGCTTCTCATCATTAGAGGCTCTAAGCAGAGGCTAAATAACTACCTGGTGTAGGTGACTGCAGGGAATTCAAGTCCTAAATAGGAGGCTGTGTCTGGTAAACTTTAAGGTGTCTCCTACATCCTCCTAGGACAGAAATTGCATTAAAGATTTTAAAAGAAGTCATGGGTGAGAGAAAATCATACTCACCTCTCAACAAATATTTATTAAGTAGCTACTCTTTGGTTGGACCTTGGGGATATGCAAGTGAACATGACACATTCCCTCTTCCCAGGAATGTATAGGTATATAGAGAGACGGTCAAGTAAATAGGCAATTATGAGTCGGTGTGACAAGTGCTACAGTAGGGATAAGCACAAGATGTTATGGAGTCTATTGGATGGCTTCCATATTTAGGAATCAGGGAAGTCTTCATGGGAGGGGAACTTCTAAACAAAGGGTCTACTAGGAATCAGGGAAAAGGAGGAGGGAAGAGAGGCTGTTCTAGGAAGATAAACAACCTGGGCAAGGTTGAGGCAGGAGAGTGTGGTGTATTCTTGGAACTGCAAGTGCTATAGGCAGGTTGAGTAGTATAATCCCTTTCCAGTGGGCTAAAAGCCACCATTTCACTGTCCCCAATTCTTTGGATATGTGTTTGCAAATTTGAGAGCAATGGAATGTTCCTGAAACATCTTCACAGCAGTCTTAAACCTTTCACATTTATCTTAATTTTTATTTCAGCCTTTCTTTGTCCTCTCTATAAATAGCATATGGTTAAGATTTTGTAAATATCAAACTTACACTCTCCTGTTAGGGAAGTTTAATTCATTAATATTTATTGTGTTTTTGTTTTATTCATTTCACCTTATTTAATGTTTATTATTTATCATGCTTTGTTTAAAATCATCTTTTTTCTCTCTGTGCTTTTGTTTGCATTGACCATGCTTTTAATTTTTAAAATCTTTCTGGTATCTTAAAAGATCTACTATATGTTTGTAATTAGTGGGTAGCTATTTTTTTTCCTTAGAGGCTTTTATCTAAAGTTTCATCCTACTACTTCAAATAGCCATAGTTAAGTCATTATTTCTCCATACATATGACAGAATAAAATACTTATATCTTTCCCCAGCTAGAAAATTTTATTTCTCGTTCCCTTTCCACACTAAGACTTCAGAACATTTTTATTTCCCCAATCTCTGTTACTAGCCTGATCCCCTTCATCTGACACTCTATGCCAAATAAATGAGCAAATAAAATAACTCCTTGGTTTTGCTAAGAAAATTTATAATGTTGGTTTCAGGTCATTATTAAGCTTTCCTTAGTAGGCAACCTCCTCACTTAAATATTTCATCAACAAATATTTATTGAGTACATAATGTATGCCAGTGGTCTTTAGGCTCTACATACTGCCATATATAAGTATAGTAGAGAAGTTAGATAACAAGACAACAAGAAAACAAAATATATTTTAAAAAATAGGCTGACAGGAAGTGATAGAAAGTGACCAGGTGAGGCTGTGAGCAGAAGTAGAAGAAGCCACGAGGGGACCAGCAGGAAGAGTACTCAGCCAGAGGGAATTGAATGTATGATGATTATATGGTGTGGGATTGGTCTTAGAGGTGGGCACAGGCAGTTTTTGAAAGGCTTTGAAGGGCTCAGGTAAGGAATGAGGACTTTTATTCCAAGTGTGATAGGAACTCATTGAATATTGATTGATTGATTTTAGAGCAGAATCTCATTCTGTTGCCCAGGCTGGAGCGCAGTGGCATAATCATAGCACAGAGCAACTTCGAATTCCTGGGCTCAAGCGATCCTCCTTCCTCAGCCTCCTGAGTAGCTGGGGCTATGGGCATGGGCCAACATGCCTGACCAATTATTTAATTTTTTGTAGAGGGGGAGTCTCGCTGTGTTGCCCAGGCTGGTATTGAGGTCTAGAACTCCTGGCTTTAAGGGATCCTCGTTCCTTGGCCTCCCACAGTGCTGGGATTACAGGTGTGGGCCATACTGCCTGGCCAATAAACGTTTTTAAATTGTTGCAGTTATTATTATTTTAATTAATTAATTTTTATTATACTTTAAGTTCTGGGGTACATGTGCAGAACTTGGAGGTTTGTTACATAGGTATACACATGCCATGGTGGTTTGCTGCACCCATCAACCCATCACCTACATTAGGTATTTCTCCTAATGCTATCCTTCCTCTGTCCCTCAACCCTCTGACAGACCCCTGTGTGTGATATTCCCCTCCCTGTGTCCATGTGTTCTCATTGTTCAACTCCCACTTATGAGTGAGAAAAAGTGGTGTTTGGTTTTCTGTTCTTGTGAGAATTTGCTGAGAATGATGGTTTCCAGCTTCATCCATGTCCCTGCAAAGGGCATAAATTCATCCTTTTATATGGCTGCATAGTATTCCATGGTGTATATGTGCCACATTTTCTTTATCAAGTCTGTCACTGATGGACATTTGGGTTGGTCTTTGCTATTGTGAATAGTGCCACAATAAACATATGTGTGCATGTGTCTTTATAGTAAAATGATTTATAATCTTTTGGGTATATACCCAGTAATGAAATTGTTGGGTCAAATGGTATTTCTAAGTTCTAGATGCTTGAGGAATCACTACACTGTCTTCCACAAAGTTTGAACTAATTTACACTCCCACCAACAGTGTAAAAGTGTTCCTATTTCTCCACATCCTCTCCAACATCTACTGTTTCTGACTTTTTAATGATCACCATTCTAACTGGTCTGAGATGGTATCTCATTGTGGTTTTGATTTGCATTTCTCTGATGACCAGTGATGATGAGCATTTTTTCATATGTTTGTTGGCTGCATAAATGTCTTCTTTTGAGATGTGTCTGTTTATATCCTTTGCCCACTTTTTGATGGGGTTGTTTTTTTCTTGTACATTTGTTTAAGCTCTTTGTAGATTCTGGACATTAGCCCTTTGTCAGATGGATAGATTGCAAAATTTTTCTGCCATTCTATAGGTTGCCTGTTCACTCTGATGACAGTTTCTTTTGCTGTGCAGAAGCTCTTTAGTTTAATTAGATCCCATTAGTCAATTTTGGCTTTTGTTGCCATTGCTTTTGGTGTTTTAGACATGAATTCTTTGCCCATGCCTATGTCCTGAATGGTATTGCCTAGGTTTTCTTCTAGGATTTTTATGGTTTTATGTCTTACATTTAAGTCTTTAATCCATTTTGAGTTGATTTTTGTATGAGGTGTAAAGAAAGGGTACAGTTTCAATTTTCTGCATATGGCTAGCCAGTTTTCCCAACACCATTTATTAAATAGGGAATCTTTTCTCCATTGCTTGTTTGTGTCAGGTTTGTCAAAGATCAGATGGCTGTAGATGTTTGGTGCTATTTCTGAAACCTCTGTTCTGTTTCATTTGTCTATATATCTGTTTTGGTACCAGTACCATGCTGTTTTGGTTACTATAGCCTTGAGGTATAGTTTGAAGTTAGGTAGCGTGATGCCTCCAGCTTTGTTCTTTTGGCTTAGGATTGTCTTGGCTATGCGGCCTCTTTTTTGGTTCCATTTGAAGTTTAAAGTAGTTTTTTCCAATTATGTGAAGAAAGTCAATGGTAGCTTGATGGGGATAGTATTGAATCTATAAATTACTTTGGGCAGAATGGCCATTTTCACAATATTGATTCTTCCTATCTATGAGCATGGAATGGTCTTCCATTTGTTTGAGTCCTTTCTTATTTCGTTGAGCAGTGGTTTGTAGTTCTCCTTGAAGAGGTCCTTTACATCCCTTGTAAGTTGGATTCCTAGGTATTTTATTCTCTTCATAGCAATTCTGAATGGGAGTCCACTCATGATTTGTCTCTCTGTTTGTCTATTATTGGTGTATAAGAATGCTTGTGATTTTTGCACATTGATTTTGTATCCTGAGACTTTGCTGAAGTTGCTTATCAGCTTAAGGAGATTTGGGGCTGAGACAATGGGGTTTTCTAAATATACAATCATGTCATCTGCAAACAGAGACAATTTGACTTCCTCTTTTCCTCACTGAATACCATTATTTCTTTCTCTTGCCTGACTGCCCTGGCCAGAACTTCCAATACTATGATGAATAGGAGTGGTGAGAGAAGGCATCCTTGTCTTGTGCCAGTTTTCAAAAGGAATGATTCCAGTTTTTGCCCATTCAGTATGATATTGGCTGTGGGTTTGTCATAAATAGCTCTTATTATTTTGAGACGCATTCCATCAACACCTAGTTTATTGAGAGTTTTTAGCATGAAGGGATGTTGAATTTTGTCAAAGGCCTTTCTGTATCTATTGAGATAATCATGTGGTTTTTGTCATTGGTTCTGTTTATACCATGGATTACGTTTATTGATTTGCATATGTTGAACCAACCTTGCATCCCAGGTATGAAGCTGACTTGATCATGGTGGATAAGCTTTTTGACGTGCTGCTGGATTTGGTTTTCCAGTATTTTATTGAGGATTTTTGCATTGATGTTCATCAGGGACATTGGCCTGAATTTTTTAGTTGTTGTATCTTTGCCAGGTTTTGGTATCAGGATGATGCTGGCCTCATAAAATGCATTAGGGAGGATTGCCTCTTTTTCTATCGATTGGAATAGTTTCAAAAAGAATGGTACCAGCTCCTCTTTGTACCTCTGGTAGAATTCAGCTGTGAATTCACCTGTTCCTGGATTTTTTTTTGGTTGGTAGGCTATTAATTACTGCCTCAATTTCAGAACTTGTTATTGGTCTATTCAGGGATTTGACTTCTTCCTGGTTTAGACTTGGGAGGGTGTATGCTTCCAGAAACTTATCCATTTCTTCTAGATTTTCTAGTTTATTTGTGTAGAGGTGTTTATAGTCTTCTCTCATGGTAGTTTGTATTTCTGTGGGATCAGTGGTGATGTCACCTATATCATTTTTTATTGTGTCTATTTGATTCTTCTCTTTTCTTCTTAATTAGTCTAGCTAGCAGTATATCAATTTCGTTGATCTTTTCAAAAAACCAGCTCCTGGATTCATTGATTTTTTGAAGGGTTTTTTGTGTCTCTATCTCCTTCAGTTCTGCTGTGATCTTAGTTATTTCTTGTCTTCTGCTAGCTTTTGAATGTGTTTGCTGTTGCTTCTCTAGGTCTTTTAATTGTGATGTTAGGGTGTCAATTTTAGATCTTTCCTGCTTTCTCTTGTGGGCATTTAGGGCTATAACTTTCCCTCTACATACTGCTTTAAATGTGTCCCAGAGATTCTGGTATGTTGTGTCTTCATTCTCATTGCTTTCAAAGAACATCTTTATTTCTGCCTTCATTTAATTATTTACTCAGTATTCATTCAGGAGCAGGTTGTTCTGTTTCCATGTAGTTGTGTGGTTTTGAGTGAGTTTCTTAGTCCTGAGTTCTAATTTGATTGTACTGTGGTCTGACAGACTGTTATTATTTCTGTTCTTATGTATTTGCTGCAGAGTGTTTTACTTCCAATTATGTGGTCAATTTTAGAATAAGTGCTGTTTGGTGCTGAGAAGAATGTATATTCTGTTGATTTGGGGTGGAGAGTTCTGTAGGTTTCTATTAGGTCCGCTTAGTGCAGAGCTGAGTTCAAGTCCTGAATATCCTTGTTAATTTTCTGTCTCATTGATCTAATATTGACAGTGGGGTGTTAAAGCTTCCCACTATTATTGTGTGGGTGTCTAAGTCTCTTTTTTGGTCTCTAAGAACTTGCTTTATGAATCTGGGTGCTCCTGTGTTGTGTGCATATATGTTTAGGATTGTTAGGTCTTCTTGTTGCATTGATCCCTTTACCGTTATGTAATGCCCTTGTCTCTTTTGATCTTTTTGGGTTTAAAGTCTGTTTTATAAGAGATTAGGATTGCAATTCCTGCTTTTTTTTTTTTTTGCTTTCCATTTGCTTGGTAAATATTCCTCCATCCCTTAATTTTGAGCCTATGTGTGTCTTTGCATGTGAGATGGGTCTCCTTAATACAGCACTCCAATGGGTCTTGACTCTATATCCAATTTGCCAGTCTGTGTCTTTTAATTGGGGCATTTAGCCCATTTACATTTAAGGTTAATATTGTTATGTTTGAATTTGATACTGTCATTATGACGCTAGCTGGTTATTTTGCCTGTTAGTTGATGCAGTTTTTTTCATAGCATCGATGGTCTTTACAATTTGGTATGTTTTTGCAGTGGGCTGGTACAAGTTGTTCCTTTCCATGTTTAGTGCTTCCTTCAGGAGCTTTTATAAGGCAGACCTGGTGGTGACAAAATCTCTCAGCATTTGTTTGTAAAGGATTTTATTTCTCCTTCACTTATTAAGTTTCGTTTGGCTGGATATGAAATTCTGGGTTGAAAATTATTTTCTTTAAGAATGTTGACTATTGGCCTCCAGTCTCTTCTTGTTTCTAGGGTTTCTGCCGAGAGATCCGCTGTTAATCTGATGGGCTTCCTTTTGTGGGTAACCCGACCTTTCTGTCTGGCTGCCTTTAACATTTTTTCCTTCATTTCAACGTTGATGAATCTGATGATTACATGTCTTGAAGTTGCTCTTCTCGAGGAGTATCTTTGTCGTGTTCTCTGTATTTCCTGAATTTGAATGTTGGCCTGTCTTGCTAGGTTGGGGAAGTTCTCCTGGATAATATCTTGAAGAGTGTTTTCCTACTTGGTTCCATTCTCCCCGTCACTTTTAGGTACACCAATCAAACGTAGATTTGGTCTTTTCACATATTTCCATATTTCTTGGAGGCTTCGTTTGTTCCTTTTTATTCTTTTTTCTATAATCTTGTCTTCTCGCTTGATTTCATTAAGTTGATCTTCAATCTCTGATACCCTTTCTTCTGCTGGATCGATTCAGCTATTGATACTTGTGTATGTTTCACAAAGTTCTCATGCTGTGTTTTTCAGCTTCATCGGGCCATTTATTTTCTTCTCTAAACTGGTTATTCTAGTTAGCAATTCATCTAACCTTTTTTTCAAGGTTCTTAGCTTCTTTGCATTGGGTTACAACATGCTCCTATAGCTGGGAGGAGTTTGTTATTACCCACCTTCTGAAGCCTACTTCTGTCAATTTGTCAAACTCATTCTCTGTCCAGTTTTGTTCCCTTGCTGGCAAGGAGTTGTGATCCTTTGGAGGAAAAGAGGCATTCTGGTTTTTGTCATTTTCTGGCTTTTTGAGCTGGTTTCTCCCAATCTTTGTGGATTTGTCTACCTTTGGTCTTTGATGTTGGTGATCTGTGGATGGGGTCTTTCAGTGGACGTGCTATTCCTTTCTGTTAGTTTTCCTTCTAACACTCAGACCCCTCTTCTGCAGGTCTGCTGGAGTTTACTGGAGGTCTACTCCAGACCCTGTTTGCCTGGGCATCACCAGCGGAGGCTGCAGAACAGCAAAGATTGCTTCCTCTGGAAGCTTCATCCCAGAGGGGCACCTGCCAGATGCCAGCCAGAGCTCTCCTGTGTGAGGTGTCTGTCAGCCTCTACTGGGATGCATCTCCCAGTCAGGATACAAAGGGGTCAGGGACCCACTTGAGGAGGCAGTCTGATCCTCAGCAGAGCTCAAACTCTGTGCTGGGAGGTCCGCTCTCTCTTCAGAGCCATCAGGCAGGGATGTTTAAGTCTGCTGAAGCTGCGCCCACAGCTGCCCCTTCCCCCAGGTGTTCTGTCTGAAGGAGATGGGGGCTTTATCTTTAAGTCCCTGACTGGGGCTGCTGCCTTTTTTTCAGAGATGCCCTGCCCAGAGAGGAGAAATCTGGCAGTCTGGCCACAGCGGCGTGGTTGAGCTGCAGTGGGCTCTGCCCAGTTTGAACTTCCCAGTGGCTTTGTTTACACTGTGAGGGTAAAACCGCCTACTCAAGCCTCAGCAATGGCAGACGCCCCTCCTCCCACCAAGCTTGAGAGTCCCAAGTCAATCTCAGACTGCTGCTATGCAGGCAGCAAGAATTTCAAGCCAGTGGGTCTTAGTTTGCTGGGCTTCACTGGGGTGGGACCCACTGAGCCAGACCACTTGGCTCCCTGGCTTCAGCACCCCTTTCCAGGGGAGTGAACGGTTCTGTCTCACTGGCTTTCAGGTGCCACAGGGGTATGGAAAAAAAAAAAAAAAAACCTCCTGCAGCTAGTTTGGTGTCTGCTTAAATGGCACCCAGTTTTGTGCTTGAAACCCAGGACCCTGGTGGGGTAGGCACCAGAGGGAATCTCCTGTTCTGAGGGTTGCAAAGACTGTGGAAAAAGTGCAGTATCTGGGCTGGAGTGCACAGTTCCTCAGGTTCAGTCCTTCATAGCTTCCCTTGGGTAGGGGAGAAAATTCCCTGACCCCTTGCATTTGGTGGGTGAGGCAACGCTCCACCCTGCTTCAGCTCACCTTCTGTGGGCTGCACCCACTGTCCAACCAGTCCCAATGAGATGAACTGGGTACCTCAGTTGGACATGCAGAAATCACCCACCTTCTGCATCAATCTAGCCGGGAGCTGAAGACTGGAGCTGTTCCTATTTGACCATCTTGCCAGCAATCTGCAGTTATTATTTTTATGATACAAGTATAATCTTATTTTTGGCAATTGAAAGCCTCTTCCCATTGGCTCTTGAGTCCTTTTGCCTTGGGCTTAGTGTCCTTGATAATTTTCTTACTTTCTGATGTGACAGGACATTCTAGATTCATCTTTAATTTCCTTTCCAAGGTCAGGAATCAGCCATTTCTCCCAGTTACCCTGGCTCCCTTTAGTGGGAATGGTCAACACTAAGGACAACAGTGTACTCATTACCATTTGTTTTCTCCAGATCTCCTTAGGACACAAAACTAAGAAATGTTTTTTATATATATATATTTTAAAAAAAACCTCTCATACACCATGAGTTTATATTGATACTTCAGATTCAAATTCAAGACTATAGATTCTTATTTAAACTCTTTGATTTGTATTTCCTTTCTTCTGTGACCAACTAATTCAATTAGTGACATCACCATAATTAATCATTTGCTTTTTCACACAGTTCATCTACAGAACAATCTCCAGTGACAATACCCAACACTACTGCTAACAATATGATTACTAAAGCAGTTTCAGAATTTCTTCAATTCTCGCTTGGTGCAGTGGCTCATGCCTATAATCCCAGCACTTTAGGAGGTTGAAGTGGGAGGATTTCTTGAGGACAGGAGTTTGAGACCAGCCTGAGCAACATAGTGAGACCTCATTTCTACAAAAAGTTTCAAAAATTAGTCAGACATGGTGGCACATGCCTGTAGTCCCAGCTACTTGGGAGGCTGCAGCAGGAGGATAGCTTGAGCTCAGGAGTTCAAGGCTGCAGTGTGCTGTGATTACACCACTGCACTCCAGCCTGAGTGAAAGTGAGATCCTATCTTAAATAATAATAATTTATTCAGTTCTTTTTGTACTTTGGAGGTATCTCATGAGGCATTCATCTGAAGTAATTCCTCTTTATTTGTATATGCCATCAAGTCAATATACAGTCAAGTTCATTATTCAAAAAATTTTTTTTGTTTTTAGAGATTGTTTTAATTTTTATTCAAAAGTTATTTAATGTATTCACATGGTACAAAGTTAAAACTGCAAAACAAGGTAGATTTGGGGATAGGTTCACCTCCACCCCTCCACCCCACTCTTTCTCTTCCCATAGGTAATTTTTTGATGTTTGATTTTGCTTCCATTTAAAAATAATAACAAGTGTTGGTGAGGATGTGGAGAAATTGGAACACGTGTACATTGCCTGTGGGAATGTAAAGTGGTGAAGCCACAAAGTTTAGTAATTCTTCAAAAAGTTAAACATGGAATTATTACTTTATCCAGTAATTCCACTCTTAGGTATATAAACAAGAGAATTGAAAGGAGAGACTCAAGGGGATACTTTTATACTTGTTCATAGGAGCATTATTCACAATAGCAAAAAGATGAAAACAACCCAACTGTCCATTAACAGATGAATAAACAAAGTATGATCTGTCCATACAATGGAATATGACTCAACCATAAAAAGGAATGAAGCTCTCATATATGCCACAACATGAATGAAGCTTGTAGACATTATGCTAAGTGAAATAAGCCACACACAAAAGGACAAATATTGTATAATTCTACAAATATGAAATATTTTAAATAAGAAGATTCATAGAGATCAAAAATAGATTAGAGGTTCTAGGTCTTAAGTAAGGGGAAAATAGGGGAGCCACTGTTTAATGGATATGGTTTCAGTTTGGGGTGATGGCAAAGTTTTAGAAATAAAGAGTAGTGATGACTCTACAACATTGTGAATATCATTAATGCTGTAATTCATATACTAAAAATGTTTAAAATGGAAGAAAATAGGCAATTGATAATTTTTTACTATCTTTTTTTTTTTTTTTTTTTTTGAGGTTGAGTCTCCTGTCACCCAGGCTGGAGTGCAGTGGCGTGATCTCGGCTCACTGCAACCTCTGCCTCCCAGGCTCAAGCAATCCTCCCACCTCAGCCTCCCGAGTAGCTGGGACCACAGGTGCATGCCAGGCTTGTATTTGTGGTAGAGACAGGGTTTCACCATGTTGCTCAGGCTGATCTTAAACACCTGAGCTCAAGCAATCCACCTGCCTCAGCCTCCCAAAGTGCTGGGATTATAGGCATGAGCCACTATACCTGGCCAATTTTTACATAAATAGTAGCACACTATCCACATTTTTCTCCATCTTGCTTTGTTCACCAAACAATAATCTGGACCAAGACTGTACATCAGTGTAGATCATCAGTAGAAATAGTCTCTACTGCTCTTACAACTGCAGAGCACATCATCCTGTGGATATTGCCATAGTGTATCTAACCAATGCCCTAGAGATGAAAAATTAGATTGTTCATTAGAGATTTTTTGTAGGAAAAAAGTGATATCTGATTTATACCTGGGTGACATGTCGAAAATGGATCGGGGGTGGGGAGTTGCAGAAGATTGAAAGCAGAAAGTTGAGGCCATTGCAAACATCCTAAGGAGAGGGCGGTTACTTAAACTAAGGTGGTAGTAATGGAAATAGAAAAAATTAATGAATCCTGGCTTGTGATGGCAGTAGAGACTACAGAACTTTTTGATGAGTTGGATGTGGGAAATAAGGGATAAACAAAAATCACAGGTGACTACCTAATTTGGGGGCTTCATAAATTAGGTGGATGGTGGTGCTATAAATGGAGAAGACTAGAGAAGAAGTAGATTTTGGTTGTTTCATTTTCTTGTGTTTCTTTTTTCTGTATAGATAAATCGGGTGTTCTTCTTGGGATAACCAAGTAGAGATGTAAGTCATTAGGAATATGAATGTAGAACTTGATGGAGATGTTAGGAGTTGGGATAGAAATTTTGGAAATCATTGGCATATATATGGCATTTAAATCCATAGGATTGGAGGAGCTTAGAGAGTTGCTGTGGCGGAAACCAAGAAAGACACCAGTATGCTAGCCCTGTTCCATGCTAACAAGGAAGGAGACCTTGAAGTCAATAGTGTGATGTCATGAAATGCAAGAGAAGAAAGCATTTTAAGAAAGAGGGAACTGTCCATGGCCAGAGCCATGTCAAATCCTACAGATCTCATTTACTCCTTCAGTTAATCCTGCTTCTTTGATGCCAACTGCTTTGGTTATCTGGTAGCATGCCTCCTTCAAGTTATACCATCCTCCTAAATGATTAGTGGTTTTTCTTGGCTGATTTATATCCTTCGCTATGTAATTCCTCAGTGGATGGATAACTGAGGTATCCGACAATGTTAGAAAAGTGGAGAGGTGCAGTACACATGGGTAAAAAGAAATAACCACTGGCATATCAGTCTGTTCTCACACTGCGATAAAGAAATACCTGAGACTGGGTATTTTATAAAGAAAAGAGAGCTCATGGTTCCACAGCCTGTACAGGAAGCATGGCTGGGGAAACCTCAGGAAACTTACAATCATGATGGAAGGCAGGGGAAGCATGACTGGAGCAGGAGGAAGCAAGAGAAGGGGGAAGTGCTACACACGTTTCAACAACCAGATCTCCTGAGAATTCATTCACTTTCACAAGAACAGCAAGGGGAAAATCTGTCCAATGATCCAATCACCTTTCACCAGGCCCCTCCTCCAACATTGGGGATTCAATCCACATGAGATTTGGGTGAGGACACAAATCCAAGCCATATCAACTGGCTTTGGTAACAAGAAGGTTAGTAGTGACGTTCACAAGAGAAATTTCAGCAAAGGAATGAGAGAATGGGAGGTGAAGAATAGGAGACAGGAACTAAGAGAAGTTCTGCTGTGGAATGGGAACAGCAGAAATGGGAATGTCTGCAGAGGGAGGGAGGAAGGGGTCAGAGAAGGGTTTTAGACAGGGGATTCTCAACCATACTTGTAACGCTGCCCTTGTAAGAAGGGGAAGAGTGATGATGTGGGAAGGAGAGGGTAAATGCGGTGGAAACATCTGTGAGAAGCACCCCCACTTAATGGTTACACTGCAGTTCTCAGACACACAATCACCATCCACTTATATTTAACTAGAGATAGCACAAGATTCAATGCCCAGTCTTATTCTTTGTACTTTTATTATTATTATTATTATTATTTTACTATCTTGAGATATTCTTTGATTTCAGCTTGTCTGCAGTTGTTCCTTGGGGTGTTTCCTCAGAAAAAGAACATGGTTCTCCATCTTCCTAAGAGCTCTTTGTGTGTTAAAAATGCCTTTTCTTTTGCCATCACTTGGCTGTATAAAGGATTCTTGGATCTCTCACTGCCCTCCAAAAGTGGTTTTGATATTTTCTAGCTTCCAGTGTTGTAGGTGAGAAGACTGATACTTGTTTAATTCTTTCTCCCTTATAAAGTCCCATTCTCTCCAACTGGAAGCTTGTAAGATTTTGTCCCTGGAATATAGAAGTTTCACCAAGATATGACTGTCTTTTTTTCATTGTTCTGGTTCATATCTCAGAGATTGCTGTCAATACAAAGACCCAAGTCTTTCTTTATTCTTTTCCTTCTGGGACTTCTAAAATTTGTAAACTTTTCTTCATGACTCATGAATTTGTTCTGTGTGATGGAATATGTTCTCCATTCAGTCTACTACAACTCTGACAGCGTGTTCAGCAGTGACCATTTTGTTTTTCAATTCACCTGTTGAACTTTAAAATGCACAGTTAAGCCCAAGCGCAGTGGCTCACACCTGTAATCCCAGCACTTTGGGTGGCCGAGGCGGGTGGATCACCTGAGGTCAGAAGTTTGAGACCAGCCTGATCAACATGGTGAAACCCATCTCTACTAAAAATACAAAAATTGCCAGGCATGGTGGTGCACGCCTGTAATCCCACCTACTCAGGAGGTCGAGGCAGGAGAATTGCTTGAAACCGGGAGGCAGAGGTTGCAGTGAGCCAAGATCGCGCCATTACACTTCACCCTGGGCAACAGAGCAAGACTCTGTCTCAAAAAAAAAAAAAAAAAAAAGCACAGTCAAGTTCTGTCCTTTCAGAAAACTTCTTTTGTGCTTTACTGCTATGTCCTTCAACACTCACTACATTACTATTAAAGTTCTCTTTGATTTCTTAAATGAAGTCAGCTTCTTAGGTGCCAACTGCTTTGGTTGTCTGGTAGCATGCCCCCTTCAAGTTATAGCATCCTCCTGAATTATGTGAGTGCTCTTTTTGGCTGATTCATATCTTTAGGTTTAAAATCCCTCAGTGGGTGGAGAACTCAGGTTTATCTGCCAATGTTAGAAGAGAGGGGTCTACCGATGCCAGCTGGTGCCCCTCTCTGGAGGCACAATGGGATTTATGTCTTCAGCCCAGCTCACCACAAGACAAGCCTCTTTCACAGCTTTTGAATCCTAACTTTGCAAACAGTGATGTTCTCAACCCATAACTTCTGCCTCAGAACTCAATGCTGTCTAGGTATGTAGTGGCTCCTCAAGGTTTCAACAATAGTAGGCAGTTGTCTGAGTGGCCTTGGAATCTATAGAGGACAGAGTCAGAAATTGAAGCTCAGAAATCGTCCTTTAATTTGATTTTTAAGCCTGTAACTTTGATATCATTGCCTCAGGGCACAGGAACAAAATATTAAATATATAAACTGTGTTGTAATATAAGGTTATATAGTGTATGATTATTGGTATTGCTGTTAAATATACATAACTAATTGAAGTGTATAATTAGTTAAAGAGTTATAATGAGAGCAAATTATTTCTTAAAATAAGTTGAATCCTAAAAACATTTTTCTTTCAAGTAAAAACTCTGCCATGAACTACTACATATTTTTAATTTTCCCAAAAGGGATTAGAAGGTATTTACAATCCAGGTTAGGGTTTGTAGTTTAAAGTTACCACAAGAGAGAACTTGTATAATTTTTACTTAAATTTAGCTAAGTCCATCTATAAACTAAAATGGTGTATTGAAATTTTACATCAGATTTTTAAATTCCAATATAGAAAACTGTGTATTGGAAAACTGCAAAGACGCTGAGTTACACATCCTAAACTCTGTTAATTCAAAAAGTTTTAATCATCCTGGTTCAATTAATGTCTCTAAATAAATTATAAGTTAACAAAATGTTTGTCAAGCCAAACCCTGATCCTGGCTTGTCTCACTATGAGGCAAACAGTGGCCCCAGGCCAAGGACGCTGCATGCTCTCGGGCTGAAATATGAGCCGGGCTCCTGGGAGACCAGCAAAGCCTAAACAAACATCTGGGCCCTTCTAGCTGTTTACTATTTTCAGTTTTTATAAGAGTCTTCTCTGGATTTCTACATAGAAACAAATATACTGTGTGCTTTTATTTCAACAAGAAAATCTTTAGATTGAAGCTGTAATTTGGTTTTCATCAATAGCAACTCTTCTCTTTTTTAACAAATTGTCTTTTGCCTCCATAGTCCTTCCACTTCGATAATCTCTCTTCTCTTCTTTTTTTTCTCTTTCTGCATTTTGATTTCTTATTAAACTACTAAAGGTTGTTTAATTAATATCAATTAATGGCAAATCTGTGAATCCATCTGTCACAATAGTAGCTGTGCTTGGATAACCAACAACTTAAGGTAGTAAACTGATCGGCAATCTACAGTGAGTCATTACCCCTCCAGCAGCAATAGTCTGCCTGGGGCCTGCAGATGTGCTTGGTTTGCTTAGCATGGTGTTCTTGTAAAAATTTGAATATGAGTGACTTTGAGTAGAATACACTTTTTCCAGTTGACACCAGGCCAAACAATCTTCAAATCCTTTCACTTTTACCCTATCTGCGTGGCCTGAGTTTGTATCTGGTTAAAATTTTCATGGATAAAGACTCACAGCAGTTTCTCAAATGTGCCCCAAGGAATTCTGAGGTTCAGCCCAGCACTGGGTACGGTTAAGGGGCATTTCAGGTGATTCTGTGGGGGGTTAGCCTTGAGCCACACTGAAGAAACATCACCTAAAAGCTTTTCCAAATAGTCTTTACCTGTGTAGGTGTGTAACAAAAAATCAAAGCAAATCAAAAGAGTTTCTACATTATAATAGTACAATGAAAAGCAAGCTGCTAAGTTGAGTAAACGAGTGATCATGATGCACCTCATTCATTTATCAGTTCTCCTCTTGTAAATACACTGAAGTCCTTATTAAAGAAAAAAAGTAAATACTTTAAAATGAATTTTATACAGAAAGCAGCAATAGGAGTGATGAGGTTGCCAAATTTGAAAACCATTTTCTTTTTCAGCACTCCTAAAGGTGACATATTATTCTTTTAGTTTAATTTCCTAAAAATTCATATAATGGAAAAAATTTTTAATCGTAGTTTTTGTTAAGAAAAGAACAAGATTCTCTTAATTTTGTAATAAAGGTAGTAGTTGCTAAATTAAATCAAATTAAGTGATCTTAATCCTATTCCTCTAAATAAAACGATTTCCTTTTTAGTATCTCATAATATGAACAAATTTACCATTAAATCTAAATTAGGCAATGTCTTCGCATACAAAACACACCATTTACTACCACCATTCTTCTGAAAATTCTGGACAATTTTGTTTAAAATTGGTCTAGACATATTTTTTAACTTGAAAGAGTAGGCAACATTTCTCTAAATGGTTTTTCCTATTTCTTTTTTTAAAAAGGAAGCTTTTTACCCCTCATTTTTCAAAGTTATGTACCTGAAAGTCATACATTATAGAAAAGTAGAAAAAGAAAAACATAAATTCACCCTTCTAGGAAGAACTTTTAATAATGTATAAGATAATATAAAAGATGATAAATCATAATACACATATAAAATATTTATAAAATTTTTAAAGGATACCTTACAAAATTAAGAAATATTTGTGTACTATACAAAAGCCACTAATAAACAAATAAAATGCAAATTTCATAGAGCAGTATAAAATAAAAAGTAAAATTTTTATTTCCCAAGTCGGTCCTGATAAGTGGCTCTTTTTCTTCTCACTTTTTAAAAGTTGTTCTAAGGGTTGACAGTATAACTTTAAATAATACACTTAGCGCTTTCATTTTTTTCTTTTTTTGAGACAGGGTCTCTCTTTTTTGCCCAGGCTGGAGTGCAGGGACACAATCTTGGCTCACTGCAACCTGCACCTCCTGGGTCCAAGCAATTCTCCTGCCTCAGCCTCCTGAGTAACTGGAACTAAAGGTGCCAGCCCACCAAGCTGATTTTTGTATTTTTAGTAGAGACGGAGTTTCAACATGTTGCCCAGGCTGGTCTCGAACTCCTGACCTCAAGTGATCCACCTTCCTTGGCCTCCCAAAGTGCTGCGATTACAGGCGTCAGCCACCACACTTGGCCCTTTTTTCCTTTTAATTCAGGTTTAGCTTGCATACATTAAGTGATATACAAATCATAAGTCAGTGCAAATAAATTTTACTTATGTCTACAAACATGTAACTGCTAACTGCTACCCAAATCAAGCTAACTCCTTGGGGGTTCCTTCTCAATCAGTACTGTATCCCTAAAGATAATCATCTTTATCAATAGTGTTTTGCAAGTGTTTAAACATTGTGAAAACAAAGTCACACAGTATATACTCTTTTCTGTCTGCATTTCTGTTGCTCAACATTATGTATTTAAAATTCAGGATCCCTGTTCCAAGATGGCCAAATAAGAACAGCTCCAGTCTGCAACTCCCAGTGTGATCGATGCAGAAGACGGGTAATTTCTGCATTTCCAACTGAGGTACCTGGTTCATCTCATTGGGACTGGTTGGACAGTGGGTGCAGTCCACAGAAGGTGAGCTGAAGCAGGGTGGGGCATCGCCTCACCCGGAAATGCAAGGGGTCGGGGGATTTCCCTTTCCTAGCCAGGGGAAGCTGTGATGTGACAGACTGTACCTGGAAAAACGGGACACTCACACCCAAATACTGTGCTTTTCTCATGGTCTTAGCAACCTGCAGACCAGGAGATTCTCTCCTGTGCCTGGCTTGGGGGGCCCCAGGCCCACGATGCCTTGCTCACTGCTAGCACAGCAGTCTGAGATCGCCCTGCAAGGCAGCAGCCTGGGGGAGGGGTGTCTACCATTACTGAGGCTTGAGTAGGTAAACAAAGCAGCCAGGAGGCTCGAACTGGGTGGAGCCCACCACAGCTCAGCAAGGCCTACTGCATCTATAGATGCCACCTCTGTGGGCAGGGCATAGCTGAACAAAAGGCAGCAGAAACTTCTGCAGATTTAAACATCCCTGTCTGACAGCTCCGAAGAGAGCAGTGGTTCTCCCAGCATGGTGTTTGAGCTCTGAGAACAGACAGACAGCCTCCTCAAGTGAGTCCCTGACCCCATGTAGCCTAACTGGGAGACACCTCCCAGCAGGGGCTGACAGACACCTCATACAGGTGGGTGCCCCTCTGGGAAGAAGCTTCCAGAGAAAGGATCAGGTAGGAATATTTGCTGTTAAGCAATATTTGCTGTTCTGCAGCCTCCGCTGGTGATACCCAGGCAAACAGCGTCTGGAGTGGACCTCCAGCAAACTCCAACAGACCTGCAGCTAAAGGACCTGACAGAAGGAAAACTAACAAACAGAAAGGAATAGCGTCAACATCAATAAAAAGGACATTGACATCAAAACCCCATCTGTAGGTCACCAACATCAAAGACCAGAGGTAGATAAAACCACAAAAATGGGGAGAAATCAGAGCAGAAAAGCTGAAAATTCTAAAAACCAGAGCACGTCTTCTCCTCCAAAGGATCACAGCTCCTCGCCAGCAATGGCAAAAAGCTGGAGGCTGAATGACTTTGATGAGTTGACAGAAGTAGGCTTCAGAAGGTCGGTAATAATAAACTTCTCAGAGCTAAGGGAGACTGTTCTAAGCCATCTCAAGGAAGCTAAAAACCTTGCAAAAAGGTCAGACAAATAGCTAATTAGAATAAACAGTGTAGAGAAGACCTTAAATGACCTGAAGGAGCTGAAAAACCATGGCACGAGAACTTTGTGATGCATGCACAAGCTTCGATAGCTGATTCGGTCAAGTGGAAGAAAGGATATAAGTGATCGCAGATCAAATTAATGAAATAAAGCAAGAAGACAAGTTTAGAGAAAAAAGAGTAAAAAAGAAATGAACAAAGCCTCCAAGAAATATGAGACTATGTGAAAAGACCAAATCTACATTTGATTGGTGTACCTGAAAGTGACGGGAGAATGGAACCAAGTTGTAAAGCACTCTTCCGGATACTATCCAGGAGAAATTCCCCAATCTAGCAAGACAGGCCAATATTCAAATTCAGGAAATATAGAGACCACCACAAAGATATTCCTCAAGAAGAGCAACCCCAAGGCACATAATTGTCAGATTCACCAAGGTTGAAATGAAGGAAAAAATGTTAAGGGCACACAGAGAGAAAAGTCAGGTTACCCACAAAGGGAAGCCCATCAGACTAACAGCAGATCACCTGGCAGAAAACTTAACAAGCCAGAAGAGAGTGGAGGCCAATGTGCAACATTCTTAAAGAAAATAATTTTCAACCCAGAATTTCATATCCAGCCGAAATAAGCTCCATAAGTGAAGGAGAAATAAAATCCTTTACATACAAATGCTGAGAGATTTAGTCACCACTGGCTGGCCTTACAAGAGCTCCTGAAGGAAGCACTAAACATGGAAAGGAAAAACTGGTACCAGCCACTGCAAAAACATGCCAAATTGTAAAAACCCTTGATGCTATGAAGAATCTGCAACAACTAATGGGCAAAATAACCAGCTAACATCATAATGACAGGATCAAATACACACATAAAAATATTAACCTTAAATGTAAATGGACTAAATGCCCCAATTAAAACACACAGACTGGCAAATTGGATAAAGAGTCAAGACCCATTGGTGTGCTGTATTCAGGAGACCCATCTCACCTGCAGAGACACACATAGGCTCAAAATAAAGGGATGGAGGAAGGTCGACCAAGCAAATGGAAAGCAAAAAAAGAGCAGGGGTTACAATCCCAGCCTCTGATAAAACAGACTTTAAACCAACAAAGATCAAAAGAGACAAAGAGCTTTACATAATGGCAAAGGGATCAATGGAACAAGAAGAGCTAACTATCCTAAATATATATGCACCCAATACAGGAGCACCCAGATTTATAAAGCAAGTCCTTACAGACCTACAAAGAGACTTAGACTCCCACACAATAATAATCGGAGATTTTAACACCACACTGTCAATATTAGACAGATCAACGAGACAGAAGGTTAACAAGGATATCCAGGACTTGAACTCAGCTCTGCACCAAGCAGACCTAATAGACATCTACAGAACTCTCCACCCCAAATCAACAGAACATACATTCTTCTCAGCACCATGTCGCACTTATTCTAAAATTGACCACATAATTGGAAGTAAAGCACTCCTCAGGAAATGTAAAAGAACAGAAATCACAAAAAACTGTCTCTCAGACCACAGTGCAATCAAATTAGAACTCAGGATTAAGAAACTCATTCAAAACTGCACAACTACATGGAAACTGAACAACCTCCTCCTGAATGATTACTGGGTAAATAATTAAATGAAGGCAGAAATAAAGATGTTCTTTGAAACAAATGAGAAAAAAGACACAACGTATCAGAATCTCTAAGACACATTTAAAGCAGCGTGTAGAGGGAAATTTATAGCACTAAATGCCCACAAGAGAAAGCAGGAAAGATCTAAAATTAGACTATTAAAATAAGATTTTAATTGTGATGTTAGACACCCTAACATCACAATTAAAAGAACTAGAGAAGCAACAGCAAACACATCCAAAAGCTAGCAGAAGACAAGAAACAACTAAGATTGGAGCAGAACTGAAGGACATAGAGACACAAAAAACCCTTCAAAAAATCAATGAATCCAGGAGCTGGTTTTTTGAAAAGATCAACAAAATTGATAGACTGCTAGAAAGACTAATAAAGAAGAAAAGAGAGAAGAATCAAATAGACGCAATAAAAAAATGATAAAGGGGATATCACCACTGATCCCACAGAAATACAAACTACCATCAGAGAATACTATAAACATTTCTACACAAATAAACTAGAAAATCTAGAAGAAATGGATAAGTTCCTGGACACATACACCCTCCCAAGACTAAACCAAGAAGAAGTCGAATCTCTGAATAGACCAATAACAGGCTCTGAAATTGAGGCAGTAATTAATAGCCAACCAACCAAAAAAAAGTCCAGGACCAGATGGATTCACAGCCAAATTCTACCAGAGGTACAAAGAGGAGCTGGTACCATTCCTTCTGAAACTATTCCAATCAATAGAAAAAGAAGGAATCCTCCCTAACGCATTTTACGAGACCAGCATCATCCTGATACCAAAGCCTGGCAGAGACACAGCAAAAAAAGAGAATTTTAGACCAATATCCCTGATGAACATCAATGCGAAAGTCCTCAATGAAATACTGGCAAACCGAATCCAGCAGCACATCAAAAAGCTTATCCACCCCAATAAAGTCGGCTTCATCTCTGGGATGTAAGGCTGGTTCAACAAACGCAAATCAGTAAACGTAATCCATCACATAAACAGAACCAATGACAAAAACCACATGATTATCTCAATAGATGCAGAAAGGCCTTTGACAAAATTCAACAGCCCTTCATGCTAAAAACTCTCAATAAACTAGGTATTGATGGAACATATCTCAAGATAATAACAGCTATTTATGACAAACCCACAGCCAATATCATACTGAATGGGCAAAAACTGGAAGCGTTCCCTTTGAAAACCAGCACAAGACAAGAATGCCCTCTCTCACCACTCCTATTCAACATAGTGTTGGAAGTTCTGGCCAGGGCAATCAGGCAAGAGAAAGAAAAAAAGGGTATTCAGTGAGGAAAAGAGGAAGTCAAATTGTCTCTGTTTGCAGATGACATGATTGTATATTTAGAAAACCCCAACGTCTCAGCCCCAAATCTCGTTAAGCTGAGAATCAACTTCAGCAAAGTCTCAGGATACAAAATCAATGTGCAAAAATCACAAGCATTCCTATACACCAATAACAGACAAACAGAGAGCCAAATCATGAGTGAACTCCCATTCACAATTGCTTCAAACAGAATAAAATACCTAGGAATCCAACTTACAAGGGATGTGAAGGACCTCTTGAAGGAGGACTACAAACCACTGCTCAATGAAATAAAAGAGGACACAAACAAATGGAAGAACACTCCATGCTCATGGATAGGAAGAATCAATATAGTGAAAATGGCCATAATGCCCAAAGTAATTTATAGATTCAATGCCATCCCCATTAAGCTACCAATGACTTTCTTCACAGAATTGGAAAAAACTACTTTAAAGCTCATATGGAACCAAAAAAGAGCCCACATTACAAAGACAATCCTAAGCCAAAAGAACAAAGCTGGAGGCATCACGCTACCTAACTTCAAACTATACTACACAACTACAATAACCTAAACAGCATGGTACTGGTACCAAAAGAGATATATAGACCAATGGAACAGAACAGAGGCCTCAGAAATAACACCACACATCTGCAGCCATCTGATCTTTGACAAACTTGACAAAAACAAGAAACGGGGAGAAGATTCCTTATTTAATAAATGGTGTTGGGAAAACTGGCTAGCCATATGTAGAAAGCTGAAACTGGATCCCTTCCTTACACCTTATATAAAAATTAATTTAAGATGGATTGAAGACTTATATGTTAGACTTAAAACCATAAAAACCCTAGAAGAAAACCTAGGCAATACCATTCAGGCCATAGGCATGGGCAAGGACTTCATGACTAAAACACCAAAAGCAATGGCAACAAAAGCCAAAATTGACAAACGGGATCTAGTTAAACTAAAGAGCTTCTGCACAGCAAAAGAAACTACCATCAGAGTGAACAGGCAACCTACAGAATGGGAGAAAATTTTTGCAATCCATCCATCTGACAAAGGGCTAATATACAGAATCTACAAAGAACTTAAACAAATTTATAAGAGAAAAACAACCCCATCAAAAAGTGGGCAAAGGATATAAACAGACCCATCTCAAAAGAAGACGTTTATGCAGCCAACAGACACATGAAAAAATGCTCATCATCACTGGTCATCAGAGAAATGCAAATCAAAACCACAATGAGATACCATCTCAGACCAGTTAGAATGGTGATCATTAAAAAGTCAGGAAACAACAGATGCTGGAGAGGATGTGGAGAAATAGGAACACTTTTACCCTGTTGGTGGGAGTGTAAATTAGTTCAACTATTGTGGAAGACAGTGTGGCGATTCCTCAAGGAACTAGAACTAGAAATACCATTTGATCCAGCAATCCCATTACTGGGTATATACCCAAAGGATTATAAATCATGCTACTCGAAGGACACATGCACACGTATGTTTACTGTGGCACTATTCACAATAGCAAAGACTTGGAACCAACCCAAATGTCCATCAATGATAGACTGGATTAAGAAAATGTGGTACATACGCAACATTGTCTACTGTGCAGCCATAAAAAAGGATGAGTTCATGTCTTTTCAGGGACATGGATGAAGCTGGAAACCATCATTCTCAGCAAACTAACACAAGGACAGAAAACCAAACACTGCATGTTCTCACTCATAGGTGGGAACTGAACAATGAGAACACTTGGACACAGGGTAGGGAACATCACACACCGGGGCCTGTCAGGGGGTCAGGGGGCTGGGGGAGGTATAGCATTAGGAGAAATACCTAATATAAATGATGAGTTGATGAGTGCAGCAAACCAACATGGCACATGTTTACCTATGTAAGAAACCGCACGTTGTGCACATGTACCCTAGAACTTAAAGTATAATAAAAATAAATAAAATAAAATAAAATAAAATAAAATAAAATTCAGCCATGCTTAAGTATATCAGTGGTTTATTGTTTCATTATTGTGTAATATTCCATTATATATCACAATTTCTCCATTATATTGTTGGACTGTTCCCAGTTTTTGACTATTATGAATAATACTGCTATGACCATCCTTGAACATGTCATTTTGTGGACATAAGCATTCATATCTTTTGGTTAGGTAACAATGAGTTGAACTTATCAATATGTTTTTGGCTCCTGTCTAAGAAATCTTTATATATTCCAAGGTCATGAAAATATTCTCTGATGTTTTCTTGTAGAGTGCTTATTGTGTTACACTTCACATTTGGGTTTAAGATCTATCTTGAATAAATTTTTGTGTACAATGTGAAGTAGAGGTCAAGATTCTTTTTGTTCTTCCAAGTTCTTCCAAGTATCCACTTTACCCATCATTCTTTCTCCCAGTGACTTGTAATACAACCTCTGAGGTAACCATATATACATGGGTGTGTTGCTGAGATGTCAGTTGCATTCCATCTATCTGCTTATTTGAATGTCATCACCGCACTTTCTTAACCACACTAATTTTATGACTGTAGACATCTAGTAGTTAAAGCCCTCCATCTGAGTTCTTTAGGACTGGCTTGGCTATTTAGGTCTTCTGTATTTCTATATAAATTTTAGAATTACTTTGTTAATTTTCACAAGTAACCTGTTAGAATTGTGCTTGAGATATAATTGGATTTATAGACAAATTTGGGCAAAATTGACATTTTAATCTGTGAGTATCATGTTATCACTCTGTTTAAAAATTATTAACTTTAATTTTTCTCAGCAACGTTTTGCAATTTCAGTGTTAAAATCTTGTGGGTTTTTTGTGAAGTATGTTTCTTGGCCTTTAACTTTTGCGTGTGTGTGCTATTTTATTGTAGTTTTTATATGGTGTTTCTTTTCTACTTTTTTTAACACGGAGAAATAACATTGATTTTTGTATACTGACCTTGTATCTTGCAACTTTGCTAAATTCTCTTACTTATTCTCGTAACTTATTTGGAGATTATTTTATACTTTCTCTGTACATGTCATGTCACCTACATCATGCCATCTGCAAATAATGATAGCCTTATGTCAAGAACTGGGAAGGGTTTGAGATTTTATGCTACTTGCAGGTTACCAAGTTAGCTTGCCACTGTTTCATGGATGCTAACAGAGACACGAGACTCCTGCATCAAGATGACTTTATTACTCACAACAAAAACAGTGTCTAGAGTGTGAACATGTTTGTATCAGTTGCAAGCCCCAGTTTGTAGGGGACAGTGTAGACAGGCCTAGAAAAATGCCCACCCCCGTCCCATACAGTGGGCTGTGTTACAGAAAGGAACACTGAGCGTGGCAAACCTTCTGTTTCATAGCAGCCAGTAAGCAAAGCTTCTTCTTGTCTCAGAAGGAGATATTATCTCATTCTTCAAGGTTGCTTGCCACAAATGCAACTGTAAAGAATTGTCAGGGCCTTGGCAAACTCAGCAAAATATGTAGGAACAGGAGAGACCCATGGAGGAGTGTCTTCCAATGCTACCTACCACTCAGTTTAACATCGTCTTGGCTTCTACATGGTTTTCACAGAGTAAGCTACCCTGTTGGCTGTTTTGATAAACCTGAACAACACAGCTTGCCACTAAATCTGTTCAAGTTTTCTCACATAGCATTTAGTTAAAGCTACTGGTATCAGGACTCTATGCAGAAGAATAAGGCCAGTCTTCAGTACTGATCTCGGTCATGTCCACAGGGGTCCTGGATTTATCCAATAAACCATCAGAGCCTACCTTGGAAAGCCAAGTGGTTTTCTCCTTAAGTCTCTGTATTGATCTTTCCAGTTGGCCCAAGGCATTAATCCATATACAGAATGAATTAGCCCTAGCAGAGACCCTGTCTTGGCAGGGGCATGTCTAGGACAAGTCTATCCTCCATCACAACTCTGGTCAGTGAGGTAAAGCTGGCCTTCTAGAAGGTGGATGCCTTCTAGAGCCAGAAGGTATCATTGATTACCTCAGCTAAAGTCACGGACTCATTTCTCGTTCCTTCCTTCCCTCCTTCCTTCCTTCTTTCCCTCCCTCCCTAAGTCCCTCCCTCCTTCCCTCCCTCCCTCCTTCCATTCCTTCCTTCCTTCCTTCATTCCTTCCTTCCTCCATCCCTCCCTCCCTCCCTCCCTTCCTCCCTTCCTTCCTTCCCTCCCTCCCTCCCTCCCTCCCCATCCTTGGTCTGTCACCCAGGCTGGAGTTCAATGGCACGATCATGGCTCACTGCAGCCTCCACCTCCCAGGCTCAAGCGATCCTCCCATCTCAGCCTCTCGAGTTGCTGGGACTATAGGCATGCACCACCATGCCCAGCCTCTTACTACCTTTTCTAACTTCATGACTCATCACAGAGATAATTGCCTACAGGGTATACATAAATGAGCCAGTTATCCCTCAGGGGAGCTTCCCTTTGTACCTGAGGGCAGTCTTATTTCAGAAAGATACCTGCAGTTCCCTGTGAGCTCCATGATCCAGTAGTGTTTCCTTAGCACTTGAAGGTCTTTTATGACCACCCCTAGCATGAAGTTGCTATGGTCTTGCAGGCAGACAAGTTGATGCCTGACCTCCACACTAGAAGTACAGCCCTAGCAGCAAACATGGTACCCCCAGAAAGAAGGTGATGCTTACAGTTGCTGGAGCCCACCAGGTAGGATCCTCATTAATTGGAGGGTACAGGTTGGCAGCGCCTCCAATGTGGCCTCTTGGCCAGCTGATAGACTTTAAGGTTCTCAATTTAGTTTAAATAATTGAGTCTGTCCTGTTTGTCCATGCCACCAGCCAGATACCATGGACTGACTAAGCAATGGCTATGGGAATGTGGGTAGGGAAGACATCTGGAAGTGTGGGGAAGATATCTGGAAGCGTGGACAAGAGTTCTGTGTGGGATGTCCAGGACCTGGGGTCATCCCTTGCAGTTTCCAACAGACATCTCAGTAAGGTTAAGGGGAACAGCATCTAATAGTGGTAAGAGCCATTTAGCGAGAGTTGCAGATCCAGCAATTATATTTATGGCACTTGCAGTTTTGCAGAGCCAGACCAAGGTGTTTTCCTTCATGAGAAAGTCTTGCAGGGGCGGGGGGGATTCTGAAAGACAAAAGATAATGTCCTTCTCTCCCCTGTACCTTCTGAAGTCCTAGGGTGTGTTCCTTCCCAGGGTGTGAGATCCTAGGGTGTGTACTTCCCTAGCGCTGGGGCCACTACCCTCCACCACCACAAAGATGCAAGTCCCATTCCAGCAGCTGTAACTTCAGATTTTCTCCAGCTATCTCCTACTCGCACCCAAGCCTTTTGTCCAGAGGGGTCAGGAGCAAGATGGACAAAGCTGTTTGTGTAAAACGTACACAGATCTTTTCGAGAAGCAGCTATTGACCTGCTATTGAGCTTGTGTCAAAACTGAACACCCTGACTTACAGAGGTCTTGGTTCAATATCCCATTTTGGGGGTGGATCAACTCAGACTCAACGACAACAATGAACAAGGTGAGAAGGGCCTCAAAAGCCTCATTTGCCAAGTGGAAATGTTTATTCCAGAGCGCAGCCAGGATGTGCTGTTAGTTAAGATTCCCTAGAGAAACAGGGCTAATAGGATTATCTATCGATTTATCGATCCATAGATATAAGTATTGGCTTATGCAATTATGGAGGCTGAGAAGCCCCACAACCTTCCATCTGTAAGCTGGAAACCAGTGGTGCAGTTTGAGGGCCAGAAGCATCAAGGGCAGAAAATTGATGTCCCAGCTCAAGTAGTCAGGCAGAAGTTGACTCCCACCTTTCTCCAATTTCTTGTTCTATTCAGGCCATCAATGGAGTGGATGATGCCCACCCACTCAGGGAGGGCCATCTACTATACTCAGTCCACCAATTGAAATGTTAACCTCCAGAAACTCTTTCACAGACATACCCAGAATAATGTTTAACCAGCTATCTGGGCATCCCATGGCCCAGTCAAGTTGACACATAAAATTAACCATCATATGGCCTTTCTAACAGTTCTCATTACAACTTTAAATAATATTCCTACATTTATATTTCTTTGTCAACTTAGTAGTCATCAATTAATTCCCCACTATGAAAGATAAAAATTTAACAAGATGATTTCTTTCCATTGCTTCTACCTCCATGTTCCTGATTATTGTTAGCTGTATTACTAATTTTACATTGGTACCATGTATAATATTTGCACTATCTTCAGTGATAAGAAGTATTCTATGCTTTTTAAATAGAATCTTAAAACTTTAAATCCACAATATATTACATTACTATATTGTTGCAGAATCAAGAAGTGTGATTGAATGCATGGAGAAAGATTTGTAATCTTGAGTCGATAAACCCTTACTGCTTGAAGGAGAATGTCTAATGTATAAGAATCACCAGATGCTATTTTAATATATTTTGCATTTTCTTTAATTCTATTTTATTTTTATTTTTTGAGGTGGAGTCTTGCTCTGTCACACAGGCTGGAGTAAGTAGTGCAAGCTTGGCTCACTGCAACCTTGGCTCACTGGAACCTCTGCCTCCCAGGCTCAAGCGATTCTCCCACCTCAGCCTCCCTAGTAGCTGGGACTGCAGGCATGCACCACCATGCCCGGCTAATTTTTGTATTTTCAGTTGAGATGGGCTTTCACCATACTGGCCAGGCTGGTATCAAACTCCTGACCTCAAGTGATCCGCCCGTCTTGGCCTCCCAAAGTGCTGGGATTACAGGCATGAGCCACCGCACCCAGCTAATTCTTTTACTTCATACTCAGTTGGTACTGTATGATGTTGTTCCATTTCTTATTTTAATGGTTCACATTGATGGAGTAACTGCCAGTGGAATTTTTTTCATATAATTATGTGGGTCTTTATTTTATGTTAACATTTGGCTGATATTTTGGCTTGTTATAGAATTCTAGATTTAAAATAATTTCCTCAAGGTTTTTGAAGGCTTTGCTGTACTGTTTTCCAGCGCTCAATATTGCTGGTGAAGGTCTACCGCCAATGTGATTTTAATTCCACTGTAAATGATCTGAGTTTTTTTCTTCTCTGTAAACTTTCAGAATCTTCTTTGGAGTTCTAAAATTTTACTAAGCTATGTCTAAGTGTGAATTTTTATTCCTTCATTTTGCCCAAAAAGTAGTGGACCTCTTTGATCTAAAAATTCATGTCTTTCTTTAATTCAAATATATATTTTTTAGATATTTATTTGATTACTTGTTTCAAGTGTTGAGTTATTTTTTTCTTTCTTTTTTTTTTGGCACTACTATTAAACAGCAATTGAACTTTTGGATATATCATCCATGCCCCTCAACTTTTCTCTCATATTTCCCATTCCTTTATTATTATTTCTATAATCTTGGATGTTTCCTAAACTTCCTTTTCCAAGTTCCCAGTTTATTCTTTACCCCTATTGTGGAGCCATTCCAGGGCATGATTTGCTTGGGCAATCATACTTTTCATTGCCAAGCACTTTTTCTTGGCTTCTATTGCTCTTTTTTTTTTTTTTTTTTTTTTTAATAGCGGTTCTGTCACATTTTATGGATATAATGTCTTGAAATTCAGTGGATATTAATAAGAATGTTTTCTCTAAATGACCCATTTTCCCTGGAGACAGTTGATCAGCAAATTCATCTTGGTCCTTTTGTTTTACGCTGCTGCTTGTCCTAAAATATCTGGTCATTCTGGATGGTCTACTCACATTAATGACTCAAGGATCAGGTTGGTTCTATGGTTAGGGGGCCCAGCTGTTCCTTGCGGTACAGGAGGTAGGTTCCCCACAGGAGTTCCTGAATGGGCAGGTTGTGTTAACTGGCAGGCTTTATTTTAGCTTTGTATGGGCATCAACAAGCAGGCCAGCTGCCCCATCTCAACCCAGATGTGAAAATAAGGACTGCCATTAATCTGTCAAGGAAGACTTGACTGCATGTCTCTCTGGGGCAAAGCAGACCTGCCCTTTTATTTCTTCTTTTATGCCTTGTGGGGGTCCAGAGTTATTTCAAGCTGCTTTGCCTTTTTAAAAGCCCCACCCCATTCTAGGAGCCCCAAAAGGCAAGTCGCTGGCTTTAGAGGGCAGCCCTTGTTCTGTCAAAGCCGGCACTCTAAGAGGAGAGAGCAGTGGGGCAGGGACAAGGGTCTCAGAGTCTCAGCTGTCCTGAATAAGTTTCATCAATGAGTGGCCCTGGGTTAGCTGCCAGTTCTCCCTCATGCATTTTATTTGTTGAGGAGCCATGGGCAGGGCTTGCTTGGGGAAGGGTTGCTTTGGGCTATAGGTTTATTTTTATTTTAAATTTATTTTTAGAGACAGGGTCTCACTCTGTCATCCAGGTTAGAGTGCAATGGCACACTCCTGGGCTCAGATGATTCTCCCACCTTAGCCTCCTGAGTATCCAGGACTATAGGTGCATGCCACCACGCCTGGTGAGTTAAAAAAAAATTTATTTTTGTAAAGGCAGGGTCTTGCTACGTTGCTCAGGCTGGTCTCAAACTCCTGGCCTCCAGCAATCCTCCTGCCTCGGCCTTCTGAAGCACTGGGATGCCATGACTTGTTGTTTTCTTCAAGCTTCCTGTCCTGCTGTCTCCTCATTCAGGATTTCCTGAGACTTTCTGTCCTATGTTGACTCCCCTTCTTGTTTTCCCAGTTATGTTTTCATTTCTCAAAAAAAATAAATCATTTCAGAGCGTTTAATGGGACTTTGGAAGTCAGGAAAAGTAAATAGAACACTCATTTCTCTGTCTTGAACTAGAAGCCAATAATTTCTCAAGGATTCAGCATCATAAAAAGTGGGCCATGAAATCTCTTCTCCCTCCCCTACCCTTCCGCCTCCCCTTCGGCGCCCTCTCTACTTCCATACTCTCAGCACCCAGGCAAACTGCAAGTCAACAAAGTCTATTAAAATAAAAGAGGCTGGGTGCGGCGGCTCATGCCTGTAATCCCAGCACTTTGGGAGGCCAAGGCGGGCAGATAACTTGAGGTCAGGAGTTTGAGACCAGCCTGGCCAACATGGTGAAACCTTGTCTCTACTAATAATACAAAAATTAGCCGGGCATGGTGGCAGGCGCCTGTAATCCCAGCTACATGGAAGACCAAGGCAGGAGAATCACTTGAACCTAGGAGGTGGAGTTTGCAGTGAGCTGAGATCACAGCACTGCACTCTAGCCTGGGCAAAAGAGTGAGACTCTGTCTCAAAAAAAGGAAAAAAAAAAAAAAAGAAAGAAAAGGAAAACAGAATAGCAGTTATCTTCATGACGCTCATTCTCTCACTTTTTCATGGATACAAAAAACATTTACTGAGTCCTCGGTGTTCAGCATTACTATAGGCATCAAAAATGAAAAACTCTGTAAGTCTCTAACTTCCTGGGAGCCCAAAGACCAGTAGCAAAGAAACAGGCAAACAACAGGCAATGGGATAAGTGTACGATGAGTGTTATGTACCCCTTGCAAGGGGAGATGCGGGCTGGGGGTGGGCGCAACTCTGACTTAGGACGATGGCAGTGGGGTCTGCTGCGAGGGTGGAGAGGGGAAGCTTTGCCACGGGGAACAGGTACCAGCTCAGCCTCAAAATCTAAACAAGACTGTGTCACACTGACAAGGGGGAAGGACGCTTTCTGATTGCATAACATGTACGAAGGCAGTTTCGTGATATAACAAGTCCAGGGAAGTTCTGGATTTCCAGAGCTCAAATGTCTAAAAAGGTAGCGGGAGCAGGAAGTCCTTGAGTGCCCATGGGAGCCACACTAAAGAGTTAGCACGTGGTCACTGAGGCAAAGTGTTGCCCACAGTGTGCAATGAAGACTATTTTAATGAATACATGGGCATTTAAAAAAAGTAATGTTGAGTTTATTATGCACGTTAGAAATATGAACCAACACATTAAATCCATGATTCTGCCAATATTAACACTTAAGACAAGGCTAGTAGGTGATGCTGTTGGAATCCACCCCGGGCAGGCCAACCTACAGATAAGAGCTCAGACATGCTCATAAATGTTTCAAGCCTTCAGTGACCCCCACACTTAGAGAAATGAGAAAAAGAATGCACCAGTAATACTAAGGAACTTGAACTAAGAAAGGAAAAAGTAGGCCAGGAACAGTGCCTCACACGTGTAATCCCAGCACTTTGGGAGGCTGAGGTGGGAGGATCTCTTGAGCCCAGGAGTTTAAGGCTGCAGTGAACTATGATCATGCCACTGCACCCTAGCCTGGGTGAGAGAGCAAGACCCTGTCTCAAAAAAAAAAAAAAAATTAAAAAAGGAAAAGTAATAGTGGTATGGGTAATCTCTCTTTCCACTCCTGAAGTTATTACTCACTGTCTTTGTGTTAAGGTTTGAGGGATGTGGAGCTGATCTTGACCACAAGAGGCAGTAACACACAAGAAGCATTATTGAGTGGTGCTTAAGGTTGCAGGTGAAGGAAGTCCATCACAGAAGGGGGTCACAGCATGGGGACCACCACCCAGAAAGGGAGGAGCACAAGGTAACTTCCAGGGGTGAGGAGGATCAGAGAGGGAGCTTTCGTGTCTGGGTGATGTTGCTCAGCAGCATGGCATGGAGTCTCTGGGTCAGGGAGCTCTGAAAAGCACTAACAGCTTGAGGTCTTACACCCGCAAAGCTCTGTCTTACCAATAGCAGCACACCAGAATGCAGTTTCAAAGGATACATAAAGCATGCAGGCTCTAAATGCTAACAGTTTGCTCGTTTGGGCTATATTTCAAATAGTTGGATGTGTAAAGATTTGAGTTTGGCACCAGTGGGCTTTGAGCTAACAAGTTTTAGCCTTCAGTGAAGAAATATACAACTGAGGGGCCAATACGCAGAGACCATCTTTGGCTCATTTATATAACAGCATTTGTTCTGTTGAGTTTCAGAATCCTGTAGTTTCTGAATATGATTTAGAGCAATGGGTTTAAGTGAAAAAAAATCACATTCCAACAAAACAATTTGGTGCTCCTTTGAAGCTGTATTTCTTTTCATTTAGTACAATTCAAAATAAACCCAAACATTTAAATTTTATTTGGCTTCAAAACAATTTTCATTTAGTTTAAACTAAAAAGCCAGTCTGGGAGTTAAGAGCACACAGATTAGGGTTAGAAAGATCTGAATCCAACATCTAGTGTTACAACCTACGTAACCTCTATACACATCAGTGTTCTTTTATGTAAAATAAGGATAATCCCTCATCACTATCACAGGATTAAATGAGATGATGCAGGTGAAATAGGACGTGAGACTCTTCTGACCTCAGTGTCCACTGTACAGTGGAAATCGGAATACCCACATGAATGGGAGACAAACCAAGCCTCCACCCCCACCACCCAGTGCAGAATTCTCCGTTTGAACACAGGAGTCATTTATCAGTGACTCTTAACTCTCCTCTCCCATTTAGAGAACAAGGATTAAAATGTGGAAGATAATTTTGCAGGAAGTTTGTGGAAGAAACTTCTTTGGCGAGGGTGGCTACAGAGCTGAGTGTCCACTCCAGCTCTTTGTGGGGAGGGGCGAAAGTGTTAATTTCTAGCCCCAACTTTATGGGTGGTGGGGATGGGGGACTCGTTTCCATGGAATTGTGTGGACAACTTTGCAGAAGACCGCACATCTCTGCAGTGTTTTATTACACGATGCCGTTACATTAGTTTTATACCCAGCTGGTTGATATGGTATAGATGTTTGTCCGTATCCAAGTCTGATGTTGAAATGTGATCCCCAAGGTTGAAAGTGGGGCATAGTAGCAGGTGTTTGGGTCATGGGGACAGATCCCTCATGAATGGCTTGGTGCTGTGTTCGAGGTAATGAGTAAGTTCTAACTCTATTAGTTCATGTAAGAGCTGGTTGCTAAAAGAGCCTGGCATCTCTCTTGCTCCCTCTCCCACCACGTGACATACCTGCTTCCCCTGTGCCTTCTGCCATGAGTAAAAGCTTCCTAAGGCCTCACCAGAAGCCAAGCAGATGTTGGTGCCATGCTTGTACAGTCTGCAGAACTGTGAGCCAAATAAACCTCTTTTCTTTACAAATTACCCAGTCTCAGATGTTCCTTTATAGCAATGCAAAATGACCTAATATACTGGTTATTTATTTCAAATGACGTGTTTTAAGTTTTAATTACAAACATAAATCGACATACATACAGTACCAAAAAACCTTTTGTTGTTTCCAGTAATGAAGTGACAACAACTATACCTCTATAGGTGATTCTGGATTGCCTATATTAACAGATGGAAGGAAAAACTTGGCCTAAAGAAATGGAAACAAGCCACAGCTTAAAATTTACCCTCAACCGTTAACTTTATTCATCTTTCAACAAAACAAACTAGTAGCAAGTTCCTCAGGTAGACTGCAAGATCCTTGAGCTTAAAGGTCTTTTGCAGGGACTCAACTGCAGGTACTGAACTGCAAGACTTCATACCCTTTGCTATTGTTTTATGCCTCATGTCTTAAATGGTGCCTGGAACATAGTAGATGCTCAATAAGTATTTTCCAAAGATTGAATAATATTTACAAGTTTCCTCAAAAACTGCATAACAGTCTCTCCAGAGTTTCTTTGGCTCCTTTTAGGCTGCATCATTCACCAGGGTGCAAATCAGAGACACATGCTGTAGGAACCTAGTGCTGCAATGCTACTTAATACATTGCTCATGTCCCTAATGTAGGGTGTGGGGACATACTTTGTCCTTGATAGTTTCTCCTTCCACCAAGATCCCAAGATCAAGGAGTTGCTCTATTCACAGCTACCCTGATTCCATTTTAATGTTAACCTTGTACTCTGGCTCCTTCTCATTAGCTGTTTTCTGGGTGTGTTTTCTCTCTCTCTCTCTCGGGTTTATTGTATATATTTATTTATTGTATATATTTTTTCTCTCTTGGGTTTATTGTTTATATTTTTGCCTTTCCTTTATGACATTGTAATTGCGTTAGTCTGTTTTGTATTGCTATAAAGGAATACCGGTGGCTAGGTAATTTATAAAGAGAAGAGGTGTAATTGGCTCATGGTTCTGCAGGCTATACAAGCAGCATGGTACCAGCATCTGCCCGGGTTCTGATGAGACCTCAGGAAGCTTTTACTCACCACGGAAGGTGAAGGTGAGCAGGTGTGTCACATGGTGAGAGAGTGAGCAAGAGAGATGCCAGGCTTTTTTAAATAGTCCGCTTTCTCATGAACTGAGTGAGCACTCATTCATCACCAAGAAAATGGCACAAGCCATTCATAAGGGATCTGCTTTCATGATCTAAACACCTCCTACTAGGCTCCACTTCCAACATTAGGAATCACATATCCACATGAAATTTGGAGGGGACACATATCCAAACCATATCACTAATGTTTTCTGGTTACAAATTAATGAAAAGCCAACCAAATAATAGAACATTGTTTCTTCATGGTCTATACTCCATCAGTATAGGAAATTGTGTTCTCTGAGGTTGAACCTTGTCAAGTTCAGTAGCCTATGTACAATTTTTCAATTAATTCGTTTTTAAATTGACAAATAAAAAATTATATTTATGGTGTCCAACATATTTTGATATATGCATGCATTGTGAAATGTCTATATCAAATTAATTAACATACCCATTACCTTACTTAGTTTTTGTAGTGAGAACATTTAAAAATCTACTCTCTTAGCAATTTTCAGACATACAGTACATTGTTATTAACTATAGTCAACATGTTATACAATAGATCTCCTGAATGTATTCCTCCTGTCTAACTGAAATTTTGTACCCTTTGACCAAGATTTGCCCTTTCCCCATCCTCCCACTCTCCCTACCATTCTACTTTGTTTCCATGAGATAGACATTTTTAGATTCCACATACAAGTGAGATCATGCAATATTTGTCTTTCTGTACTTGGCTTACTTCACTTAGCTTAACGTCCTCCAGGTTGATCCACATTGTTGCAAGCAACAGGGTTTCTTTCTTTTTAAAGGCCAGATAGTATTCCATTGTCTTTATATACCATATTTTCTTTATCCTTTCATCTGTCAATGGACACTTAGATTGATTTAATGTCTTTGTGAGTAATGCTGCAATGAACATGGAAACACAGATCTCTATGATGCACTGATTTCATTTCCTTTGGATATATACACAGTTGTAAGATTGATGGGTCATGATAGTTCTATTTAATTTTTTTTTTTATTTGAGACGGAGTCTGGCTCTGTCGCCCTGGCTGGAGTGCAGTGGTGTGATCTCGGCTCACTGCAAGCTTCGCCTCCTGGGTTCATGCCATTCTCCTGCCTCAGCCTCCTGAGTAGCTGGGACTACCAGTAGCTGGGACTACCAGTAGCTGGGACTACAGGCGCCTGCAAACATGCCCGGCTAATTTTTTGTATTTTTAGTAGAGACGGGGTTTCACCGTGTTAGCCAGGATGGTCTCGATCTCCTGACCTCTTGATCCACCCGCCTCAGCCTCCCAAACTGCTGGGATTACAGGCGTGAGCCACCGCGCCCAGCCCTATTCAAAATTTTTTTAGGAACCTCCATAATGTTTCCCATAATGGCTATACTGATTTACATTCCCACCAACAGAGTAGGAGTTTCTCTCTTCTCTATGTCATCACCAACAATTGTCTCTTGTCTTTTTCATAATAGCCATCTTAGCAGGTGTGAGGTGATATCTCATTGTGGTTTTTGTTTGTTTGTTTTTTTGAGATGGATTCTCACTCTGTCACCCAGGCTGGCGTGCGGTGGTGCGATCTCAGCTCACTGAGACTTCTGCCTCCTGGGTTCAAGTGATTCTCCTGCCTCAGCCTCCTGAGTAGCTGGGATTACAGATGCACGCCACCACACCCAGCTAATTTTTGTATTGTAGCAGAGATGGTGTTTTACCATGTTGGCCAGGCTGGTCTCGAACTCCTGAACTCAAGTGATCCACCAGCCTCGGCCTCCCAAAGTGTTGGGATTACAGGCGTGAGCCACCATGCCCGGCCTCATTGTGGTTTTAATTTGCATTTCCCTGATGATTAATGATATTGAGCATTGTTTTATATGCCTGTTGGTCACTTGTAGTCTTATTTAGAAAAATGTCTATTCAGGTTCTTGGCCCATGTTAAAATCAGGTTAATTGGGCTTTTTTTTTTTTTTTTTTTGCTATTGAGTTGAGTTCCTTATATAGTCTGAATATTAACCTTTATCAGATGTATGGTTCACAAATATTTTCTCTCATCCCATAGGCTGTCTCTTCACTCTTGATTTTTTTTCCCTTGGTATGCAGGAGCTTTTTATTTTCATGCAATCCTATTTATCTATTTTTGCTTGTACTGTTGGGGTCATATCCAAAAAATCTTTGCCTATACCAGTGTCAAGAAGGTTTTCCCCTAGAGTTTCTTCTAATAGTTTTACAGTGTCAGGTCTTATGTCTAAGTTGTTAATCCATTTTGAGTCTATTTTTATATGTGGGGTGAGAGAGGAGTCTAATTTCATTCTTCTCCATGTGGATATGCAATTTTCCCAACATCATTTATTGAAGAGACTGTCCTTTCCTCTGTGTGTTCTTGGCACCTTTGTTGAAGATCAGTTGACTGTAAATGTGTGGATTTTATTTCTTGACTTTTAATGTTGTCCATAACTGTATTCTTATTCATTTACTTTCAGGGCCCTTCTATCTACTAAATGGTTTTTCCACTCTCAAGCATTTTTAGTCAACTTTCTTGGGACAATGAGTATCTCCAATTGAGCTTTGGCATGCACAGAATCACCCTGCTTTTGGTAGTTGCTTTATAATATTTCCTTATCACCCTTTTTCTCAACCCAGACTCTACCACTAAATTGATTGGATATGCAGACTACTACATATGCAGACTACTACACCACTTTTTTCTTTATTGAATCAATCATATATTAGAAACCTACATTCAAAATGATTTTTCCAGCCCTTCTTAGGTAATTAAATCTACATATATGGTGGGGCCAGGGGTTTTTACCACTCAAATCATAGGGATTAGTTACCCCATTACTACTACCAGATTACTATAAAATGCCATAATATTTTATGTGCAAGAAAAATGCCAAAGGAAGCCTTCAAGCTTTAAACATCATTAGGAAAGTAATTTTATTTAAAAATATTACAAGCTTAGAACCCACAGAAATAATTCTATGAGGAGTAAATTTTTTAAATAGCTATGTAGAATATAACTAAATTCATAATAACAGCTAGCTGTAGTATAGGCATGTCAGATTTGTATATACCCAATTTAAGATATTTATATAATAGGACACCCTGAAATAGCTGCTTGGAAGTAACACGGTAATGTGACAGCCCCTTCCTTTTCAGGATTTTTGCTTGGAATTTCCTTTCCTTTATTTTCATGATGGACATGGAGCTGCACTGCCCAGATCTCCCTTGAGGGAAGAACAGCCTGCCCAGCTGCAGAAAGTGGGATCATCAGACAATCTGCGGCTGGCAGCCCCTTGATGGTCTGCTTTGGTCTGGATTTCCTGCACTTGGTGACCAAGTGAGTCAGAGTACGAAGGCCTGATCATTCAGACTCAGCACAGAACAACTCCATAGGGCAATTCTTGCTCCAGAGCTCTTGTCCGGTAGCCCAAGGCTTTTTCAGGAATACCTTTGTTTGTCTAACTTCTCCTTCTGCCCAATCCTTCTTCCTTTCCTTTCCCTTCACGGAAAATAAATATCTTGTACCTCACATTCAGTGTCTAGTGTCTGCTCCTGGAATACTTCATCTCTATCATCTCACCCCAACCTGAGTTAGCCTCTCCTCCGCTACCACATCCCATAGTCCTCCAGTGCTAGTTGTAAAAGCAGAAGGGATAGTGAACGAGGGACAGGGAACAGGTGCAATGTGAGTTCAGCCCTCATCTCCCCACCTTGCCTCCTGAATAAGCACAGTAGGCCTAGGATGTGGCATCTGCTGAGCTGGTGGCTTATTCTGGTTTGGGGATAGAAAAGGTCATCTGGAAGCTCCATTGGGGGTACTGTGAGATGCTGGTCATTTTACTTTTTCTTGCTGTTCACTTAAGGCAAAGCTTTGCTCCAAGTGTTCAAAAATAAAGCTTTCACATCATGCAATATACTCAGGTAGCAATCTGCAAATGCACTGCCCCCTGAATCTAAAGTAAAATTTGAAAAAGAAAAAAAAAGAGAAGCTTTCGTGAGGTTGGCATTTTCTTCTCTGGCCCATAGATCCCTACCAGGAGAGCATCCTGTGCATCCCTGACGTGGTTGCCAAGCCCTCAGGTCAAGCCTCCAAGCCCTATCCCCAACCCCTCCTCTCTCACCCAACCCCAGCCCCCATCCTAATATCCTTGAAAATGGAGAACTGAGCAGCACTGCAGGGCCAGGCTACCAGGAAAGGGCTCAGACCCCTGGCTGTGTGTTTGCCCTGGATCTCCCCCACTTCTCTTTCCCCTATCCCCCTGGGTGGCTTAGACTTCAATCTGTTTTCTGAAGCTTTTCTCAGAACAGAAACGCCTTATTAATGCATCTGGGAGACAGCCAAGGAAATGTTTAAAGTTCTGTCTTATGATACAGAGTTGGGAGCCGTGGCAAGAGAAGACCCAGACCCTGGAAGATGATGTTGCCCACGACTCTCTTGACTCTCAGGGTGTCAGATTAACTTCCATTATCTTTCTGGTGCTCTGATTCATAGTTGCCCATTCATTAGCACACTGACAACCATAAATATTTATTTTAAAATACAGAACTTGGCCATGAAATAATTGGGGAAATGGCATTATTTCCTGTTCAACCAGATTATTTGCCCATGGATATTTATCTTATTGGAGAAGCGAAGAGACTTACCTGTCTTGCAATAACAAAAAGGGAGATTCACTCAATTATACCCTTGGGGGTGGTGGGGGGGGGGTGCAGGGAATAAGGCAGAAGGCAGCACTACGGCTAGAACCTGCTAGCTGGATATTTGCAAGCTACAGGGACCTGACTTGACCCTGGAAGACGAGCTGGGGAGGGGAGCACAGGCTGTGGGTGAAATGCAAAAATCTGTTTTTCCATGCTGGCTAACTAAGATCATTTTGTATGAAGCTATAGCTCCCGGCTAAACTCCAGGAGGCCTGCTCTTACTTCTTGCATCTGTGCCCACATCTTAGAGGTTTTCTGCATGGTCCGTCTGAGTGTGTGATCCTAAAGAATGTTTTCAGAAGCTGTTGGGCATGTGCAGCAGTGAAAGAGGCTACTGTGTATGCACAGAAATGAGACACAAACGGCAATATTTCAGAGATTGTAGACAACATGATTCTTCTGAAGACCCTACGCTTAAAGCTTCTTCTGTGGAATCTGGGGACTTGCTGTGGGGATGCAGTTTAGGTGTCACCTGTTGGGGAATTGAGAGTTGGTGAGATCACTCCTCAGAGCCTCTGTGTGCCCTAGGACTTTTCTGGTTTATGCTTATTTTAATAGTGGGTTTGGGAATTAAATCATCAGAGCTGGTCTGAACACAGCCCTGCTCAAAGCCAAACATTTCACAGGCGTTTGGAAGAGGTGCTGTTATAGTTGATGAGGATAATTGTTACCACTTGTCCCTCAAGGTTTTCCAGACCATGGTGATCTTTTCTGTGCTTAGCTTACGGAAGTCAGGGTTTTTAACCAGGCACCAGTGAGCATCTGAGCAGATTCAAAGATGCTTCCCAAGATGAGGGCTGGAGAGAACACACCACCAAGTTTGTTTACCTTAAATGGCAACAATCAACCTTTCTTTCCCTGGTTCCTGAATAACCCATGACTATCTTTCCAGGTAACCAGAGGAACTCCCTGTACCCAGTTTCCTCATCTATAAACACAGAGATGATAATAATAATACTGACCTCACAGGGGAGTTGCTATGAGTGATAGATGAGGTAACACATGAAGTTACTTAGAGGCCAGGCGCAGTGTCTCATGCCTGTAATCCTAACACTTTGGGAGGTTGAGGCAGGCAGATTGTTTGAGCCCAGGAGTTCAAGACCAGCCTGGGAAACACCGCAAAACTCTGTCTCTACAAAAAATACAAAAATTAGCCTGGCATGGTGGTGTGCACCTGTAGTCCCAGCTACTTGAGAGGCCGAGGTGGGAGGATCACCTGAGCCCAGGAGGTCGAGGTCAGGGCTGTGATGAGCCATGATCACACCATTACACTGCAGCTTGGATGACAGAAAGAGAACCTGTGAAAGAATGAAAGAACCAAAGAACCAAAGAAAGAAATTTCATCTGGTACACATGGCTGCTGACAGGATTTACCACTGCCTCTTATTCAGCATTTGTGAATGATGGTGGTCTCCACTGGGTTTGGTGGTGCTTTCTAAACACAGCCAAAAGCTTGGCTAACGCTGTCAATATTCAAGAGGGGAATGTTAACTAATCATGCCTTGATTCTCCAGCTCTACCCTTTTATTACCAGATAACCAGAAAATCACATACTTGGATAGATTATTTTGACTTCTACATTTAGTTATTTCTACCCTACCATATTCTACCAACTATTTGAAGCCACGTATGCATAATGAAATATATGGGTTTGTTTTTTTTTTTTTTTTTGAGACAGAGTCTTGCTCTGTTGCTGAGGCTGGAGTGCAGTGGCGCGATCTCGGCTCACTGCAAGTTCTGCCTCCCGGGTTCATGCCATTCACCTGCCTCAGCCTCCCCTGTAGCTGGGACTACAGGCACCCGCCACCACGCCCGGCTAATTTTTTGTATTTTTAGTAGAGATGGGGTTTCACCATGTTAGCCAGGATGGTCTCGATCTCCTGACCTCATGATCTGCCCGCCTCAGCCTCCCAAAGTGCTGCGATTACAGGTGTGAGCCACTGCGCCCAGCTGAAATATATGTTTTAAAGATTCATATCCAGGGAAAACTCAGAGGAAGAGATTTTAAAAATTATTTTATCTTATTTTCATAGGTTTTTGGGGAACAGGTAGTATTTGGTTGCATGAGTAAGTTCTTTAGTGGTGATCTGTGAGATTTTGGTGCACCCATCACCCAAGCAGTATACACTGAACCCAGTTTGTAGTCTTTTATCCTTCACCCCCTTCCACCCTTTCCCCCAAGTCCCCAGTGTCCATTGTATCATTCTGATGCTTTTGCATTCTCATAGCTTAGCTCCCACTTAAGAGTGAGAACATACGATGTTTGGTTTTCCATTCCTGAGTTACTTCACTTAGAATAATAGTCTCCAATTCCATCCAGGTTGCTACAAATGCCATTAATTCATTTCCTTTTTATGGCTGAGTAGTACTCCATTGTGTGTGTGTGTATATATATGTATATATATAGTGTGTATACACACACACACACACACACACACACACATATATATATATATAACTTCTTTATCCTTTTGTTGATTGATGGGCATTTGGGCTGGTTTCGTATTTTTGCAGTTGTGAACTGTGCTACTATAAACGTGTGTACAAGTATCTTTTTTGTGTAATGACTTCTTTTTCTCTGGGTAGATACTCAGTAGTAGGATTGCTAGATCAAATGGTAGTTCTACTTCTAGTTCTTTAAGGAATCTCCACACTATTTTCAATAATGGTTGTACTAGTTTACATTCCCACCAGCAGTGTAGAAGTGTTCTCTTTTCACCACATCCATGCCAACATCTTTTATTTTTTGGTTTTTTGGTTATGGCCATTCTTGCAGGAGTAAGGTGGTATCACATTGTGGTTTTGATTTGCATTTCCCTGATCATTAGTGATGTTAGCATTTTTTCATATGTTTGTTGGCAATTTGTATATCTTCTTTTGAGAATTGTCTATTCATGCCCTTAGCCTACTTTTTGATGGGATTGTTTATCTTTTTCTTGCTAATTTGTTGGAGTTCCTTGTAGATTCTGAATATTGGTCTTTTGTCGGATGTATAGATTGTGAAGATTTTCTCCTACTCTGTGGGTTGTCTGTTTACTCTGCTGACTATTCCTTTTGCTATGCAGAAGCTCTTCAGTTTAATTAAGTCCCACCGATTTATCTTTGTTTTTGTTGCATTTGCTTTTGGGTTCTTTGTCATGAAGTCTTTGCCTAAGCCAATGTCTAGAAGGGTTTTTCTGATGTTATCTTCTAGAATTTTTATAGCTTCAGGTCTTAGATCTAAGTTCTTCATCCATCTTGAGTTGGTTTTTGTATGAGGTGAGAGATAAGGATCCACTTTCATTCTCCTCTGTGTGGCTTGCCAATTATCCTAGCACCATTTGTTTAATAGGGTGTCCTTTCCCCACTTTAAGTTTTTGTTTGCTTTGTTGAAGATTAGTTGGCTGTAGGTATTTGGGTTTATTTCTGGGTTCTCTATTCTGTTCCATTGGTCTATGTGCCGATTTTTATACCAGTACTATGCTGTTTTGGTGACTATGGCCTTCAAGCATAGTTTGAAATCAGGTAATATGATGCCTCCAGATTTTTTCTTTTTGCTTAGTCTTGCTTTCGCCATGCAGGCTCTTTTTGGGTTCCATACGAATTGCCTTTTCTAGTTCTGTGAGGAATTATGGTGGCATTTTGATGGGAATCGCATTGAGTTGGTAGATTGCTTTTGGTAGTATGGTCATTTTCACAATATTGATTCTACCCATCCATGAGCATGGGATGTGTTTCCATTTGTTTGTGTCATCTATGATTTCTTTCAGCAGTGTTTTGTAGTTTTCCCTGTAGAGGTCTTTCACCTCCTTGGTCAGGTATATTCCTAAGTATTTTATTTTTTTGGCAGCTATTGTAAAAGGAGTTGAGTCCTTGATTTGATTCTCAGCTTGGCTGCTGTTGGTATATAGCAGAGCTACTAATTTGTGTACATTAATTTTGTATCCTGAAACTTTGCTGAATTCACTTACCAGTTCTAGGAGCTTTTTGGAGGAGCCTTAGGGTTTTCTAGGTATACTATCATATCATTAGCAAACAGTGACAGTTTGACTTCCTTCTTACCGATTTGGATGCCCTTTATTTCTTTCTCTTGTGTGATTGCTCTGGCTAGAACTTCCAGCACTATGAACACCTTTAGGCACATAAACTAGAAAACCTAGAAGAGAAAGATAAATTCCTGGAAAGACTCCACCCTCCTAGCTTAAAGCAGGAAGGATTAGAAACCCTGAAAAGTCAATAACAAGCAGTGAGGTTGAAATGGTAATTTTAAAACATACCAACAAAAAAAAGCTCAGGACCAGATGGATTCACAGCTGAATTCTATCAGACATTCAAAGAAGAATTGATACCAATCCTATTGACACTATGCCACAAGATAGAGAAAGAGGGAATCCTCCCTAAATCATTCTATGAAGCCAGTATCACCCTAATACCAAAACCAGGAAAGGGCATAACCAAAAAAGAAAACTACAGACCAATACCCCTGATGAACATAGATGCAAAAATCCTTAATAAAATACAAGGTAAACAAATCCAACAACATATCAAAAAGATAATTCACCATGACCAAGTGGGTTTCATGCCAGGGATGCAGGGATAGTTTAACATACTCAACTCAATAAATGTGATACACCACATAAACAGAATTAAAAAGCAAAATCACATGATCATCACAGTAGATGCAGAAAAAGCATTTGACAAAATCCAGCATCCCTTTATGATTAAAACCCTCAGCAAAATCAGCATACTAGGGATATACCTCAATGTAATAAAAACCATCTATGACAAACCCACAGCCAACATAATACTGAATGGGGAAAAGTTGAAAGCATTCCCTCTGAGAACTGGAACAAGACAAGGATGCCCACTCTCACTGCTTCTATTCATCAGAGGAAGAGATTTAAAAAAAAATTTTTTTTTGAGACAGAGTCTTGCTCTGATCACAGCAATGGTGTGATCATGGCTCACTGTAGCCTTGATTTCCCAGGCTCAAGCAATCCTCCTGCCTCAGCCTCCCAAGTAACTGGGTCTACAGGCACACACCACCACACCTGGTTAATTTTTTTGAATTTTAGTAGCAATGGGATCTCACTGTGTTGCTCAGGCTGCTCTCGAACCCCTGGCCTCAAGTGATCCTCACACTTCAGCCTCCCAAAGTGTTAGGATTACAGGTGTGAGTCACCATGTCTGGCCTGAAATTTGCGTGTTTGTGTAATTTTATATATAACAAATAATTTGAATTATATAATTGATTTAAATTATAAATAAAATTGAGTGTAGAGATGAATAGTACACAGAAATGATCAACATAAAGATAAACCTGGGAAGCAAATTTCCTTTGAAGTTTCTTGGAGACCAAAGGAAAAAGAGAAATAAGATTACCAACAATCTATGCTGTCCAAAAGAAGAAAACACACAAATTCTTCAGAGAAAAAAACCCCCACAAGTACATATCCTCAAACTTGGGAAAAAACGTTTTTCATATGAACTACTGGTTTTTCATATGAACTACTGAGAACTGCTGTGCCTAATGTCCTCACCACTCCTGAATGATGAATGTAGTAGCTAACTTGGTATGAGATTACTAGAATGTCCTTCAATACATTCCAAGTGAGTAATGCCAAACATGTTGAAGGTAACTGTGAAGCTCAAAATAAGGTGTTCCAATCTGAGACCTCTCTTTGGAGCTAGCTTAATCCAGTGAAAAACAGACTATGAAGGGGACAAGGGGAGACTGGATGTCCTTACAATTCTCTTCCATTTTATATTGTTTCTCCCAACTGTCTAAACAAAAACCCAAAAAAACAAAAAGAATGCGGCAGACAATTTGAGATTATAGTTTTTGGTAGGATGCTACACTGTATTACAGTTTAACATTTAGAACTTTGTCTTTCATGGGGAATTGGTATTAGCTAATGTATGATAAAATTGCTATATGTTTTTGAAGACACAATTTTCAGTAGCCTTTTTATTAGATTCACCTGCTATGTTTTTCTTAGAACTATCTGCTAGGAAGAAATTGATAAACTGGTATGCTTTCAGGTATTAGATAATAAGAGCTTGATGCCAGAAAACTTAGGGGTGAATTTTAGTTTTAACATCAGTTGCTGTCTTTCACCCAGGTTTTCTAGAATAACTATTTTTCTCTTTTCTTACTTAGCTCTTATTCTGCTATCATGGTTTAAAGACTCTTGTACTATTTGTGTCAGTTATTCTAAGCCACCTCAGAACATTTTTCAAAAGAAGGTGAGGCATGAATTTAACATGAAATCCATAACAGCATTTTGTGACGCAAAGGAGAACATTTAAAATTCATTCACTAAATGTTTTAATCAATATTGGTTTTGACTGGAAGTAACACAGAACCCGACACAACTTTGACTTAAAGGGTTTGTCTCACACATCAAGGAGCCCAGAGAAAGGCAGTCCAAGGCTGATATGGGTGTTTAATGACATAACCAAGAACTCAGGGTCTTCTGATCCTTTAGCTCCACCACTAATCTGCATAGCATTCATTCTCATGGCCAAAGGTAGCTGCTCACCCCTCACCACCAATGTACCATGTATGCATACACACTTCCCATAGTGGCTAGCATAGCATAGGTGCTAATAAATATTTTTTGATAGAATGAATAATACAAAATAACCTGAAAGGACTAGAAGCATATTTTCCTCTGTTTGCACTTTTAATAAATAGACTACTTGAGTTTTAAACTAATGGATGGCGTTAGTATAATAAACCGTTCATTACAATTCAGAATATGATCATTTAAACTTCACAATAGTACTTCAATTTTGTAACGTTACATTTCAAATCAGGGTTATGAACTCTGCCAGAGGTACATATTCATGATCAAAGGGAAAATGCAATATAATCTGTCAATCAGCTTTTTTTTCTGTACATAAAAGTTTTAAAACATTTAAGCCAGTTTAAATGTGAGACATTAATTTCCTTGTTGCTCTTATATGAAATTTAGCAACAATCTGACTTTTAGCTATGACATTTACACAAATCAAGTTATATAAACATAGTTTATCTCTAGAGATCTTATATCAGGTTATATCAGCTAAGAGCCTTAAAAATAATATTTAACTAAATAAAACTAGTTAAGTCATGAATAGCACTTTATGCCTTCACATCTTCTGCAGTCTGTTTCTGTTTTTTAAGTAAAAGCTTCTGCCCTGAATCTATAATCCCCAAAACTTGTATGTTCTCAGCTTCTTGGCAACTATGACTTTTGAAACAAGAGTGAATTTTTTTCTTTTGAGACAAGAATGAGTTTCAAGGTAGATCCTTTTCTTTAAACAAATAGTTTATTACAGTTAACAGAAGGCAATAAAATACATTTAAATATAAGTGTACATCATAATAATACTTAACATTGTTTTCTTATACATATTCACTAGTTTATTCTATCATTGAGCACTTATTGTGTGCCATGCACTGGGCTGGATGCTAGGGGATATTTTGTTTTATTTCAATGGTAACAGTTGACTTTATGTCTATGAGCATGTGAGTAGAGCTGATGAAATCCTGACTTTCTGGGATATTTGATCCACTACTGTTTTGTTTTGTTATACTGTTTTGTTAAGATCATCTCCTATAATGATGCCACTAGGAAAACTAACTTCTATTTACTTATTTTTTTTTTTTTTTTGAGACAGGGTCTCACTTTGTTGCCCAGGCTGGAGTACGCTGGTGAAATATGCCTCACTGCAGCCTCTACCTCCTGGCTCAGGTAATCCTCCTGCCTCAGCCTCCTGAGTACCTGGGACTACAGGCATGTGCCGCCACACCCAGCTAATGTTTTGTATTTTGTGTAGAGACAGGGTTTTATTTTGTTGCTCAGGCTGGTCTCGAACCCCTGGACTTAAGCAGTCTGCCCACCTCGGCCTCCCAAAGTGTTCGGATTACAGGCATGAGCCACCGTGCCTGACCAAAAGTAACTTTTGAACTGGAAAACCTTTAGTAAAGTCATAAGGTTTTTGATGGTATAAGTTTGCATAAGGAAGTTTCTCCCGTTGTAAACATAGCACAGTAAACATCAAGGAGGGACTTGGGTTTGTTTATACTGCTACAATATAATGGAGTAGACAGGGGAGCATCTACCCGTCTCTTTTATGTTTGTTTTGTTTTTTCATTTTTTTATTAGTGTTTTTTTTTATTATACTTTAAGTTCTGGGGTACATGTGTAGAACTTGGAGGTTTATTAGATAGATATACATGTGCCATGGTGGTTTGCTGCACCCATCAACCCAACATCTACATTAGGTATTTCCCCTAATGCTATCCCTCCCCATCCCCCCACCCTCTGACAGGCACCGCTGTGTGATGTTCCCCTCCCTGTGTCCAAGTGTTCTCCTTGTTCAACTCCCACTTATAAGTGAGAACATGTGGTGTTTGGTTTTCCGTTCTTTGCTGAGTTAGTTTGCTGAGAATGATGGTTTCCAATATCATCCATGTCCTTGCAAAGGACATGAACTCATCCTTTTTTATGGCTGCATAGTATTCCATGGTATATATGTGCCACATTTTCTTTATCCAGTCTATCATTGATGGGCATTTGGGTTGGTTCCAAGTCTTTGCTATTGTGAACAGTGCCGCAATAAACATACGTGTGCATGTGTCTTTATAGTAGAATGATTTATAACCCTCTTGGTATATACCCGGTAATGGGATTGCTGGGTCAAATGGTATTTCTAGTTCTAGATCCTTGAGGAATTGCCACACTGTCTTCCACAATGGTTGAACTAATTTACACTCCCACCAACCGTGTAAAAGCATTCCAGTTTCTCCACATCCTCTCCAATATGTTATTTCCTGACTTTTTAATGATCACCATTCTAACTGGCATGAGATGGTATCTCATTGTGGTTTAGATTTGCATTACTCTAATGACCAGTGATGATGAGCATTTTTTCATATGTTTGTTGGCTGCATAAATGTCTTCTTTTGAGAAGTGTCTGTTCACGTCCTTTGCCCAGTTTTTGATGGGGTTGTTTTTTTCTTGTACATTTGTTTAAGCTCTTTGTAGATTCTGGACATTAGCCCTTTGTCAGATGGATAGATTGCAAAATTTTTCTCCCATTCTGTAGGTTGCCTGTTTACTCTGATGACAGTTTCTTTTGCTGTGCAGAGGCTTAGTTTAATTAGATCCCATTTGTCTATTTTGGCTTTTGTTGACACTGCTTTTGGTGTTTTAGACATGAACTCCTTGCCCATGCCTATGTCCTGAATGGTACTGCCTAGCTTTTCTTCTAGGGTTCTTATGGTTTTAGGTCTTATGTGTAAGTCTTTAATCCATCTTCAGTTACTTTTTGTATAAAGTGTAAGGAAAGGATCCAGTTTCAGCTTTCTGCATATGGCTAGCCGGTTTTCCCAACACTGTTTATTAAATAGGGAATCTTCACCATTGCTTGTTTGTGTCAGGTTTGTCAAAGATCAGATGGTTGTAGATGTGTGGTGTTATTTCTGAGGCCTCTGTTCTGTTCCATTGGTCTATATATCTGTTTTGGTACCAGTACCATGCTGTTTTGGTTACTGTAGCCTTGTAGTGTAGTTTAAAGTTAGGTAGCGTGATGCTTCCAGCTTTGTTCTTTTTGCTTAGGATTGTCTTGGCTATGCAGCCTCTTTTTTGGTTCCATATAAAATTTAAAGTAGTTTTTTCAATTCTGTGAATACCTTGATGGGGATAGCATTGAATCTATAAATTACTTTGGGCAATATGACCATTTTCACAATATTGATTCTTCCTATCCATGAGCATGGAATGGTCTTCCATTTGTTTGTGTCCTCTTTTATTTCCTTGAGCAGTAGTTTGTAGTTCTCTTTGAAGAGGTCCTTCACATCCCTTGTAAGTGGTATTCCTAGGTGTTTTATTCTCTTTGTAGCAATTGTGAATGGGAGTTTGCTCATGATTTGACTCTCTGTTTGTCTGTTATTGATGTATAGGAATGCTTGTGGTTTTTGCACATTGAGTTTGTATCCTGAGACTTTGCTGAAATTGCTTATCAGCTTAAGGAGATTTTGGGCTGAGACGATGGGGTTTTCTAAATATACATCACGTCATCTGCAAACAGAGACATTTTGACTTCCTCTTTCCCTCACTGAATACCCTTTATTTCCTTCTCCTGCCTGATTGCCCTGGCCAGGACTTCCAATACTATGTTGAATAGGAGTGGTGAGAGAGGGCATCCTTGTCTTGTGCCGGTTTTCAAAGGCAATGCTTCCAGTTTTGCCCATTCAGTATGATATGGGCTGTGGGTTTGTCATAAATAGCTCTTATTATTTTGAGATACGTTCCATCAATACCTAATTTATTGAGAGTTTTTAGCATGAAGGGATGTTGAATTTTGTTGAATGCCTTTTCTGCATCTATTGAGATAATCATGTGGTTTTTGTCATTGGTTCTGTTTATGTGATGGATTACGTTTACTGATTTGCGTTCGTTGAACCAGCCTTGCATCCCAGGGATGAAGCTGACTTTATCGGGCTGGATAAGCTTTTTGATGTGCTGCTGGATTTGGTTTTCCAGTATTTTATTGAGGATTTTCGCATTGATGTTCATCAGGGATATTGGCCTGAAATTTTCTTTTTTTGTTGTGTCTCTGCCAGGTTTTGGTATCAGGATGATGCTGGCCTCTTAAAATGAGTTAGGGAGGATTCCCTCTTTTTCTATTGTTTGGAATAGTTTCAGAAGGAATGGTACCAGCTCCTCTTTGTACCTCTGGTAGAATTCGGCTGTGAATCCATCTGGCCCTGGACTTTTTTTTGTTGGTAGGCTATTAATTACTGCCTCAATTTCAGAACTTGTTATTGGTCTATTCAGGGATTTGACTTCTTCCTGGTTTAGTCTAGGGAGGGTGTATGTGTCCAGGAATTTATCCATTTCTTCTAGATTTTCTAGTTTATTTGCGTAGAGGTGTTTATAGTATTCTCTGATGGTAGTTTGTATTTCTGTGGGATCAGTGGTGACATCCCCTTTATCATTTTTTATTGCATCTATTTGATTCTTCTCTGTTTTCTTCTCTATTAGTCTGGCTAGCGGTGTATCTGTTTTGTTGATCTTTTCCAAAAATCAGCTCCTGGATTCATTGATTTTTTTGGAAGGGTTATTGATGTCTCCATTTCCTTCAGTTCTGCTCTGATCTTAGTTATTTCTTGCCTTCTGCTAGCTTTTGAATGCGTTTGCTATTGCTTCTCTAGTTCTTTTAATTGTGATGTTAGGGTGTCAATTTAGATCTTTCCTGCTTTCTCTTGTGGACATTTAGTGCTATAAATTTCACTCTACGTGCTGCTTTAAATGTGTCCCAGAGATTCTGGTACATTGTGTAGACAGTTTGTTATAATTTCTTTTACATTTGCTGAGGAGTGCTTTACTTCCAACTATTGGTCAATTTTGGAATAAGTGCGGTGTGGTGCTGAGAAGAATGTATATTCTGTTGATTTGGGGTGGAGAGTTCTGTAGATGTCTATTACGTCCGCTTGGTGCAGAGCTGAGTTCAATTCCTGGATATCCTTGTTAACTTTCTGTCTCTTTGATCTGTCTAATGTTGACAGTGGGGTGTTAAATCTCCCATTATTATTGTGTGGGAGTCTGAGTTTCTTTGTAGGTCTCTAAGGACTTGCTTTATAAATCTGGGTGCTCCTGTATTGGGTGCATATATATTTAGGATAGTTAGTTTTCTTGTTGAATTGACCCTTTACCGTTACGTAATGGTCTTCTTTGTCTCTTTTGATCTTTGTTGGTTTAAAGTCTGTTTTATCAGAGACCAGGATTGCAATCCCTGCCTTTTTTTGTTTTCCATTTGCTTGGTAGATCTTCCTCCATCCCTTTATTTTGAGTCTATGTGTATCTCTGCACGTGAGATGGGTTTCCTGAATACAGCACACTGATAGGTCTTGACTCCTTATCCAATTTGTCAGTCTGTGTGTTTTAATGGGAACATTTAGCCCATTTACATTTAAGGTTAGTATTGTTATGTGTGAATTTGATCCTGTCATTATGATGTTAGCTGGTGATTTTGCTTGTTACTTGATGCAGTTTCTTCCTAGCATCGATGGTCTTTACAATTTGGCATGTTTTTGCAGTGGCTGGTACCAGTTGTTCCTTTCCATATTTAGTGCTTCCTTCAGGAGCTCTTGTATGGTAGGCCTGGTGGTCAAAAAATCTCTCAGCATTTGCTTGTCTATAAAGGATTTTATTTCTCCTTCACTTATGAAGCTTAGTTTGGCTGGATATGAAATTCTGGGTTGAAAATTCTTTTCTTTAAGAATGTTGAATATTGGCCCCCACTCTCTTCTGGCTTGTAGGGTTTCTGCCGAGAGATCCACTGTTAGTCTGATGGGCTTCCCTTTGTGGGTTACCTGACCTTTCTCTCTGGCTGCCCTTAACATTTTTTCATTCATTTCAACATTGGTCAATCTAACAAATTATGTGTCTTGGGATTGCTCTTCTTGAGGAGTATCTTTGTGGTGTTCTCTGTATTTCCTGAATTTGAATGTTGACCTGCCTTGCTAGATTGGGGAAGTTCTCCTGGATAATATCCTGCAGAGTGTTTTCCGAATTGGTTTCATTCTCCCCATCACTTTCTTTTTTTTTTTTTTTTTTCCTTTTTTTTTTTATTATACTTTAAGTTTTAGGGTACATGTGCACAATGTGCAGGTTAGTTACATATGTATACATGTGCCATGCTGGTGCGCTGCACCCACTAACTCGTCATCTAGCATTAGGTATATCTCCCAATGCTATCCATCCCCCCTCCCCCCACCCCACCACAGTCCCCAGAGTGTGATATTCCCCTTCCTGTGTCCATGTGATCTCGTTGTTCAAAGCCCACCTATGAGTGAGAATATGCGGTGTTTGGTTTTTTGTTCTTGCGATAGTTTACTGAGAATGATGATTTCCAATTTCATCCATGTCCCTACAAAGGACACGAACTCATCATTTTTTATGGCTGCATAGTATTCCATGGTGTATATGTGCCACATTTTCTTAATCCAGTCTATAATTGTTGGACATTTGGGTTGGTTCCAAGTCTTTGCTATTGTGAATAATGCTGCAATAAACATACGTGTGCATGTGTCTTTATAGCAGCATGATTTATAGTCATTTGGGTATATACCCAGTAATGGGATGGCTGGGTCAAATGGTATTTCTAGTTCTAGATCCCTGAGGAATCGCCACACTGACTTCCACAATGGTTGAACTAGTTTACAGTCCCACCAACAGTGTAAAAGTGTTCCTATTTCTCCACATCCTCTCCAGCACCTGTTGTTTCCTGACTTTTTAATGATTGCCATTCTAACTGGTGTGAGATGGTATCTCATTGTGGTTTTGATTTGCATTTCTCTGATGGCCAGTGATGGTGAGCATTTTTTCACGTGTTTTTTGGCTGCATAAATGTCTTCTTTTGAGAAGTGTCTGTTCATGTCCTTCGCCCACTTTTTGATGGGGTTGTTTGTTTTTTTCTTGTAAATTTGTTTGAGTTCATTGTAGATTCTGGATATTAGCCCTTTGGCAGATGAGTAGGTTGCGAAAATTTTCTCCCATTTTGTAGGTTGCCTGTTCACTCTGATGGTAATTTCTTTTGCTGTGCAGAAGCTCTTTAGTTTAATTAGATCCCATTTGTCAATTTTGGCTTTTGTTGCCATTGCTTTTGGTGTTTTGGACATGAAGTCCTTGCCCATGCCTATGTCCTGAATGGTAATGCCTAGGTTTTCTTCTAGGGTTTTTATGGTTTTAGGTCTAACGTTTAAATCTTTAATCCATCTTGAACTGATTTTTGTATAAGGTGTAAGGAAGGGATCCAGTTTCAGCTTTCTACAAGTGGCTAGCCAGTTTTCCCAGCACCATTTATTAAATAGGGAATCCTTTCCCCATTGCTTGTTTTTCTCAGGTTTGTCAAAGATCAGATAGTTGTAGATATGCGGCATTATTTCTGAGGGCTCTGCTCTGTTCCATTGATCTATATCTCTGTTTTGGTACCAGTACCATGCTGTTTCGGTTACTGTAGCCTTGTAGTATAGTTTGAAGTCAGGTAGCGTGATGCCTCCAGCTTTGTTCTTTTGGCTTAGGATTGACTTGGCGATGCGGGCTCTTTTTTGGTTCCATATGAACTTTAAAGTAGTTTTTTCCAATTCTGTGAAGAAAGTCATTGGTAGCTTGATGGGGATGGCATTGAATCTGTAAATTACCTTGGGCAGTATGGCCATTTTCACGATATTGATTCTTCCTACCCATGAGCATGGAATGTTCTTCCATTTGTTTGTATCCTCTTTTATTTCATTGAGCAGTGGTTTGTAGTTCTCCTTGAAGAGGTCCTTCACATCCCTTGTAAGTTGGATTCCTAGGTATTTTATTCTCTTTGAAGCAATTGTGAATGGGAGTTCACTCACGATTTGGCTCTCTGTTTGTCTGTTGTTGGTGTATAAGAATGCTTGTGATTTTTGTACATTGATTTTGTATCCTGAGACTTTGCTGAAGTTGCTTATCAGCTTAAGGAGATTTTGGGCTGAGACAATGGGGTTTTCTAGATATACAATCATGTCGTCTGCAAACAGGGACAATTTGACTTCCTCTTTTCCTAATTGAATACCCTTTATTTCCTTCTCCTGCCTAAATGCCCTGGCCAGAACTTCCAACACTATGTTGAATAGGAGTGGTGAGGGAGGGCATCCCTGTCTTGTGCCAGTTTTCAAAGGGAATGCTTCCAGTTTTTGCCCATTCAGTATGATATTGGCTGTGGGTTTGTCATAGATAGCTCTTATTATTTTGAAATACGTCCCATCAATACCTAATTTATTGAGAGTTTTTAGCATGAAGGGTTGTTGAATTTTGTCAAAGGCTTTTTCTGCATCCGTTGAGATAATCATGTGGTTTTTGTCTTTGGCTCTGTTTATATGCTGGATTACATTTATTGATTTGCGTATATTGAACCAGCCTTGCATCCCAGGGATGAAGCCCACTTGATCATGGTGGATAAGCTTTTTGATGTGCTTCTGGATTCATTTTGCCAGTATTTTATTGAGGATTTTTGCATCAATGTTCATCAAGGATATTGGTCTAAAATTCTCTTTTTTGGTTGTGTCTCTGCCCGGCTTTGGTATCAGAATGATGCTGGCCTCATAAAATGAGTTAGGGAGGATTCCCTCTTTTTCTATTGATTGGAATAGTTTCAGAAGGAATGGTACCAGTTCCTCCTTGTACCTCTGGTAGAATTCAGCTGTGAATCCATCTGGTCCTGGACTCTTTTTGGTTGGTAAACTATCGATTATTGACACAATTTCAGCTCCTGTTATTGGTCTATTCAGAGATTCAACTTCTTCCTGGTTTAGTCTTGGGAGAGTGTATGTGTTGAGGAATTTATCCATTTCTTCTAGATTTTCTAGTTTATTTGCGTAGAGGTGTTTGTAGTATTCTCTGATGGTAGCTTGTATTTCTGTGGGATCGGTGGTGATATCCCCTTTATCATTTTTTATTGTGTCTATTTGATTCTTCTCTCTTTTTTTCTTTATTAGTCTTGCTAGCGGTCTATCAATTTTGTTGATCCTTTCAAAAAACCAGCTCCTGGATTCATTGATTTTTTGAAGGGTTTTTTGTGTCTCTATTTCCTTCAGTTCTGCTCTGATTTTAGTTATTTCTTGCCTTCTGCTAGCTTTTGAATGTGTTTGCTCTTGCTTTTCTAGTTCTTTTAATTGTGATGTTAGGGTGTCAATTTTGGATCTTTCCTGCTTTCTCTTGTGGGCATTTAGTGCTATAAATTTCCCTCTACACACTGCTTTGAATGCGTCCCAGAGATTCTGGTATGTTGTGTCTTTGTTCTCGTTGGTTTCAAAGAACATCTTTATTTCTGCCTTCATTTCGTTATGTACCCAGTAGTCATTTCAGGAGCAGGTTGTTCAGTTTCCATGTAGTTGAGTGGCTTTGAGTGAGATTCTTAATCCTGAGTTCTAGTTTGATTGCACTGTGGTCTGAGAGATAGTTTGTTATAACTTCTGTTCTTTTACATTTGCTGAGGAGAGCTTTACTTCCAAGTATGTGATCAATTTTGGAATAGGTGTGGTGTGGTGCTGATAAAAATGTATATTCTGTTGATTTGGGGTGGAGAGTTCTGTAGATGTCTATTAGGTCCGTTTGGTGCAGAGCTGAGTTCAATTCCTGGGTATCCTTGTTGACTTTCTGTCTCGTTGATCTGTCTAATGTTGACAGTGGGGTGTTAAAGTCTCCCATTATTAATGTGTGGGAGTCTAAGTCTCTTTGTAGGTCACTCAGGACTTGCTTTATGAATCTGGGTGCTCCTGTATTGGGTGCATATATATTTAGGATAGTTAGCTCTTCTTGTTGAATTGACCCCTTTACCATTATGTAATGGCCTTCTTGGTCTCTTTTAATCTTTGTTGGTTTAAAGTCTGTTTTATCAGAGACTAGGATTGCAACCCCTGCCTTTTTTTGTTTTCCATTTGCTTGGTAGATCTTCCTCCATCCTTTTATTTTGAGCCTATGTGTGTCTCTGCACATGAGATGGGTTTCCTGAATACAGCACACTGATGGGTCTTGACTCTTTATCCAATTTGCCAGTCTGTGTCTTTTAATTGGAGCATTTAGTCCATTTACATTTAAAGTTAATATTGTTATGTGTGAATTTGATCCTGTCATTATGATGTTAGCTGGTGATTTTGCTCGTTAGTTGATGCAGTTTCTTCCTAGTCTCGATGGTCTTTACATTTTGGCATGATTTTGCAGCAGCTGGTACTGGTTGTTCCTTTCCATGTTTAGCGCTTCCTTCAGGAGCTCTTTTAGGGCAGGCCTGGTGGTGACAAAAACTCTCAGTATTTGCTTGTCTGTGAAGTATTTTATTTCTCCTTCACTTATGAAGCTTAGTTTGGCTGGATATGAAATTCTGGGTTGAAAATTCTTTTCTTTAAGAATGTTGAATATTGGCCCCCACTCTCTTCTGGCTTGTAGGGTTTCTGCCGAGAGATCCGCTGTTAGTCTGATGGGCTTCCCTTTGAGGGTAACCCGACCTTTCTCTCTGGCTGCCCTTAACATTTTTTCCTTCATTTCAACTTTGGTGAATCTGACAATTATGTGTCTTGGAGTTGCTCTTCTTGAGGATTACCTTTGTGGCGTTCTCTGTATTTCCTGAATCTGAACGTTGGCCTGCCTTGCTAGATTGGGGAAGTTCTCCTGGATAATATCCTGCAGAGTGTTTTCCAACTTGGTTCCATTCTCCCCATCACTTTCAGGTACACCAATCAGACGTAGATGTGGTCTTTTCACATAGTCCCATATTTCTTGGAGGCTTTGCTCATTTCTTTTTATTCTTTTTTCTCTAAACTTCCTTTCTCGCTTCATTTCATTCATTTCATCTTCCATTGCTGATAGCCTTTCTTCCAGTTGATCGCATCGGCTCCTGAGGCTTCTGCATTCTTCACGTAGTTCTCGAGCCTTGGTTTTCAGCTCCATCAGCTCCTTTAAGCACTTCTCTGTATTGGTTATTTTAGTTATACATTCTTCTAAATTTTTTTCAAAGTTTTCAACTTCTTTGCCTTTGGTTTGAATGTCCTCCCGTAGCTCAGAGTAATTTGATCGCCTGAAGCCTTCTTCTCTCAGCTCGTCAAAGTCATTCTCCATCCAGCTTTGTTCCGTTGCTGGTGAGGAACTGCATTCCTTTGGAGGAGAGGCGCTCTGCTTTTTAGAGTTTCCAGTTTTTCTGTTCTGTTTTTTCCCCATCTTTGTGGTTTTATCTACTTTTGGTCTTTGATGATGTTGATGATGATGATGGGTTTTCGGTGTGGATGTCCTTTCTGTTTGTTAGTTTTCCTTCTAACAGACAGGACCCTCAGCTGCAGGTCTGTTGGAATACCCTGCCGTGTGAGGTGTCAGTGTGCCCCTGCTTGGGGGTGCCTCCCAGTTAGGCTGCTCGGGGGTCAGGGGTCAGGGACCCACTTGAGGAGGCAGTCTGCCGGTTCTCAGATCTCCAGCTGCGTGCTGGGAGAACCACTGCTCTCTTCAAAGCTGTCAGACAGGGACACTTAAGTCTGCAGAGGTTACTGCTGTCTTTTTGTTTGTCTGTGCCCTGCCCCCAGAGGTGGAGCCTACAGAGGCAGGCAGGCCTCCTTGAGCTGTGGTGGGCTCCACCCAGTTCAAGCTTCCTGGCTGCTTTGTTTACCTAAGCAAGCCTGGGCAATGGCGGGCGCCCCTCCCCCAGCCTCGCTGCCGCCTTCCAGTTTGATCTCAGACTGCTGTGCTAGCAGTCAGTGAGATTCCGTGGGCGTAGGACCCTCCGAGCCATGTGTGGGATATAATCTCATGGTTCGCCGCTTTTAAGCCGGTCTGAAAAGCGCAATATTCGGGTGGGAGTGACCCGACTTTCCAGGTGCGTCCGTCACCCCTTTCTTTGACTCCCTGAAAGGGAACTCCCTGACCCCTCGCGCTTCCCAAGTGAGGCAATGCCTTGCCCTGCTTTGGCTCGCGCACGGTGCGCGCCCCCACTGGCCTGCGCCCACTGTCTGGCACTCCCTAGTGAGATAAACCCGGTACCTCAGATGGAAATGCAGAAATCACCCGTCTTCTGCGTCGCTCACGCTGGGAGCTGTAGACGGGAGCTGTTCCTATTCAGCCATCTTGGCTCCTCCCCCCTCCCCATCACTTTCAAGTACACCAATCAGACATAGATTTGGTCTTTTCACATAGTCCAGTATTTCTTGGAGGCTTTGCTCGTTTCTTTTTACTCTTTTTTCTCTAAACTTCTCTTCTTGCTTCATTTCATTCATTTGATCTTCCATCACTTACCCTTTCTTCCAGTTGATCAAATTGGCTACTGAAGCTTGTGCATTTGTCACGTAGTTCTCATGCCATAGTTTTCAGCTCCATCAGGTCATTTAAGGACTTCTCTACACTGGTTATTCTAGTTAGCCTTTTGTCTAATCTTTTTTCAAGGTTTTTAGCTTCTTTGCAATGGGTTCGAACTTCCTGCTTTAGCTCGGAGAAGTTTGATCATCTGAAGCCTTCTTCTCTCAACTCATCAAAGTCATTCTCCGTCCAGGTTTGTTCCATTGCTGGTGAGGAGCTGCATTCCTGTGGAGGGGGAGAGGTACTCTGATTTTTAGAATTTTCAGCTTTTCTGCTCTGTTTTTCCCCATCTTTGTGGTTTTATCTACCTTTGGTCTTTGATGATGGTGATATACAGACGGGGTTTTGGTGTGGATGTCCTTTCTGTTTGTTAGTTTTCCTTCTAACAGTCAGGACCCTCAGCTGCAGGTCTGTTGGAGTTTACTGGAGGTCCACTCCAGACCCTGCTTGCCTGCGTATCAGCAGCGGAGGCTGCAGAACAGCGAATATTGCTGAACAGCAAATGTTGCTGCCTGATTGTTCCTCTGGAAGCTTCGTCTCAGAGGGGTACCCGGCCGTGTAAGGTGTCAGTCTGCCCCTACTGGGGGGTGCCTCCCAGTTAGGCTACTCGGCGGTCAAGGACACACTTGAAGAGGCAGTCTGTCCGTTCTCAGATCTCAAACTCCATGCTGGGAGAACCACTACTCTCTCCAAAGCTGTCACACAGGGACATTTAAGTCTGCAGAGGTTTCTGGTGCCTTTTGTTCAGCTATGCCCTGCCCCCAGAGGTGGAGTCTACAGAGGCAGGCAGGCCTCCTTGAGCTGTGGTGGGCTCCACCCAGTTCAAGCTTCCAGGCCACTTTGTTTACCTACTCAAGCCTCAGCAATGGCGGGCGCCCCTCCCCCAGCCTCACTGCTGCCTTGCAGTTCGATATCAGACTGCTGTGCTAGCAATGAGCAAGGCTCCGTTGGTGTGGGACCCTCAGAGCCATGTGTGGGATATAATCTCTTGGTTTGCCATTTGCTAAGACCGTTGGAAAAGCCCAGTATTAGGGTGGGAGTGACCTGGTTTTCCCGGTGCTGTCTGTCACAGTTTCCCTTGGCTAGGAAAGGGAATTCCCTGACCCCTTGTGCTTCCTGGGTGAGGTGATGCCTATCCCTGCTTCGGCTGATGCTCGGTGGGCTGTACCCACTGTCCTGCACCCACTGTCTGACAAGCCCCAGTGAGATGAACCCGGTACCTCAGTTGAAAATGCAGAAATCACCCATCTTCTGTGTCGCTCACGCTGGGAGCTGTAGACTGGAGCTGTTCCTATTTGGCCATCTTGGAACCGCCCCCCAGAATTTTTTTAAGCATAAGTAATCTTAAATCCCATGGCCCCAGAATAAATATTCTTAATATTTTGGTATACATTTTTAAAAACTCTGTATATATACTTATATATAATTTCTATAAACTGAATTGCATTATATATTCTTTTTAGGATATACTTTTTTCCCACTTAACATTATATTATGTATTTTTTTCATGTCAATAAGTTATAGACCAATCTCGCCATATTTAATGGCTGCATAGTACTTCATTGATTGGATGTGCCATAGTTATTTAGTGAATCTCATATTAATGGAAATTAACATAGCATATATTATATTGATAGTGGATATCACATTGAGTAATATTCAACTGGAGAATAATATAAGTAATATTCTGATAAACATCTTTCTATATGTAGTTTTATAAAAGTCATTTGCCTATTTCCTTTTTAGCTCTTTAAGATAAATCTCTGGAAATGAAATTGCCATATAAAAGTGTGACAGTCAAATGCCCTCTGAAAACAGGGTTACTGGATAAACTTTCACTTTACATCCAGCTAAATAATAAATAATAAATAGCAATTAAAATTTTAGTATAAATATGTCCAATATAATACTTGGGACATAATTATAGTTTGGAAAGTATTTGTTGTTTATCTGAGATTCAAACTTGGCTGCATGTCTGTATTTTTATTTGCTAACTCTGGCAATCCTACTCCAAAAAGCAAGAAACAACTTGTACTGTTTATATACACCTTCACCAACTTTGGGTATTTCAATTCTTTTAATCTTTGCCAATCTGATCAAAGAATCTCATTTTAGTTTGCACCTCTTTGATTACTAGTAAGAATGAATATCAGGTGAGTTTGATCATATATGAATTCTATCTCAAATAACAGTTATTAAAAATGATTGAATTGAATATGATGAACCCAATCAAAAGCTGAAAGAAAATGATTGAAGATCTTTTCACATACTTAGCAACCATATTCTATTTTGAATTTATGGCTCACAATTCTTGGCTTATTTTTCTATTGGGTATACATTTAAAGTTTTTGACTTTTTAGATGTTTTTCAATGTAATAAACCTCTTTATCTAATTTGCAAATATTTTATCTCTGCTCTTATACTTATTTAATAGCATAGAAGTTTAAAACTTTTTTAATTAGTCAAATCCATCAGTCCTTTTATTTGTGATTTGAAGTTATAAAAACCTTTTTATAATATTCTGTGATTATAATAACCGTTTTCTTTTAGCATTTTTTTTTTCATTTTAAAGTTTACACTGTAGTCCCACCTGACCTGCAGTTCCTGGCATAAACTCTGATGTAGCACATACAACTGGCTACTTAACGCCTCCTCCTCAGTTTCTGATGGGCATCTCAGAGCTTGGTTGGCCAAATCTGAAGGATTTGTGTCCCCTCGTCTACGAATCTGCGCTTTCTCCCGTCTTCCTGGCCGTAAGAGATGGCACTGCTGTTTCCGCAGTTACTTGAGCCAAAAACCTATCCTTAGTCCTCCCTTTCCCTTACCTCCAACATGCAGTCCAGCAGCAAGGTCTGTCACTTCTACCTCCAAAACACATCCCAGATCCGTCCATACTGCTAATGCCTCCCAAGCCTAGGCTGACAGCGTCTCTTTCCTGGACTGCTGTAAAAGTCTTGTCACTGTGATCACTATTCCACTTCCTCCCTGCCACCCCCCACAATCCATTCTTTCCATAGCAGTCAGGGAGGTTTTTAAAAACTGCACACCAAAATTACATAACTCTCCTGCTTGAATCTCTATCATCACTTAGGAAATAAAATCTACAGTCCTCACTGCAGTCTTCAAGTCTCCACAATGCCCAGTGCCACTAATGCATCTCAGTCCCCAGGACTTCTCTTTTCCCTCTGGCTCCAGTGTTCTTCAAATACCTGCTTTGGGGCCCTCTGCTATTTTTCTGGCCTAAATCTTCACAAGGCCGTCTGGTTCTTTCCATTTTAGTGAAAATAATCACCTGCTCACCCGGCGCTCCCTGATCTACCTCTCTAAGGCAGCCTCCATCATTCCTCCTTCTCTTCTGTTTTATTAAGTGATACCCCTCACCATTATACACATTTTAAAAAAAAATTTATGTTGTCAGAATGTAAATCAAATGAAAAGACCTCATGAAGTGGTGGGACCCCGTTGGAGGGCTTTAAATACAGGCTGCCATGAGGGGATGGGCCAGGGGTCAGCCTGCAGCTTTCAAGGCCAAGGTCAAGTTCTGTGCTTTCTAGCTAAGTCAGAGTAGGCATTCCTCATCAAAGTTTAATTTTGCCTATTAGAAAAATGCTCACAAACAGCTGACTGCTGACTTCCTTGGAACGGGGACAGATGGGAAAACTAGGGTGGCGCACACAAGACTCAACGGGGAGGAAACCCTGCACTTCCTCCGTCTTTTTTTTTTTTTTTAAAGCATCAAACTTAGAAGGAAAAAAAACCCTATAAATATATATCTTCTCTTCAGAATTTCCTGCTTGCTCATAGCCGGCTCTCAGCAAGAGAAGCCAAGTTCTCCTAACCTCAGTGCATAAGGCCAATAGGCTGACAGCTGGATCTCAATATTTACATTCTGTTATCACATCTGTTGAGGAACCCCAGGCCTAAGTAGCTAAACTGAATTATTCTGGTTTTATCTCCCTACTACTAGGTTCTGAAAAAATACTTCCTCTTTTTGAAAGCACAGGTTTTGTGAAGGTCAACATCTGCCCTCTAGCCTGACCGCCCAAAATGCTATAAAGCTTTCTCAGCCCAAGAGTTAACCCTTTCCTACCTAGATCCACTGCTGTTCAGTGTATTTGAAGTGCACACTGATTGACACGACATGTTGGAAGCCAACGGTAAAACAACCTGCCATCCGTAAGGCACATCTCCAACATGTCAGTAAACAAGGAGAACAGACGTTAAGTGAACATGAGCATGAGTCAGCTGTCAGCAACTGCAAAAGGAAGACACCTTGAAGTCTGGAGGCCTGTCTGTGACTTAGATTTTGTAAGAAAGGAAGTGACAAGGGAAACTTTAAGATAGGCGGCTGACCACCCAGTGGAGACAGAGTGCTCCAGCTGCAATCCACAAACCATGAGAAAGTTGCCTGATACACACTTTCATTGGGGGGGAAAAAACACTCTTCACAACTGTAATCTCAGCATTTTGAGAGGCTGAGGCAGAAGGAGTGCTCGAACCCAGGAGTTCAAGACCAGCCTGGTCAACATAGGGAGAACCCATCTCCACAGAAAATTACAAAAAATTGGCCAGGTGTAGTTGTGCATACCTGTAGTCTCAGCTACTTGGGAGGCTGAGGTGGGAGGATGTCTTAAGCCTAGGAGGTAGAGGCTGCAGTGAGCCATAATTGCACCACTGCACTCCAGCCTGGGCCACAGAACGAGACCCTGCCTCAAACAAAACAAACAAAGAAAAAAACACTTTATGACCAATATCCTTGGCTGAATATTGCCCACAGTAACAAATGCTGGACAGCTTAAACGATTTGTTGTATTCTGGAGTCATACTTTTTCCTTCCTTTACTTTCCTTTTTCTTCTCCCATTCATATCTTCACAAGATATGCACAGATGCAGTGTAGCCCCAATCCAGATCTATTTCGAGTGTCTCATGTTCTGCATTGTATAGGGGTTGGTTTACACAGAGACAACGCTTAGCAGGTAGTCCTGCTAAAGAATTTCCCTGCCAGGCGTGGTGGCTCATGCTTATAATCCCAGCACTTTGGGAGGCTGAGGCAGGAGGATGGCTTGAGCCCAAGAGTTCGAGACCAGCTTGGGCAACACAGTGAGACCCTTTTTGTACAAAAAAAAGAAAGAAAAAATTAGCCATGCACGGTGGCTCATGCCTGCAGTCCCAGCTACTCTGGAGGCTGAGGTAGGAGGATGGGTTGATTCTGAGAGGTCAAGGCTGCAGAGAGGTCAAGGCTGCAGTGAGCCATGATCACACTGCTACACTCCAGCCTGGGCAACAAAGCAAGACCCCATCTCAAAAAAAAAAAAGAAAAAGAGAATTTCTGTCTCTGTCAAATAATGTCAGCATTTATACGTCTGTTTTACAAAACATGAAGATGGAAAGAAACATCTTTGGTTTTTTAGTTTGGTCTATCAATGTAGTTTCTCCTTCACACACGCCAGGCATCATTTCAAGCACGTTTCCTCCACATTCACTCTCCCTTGATCCCATCATATTCAAGGTTGTCGAGATCAGCCACTGGGGTCAGAGTGGAACTTGTTCAGAGGCTGATTCTCAGGCTCTGTGGACCCGTGCTCCCTCACATGCTGGGTCAGCAGCCAAGTGTGCTCATTTGTCCATGCTCACAGAAGGGAGGGGCAGAAAAGCTCTTCAAGTTTCACTTGGCGGCATGAGGGCCAGAGTGACTTCCTTGTTAGTACAGAGCAAATGAGAAGGTCCCGCATTTCTAACGATCGGTTAGGGCTTTTCTTTATTTTCTAATTTTTATTCATTCATTCATTCAATTATTTTTGAGGGAGGGTCTCGCTCTGTCACCCAGGCTGGAGTGCAGTGGCACCATGGAGTTTGAACACACTTTGGTACAAACTTTTGCTGTATTTTGAGCTGCAGCAGCAATTAATTGTATTCTGCATCTTAAACATGGACCTTAAGGGACACTTAAGGGACCTTTTTAAGGGTCATATTGGGGTTTTGTAGAACTCCTCCGTTTGGGGAATTCTCAATCTTGTGAGAGTCATAGTGGGAAATGCTGCCGAAATTTCCAATCCTCATGTTCTCAGCCTCCTAAGCAGCTGGGGGAAGGAATGTGGTCTAAGCTTACCTGACTGAGTCACCCATGCATGAATCAAGTGCTAGGGACATAAGGCCAAGACAGCCCGGCCAGCACGAGGGGACAGCATGGGCCTAGCTGTGTTGGCCGTGGGGCACTGAAGGGCTCACAGGGGACATGGGGAGGATGCCCATTGGCCCCACAGCCTGGTTCTTTGCAGTATTTGGGTTGGTCCCTGCTGCTTCCTATCATCCCTGGCTCCTGCTCATTCCCCAAAGCTAGAGCTCCAGCATCCCCCTCAATCATTTGAGCTTTCCAGTATCATTTCAATACTTTCCAAGAATGTCCAGGGTCACAGGCCAGGGAAGTAAAAGAACATTATTTATAAGGCAGGGCTCCAAAGCTGGTATATCCCTGGGAAGTGTGTCTTGGCATAAACACTAGCTGGATCTCAAGGCCCTGCATTCACCCACAAATTCTCTTCTTCACCAGCATTGTGCTTCTGTCTTAAAAGGCAGATGATCACCTCAATTCTTTTTGATAACAGCCCAAATCAAAAACAACGTCATTAAAATGAAACAATACAAAACTAAGCACCAATGTTCACAGTTACTCCTCCTACCTCCCAAAATGGTGAGCTAAGATTTGCTGGGGTGTTTAAGAGATGGGTTCTTGTTTATTTTTATTTTTAAAACAGAGATGGATTCTTGCTCTATTGCCCCAGGCTGGCTTCTAACTCCCGGCCTCAAGCAATCCTCCTACCTCAGCCTCCCAAAGTGTTGGGATTACAGGCATAAGCCACCGCACCCGGCCAAGAGATAGGTTCTTGATGCTCAAACTGTATCATTTCATTTCCCCTGACTCTCTCACCAGTATAGCTTTAGTAGTTTTAAATGTCCTAACTTATAAATAACATAGACAATATATATTTAGGTATTTTGTCACTTTTACTTTTAGGCCAACTCTCTGCAAGCTGTTGTCTCTTTTCTCAATAGCTAATTTTAATTATAATAAAGATTGTTTGAAGCCGTGTCCTAAGCGTTTTATGGTTCCAAGAGGGTTAAGAAGCTGCGGTGCTCATACACCTAGCAAGTGGAGGAGGCAGGGTCTGAGAAAGGTTTAATTAGGGTTCTCCACCTGCCTGTAGACTCATAAACTGGTTCTGCACGGAACGTGTCACATGCCTATTTTTTTTTTAAGTGTAAAGGAGGTCTGTTGTAACCAGGCAGGCACAGATGCTACCAGTGTGAATTATATCCTTTGGTTCTCTGTAGAGATGAACAAGCACTTGCTTTGTCTGATGTTCAAACTCAAGCTTCTCTAAATATGACCTTTATTTTCAGTGGTGTTTTACTCTGCTTTTCAAAATAATTCTTTGAGTGGGAAATTAATTAGGGTAACAACTTCATACCCTAGCAAAGTCTCCAGAAGATTCCTGTGAGCTCCTAGGAGAGCTTATACCCATGTCCAGCTAATGATCTCACTCCTGTCATGCTCTTTTTGTCTCCTACTCCAGCCTTCTGCTGGGCAGTGACTATTGGCCAGTGCTGTCCCCTCAGGCGGGCCCTATTGCCCTGGGTGCGGACATCTCATCTGCCTGCTGAAACTGCTGCTGTCAGGTGGGGCCCCTTCAGCACTGACTTGCCTTTCCTTTCAGTTTTCTAGATTTTCTACATATGAAACTCTCCATCTGGAATGTTTAAAAATTACAATAATAAAAACTAGAAGGAAAAGTTGATTCACATACTCTTGATTAAATTTAAATATGCTATTTATGTTTTTAAAATTTTAAGTGTTTGGAATTGTTTTGCCTCTCAGAAATGAAGTGTGACCTTTTTTCTTCCTGTTTCTTTTTTTCTTTCTTTCTTTTTTTTCTTCTTTTTGAGACAGGGTGTCTCACTGTCTTTCCCAGGCTGCAGTGCGGTGGCGCCATCTCAGTTCACTACGACCTCCGCCTCCCGGGCTCAAGCGATTCTCCCGCCTCAGTCTCCTGAGTAGCTGGGATTACAGGCGTGCACCATCATGCCCAGCTAATTTCTGTCGTTTTAGTAGAGATGGGGTTTCACCACGTTGGCCAGGCTGGTATTGAACTCCTGACCTCAAATGCTCCACCCACCTCAGCCTCCCAAAGTGCTGGGATCACAGGCGTAAGCCACCATGCCCAGCCTTATTTTTTTTCTTTTTTTGAGGTAGCTTTTAGCAGTTTACTTTGTTATACTAAAAGACTAAACTTTTTTTTTAGTTGACACATAATAGTGTGCATGTTTACACAGTACATAGTGATGTTGGGGTACAAACAATGTATATCAGATCATGGTAATTAGCATACTCATCACTGCAAACACTTACCATTTCTTTCTTTTTTTTTTTTCTTGAGACAGGATATCACTTTTTCACCCAGGCTGGAATGCAGTGGTGTGATCTCAGCTCACTGCAGCCTCAATCTCCTGGGCTCAAGCGATTCTCCCACCTCAGCCTCCTGAGTAGCTAGGACCACAGGTGTGCACTACCATGCCTGGATAACTTTTTTACAGAGACAGGGTTTCACCATGTTGCCCAGGCTGGTCTCAAACTCCTGAGCTCAAGTGACCCACCCACCTTGGGCCCCCCCGAAGTGCTGGGATTACATGCGTGAGCCACCCACTGAGACATGAAGTCAGCTGGACTTCCGGGGTCGAGTGGAGACTTGGAGAACTTTTCTGTCTTACAAGGGGATTGTAAAATGCACCAATCAGTGCTCTGTAGCTAGCAAGAGGTTTGTAAAATGCACTAATCAGCGCTCTGTAAAATGGACCAATCAGCACTCTGTAAAATGGACCAATCAGCAGGGTTCTAAAAGTAACCAATCGCAGGGAGGATTGAGAAAAGGGCATTCTGATAGGACAGAAATAGGACATGGGAGGGGACAAATAAGGGAATAAAAGCTTGCCACCCCAGCCAGCAGCAGCAACCCTCTCGGGTCCACTTCCACGCTGTGGAAGCTTTGTTCTTTTGCTCTTCACAATAAATCTTGCTGCTGTTCACTCTTTGGGTCCATGCCACCTTTAAGAGCTATAACACTCACTGCGAAGGTCCATGGCCTCATTCTTGAAGTCAGCAAGACCGTGAACCCACCAGAAGGAACCAACCCTGGACACATCTTGGGGGTTTGTCTGGGATATTGCCATGCGATGAGCACCACTGGACCCCTTTTGCTTGCTATTCTGTCCTATTTTTCCTTATAATTTGGGGGCTAAACACCAAGCACTTGTGAGCTGGTTAAAAGCGACTAGTGGAGCTGCCAGACTAAAGACACGGGTGTCAGGCTTTCTGGGAAAGGGCTAACAACCCCGACTCTTTGGAGTTGGGAGGGTTGGTTTGCCTGGAACAAGCTTCTGCTTTTCCTGTACTTCTGGGCTGAGCCAAGGGACGACAGAGAGGAAAGCCATTCAGCTCCAGGGTCCTGACAAAAAGTTGGTTGACCCTGAAACCATGAGTGGAACTCTCAAAGTCACATTGCCCAAGCGAGACTTGTCCATCTATATCCTATCTATCCTGACCCTTGCCTCCTGGGTTCTAACAACTGTCAGACAAACTTCCTTCTGCCTCTCTTCTCCAAGGCTAGCATGCTTCTAAAAACCACTCCCTGTCTCTGGCGCTTTTCTAGTTCCTCCTATAAGAATGATTTATAGTATAAATTTCAAGACTCTTTTCCTTTATTTAGGCACCCAGCCTTACCAATCAGAAAGACATAATTTTTGCCCAAAGCTCTATTGTGGGGGACTATCTGGAATACCATTTATCCTTTTAGGATTCCTCCTCAGACAAGCAGGCCTAACAAAGGCTATCCCGAAGCTAGAATATGGGGAGCCTCAGAAATGATATCCCTCCTATTCATATGAGGAGAAGTGAGAACAAAAGGTGTCACTCTTCCAACCCTAGAGATCCCTTCCCTCCCTCAGGGTATGGCCCTCCACTCCATTTTGAGGCATAATATCTTTATAGGACAAGGGTAAGTTCCCAGTACCAACAAGAGAAAATGTTTAGGACTCTAACAGGTTTTTGAGAATGCGTCAGTAAGGGCCACTAAATCCGATTTTTCTTGGTCCTCTTTGTGGTCTCAGAGGAAAGGGAAGAGTGCAGGTTTTTGAGAATGCATTGGTAAGGGCCACTAAATCTGACCTTCCTCAGTCCTCTTTGTGGTCTAAGAGGAAAACTAGTGTTTCTGCTGCTGCTGCGTCATTGAGCACAACTATTCCAGTCAGCAGGGTCCAGGGACTGTTGCAGGTTCTTGGGCAGGGGGGAAACAAACAAAGCAAAATGGCGGGCAGTTTTCTCTTTCAGATGAGAAACACTCAGGCATCAACAGGCTCACCCTTGAAATGCATCCTAAGCCACTGGGACCAATTTGACCTGCAAACTCTGAAAAAGAGGGGGCTCACTTTTTGCTGCACTATGGCCTGGCCCCAATATTCTCTCTCTGATGGGGATAAATGGCCACCTGAGGGAAGTATACATTACAGTACTATCCTGCAGCTTGACCTTTTCTATAAGAGGGAAGGCAAATGGAGTGAACTACCTTATGTCCAAGCTTTCTTTTCATTGAAGGAGAATCCACAACTATGCAAAGCTTGCAATTTACATTCCACCAGAGGACTTCTCAGCTTACCCCCATAACCTAGCCTCCCTACAGCTCCCCTTCCTATTAATGATAAGCCTCCTCTAATCTCCCCCACCCAGAAGGAAACAAGCAAAGAAATCTCCAAGGGACCATAAAAACCCCCAGGTTATCAGTTATATCCCCTTCAAGCTGTAGGGGGAGGGGAATTTGGCCGGACCTGGGTACATGTCCCCTTCTCCCTCTCTGATTTAAAGCAGATCAAGGTAGACCTGGGGAAGTTTTCAGATGATCCTGATAGATACATAGACGTCCTACAGGGTCTAGGGCAAACCTTCCACCTCGCTTGGAGAGATGTCATGCTATTGTTAGATCAAACCCTGGCCTTTAATGAAAAGAATGCGGCTTTAGCTGCAGCCTGTTTGGAGATACCTGGCATATTAGTCAAGTAAATGATAGAATGACAGCCAAAGAAAGGGACAAATTCCCTACCAGTCAGCAAGCCATCCCCAGTTTGGACCCCACTGGGACCTCAACTCAGATCATGGGGACTGGAGCTGTAAACATCTGCTAACCTGTGTTCTAGAAGGATTAAGGAGAATTAGGAAAAAGCCCATGAATTATTCAATGATGTCCACCATAACTCAGGGAGAGGAAGAAAATCCTACCACCTTCCTTGCGCGGCTACAGGAGGCCTTAAGAAAATATAGTCCTGTCACCCGACTCACTGGAGGGTCAATTGACCCTAAAAGATAAGTTTATTACCCAATCAGCTGCAGATATCAGGAGAAAGCTCCAAAAGCGAGCCCTGGGCCCTGAACAAAATCTGGAGGCGTTATTAAGCCCGGCAACCTTGGTGTTCTATAATAGGAACCAAGAGGAACAGGCCAAAAAGGAAAAGCGAGATCAGAGAAAGGCTTAAGGCTGCATCCTTAGTCATGGCCCTCAGACAAACAAACCTTGGTAGTTCAGAGACGACAAAAAATGGAGCAGGCCAATAACCCGGTGGGGCTGGTTATCAGTGTGGTTTGCAAGGACACCTTTAAAAAGATTGTCCAATGAGAAACAAGCCACCCCCTCGCCCATGTCCACTATGCTGAGGCAATCACTGGAAGGTGCACTGCCCCAGAAGACAAAGATTCTCTGGGCCAGAAGCCCCCAACCAGATGATCCAACAATATGACTGAGGGTGCCCGGGGCAAGCGCCAGGTCATGTCATCACCCTTACTGAGTCCTGGGTACGTTTAATCATTGAGGGCCAGGAAATTGACTTCCTCCTGGACACTGGTGTGGCCTTCTCAGTGTTAATCTTCTGTCCCAGATGGCTGTCCCCAAGGTCCGTTACCATCCGAGGAATCCTGGGACAGCCTGTAACCAAGTATTTCTCCCACCTCCTCAGTTGTAATTGGGAGACTTTGCTCTTTTTACATGGCTTTCTTGTTATGCCTAAAAGTCCCACACCCTGAATAGGGAGGGACATATTTGCCAAAGCTAGAGCTATTATCTACATGAATATGGGGAACAAGTTGCCCATTTGTTGTCCCCTACTTGAGGAGGGAATCAACCCTGAAGTCTGGGCATTGGACAATTTGGAAGGGCAAAAATGCCCACCCAGTCCAAATCAGGCTAAAAGACCCCACCGCTTTTCCTTATCAAAGGCAATATCCTTTAAGGCCTGAGGCGCATCAAGGATTACAGGATATTGTTAGACATTCAAAAGCTCAAGGCTTAGTAAGAAAATGCAGCAGTCCCTGCAACACCCCAATTCTAGAAGTACAAAAACTGAATGGTCAGTGGAGACTAGTGCAAGATCTTAGACTCATCAAAGAAGCAATAATTCCTCTATATCCAGCTGTACCCAACCCCTATACCCTGCTCTCTCAAATACCAGAGGAAGCAGAATGGTTCACTGTTCTAGACCTCAAGGATGCCTTCTTTTGCATTCCCCTGCACTCTGACTCCCAGTTCCTCTTTGCCTTTGAGGATCCCACAGGCCACACATCCCAACTGATGTGGATGGTCTTGCCCCAAGGGTTTAGTGATAGCCCTCATCTGTTTGGTCAGGTACTGGCCCAAGATCTAGGCCACTTCTCAAGTCCAGGCACTCTGATCCTTCAGTATGTGGATGACTTACTTTTTGCAACCAGTTCGGAAGCCTCGTGCCAGCAGGCTACTCTAGATCTCTTGAACTTTCTAGCTAATCAAAGGTACAAGGCATCTAAATCACAGGCCCAGCTCTGCCTACAACAAGTTAAATATCTAGGCCTAATCTTAGCCAGAGGAATCAGGGCCCTCAGCAAGGAATGAATACAGCCTACACTGGCTTATCCTCACCCTAAGACATTAAAACAGTTGCAGGGGTTCCTTGGAATCACTGGTTTTTGCTGACTATGGATCCCCAGATACAGCGAGATGGTCAGGCCACTCTGTACTCTAATCAAGGAGACCCAGAGGGCAAATACTCATCTAGCAGAATGGGAACCAGAGGCAGTAAAAGACTTCAAAACCTTAAAGCAGGCCTTAGTACAAGCTCCAGCCTTAAATCTTCCCACAAGACAAAACTTCTCTTTATACATCACAGAGAGAGTGAGAATAGCTCTGGAGTCCTTACTCAGACTCGTGGGACAACCCCACAACCAGTGGCATACCTAAGTAAGGAAATCAATGTAGTAGCAAAAGGCTGGCCTCACTGTTTATGGGTAGTTGCAGCGGTGGCCATCTTAGTTTCAGAGGCTATCAAAATAATACAAGGAAAGGATCTCACTGTCTGAACTACTCATGATATAAATGGCATACTAGGTGCCAAAGGAAGTTTATGGCTGTCAGATACCAGGTGCTACTCCTTGAGGGACTGGTGCTTCAAATATGCACATCTGCCACCCTCAACCCTACCACTTTTCTCCCAGAGGATGGAGAACCAATCGAGCATGACTGCCAACAAATTGTTGCCCAGACTTAAGCCACCCAAGAGGATATATTAGAAGTCCCCTTAGCTAATCCTGTCCTTAACCTATATACTGATGCAAGTTCATTTGTGGAGAATGGGATATGAAGGGCAGGTTATACCATAGTTAGTGATGTAACAGTACTTGAAAGTAAGCTTCTTCCCACAGGGACAAGTGCCCAGTTAGCAGAACTAGTTACGCTTACCCAAGCCTTCGAACTGGGAAAGGGAAAAAGAATAAATGTGTATACAGATGGCAAGTATGTTTATCTAATCCTATGCGCCCATGCTGCAATATGGAAAGAAAGGGCGTTCCTAACCTCTGGGGGAACCCCCATTAAATGCCACAAGGAAATCATGAAGTTATTTCACGCAATGCAAAAACCCAAGGAGGTGGAAGTCTTATACTGCTGAAGCCATCAAAGAGAGAGGGGAAGAGACAGAGTGACAAAGAGGAGAGAGAAAGAGAGAGGAAGAGATAGAGAGACAAAGAGGGAGTCAGAGAGAGGAAGACACAGAGAGACAAAGAGGGAGTCAAAAAGAAAGAGAGATGGAAGTAGTAAAGAAAAAAAACAGCATACCCTATTCCTTTAAAAGCCAGGGTAAATTTAAAACCTATAATTGATAATTGATGGTCTTCTCTTAACCCTATAACACTCCAATACTACCTTGTTGTCAGTGTGAACAAGGACGTAGCCCGAAAGCACTGAGGCCACTGAAAACCCACAGCCTACCTATCCTTAACCCAGTAACCCACAGATGGCCCACATGCATTTAATCTGTAGTGGCAACTGCTTTGCTAACAGAAGAAAGTAGGAAGATAACTTTTAGAGGTAACCTCATTGTGAGCACACCTCACCAGGTCAAAATCATTCTAAATAAAAAAAAAAAAAAAAGGTAGCTACTTACTCAAAAATATTAAAGTATGGTGCTATTCTGATAGAAAAAGATGATTTAACCCAGCAGATTTCCTAACAGGGGATCTAAATCTTAATTAATTACCATACAAAGGTCTGACCAGACCCAGGAGGAACTCCCTTCAGGACAATCGATGGTTCCTCCTGGGCAATTAAGGGGAAAAGTCACAATGAGTATTCAGTAAGCGATAAGGAAACTCTTGTAGAAGCAGAGTTAGGAAAATTGCCTAATAGTTGGTCTGCTCAAATGTGCCAGCTGTTTGCACTCAGCCAAATCTTAAAGTACTTACAGAATCAGGAAGGAGCCATCTATACCAATTGTAAGTTAACATGTACTGAACGAGGTCATATTAATAGCAAAGAATAATTGAAATCCCAAACTTACAAGGTTTTCTACAAAAATAAAGTTTGCTAAAAGTTAACAGTGTAACATGTATTATCCTAACTTCTACTCTTGTGGAAATCAGACCATCAGACCCTATCTGTGCCCCTCAAAGCTCAAGTCCGTCAGTGCCAGGCCATACAACTAATACCCCTAATTATAGGGTTAGGAATGGCTACTGCTACAGGAACCAGAATAGAGGTTTGTCCACTTCATTATCCTACTACTGCACACTCTCAAAGGATTTCTTAGACAGTTTGTGAGAAATAACAAAATCTATCCTTACTCTACAATCCCAAATAGACTCTTTGGCAGCAGTGACTTTCCAAAACCACCAAGGCCTAGACCTCCTCTCTGGTGAGAAAGAAAGACTTTGCACCTTCTTAGAGGAAGAGTGTTGCTTTTACACTAACCAGTCAGGGATAGTATGAGACACCACCTGGCATTTACAGAAAAAGGCCTCTGAAATCAGACAATGCCTTTCAAACTCTTATACCAACCTCTGGAGTTAGGCGTCATGGCTTCTCCCCTTTCTAGGTCCAGTGACAGCCATCTTGCTATTACTCGCCTTCAGGCCCTGTGTTTTTAACCTCCTTGTCAAATTTGTTTCCTTCAAAATTGATGCCATCAAGCTACAAATGGTCTTACAAATGGAACCCCAAATGAGCTCAACTCATAGCTTCTACCGAGGACCCCCGGACCAACCCACTGGCCCTTTGGCCTACAGAGTTCCCCTCTAGAGGACACTACAACTACACGGCCCCTTCTTCACCCCTATCCAGCAGGAAGTAGCTAGAGTTGTCATCGCCCAATTCCCAACAGTAGTTGGGGTGTCCTGCTTAGAGGGGGGATTGAGAGATGAAGCCAGCTGGACTGGGTCCAGTGGGGACTTGGAGAACTTTTCTGTCTTACAAGGGGATTGTAAAATGCACCAATCAGTGCTCTGTAGCTAGCAAGAGGTTTGTAAAATGCACCAATCAATGCTCCATAAAAATGCACCAATCAGAGCTCTGTAGCTAGCAAGAGGTTTGTAAAATGGACCAATCAGCACTCCGTAAAATGGACCAATCAGTGCTCTGTAAAATGGACCAATCAGTGCTCTGTAAAATGGACCAATCAGCACTCTGTAAAATGGACCAATCAGCAGAATGCTAAAAGTAACCAATCATGGGGAGGATTGAGAAAAGGGCATTCTTGTAGGACAGAAACAGGACACGGGAAGGGACAAATAAGGGAATAAAAGCTGGCCACCCCAGCCAGCAGTGGCAACCTGCTCAGGTCCCCTCCCATGCTGTGGAAGCTTTGTTCTTTCACTCTTCATGATAAATCTTTCTGCTGCTCACTCTTTGGGTCTGTGCCACCTTTAAGAGCTATAACACTCACAGTGAAGGTCTGCAGCTTCACTCTTGAAGTCGGCAAGACCACGAACCCACTGGAAGGAACCAACTCCGGACACACTGCCAGCTATCATTTCTTTGTATTGGGAACATTCAATATCCTCCTTCTAGCTATTTGAAACTGTACAACATATTGTTAAGCATAGAACACTAGAATTTATTCTGCCTATCTAGCTGTAATTTTGTATCCTTTAACAAAAAGAATCTTTTTTTAAAGGATCTCTCTTATGTAAAATGATCTCTTCCTATCTTCTCCCTCTCCCTAAACTTCCCAGCTTCTAGTATCTTTTACTTCTATGAAATCCACTTTTTTAACTTCTGCATATGAGTGAGAACATGTGGTGTTTAACTTCTGGTTCCTGGCTTATTTCATGTAACGTAATGTCCTCCAGTTCCATCTGTGTTGCCACAGATGACAGGATTTCATTCCTTGTTAGGGCTGAATAGTATTTCACTGTGTATAGGTACCATATTTTCCTTTTCCATTCATCTGTTGATGGACGCTTGGGTTGATTCCTTATCTTGGCTGTTGTGAATAGTGCTGTGATAAACATGGGGTTGCAGATGTCTCTTAGAAGTGCAACCCTTTCTGTTCCAGCAAATGAATTCAGTCAATTTTGGAAAGTTTCTCTTTTCTCTCTGGATGTCACTGGGTTTTTTAAAATCAACATACTTGTATAGAATATGCTTTGAAGTTTGTAAATGAGAACCAACCGGCTCACCAAGGGAAGCAGAGTGGACAGGTTATTACGGACTTTGTGTTTTCCTATTAGATGGACTAAGTTCTTTATATAGTAAGCTATTCATTCTTTGCCATCTGGTGGCAACTATTTTTCCCTGATATGTTCAATTTTAGTACTTTAAAACTTTTTTCTTTTTCTTTTTAGCACTTATGCCAATTTAAATGAATTATTTGTATGAGTCATGGTTCAATGTTTGTATAATACATAAACTTCTTACCATCTCTACGTCGTCCACCATGCACACCTAGCAACTGCCACTTCTCATCTGACCTGTATCAGCAGCCAGATCTCTGGGACTCCCTGCCTCCCCTCCCATCCCTCCTAGTTCCTTCTCCTCACAGCAGCCAAAAGGAACCTGTTACTACAAAATTGTGATCATGACACTGTCTTCTTCAGAAATCTGTAAAGGGCTGGGTGTGGGGGCTCATGCCTGTAATCCCAGCACTTTGGGAGGCTGAGGCGGGCGGACCACGAGGTCAGGAGATCAAGACCATCCTGGTTAACACGGTGAAACCCCATCTCTACTAAAAATACAAAAAATTAGCCAGGCATGGTGGTGGCCACCTGTAGTCCCAGCTACTCGGGAGGCTGAGGCAGGAGAATAGTGTGAACCTGGGAGGCGGAACTTGCAGTGAGCTGACATTGCACCACTGCACTCCAGCCTGGGCGACAGAGCAAGACTCCATCTCAAAACAAAACAAACAAACAAAACCTATAAAGACCTCCCTCCTATCATCTTCCCCCGACCAAGCCTAGCAAGTCCTTCTGGACTGGGTCCCTGGCTCTAAGTGTACAGGAAGCAAATTGGTTTCTATATTTTGATACTGTATCCAGGAAGGTTGGTGAGCACACCTCTTAATTCTAATAGTTTTCCTGTAGATTCTCTCTGAATGCCTGTCATAGGCATATCATCTGACAATAATGCCAGTTTTGTTTCTTCTTTTCAAATCTTTACATCTTTTATTTCTATTTTTACCTTACTGGGTAGAACTTCTCTAATAATATTGAATAGAAGCAATGACAGCTGGCTTTCTTGTCTTGTTCCTAACTTAAAGAGCACGCTTTAAACTTTTCACCATTAAATATGTTTGCTGCAGGTTTTTGTTAGATATACTTTATAAGAAGAAGGAATTTTCCTTTTATTATATTTTGCTGAGAGATTTTTACAATTATAAATGCATATTGAAGGATAATGAGGTCAGCCTTGCCCTGTCAGATATTAATATATTAAAAAGTTATAATAAAGATTGTGGCAGTAGTACCAGGATAGAACAGTGGCAGATTAATACACAGTCTAAAACTAGATGCAAACATACACAAGAACTTAGATGATTTATTCTGGCTCCCTTTGTTTTAGGTTGTTATGTTTTCCTCTTGATTGTCTTTCTTTTTTTTTCTAGACTGGATCTCTTTCTATCACCCGGGTTGGAGTGCAGTGGTACGATCATGGCTCACTGCAGCCTCTACCTCTCAACCTCCTGAGCTCAAGGGATCCTCCTGCCTCAACCTCCAGAGTAGCTGAAACTACAGATGCATACCACCATGCCTAGCTAATATTTTTATTTTCTGTACAGACATGGTCTCATTATGTTGCCCAAGGCTAGTCTATGTTGCCCAGGCTGGCCTCCCATCTCAGCCTTTCAAAGTGGTAGGATTACAGGTGTGGAGCACTGCACCCAGCCTTACTCTCTGTTTCTACAAGTTCAACTTTTAAAAATCCCACGTATAAGTGAAACCATCTAGTATTCATATTTTTGTGTCTGGTCTATTTTGTTTAGCATAATGTCTTCCAGTTTCATTTATATTGTTGCAAATGGCAGGATTTCCTTTTTTAAAAAAAGGTGGAATAGTGCATTGCACATGCACACACACACACACTACATTTTCTTTATCCATTCATCCATTCATAGACACTTAGGTTGATCTCATATCTTGGCTGCTGTAAATATGGAGTGATTTCATTTCCTTTGGATATGTGCCAAGAAGTGGGAATGCTGGATCATATGGTAGTTCTATTTTTAATTTTTTGAAGAACCTCTATACTGTTTTCCACAATGACTGTACCAATTTACATTCCCACCAATGGTGCACAAGGGTTCCCTTTTCTGTACATCCTCAACAACACTAGTTATCTTTTGGCTTTCTTACAATAGCCATTCTAACAGGTGTGAGATGATCTCTCACTGTGCTTTTGATTAGCATTTCCCTGATGATTAGTGGTGTTGAGCACCTTTTTATAAATCTGCTGGCTTATATACATATGTTCTTTGGAAAAATATCTATTCAGGACCTTTGCTTATTTTAAAATGTAAACCTTTTAAATAAAAGATTATTTGGTTTTGTCCTATTGAGTTGTGTGTGTTCCTTACGTATTTTAGATATTAACCCCTCCTATCAAATACATACTTTGCAAATATTTTCTCCTACTCTGTAAATTGTCTCTTTACTGTGCTGATTGTTTTCTTTGCTGTGCAGAATGTTTTTAGCTTGATGGAATCCAATTTGTCTATTTTTCTTATACTTTTGAGCTCATATCCAAAAAACTCTTTGCTTGCACCACTGTCAAGAAACTTTTCCCCTAGGTTTTCTTCTGTTAGTTTTACAGTGTCAGGTTCTACATTTAAGTCTTTAATATATTTTGACTTGACTTTTTAATATGGTATAAGGGTACAATTTTATTCTTCTGCATGTGGATATTCAGGTTTAGTTTTCCCAACACCAATTATTGAAGGGACTATCGTTTTTCCATTGTGTATTCTTGGTGCTTCTCTTGAAAATTACTTGACATTATATGTACGGGTTTCTTTCCGGGCTCTGTATTCTGTTCTATTGGTCTATATGTCTGTTTTTATACCAGCACCATACTGCTTTGATTATGAGACATCTTTCCATTTATTTTTACCTCATTCAATTTCTTTCATCAGAGTCTTACAGTTTCAGTATACAGATCTTTCACATCCTTGGTTAAATACATTTCTGGCTAGATGCAGTGGCTCATATCTGTAATCCAAGCACTTTGGGAGGCCAAGGTGGGAGGATTGCTTGAGATCAGGAGTTCAAGATCAGCCTGGGCAACAGAGTGAGACGCTGTCTCTACAAAAAAAATTTAAAAATTAGCTGGGTGTGCTGGCATACACCTATAGTCTCAGCTACTTGGGGGGCTGAGGTGGGAGGATCACTTGAGTACAGGAGTTTGAGGCTGCAGTGCCACTTTACTCCAGCCTGAGTGACAAAGCAAGACACTCTCTCTAAATAAATAAGTAAATATATAAATAGATTTACTCCTATGTAATTTTTTGGTTATTGTAAATGAGATTGTTTCTTAATTTCTTTTTTAGATAGTTAATTGTTTGTTAGTGTGTAGAAATGCAACTGGTTTTTGTATGTTGATTTCGTATCCTGCAACTTTATTGAATTCGTTTATTATTTCTAGGAGTTTTTTGGTGGAGTCTTTAGGGTTTGCTATACAAAAGATCACGTCATTTGCAAACAGACAATTTTACATCTTCCTTTCTGATTTGGGTGCCTTTTATTTCTTTCTGTGGCCTAATTTCTTTTAGTGGCTCTGGCTGGGACTTCCAGTATTATGTTGACTAGAAGTGGTGAGAATGGGCATCTTTGTCTTGTTTCTGATCTCAGAGAAAAAGCTTCAGCTTCTCACTGTTGAATATGATGTGGGCTTGTCATATATGGCCTTTATTGAGTTGAGGCACATTCTTTCTATACCTGATTTGGTGAGAGTTTTTATCATGAAAGGATGTTGGAGTCAAATGCTTTTGCTTCATCTGCTGAGATGACCATTTGGTTTTTATCCTTTATTCTGTTAATGCCGTGGATCACATTTATTAGTTTATATATATCAAACCATCCTTGCATCCCAGGGATAAATCCCACTTGATCATGGTTTACACAATCATTTTAATGTGCTGTTGATGTTGGTTTTCTATTATTTTGTTGAGAATTTTTGTCCCTATGTTCATCATGGATATTGATCTATAATTTTCTTTTCAGGTTTGTGTTCCTTCTCCCAATCCCACAGAGTCTAGCTTTCTGCAAAGGCTCACATCTGCTGTCTTGGGGGCACACATGGAAAACTGGCCACTATCAGGAGAGAAGGGTGATTCACTCAGAGCATTGGGGGCACTTGTGGGCCAGTTTGGAAGAAGGGAGCCTCCAGACAGGCATCTCAAGAGGACTCCTGATGGAGTCCCAGAAGCGGTTAGTATAATTTAAGGCCCTTTGTCAAGTTTCAAGCCCTCATTGCTGTAGGTCCTTTCTTCTCTTACTTGATCACAGCCTCTCCCAGCCACTCAGCTGTGTTGATTCCTTTTGTATTCTGGGTGGACAAGGAAGAGGTGGGCCTTTTGGCAGGTCCCAGGTATAGCTAGGGTAGCCCGGCACTCACTACGCTCTCACTTTCCCTTGTGCAAAGAATGGTGTGCTCAGGGGGTGGTTTCTCTTGGCACTGAGCTGTGCCACCTTGTGGGAGGGCTGACTCAATTAAAATGAAACTGTTTTACCCTCTTCAATGTGTCTGTTCCAGGATTTTTTTTTCCAACAGTATGCTGGAACTTCTCCACTGGTCTTTAGGACTCTCACAAAGGTACTCTTGTCTATGGGTGGTTGTCAAAATCCATGCATTGTGGAGAGATGATGACAGAAAACTGTCTGCCATCTTGCTGATGTGATTCCTGACTTTGTTTCTCTTTATTCCTCTTCAAGCAAGGCAAGTCCTAGTTAAACTTGGACAAGGTGTGAAAGTGCGTCCACTGTTTCTCGCCTTTGTGTGATGGTTGAATTCTCTTGCCAGGTCTACAGTGAGAGGGCAGGCTGGGGAGCACAGCATCCTGTCCAATTTCCAGCTCCTAGTAGGCTTTCACACAGTGCACCTCTAATATGTTGAATTGACACCTTCTATCATGTTACATCGTTCATGTATCCTCTGAACCAAAATTGTACATAAAAATTAAAACCCACTCACTGTTACAGGGTTATTCCAATTGCCACTCATCTACAGAACTTTATTCACTGGGAACGTATTCCTGAAATTAAATATGCACAAAAGTTATAGGCTTACACCTGAAGAAGGTCAATTGAAATGATGATGATGATGATGATGACAAGGATTGGCAATGGTAATGGCAATACTTAATAAGCAAATAAGTTAATTACAAAAATATAATAAGCAAATTAAGAAAATATAATAAAGTCTCTAGCTAACTCATAGGCACTGGAATAAGTAACCCCTCAAGCAAAAAGTTGCTGTGTCTATTTGCAGTGCTTCAGTAGGGGTAAGCATTCCTTGCATATATCAGATCTTGGCTTGGTACCTACAGTCTTGACTGAGCCACCTAGGGGCTCAAATCCTAGAACGTGAATCTGTCTAGTAAGTCTGGCTGTATGATGCAACAGTTGAAGGGACACACTTGTCAATAACAACACCAAAGAATTTAAACAACAAAGAATTTAAAACCACCAGAAAGAGCTTTCAATAATAGTTGTGGAAAATTAAAGATACTTGTGATGTAGGAAACAGAAGGTTTTAAAAATCTACTGTTGTATCCAAAATAGTTTAAAGTTACCATATATCCTTACTAATAAGAAGTTAAAGTAAAACAAGAGAAAGTGTTGAATATAATGCAGACTTCTGCTAAATATTCAACCAGCCTACAAGATACATCTCTTTTTTCCCCACATATTTTTTTAAAGAAGAGAGCTCAGGGTCAGGTAGACCAGAGGGTAAATTTACCTCAAGAGTCTTGGGCAGGCACAAGCTTCAAGCATGCTGGGCTCTCAGCAGCAGACTAGTTTGCAATGGGCAGAGATGTTACAGGGAAACGATCCCAAGTCAAGGTCCAGTATGTGTAATAACCCCAGGATTTATCTGGGCTCGTGCTGGTGTCAAAGATGGTCCAGTCCAGCTGGCAGAGAATGACAACAGAACCATGGCCATGGTAGTTCATAAATGGTGCTGGGAAAATCAGTTCACCATTTGCAGAATGAAACTGGACCCCTATCTCTCACCATATAGAAAAAGTAACTCAAGATGGATTAAAGACTTCAGCGTAAGACATGAAACTATAAAAATCTTGGAAGAAAACCTAGGAAATGCTCTTCTGGACACTGGCCTGGACAAAGAATTCATGACCAAGTCCTCAAAAACAAACACGACAAAAACAAAAATTGGCAATTAGGACCTAATTAAACTGAAGAGCTTCTGCACAGCAAAAGAAACTATCAACAGAGTGGGAATGGGAGCAAATATTTGCAGACTATTAATCTGACAAAGGATTACTCTGCATAATCTATAAGGAAATTAAACCAACAAGAAAAAACAACCCCATTATAAAGTGGGCAAAGGACATGAACAGACACTTTTCAAAAGAAAACATACATGCGGCCAACAAGCATATGAAAAATTGTTCAACCTTACTAATCATCAGAGAAATGCAAATCAAAACCACAATGAAATACTATTGCACACCAGTCAAAATAGCTATTATTAAAAGGTCAAAAAATAACAGATGTTGGCAAAGTTGCAGAGAAAAAGCAAGGCTTTATAGATCGTTGGTAGGAATATAAATTAGTTCAGCCATTGTAGAAAGCAGTTTGGAGATTTCTCAAAGAACTAAAAATAGAACTACCATTGACCTAGCATTCCAATTACTGGGTATATAGCCAAAAATAAATAAATAATTCTGCCAAAAAGACACCTGCATTCATATGTTTATTGCAGCACCTTTCACAATAGCAAAGACATGGAATCAACTTAGATGCCCATTAATAATAGACTGGATAAAGAGAATGTAGTACATATATGCCATGGAATACTACACAGTCATAAAAAGGAATGAAATCATGTTCTTTGCAGCAACATGGATGGAGCTGGAGGCCATTATCCTAAGCAAATTAATGCAGGAACAGAAAACCCAATACTGCGTGTTCTCACTTATAAGTGAAAGCTAAGCATTGTGTACACACAGACATAAAGATGGGAACAATAGGTACTGGGGGCATCAAAAAAGGGACGGAGGGAGGGAGGGGAGCAAGGGTTGAAAAACTACCTATTGGGTACTATGTTCACTATTTGGGTGACAGGTTCAATAGAAGCTCAAACCTCAGCATCACACAATATATCCATGTAACAAACCTACACATGTACTCCCTGAACTTAAAATAAATAAATAAATACATTTTTAAAAAGATTCATGGCAGTGTCATTGTTGCTAGTGGTATATATCTGGTTAAGAGGAAAAACCTTAGCCATCTCCTGGGGGACACAATCTTTGAGGAACAGGGTCTGGCAAGGGGTAGGCCAAGTATCAGAGCCTTGCACAACTGACTTGAAGTTCAGGGAAGGCACAAGTCCTTGTACAAATAAGAAGACCAAGAGGAAAGCCTAGTGAACACAGCAAGATTAGGAGGAGGCATGTGCATGCTCAGAGTGCCCAAATACTGTGTAGGTTTTCTTGTAGAAGATTAATCCTCTATCTTGGCAGCAGATGGATAAATCCACTCAATATGGCAGCCTTACTGGGATTGACTGATGAATTCAGTGGTGTTTCTTTAGCCTGTAAATAAAGGTCCTCATTGCCTACTGCTGAGTGGGACTAAACCATTCTTGCTATAATAGATTTTACCTCTTTCAGGGTTGAAAAAGTGTTGGAGTAGGATGGGAATTCTATTGTAATGAATGAAGAACATGCAGTTGAGGTACTACTATCTGTAGAAAGTCTTAGGGAAAAATTTGGTTGCATGACTGCAGCCCACAGGGTGGTTTATCCAGCTCACTAGACTTAAATGGAGCACCATGAGGTCTATGCCAGGGCTATACTGTTTGATATGATCCTCAGTGACCTGGAAAAGGACACCCTGACTTCCCTGCTAATGACCTGAGACCTGGGCATGCTTTTGCTTTCTTGCAGTCAGCTTTCTATAAAGCAGGTATCTCATTTGCCTCTTGTTAACAATACCAATATGTTATAAATGCAAAGAAGATATTCTCATAAAAATGTGTTGTATGTAAGCATTTATGCATCAAAACAAAATCTATGTCATGGAGGAAAGTGAAAGATTTGTTAAGGTCTGTTCATTAGCACTTCACAACTACATACCGGGTGCAGTGGCTCATGCCTGTAATCCCAGCACTTTGGGAGGCTGAGGCAGGTGGATCACCTGAGGTCAGGAGTTCGAGACCAGCCTGGCCAACATGGTGAAACCCTGTCTCTGCTAAATATACAAAAATTAGCCAGGCATGGTGGCGCACACCTGTAGTCCCAGCTACTTGGGAGGCTGAGGCAGGAGAATCACTTGAACTTGGGAGTCAGAGGTTGCAGTGAGCCAAGATCACACCACTGCACTCCAGCCTGGGTGACAGAGCAAGACTTCGTCTCAAAAAAAAAAAAAGGAGAAAAAGAAAAATAAAAGCTTCACAACTACAGTCATGCATTGCTTAACAATGGGGATACATTCTGAAAAATATGTTGTCAAGAGATTTTGTCATTGTGCAAACACTCAGAATGTGCTTAAACGAACCTAGATGGTCTAGCCTACTACACACCTAGGCTACATGGTATAGTCTATTGCTCTTAGGCTACAAACTTGCACAGCAAGTTCCTGTACTCAATACTGTAGGCAGTTGTAACACAGTGGTATTTGTGTACCTAAACATATATCTAAACATAGGAAAGGTACAGTAAAAACATGGTATTATAATCTTATGGGACCAGCATCATACATGAAGTCCATGATTGACCAAAACATTGTTACGTGGCACACAACTATTCATAAAAATAATCTCTGTAACTCCATCCTGTTTCCCCAGCATCGGAATCACATCTCCCTTTGGGTGACTTCAGGTACAGCCAAACAAAGACTCATGACCTTTCCCCATAAATACTCTGCCCTTTCCCATCTCACATCACCCCATCCTGCTCTTCACTCAGGCTGGGCCATTCCTCTCTTAGACAACCTACATGAATGGTCATTTCATTTCAAAATTTTCAGTAAAACTCAGTTTTGTTATGAGGGTGAACCTACCTATCTTCTCCCATATACCACCACACTTCGTGTATTTTAGTCCATTGAAATACAAACTGCAAGTGTGGAGAATGGAGAGACGGTTTATTAGAGAAGGTAGAATTTGAATGGACTTAAGATGAGTAACATTTTAATAAGTATATCTGGGGGAAGGGCATTCGTGTCATCATCACCACCATCATCACCATTGTCATCAGCATCATCATCATCACATTCATCACAGCTAGTTTCTATTCCATGCTGACTACAAGCCAAACACTGTTTTTAAACATTTCATATGCCTTATTTCATTAATTTTCATAACAACATTATGAGATAAACATTATCTTTAGTCCCATTTTTTTTTTTTTGAGACAGGGTCTCACTCTGTTGCCCAGACTGGAATGCAGCAGCACAATCTTGACTCGCTGCAGTCTCAACCTCCCGATCTCAAGCAATACTCCCATCTCAGCCTCCCGAGTAGCTGGGACTACAGGTGTACACAACTGTGCCGGCTAATTTTTAAAATTTTTGTAGGAGACAAGGTGTCACTAGTTGCCCAGGCTGGTCTCAAATTTCTGGGCTCAAGAGATCCTCCTGCCTTGGCCTCCCTAAAGTGCTAGGGTTACAGGCATGAGCCACTCTGCCCAGCCAAAGGACCATTTTTTTGGATGAATACACGGAGGCACTGATAGATTAAGAGACTTATCTAAGATTGCTCAACCACTGAGCAGTGGAACAAAGTTTGTCATACAGATGCTGTGCTTGCAACCACTAAGTGGCACTGCATGAAGAATTGATTGAGCAAACCATAGCAGGAACGGGAGATGGGCAGGGTTTGAACGAAAGCCATAGGTTCAAATGACTAGATGCTAATAGGTTAATATGACTAGATGCTAATAAAGCCATAGGTTAATATGACTAGATGTTAATATGACTAGATGCTAATAAGGGTAGAATCAGGCTAAGTTACAGAAGGCTTTGAATTCTTTCACCAAATTTGCTTTTATAGGAGTTACTGTCTGGAGAGTAGAGAGCTTCAAAGGTTTTTTTTTTGTTTGTTTCAGATAAATGTAATAAAATCTGGCTTTAAGTAGGTGAGTTTGGGAGCAGTGAATAGAATCTACAGATAATGGAAATTCACCAGAACTTGGCAGTTTTCTTCTTTCTTTTATACTTTATTTAGCTAGTGAATAACTTGGCATCTAGTTAATTTGACTCAAATGCAGACAGTTGAAACAATGTTGTTTGGCACCCCCAACAAACAAGAAGAAATAAGAATTCAGGTTATTTTGTATTGTTTTATTTTTTGAGACAGGGTCTCACTCTGTCACCCAAGATGGAGTGCAGTGGCACCATCATGGCTCACTGCAGCCTACACCTCTTGGCTCAGGTGATCCTCCCACCTCAGCCTCCCGAGTAGTTGGGACTACAGTGGTGCACTACCACACCCAGCTAATTTTTGTATTTATTTTTTAATAGAGATGGGGTCTTGCTGTGTTGCCAGGGCTGATTTTGAACTCCCAGTCTCAAGCAATCCTCCCACCTCAGCTTCCCAAAGTTTTGGGATTACAAGCATGAGCTACCATGCCCAGCCAAGAATTAAGTTCTTTGTGGACCAGTAAGTATATAATAATAGTGACTCTTGCTAACTTATGAAATTATTATTGTCCAAATCTCCTTTTTCCATGACATACATACACCGGCTCCTCTAATTACTGGATGTGTTTATCAGATGCATCTTTATTAAGTAAAGAAAGAAAAAACAGAATGTTTTGTTTGCATAAATCTTTCCCCTTCATTGCAGGCAGGCTGCAATTAGCAGCCAAGGCAATATTGAAAGGGGCTTAGAAAGAACAATCAAAGATGTGTGAATTATGGGTATGAATTAAGCCTAATTAAATCTCTTTGCTGAGAGGAATGGAAGAACTAACAGTTACTCACACTTTTCAGCTGCTTATAGCCAGCTTCCACAAGCGGAACCCTCTGAAGCAAAACTGCAAAAAGCAGAAATTCTGCTCTGGACAAACCTGCTGAAGTTCAATTCTGCATAGTTTCCAACCCTTGTCTGTTGTATAGCTATCTCAGTAAAATTTGATTGTGGTTAACTAACATAACTCATTAAATTACTGAGTTGTTTAATAAGATACAATTTGGTTAATATTTTGGCAGCAAATCAAAAAGTATATCCTATATATGTGTTATATTGATATCCTCTTTTCCTTTAAAATAAAATGTATTTGTCCACAGAACCTCCAACTATTCCAAATATGAGTTTTATTTCAGAATTCTAAATTCCCTGTTTGCTTGATTCAGGAAGTCTCTGTGTTTTTTACCTCGGGGGAACATTTTTCAGCGAACCCAATTGAGTGTTCATACCAAGAGCTTATGCTTGGAATCTGGCATTTCTCCAGGAATCACTGACCTTGTGCTACTGCCTTAAAAGCAGACCAAGCATTGTTTTCTAGGCCCAAATTACTTCATTTGTCCACTATCGCTTAGAAGCATGGAGCCTCAATCTAGCTCTTGCCTGTGCTTCTTGAGGAGGATTTTGGTTTTTCTTTGTAGGTGGCTCTGTCCAGGCTAAGATGGGACAGCTCTCATCTAAGGGACCTACTGCTCAAGCCTATCCACTTTTATAACAGAAAGGCAGATAGGATATTCAGAAATATTATTAATACTATAAATATGTCTTGAATCAGCAGTCATTGCTGTAAAGCTGTTGCCAGAGTGTAGAGTCTTGAATCACCTATCCAGATACTACTTTTGCCAACGCTTCTTTCCTACTTCCCAGATTTCCTTCCTAGTGGAACAATCCCAATAACATAACATTCTGGCTTCTCTCTGCTCTAAGGAGCTAAACTGACTGGGGAATTTGGAAGGAGAAACTAGGTATACATAGGGAGACTCTCCTGCTTTCACTTGGGAGAAGATCAACTGTTATCCGCTTCTCCGGAACCCTTTGTGGGAGGACTTCTGTGGTCCTGGGCTGCCTGGCACCATGTGGATTTGTCACTCTGTTTCTGAGGTTCAGTAGTGGGGAGTTCATTTGCCCACACTTAAAGGCCACATTTTCCAAAATCAGCCGTTTGAAAATGAAAGTGATATTTATGTCTTTCATCCGCTAACTGATATGTTTCTTCTCTTTTTGTTTTTTTAGAGACGAAGTCTTGCTCTATTACCCAGGTTGGAGTGCAGTGGTGTGATCACAGCTCACTGCCTTGATCTTCTGGGCTCAAGCAGTCCTCCCACCTCAGCCTCTTAACTAGCTGGGACTACAGGTGTGTGACAACATCTGGCTAATTTTTTATTTTTTGTAGAGACAGCAACTCACTATGTTGCCCAGTCTGGTCTTGAATTCCTGGCTTCAAGGGATCCCCCTGCCTTGGCCTCCCAAAGTGGTGGCATTACAGGCATGAGCCACTGTGTCTGGCCTGACTAATATGTTTTATTTTACAATCAATTCAGAATGTGGTTGGTAAAAAGGAGTGTCATTTATTGGGCCCCATATAACACCCAACAACTACTAAAGCAGGACTGAGAAAAGTCATATTTAATAAAATTAGACAGATTCCCAAGACATTCACTCACTCCTTAAAGCTGTAAAAGTTCTAGCCTAATGTCACATTATATTGACAATATATATCTAGAGCAAGTTAATGTCAGCCCTCTCAGAATTGCCTTCACTGAGTCAAACATTAATGTTGACTTTTTACTGGAAGTCACTAAGAAAAAGGGCTAAATAATTAACATATGTTTCTGCTGACTGTTAATGACAACATTGTCTGTTATATGTCTGTTACTCAATGCTCCTCTTGTTTATTCCATATGGCAAATTTACCTTAGAATTTAGAAGCAGGAGAATATTGCCTTTACCCAAAAATTTGCATGCTTACTCTGAAAGACAAAGATAACTATGTAACCTATCCTATTTCCCTCTTTTGACTTTGCTATCAGGAAATTCCAGGCCCAATATATCGCTCAGGCACAGTAACCATCGCAGCTCAAATAAACAGCATGCTTGCTTCCTTCTTTTCAGAGCTTTAATTTCTAATTTCCACTTAAATAACATGCACACAATCAGTTTTGTAGGCCACCCCCAAATTCTTTAAAATATCAATCAGGCACAGTTGAAATAAAACAAGAGAAAAATAAAAGTGAAGGACTTCTGGTTTCTATCCAGCATGCAAGGAGCTTAGGAGTCATTACTTCTGAACTCACAACAACAACAAAAAGCTGAACAAATTGAGTATCAACAATTCTTCTTTTATCTATGAGAGAATTGAGGTCACAGAGCAATAGATGTACTCATACTACTTCCTGGAGCAGAAACCCAGGAGAAGAGCTTTGGGACTGTAATTGATGAATTGCTGGAGGCTCAGTTTGGACAAGTCTGAGGGTTAAAAAGAGTCTTAGGAGGCCCTGCACACTTTTGTGAGTTTTGCCCTCAAGAGTCCTTCCAGGTTCTCACAGTGAAGATTAGAGAAAAATCCCCACGTGCTTCTGGCAGGGGGAGGAAAAATATACCATTTGAAATACATCCAGATAATTCTGTTCTTCTTCTAACAAGGTCTTTTCTCAAGAGATACTAGTTTACCAGACCCTAACTAACTGGGGTTTTACCAGAGCCTAGCCAATGTGGAAGATGGGAAATAACCAATTCTGGCCCATTCTAGCCTTCTTGTCTCCCCTAACTGGGAAACAAATAAAATGAAATTGAGAAGCACCTGTAAACATCACAGCCAAGGGGCACAGGTTCACTAGAAGACTGAGCTCTAATCAGAGCACTATGGAACACTTCCATTCCCTCTAGGATCTTACCATCTCATCAATAGGGCTCTTGTATAATAACAGGGGAATATCAGTGAAAGAAATACATTTCTCAAGCCTTATTTAAGAAGAAGTCGGGGCCGGGTTCGGTGGCTCATGCCTGTAATCCCAGCACTTTGGGAGGCCAAGGCAGGCGAATCACGAGGTCAAGAAATCGAGACCATCCTGGCCAACACAGTGAAACCCCGTCTCTACTAAAAATACAAAAATTGGCTGGGCGTGGTGGTGTGTGCCTGAAGTCCCAGCTACTCAGGAGGCTGAGGCAGGAGAATTGCTTGAACCCGGGAGGCAGAGGTTGCAGTGAGCTGACATTGTGCCACTGCACTCCAGCCTGGCGATAGAGTGAGACTCCACCTCAAAAAAAAAAAAAAAAGAGAAGAAGTCTCTAGGGAAACTCAAAGACAACAACAAAGACTGAAACAAGAAAACCAGAGAAAACTCTAGCCTTTGACAACCCAGCTAGAGCAAATGGTAGACATAGTCTAACCCCTAACCAGATCAACATAAAATTTCACACTAACAGCCTATTTATCTCATTTCCTTTTGCCCAGTACATCATGTCTGGCTTTCAAAAAAAAAATAGTTTGAAGAGACAGAACAGGCTTTGAACCAACCTCAGATATGGCAGAGATATTGAAATCATCAGAGCAGAAATTTAAAAAATGATGATCAATATACTAAAGACTATAATGGAAAAAGTGGACAACATGGAAAAAGAGGTGGTTAATATAAACAGAGGAATGGAACCTCAAAGAAACAATCAAAAGGAAGTGCTAGAAATAAAACACACTGTAATAGAAAAGAAGAATGCCTTATGGGCTTATCAATAGACTAGACATGGCCAGGAAAGAATCATTGAACTTGAAATGTTGATGGAAACTTCCAAAACTGAAAGGCAAAGAGAAAAAGAATAAAAAGTCAAAGCATAATATCTGCATTAGTCTGTTCTCACACTGCTATAAGAAATACCTGAGATGGAGTACTTTATAAAGAAAAAGAGGTTTAATGGACTTACAGTTCCTCATGGCTGGGGAGGCCTCACAATCAAGGCAGGAGGCAAAGGAGGAGCAAAGTTACGTCTTACATGGCGGCAGGCAAGAGAGCATGTGCAGGGGAACTGCCCTTTATAAAACCATCAGATCTCATGAGAATTACTCACTATTACAAGAACAGCATGGGAAAGACCCACCTCCACGATTCAATTACCTCCAACCAGGTCCCTTCCATGACACATGGGGATTATGGGAGCTACAATTCAAGATGAGATTTGGGTGGGGAAACAGCAAAACCATATCAATATCCAAGAACTGTGGGACAATTACAAAAGAGATAACACATGTTTCATGGAAATAAGAAGGAGAAGAAAGAGATAGGATGGAAGAAATACTTGAAGCAATAATGATGAGATGTTCCAAAATTAATGATAGACTCCAAACCACAGATCCAGGAAGCTCAGAGAACACCAGGCAGAATAAATACCAAAACAAAAACAAAAACAGACCCTATGCTAGGCATATCATATTCAAACTACATAAAGTCAAAGACAAAAGGAAAATATTGAAAGATACCAGAAGGGGAAAAATCTTACTATTAAGGAGAAAAGATAAAAATTACGTGGAACTTCTCTTCAGAAATCATGCAAGCAAGAAGAGAGTTGAGTGAAATAATTAAAATATTGAAGCAAAAATACCACCAATCTAGAATTCTGTTTCCAGCAAAATTTTCCTTCAAAAGTAAAGGAGACCTCATTTCATGCCCCTTGTGGCACAGAGATAGTGCCGAAGATCTGGGGCCACTTAGCTGCAAGTTGCCTCCAGCAGGTACCTGTGGCTCCTAACAGGGCATGCCCACCTCGCCTGTCTACTATCACAGACAGAGATTTGACCTCTTGGGCTGAGAGGCCCCAACCTTTCCTCAAGCTAAAACTATGTAGCATTGAGCTACCAGCCAGATGCCTTCCCACAAAGGATCTGTGGTGGCACAGGGCAACTGACATGGTTCTTTTTCTTCCAGTCATAGATACTTTAGGAGCCATGGGTTACGCTGCAGACATGGCCAAGTCCAAGAACCACACTGCACATAACAAGTCCCCAAAATAGCACAGAAATGCCATCAAGAAACATCAGTTGCAAAGATACGAATTTCTTTAGGGGGTGGACCCCAAGTTCCTTTGGCTCTTTGCCAAGCAGCACAAGAAGGATCTGAAGAAAATGCAGGCTGTGTCAGTCAGTCTTGTGTTGCTATAAAGGAACACTTGAGACTGGGTAATTTACCAAGAAAAGTTTATTTAGGCCACAGTTCTGCTAAGCTGCATAAGCATGGAACCAGCATCTGCTCAGCTTCTGATGAGGCCTCAGGAAGCCTTTACTAATGGTGGAAGGTGAAGGGGGAGCACGTATCTCACATGGCAAGAAAGTGAGCAAGGGAAAGAAGAGGAGGTGCAAGGCTCCTTTAAACAATCAGTTCTCTTTGCTGGGTGCGGTGGCTCACGCCTGTAATTCCAGCACTTTGGGAGGCTGTGGCAGGTGAGTCACCTGAGATCAGGAGTTCGAGACCAGCCTGGCCAATATGGTGAAACCCCGTCTCTACTAAAAACACAAAAAAATTAGCCAGGTGTGGTGGTACACATCTGTAGTCCCAGCTACTTGGGAGGCTGAGGCAGGATAATTGCTTGAACCCGAGAGGCGGAGGTTGAAGTGAGCCAAGATCATGCCACTGCATTCCAGCCTGGGTGACAGAACAAGACTCCTTCTGAAAAATAAATAAATAAATAAATACCAGCTCTCACATGAATTTAATGGAGCGATAACTCATTCATCACCATGGGGAGGGCACCAAGCCATTCATGAGGGATCCACCCCCATGACCCAAACACCTCCCAGAGACCAACTTCCAACATTGGAGGTCACATTTCAACATGTGATTTGGAGAGGACAAAACACCCAAACCATATCATAGGCCAATAATGGCAAGGCCATGAGTGTGAGTGCAGAGGCTATCATGGCCTCATAAAGCCCAAGGATGTTAAGCCCAAAATCCCAAAGGGTGTCAGCCTCAAGCTCACTTGACTTGCCTACATTGCCCACCCCAAGCTTGGGAAGCATGCTTATGCCCATATTGCCAAGGGTCTAAGGCTCTGCCAGCCAAAGGCCAAGACCAAGGATTAAACCAAGGCCCAGGCTGCAGCTTCAGCTCCAGCTACAGGTCTAGCTCCAGCTCTGGCTCAGGCTCCCAAAGGTGCCCAGATCCCCACAAAGACTTTGGAATAGAAGCCTCTGTCGGCATGAGGACAGTGGGACTGGTGTGACCCCTGGGCTGCCATCTGCATGGGGCTGGTGTCCTCCTGTGCTATTTGTACAAATCAACCTGAGGCAGGACAACAGCAACAACAACAACAACAAAAAAACCTGACATGGTGGAACTGGTTGAACTGGGACTCCCTGCTAGAAGAGAAGAGCAAACAGGTAATCGCCAACCCAAAATTAAAGAAGAGGGAATAGATCTAGGGTCTCAGGAGAAAGAGAAGGTGGTACAGGTACTGATGTTTCCCCTGCAAGCCCAACATCCCATGGAGAAAATGGAGGAGTTTGTGTACAAGATCCGGGAGGGACATTGGAAGATCATCCCAAATGCTGGCTCCCTGACTTGAAGTACACTGATGCCTGCTACATGACAATGGACCACTCACGCCCGCCCTCAGGCTTACTCAAAGAGCATCTCCACTCCATTCAGAAACTGGCACTGTCTAAAGACATCTGCTTGGTTTCATGCTGGAAATCTTCACCATGCTCAGACGAAATATTCATTTCATGGCCCCATCCACAGGAGAAGGTGGCTTGGAGAATGCTCTTGTTGGGTGCAGTGCTCTGTCTCAATTTCTCCTAGCTCTTTCATACCACCTATTCTCATTCAGAGAAAGTTTTGGACATATTCCAAACTGGGCTATTCAGACATCACTCTCCTGATGATGGGGAGCCTTGTCTCTTGGCTGTATTACTCCTTGTACTGTTCCCCAAAACCACGGCACATCCACCTCTCCACTGCCCTTGTCCTGGGCATTTTTGCACCCTTGTGACACAGCAGAACCCGTTTCCACTCCTAAGCACTAGCGGACAAGAGCAACAGTGTTCCTGGGACTTGACTTGGGTGGTGGTGTGCCTACTGTGGGCTTTACTATCACTAAGGGCTGTGTCAAGGCCACCACAGTGGGCCAGATGGGCTGGTTCTTCCTCATGGCTGTGATGGACATCACCAGAGTTGCCTTAATGCAACTCAAATTCCTGAGCAGTATTTTCCTGGAAAATTTGACATGTGATTCTGGTTGCACCCAATTTTCCATGCCCTGATGATGGTAGCAGCCTTTGTACATGTCTGTAAAGTCTCCAGGCCTGGCGTGGTAGCTCACGCCTGTAATCCCAACACTTTGGGAGGTAGAGGCAGGAGGACTGCTTGAGCCCAGGAGTTTGAGACCAGCCTGGGCAACATAGTGAGACTCTATCTCTATAAAAAAATATTAAAAATCTGTGGGCATGATGGTGCACACCTGTAGTCCCAGCTACTCAGGAGTCTGAGGCAGGAGGATTGCTTGAGCCCAGAAGTTTAAGGCCACAGTGAGCCATGATTGCACCACTGTACCACAACCTGGGTAACAGAGCGAGACCCTGTCTAAAAAAAAAAAAAAAAAAAAAAAAAAAAGTCTCCAACTTTCAGAAATCCTGTCATGGACTAGAAAGTGGCTATACTGATGTCTTCTTTGAGTCTCACACCCAAGGAACTTCCCAAGTGCCTTTTTTTAAGGGTATATGTGGCCCTCAAATGGCAGAACATTAAGAATACAGAAAGTAAGAAAATATAGTTAACATAGAAGCCCTGTGAGGAATGAATGGATGCCAAACAGACAAATACAAAATCTAAGAAAACATAGGTAGAACACTCAACCCATCATTCTTTCCCAAAATGATAAAAATCCTTGTGGCACTGTGGGACCCATTTCCCACTGTCAGGGGAAAAGTAACGCCCCAATTCCAGGGCTAGCCAGTTCTTAGAGGTAGTGTAACAGTGAAACAGCAAAGGAACACACATAGCTAACTTCACTTTTGCTTAAGGGGCCTTTACTCATTGGTGAGTATAGGCAGGGATAATTTTAGAGCATTGAGATAAAATGCAAAAACAGCAATTAAGTAGCTTTTGAAGCTAACTCTGGAATTAAAAGAGAAGTATGTAAACAACTATGTTTTGTCAAAGCTTTATAGGAACCAGGAAGTTTGGCTAGCATCATATAAGACACCATTACCCAAGGACAAAAGTTTCACAAACCTCCCTGGACCCTTGCTGGCGCCTAAACATATGCCATTATCAGCCCCCTCCTTTCCTAGACATAAAAGACAAGGCAAAGCCTGCATAATTCTAAGATGGTACTTTAGGATGCTAGTCTGCCATCTTCTCAGTTTGCTGGTTCTCTGAAATAAAGTCGCTTTCCTTGCTCCAATTCCTTGCTTTCAACTTACTGACTCTTGTGCAGTAAACAGAATGAGCTTGGACTCAGTTGCAGTAGCAAAGCTTGCCTTTCATGTGCAAACCAACTAATTCACAGTCTATACACCCCAAACATCTCATCTAACCCACACTCCAAGTCAATATTTCCCCTGCCCTAAATCATCCCAAGGCCAGATAGCAGGATACTGGAGACCACCGTATGACCCAAAGCCCACCAGAGTTATTCACACTAGCCAGTCCTAAACGGTTTACTCTGCCCTGCACTGCCTTTTCCACAGAAACCCCAATAAAGGCTGTGGCCTATGGCTTTCCTTGACTCCTTCCTTCTGACCAAAACTGGTGCTTTCTCCCGTGGCACTGAGTGGCCCTGCATGCCCCCTTCTCTTGGAAAATGTAAGTAATCAATTCTTCTCTCGATAGCATTAGCCTCTCTGTGTCATCAGTCACCTCATAAATTAAAATCTCATGGGTACAAATGAAACACTGGGATTCTTCAAAAATTCTGTTTCTGGAAGAAAATATCCCACTCTAACCCATCTTTTCTTTGTAACCTGGCTTATAATAGAACATTCATATTTTGTTTGTTTTTGTAGCACACTTTCCAAAAACAATCTGGTCCCATCTTTCTGGGGCTAGATCTGTTTACAAACAGGAAGAAGAAGATGCTTATGGCATTCATGGAAACAATACCACAACATGAACAATGACAATACTAGAATGTACTAGAATGTGTGATATAAATGATGATCCTGTAAAGGAATGCAGACAAAAGAGAAAGCTTTGTAGAATAAGAAGCTTAACTTCAAGAAGGGCAGGATTTGAAAATACGGTGAAAACTAAGGGGAAGAAAATCCTATTTTTAAATAAGAGAATTTTCTTAAAATTCTTTTCATGACTTAGGAGCTATGTCTGCTTCAGTAGCCATTATTTTTCCATTATCAACAAAAGGAATATGCCCGGGGAGAAAATAACAAAGTAGTAGTTTGACACCATGTTGTATTAAACAATCTGTCATAATTTCTTGCTTCTTAAATATTAAGCTAATTTAAAAACAGATTATAAAATATTTCTTAGAGAGGTGAAGTTGTCAGGAACAAGTGCAGAGACACAAAAAGTGCCAGGTATTGGCCAAGTACAACATTTGGTGGTGTCTGAGGATCAAAGCCTATGAGAATGTGAGTTACTCTAGGGAAATGAAAACAGAGAAAGAGACAATGATATGATAAAAAAGAACTTCAAAAATAGTAAGAGACAAAGTAAAAACAGTGAATAGTATATTTCTTCTTTACAGGTTACTAAGAGATAGTATGAAAACAAAACTTATAATCTTGATGTAGAGTAGTCATTTCAATTAGCCAAACTTCCAAGTAGTGAAATAAATTGCACATAACTCAATTTTGCATAATGTGATGTATGTATAATTTAATTTCACACAGTATAATGATATATAATTTTACATAATATAAATTCAATACTAGAAGTTCTGTTTTGCTTGTTCTATTGAGCTTCTAGTAATGAATTTATATCATCTATTATATTATCAATTTTATTATTTATATCATTATTTATGACTAGCAGTTCAATAGAACAAGAAAATTTGTATGAATACCAAACAATAAATCAATGTTTCCTTATTCTATGAAATTCTAAGATCCCCTTAAATAACTTCACTTATGTTAATGAATAATCACCCTAGGAAATATATACTGTACTAAAATATAATTAGTGTTAATATTGAGAAAAAAATAGCAATGTTGCTTAAACGATTTGCTTGTGAAAAAGAGGTTTTCTAGAAACTATGCTAAAATCTAAGATACCAATACAGAAAAAAGTTAGTAAGGATTTTACTGAAACATGCAATATTATAAAGGATATAGTGTAAACTGATAGATGATACAACTTTCAACTCCAAACTAAACAGAAGTCAAAAAGTAGTAACTTCAGAGAGGGTAAAAGCATAACAACAAACTACACAGGACGTGAGAATTGCCTCTCAAGTCTCTCAGCATGAAAAACCATATAAACAAATTTATTTAAGTAAAAAACAGTGTGCTATTTGAAGAGCATGGTGATATTTAACAAATGTTAACAAATACATGTTCATCAAATATTTACTAAGCTCCGGCTGTGAACAAGACAGACTATCTCCACTTTCATTAAGCTTATATTCTACTGGGACAGATAGAGAACAAAAAAGTAAAGAATCAAATGAAGCATATAATTTCAGATTGAGATAAATGTTATAAAAACAACAAACCAGGAAACAAGACAGAGAGTGGCTGGGGTGTGGTGAGTTGGGGTGCAATTTTAGATACTGTGATCAGAGAAAATGTCTTTGAGGTTATAGTTGAGGAAAGATCTGAGTCATGAGGAAAAGCCAGCCATATGAACATCTAGGGGCGCGGATTTCCTGGCCAAGGGCATAACAGCTATGAAATCCTCTTTGTAAGACAAATAGAAAGACAGGTGGATGGATGTATGGACAAAAAAGACAGACAAATTGATAGATAACAAATGTATATAGAACACTCCACCCAACAACAGGAGAATATGCATTTTTTCTCAAGTGCACATAGAACATTCTCCAGAATAGACCATATGTTAGGCCATTAAAAAAGTCAGTAACTTTTACAAGATTGGAAGCATATGAGGTATCTTTTCAGATCATTATGAAATAAACTAGACATCAAAAATAGAAGGAAAACTGGAAAAACATTCTTAATTAACAGGTCAAACAAAAAATCACAAGGGAAATTAGAAAATAACTTGAGCTGGATGAAAACAAAATACAACACACCAAAATGTATGAGATGCAGCAAAATCAGTGCCAAGAGAAATTATGGCCGGGCACGGTGGCTCACGCCTGTAATCCCAACACCTTGCAAGGTCAAGGCAGGCAGATCACGAGGTCAGGAGATTGAGACTATCCTGGCTAACACTGTGAAACCCTGTCTCTACTAAAAATACAAAAAATTAGCCGGGTGTGGTGGCACGCACCTGTAGTCCCATCTACTCAGGAGGCTGAGGCAGGAGAATTGCATGAGCCCGGGAGGCAAAGGTTGCAGTGAGCCCAGATAGTGCCACTGCACTCCAGCCTGGGTGACAGTGCGCGACTCCGTCTCAAAAAAAAAAAAAAAAACACAGAAATTATAGCTATCAACTTCTACATTAAAAAAGAAGAAAGATCTCAAATCAACAACCTAATTTTATACCTAAGGAACTAGAAAAGGAAGAACAAACTAAACCCAAAACTAGCAGATAAAAGAAAACAATAGGCCAGGCATGGTGACTCATGTCTGTAATCCCAGCACTTTGGGAGGTGAAGGTGGGTGGATCACCTGAGGTCAGGAGTTCAAGATCAGCCTGACCAACATGATGAAACCCCATCTCTCCTAAAAATACAAAGTTAGCCAGGCTTGGTGGCACATGCTTGTAATCCCAGCTACTTGGGAGGCTGAGGCAGGAGAACTGCTTGAACCCGGGAGGCAGAGGTTGCAGTGAGCTGAGATCACGCCATTGCCCTCCAGCCTGGGCAACAAGAGCTAGACTGTCTCAAAAAAAAAAAAGAAAAAGAAAAAAGGAAACAATAAAGATTAGGACGAAGATAAATAAAATAGAGCATAGAAAAACAAGCAAAAATCAACAAAACCAAAAGATGCCTCTAAAAAGATCAACAAAAGTGACAAATCTTTAGCTAGAATGACTAAGGAAAAAAAAGAGATGAAAGTCAGATTACCAGAAATGAAAATAAAAGTGAGAATATTATTATCAGTTTTACAAAAATGAAAAGACTTAGAAGAGAATATGATGAACACTTGTACATCAATTGATGGGGTAGTCCAGATGAAATGGACAAAATCCTAGAAATATACTCTGCGAAAACTGAATCTTAAATAGAAAAGTTGAGTAGACCTGTAACTAATAAGAAGATTGAATCAGTAATCAAAAAACTCCTAAAAAAGAAAAGCCCTGTACCAGATGACTTCACTAGTAAATTCTACCAAACATTTAAAGAATTATCAAATTTCTCAAACTTTTCCGAAACACTGCAGAGAGGGAACACTTCCTGACTTGTTCTATGAAGCCAGCATTACTATGGTACTGAAGCCAGACAAAGACACTACAAGAAAAGGAAACTACAGACCAACCTCTCTGATGGATAGTAATACAAAAATCCTTAACAAGATAATACCAAACTGGATTCAGCAGTACCTTAAAAGGATTATATACCATGAGCAGGTGGGATTTATTCCCAGAATGCAAGGATGGTTTAACATATAAAGAAAAGCATCAATGTAATATGCCACATTAATAGAAGGGAGGAAACAAACCCCACATGGTCATCTCAGTTAATGCAGACAAAGCATTTGACAAAATTCAGCACTATGATAAAAAAACTCAATAAGCTAGGAATAGAAGAAAATTTCCTTAATATGATAGAGGTCATTTTCAATGTATGCATTTATATCTATAAATTTCCCTAGCACTGCATTCCATAAGTTTTGGCAATGTGATGTTTTATTTTCATTCAGCTCATGGTAGTTTTTAATTACCTTTGTGACCTTTTTTTTGATCCATTGGTTGCCTAAGAATATTTTGTTTGGTTTGCACGTATTTGTGAAATTTCCAGTTTTCTGTTACTGATTTCTAGTTTTATTTCATTATTATTGGAGTACTTTGTATGACTTCAATATTTTAAAATGTATTAAAATCTGTTCTATGGTTTTATGGCCTAACATATGGTCTATCCTGGGGAATGTTGTGCATGCACATGAGAAAAATGTGTATTCTGCTGTTGTCAGCTATTTTTAATTTATTCTCTATTTTAGTAATCATGTGGGATGTTGAACTTTGTCAAATAATTTTTCTGCATAAAGTAACTATGTACATTTTGCCTCTTTGGGTTATTAATAAGGTATAATATATTCACAATTTTCCTAATATTGACTCACCTTTGCAGTGCAGGAGGAACTCAATTGGTAATGAGGTATTTTTTTAAGTACTGCTGAATTACAATTGCCCTTGTTTTATTGAGATTTTTACATAAATGTTGATACGTGAGCTTTGCTCTGTCTTGTCAAGTTTTGATGTCAGTGTTAAACTTCTACAAATATAATATGAAGGATTTCCTCTTTTGATGTTTTGGAACATTTTAAATTCTATCCAATTTACCCTTAAACTTTTTAAAGAATCAACAGTGAAACCAAGTGGACCTTGAGATTTTAAGAAGATCTTCTGTAGCTTTTTCAGCTGCTTCCATTGACCCACTAGGCAGGGGATTATTTGGCTTTTGTCTGTATTTCTGTCTTTAAAGAACCAGCTCTCCTCCACAATTCTACTGTATTTCTTTCTTCTGAATACATGATTGGATTTTGTGAATTTTTTCTTTTATATACTCTGTAGATTTCTGTATTGGGTGAACTTATTCCCATTTATACACATTAATATATGATATTTATTTAGTATTTATTCCACTTCATCTTAGGTTTACTATTATCACTACTGCTACCATATATATGTATAATCTTTTTTGTATTTGGTCTTAGAGGTGTGTGTGTGTATACTTCTTTGGATAATTTTGAAAGCTTGTTTTCTGCAATTGGGGGATTTTCTGAGGCAGTCATAACTTTACTATCACTAACTCTCTACTTCTTGATTTAGCAACTTCAGACTGCATCTGTTGATTTCTAGTTATACAGGAATATCAAAGAAATGATCACAAATAAACCTCCTCCCATTTCTCTCCTTTCCCCTCTATGCCTGATTTTATTTTTAACTTTCATTTTAGGCTCAGTGGTACATGTGCAGGTTTGTTATATAGGTAAAATTGTGTCATGGGGCTTTGTTGTACAAATTATTTCATCACCCAGGTACTAAGCTTAGTACCCAATACTTATATTTTCTGATCCTCTCCCTCCTCCCACCATCTATCCTTAAGCAGGCCCCAGTGTCTGTTGTTCCTTTTTATGTGTCCATGTGTTCTCATCATTTAGCTCCCACTTATAAGTAAGAACATGCGGCATTTGGTCTTTTGTTCCTGCATTAGTTTGCTAAGGATAATGACCTCCAGCTCCATTCATGTTCCTGCAAATGACATGATCTCGCTCTGTTTCATGCCATACCTGATTTATATTATGTTATCATTTTTTACATTGTCAAAGCTTATAACACTTATATTCTGTAACCATGTTTCCCATCATTTTTTAGTCTTAATTCTATATTTAAATTAATTGAGTCCTTCTTACCAGACTTTTTTAGTGTGATATTTCTCTTTCCTTCCTAGTTGTTTGGTTTTGATTTTTTGTGTTTTTTCTAAAAGGGCATGTGGTTCCTGGGTTTGTTTATGGTTAAGGCTATTTGTCTGTCTCTTGCCTTTATATTTGAATGTCAGCTTGATTGAGAAAAATACTCTTCTCTTTCTCAATATGTGGCAGATATTGAATAATTCTTAGAGAAGTCTGAGGCTATTCTGATTTTATTTTCCTGGTAAATAATTAGTATTTGGGCCGGGTGCAGTGGCTAACACCTATAATCCCACCACTTGGGGAGGGAGAGGCAAGAGGATCACCTGAGTCCAGGAGTTTGAATCCAACCTGGGCAACATAGTGAGAGCCCATGTCTATAAAAAATTTAAAAATTAGCCAGCCATGGTGGCCCATGTCTGTATTCCCAGCCACTTGGGAGGCTGAGGTGGGAGGATCACTTGAGCCCAGGAGATACAGGCTACAGTGAGCCATAATCACACCACTGCCCTCTAGCCTGGGTGATAGAGTGAGACTCTATCTCAAAAAATACATAATAATAAGAAGTATATGTCTGGATACTTAAATAATTTTGTCTTAATGAATTGCAAACCAACTAGGATATATCTCAATGTTGGTGCTCCTATATCAATTTTTTTTTTCAGGAAAAAGATGTTTTAGATTAATTCTTTCCTCTAATCAGGACAAAAAAAAACTCTTCTGTTGGTTTTTAAGTATATTTTCTGATTCATTTGACAGCTTCTTTAATTCCAAGACATTGATTGCTTTTATTGTGATTAGTCTTTGTCTTTGAGACATCTTCTCTTCTCTTTAAATTGCTTTAGTGTCTTTGTCTTTAAAAAAGTCTTCAGACGCTGTGTTTGCCAAGCCTTTCCCATATCAGTCATTTGATCTTAGGTTGTGTCTGTTCTGTTCTTTGCTGTTTCTAATTTTTTTAATGGCTCTGTAAGAAAGTTGTTTTGGCTCTTAATTTTTTTCCTAAACTATGTGTCATTGTTTGCATTAAAACAGACCCAAGAATTTGAGTGCAAGTAGTTTATTTGAGAGGCAGTTCCAGAAAACACTAATGGAGAGCAGGAAGGTATAGCATGAGAGGGAAGAAATCGAATAATATTATCACCAAGTTACCACTGTGGACAACTAGAGCTAAAACCTTCTGGGGAGCTCTTTGAAACATTGTAGAACATGTCTCAGAGTTATCTCAACCAACAGGCAAAGAAGCAGAAGCATTTACCTATCAACTTCTTGTCTGTCACTGGCTATAGGCTGTTACTGGGGAACAGTCACACTCTGGCACTTGTCACTTGCCCCGAATTGAACAGACATTCTCTGCTTTGGTCAGAAAAAATACCTTGGGCAATCTCAGGTCTTTACAGAAATCACAGGTACATAAAGAAGAGGCATAGGGCCAGGCGCAGTGGCTCACACCTGAAGTCCCAGCACTTTGGGAGGCCAAGGTGGGCGGATCACAAGGACAAGAGATTGAGACCATCCTGGCCAAGATGGTGAAACCCCGTCTGTACTAAAAATATAAAAATTAGCTGGGCGTGGTGGTGCACGCCTGTAGCCCCAGCTACTCGGGAGGCTGAGGCAGGAGAATTGCTTGAACCCAGGAGGCAGAGGTTGCAGTGAGCCGAGATCGCACCACTGCACTCCAGCCTGGCAACAGAGGGAGACACAGTCAAAAAAAAAAAAAAAAAAAAGAAGAGGCATAGAGGGGGCAAGGTGGAGGGAATGTGCTTGGGACATTAGCAGCAAACTCCCTTTTCACCTTTGCATTGTTGTTTCCTCTCATTGTTTATCTTTCAAATTTTTAAAATTTTCATTAAATTCTTCTGTAGCTACACTATCCAATATAGTAACCACAAGCCACAAGAGACTATGAGCAATTGAAATGCAACTACTCTTAACTGAGATGTGCTGTAAGTGTAAACTATACACCAAATTCAAAGACTTTGTATATATAAATGCAAAATATCTCAATAATTTTTGTATTGATTACATGTTGAAATAATATTTAGGTAATGGGTAATTACAATGTATTATTACAGCTCATTTCATCTATTTTCTAAAAAGCATTTTATTTTGGTTACTTAAAATGTTTAAATTACATATATTCTTCCAGAACAGATTTTTTATCTTTATCTTGCATGTTACATTTCATTTTTTTCTTTTTACTTAGGGGAGGGGGATTTAATAAGTTTACTCAGATACCATACTATTTTGTTTTTTTCTTTCACCTTACTGTGCATATCTGTCCAGAAATGCCATTTCTACATCTATAATGTGGGTATATTCTTTTAACTCAGCCTGGATGACAGAGTGAAATTGTTTCTAAAAAACAACCCACAATATTTCAAAAGACTCAAATCAAACCTCTGAGATGAAAACTACATTGTCTGCGATGAAAAATTCACTGGATGGTATGGATGGCAGATCAGACATTGCAGAAGGAAAGATTAGTGAACCTGATGATTTAGCAACTGAAACTATCCAAAAAGAAAGAGAGAGAGAAAAGACGAGAAAAAATGAAGAAGGCATCAGTGAGGACAGTAAAACTTCCAGTGGCTCGATGTATATGTAATTGGAGCCACCTAAGGAGTGAAAGAGGGGGGTGAGGAACAGAAAATAGTTAAGAAAAAGTGTCCCGAATATTTCCAAATTAGACAGAATTATAAACCATAGACAAAAGAAGATCAGCGAGCCCCAAACCCAAGAAAAATGAGAACTACACTAAGGTTTATCACAAATTGCCAAGATCTTTGATAAAGAACAATTATTAAAAACAGCAAGAGAAGAAGATAGTCCTCACTTAAGGTCATCGATAGATTCTTGGAAACTGTAACTTTAAGTGAAATGACATATAACAAATCCAGGTTTTTTTTGCTCATCACTGTTTTAATGAAATGATGTTTTTTAAGGATTTGCTGTATGTCATTTTGCTTTAAGTCTTTCAGGAAGAAGAAAATATTAGACGGAAAACTACACCAAGAGATAAAGAGCATTAGAAATAATAACTATGTGGCTAAATAAAACAGAATGCTTTTTTACCACTTAATTATCTTTAAAAGATAATAAACTGCTTGGAGCAGAAATAACAATATTTTGTGAAGTTTATGTAATCTGCAGAAATAAAATGTTTAGCAATAGCATAAAGGCTTGAGGGGGCAAATGGAAGCATACTGCTACAAGGTTCTTACCCTAAATAAGAAGTGGCATAATATCCCTTAAAGGTTAAAAGTAGACTCATAAGGATGTGTACTGTAAAGTGTAAATTAACATCTGAAATAATACAAGTTATAGTTAATATGCCAACAAAGGAAATAGAATACAATTTTATCTAAACATTTGAAAAAGAAATAATACTAATTTTATGCAAAACTCAAATAATTCAAAATAAGGCTGAACAAGAGAAAAGGGGATGCAAAGAATAGGGGTGGGAAAAATAGAAGCCAGATAACAAGAAAGTGTGTTTGGATCCAATCATACAAATTAATGTAATGGTCTAACCCGGGGTGGGGGAGGGGGATGGTTTTCGGATGAAACTGTTCCATCGGAGATCATCAAGCATTAGATTCTCATAAGCAGCACGCAGTCTAGATCCCTTGCATACACACTTCGCATTAGGGTTCATACCCTATTAGAGTCGAATGCCACAACTGATCTGACAGGAGGTGGATCTCAGGTGGAGTTCACGGACAGATACCAGTCTGTGGCCCGGGATTTGGGGACCACTGGTCTAACCACCCAAAGTAAAAGGCAAGATTATTACATAGGATTAAAGAAGAAAGATCCAACTATGTGCTACCTGCAAGAAAGCCATTTTAAACACAAAGACTCAGGAAGGTTAAAAGTCATGATATTAAAAAAAGATATAACATGTTAACACTAACTAAAACTGGTTATACTCATATCAGGGGCTATTTTAGAACAAAGAAAATTTCCAGGGATAAAGAGGATCATATAATCATAAAAGGATCAATTCAACACGAGGACACACAAATCCTAAATGTTCATATACCTAACAGAACATTTTTTGCTCCTAATAGTACAAAAAATGATAAGAGCTACAAGAAAAAATAGACAAATCCACAACTAAAATTGCAGGTTTCAACACACCGTTTTGTCTATATTTGATAGAAGGGTGTTGAAACCTGCAAAATCAGAAAGAATATGGGAGACTTGCGTAATACAATCAACCAAACTGACTTAGCTGACATTTATAGAACATCCATTTAACAAGTGAAGAGTGTGAATTCTTGTCAAGTGCATGTGGAACATTTACCAGAGAGTACATATTCTGGGTCACGAAACAAGTCTTAATAAATTTAAGTTTTCAAGTCATGCAAAATATGACTTCTGACCACAATTTAAGTAAATTAAAAATAAAACACCATATAACCATAAAATGCAATAATAATTGTCTACTAAAAGGAATGAAATATTGATACATATTACAACATGTATGAATCTCAAAAACACTATGATATGTAAAAGACGCCAGTCACAAAAAACCAGGTATTATACAATTCCATTTATATGAAATGTCCACCATAAACAAATGTATAGAGAAAGTAGATTCGTGGATGTCTCAGTCTAGGGAGGTAGGGTTGGGGGTGCAGAGGAAGAACAGGGAGTGGCCATTAATGGGTACAAGGTCTCTTTTGAAAATAATGAACATGTCCTAAAATTAGGTTGCTGTGATGTTGTACAACTCTGTGAATATACCAAAATATTTAATTTTATACTTTAAATGGGTGGAATTGATAGTACATGCATTACATATCAGTAAAAGCCATTAAAAATACAATATAGAACTATCTGAAAAATTCACCAATATTTTGAAATTAAATAGCACACTTCTAAGTAAGCCATGGGTTAAAAAAATTAAAGGGTAAAGTAGAAAGTACTTTAAATTAGATGAAAATAAAAATAAAATGTACAAGTCATACAGTACTTAGAGGGAATTTGGTAGCACTACATATCCATACTAGAAGAGAAAAATGTCCTCAAAATGACCCAGGTTTTACCCTAAAAAACTAGAAGAAAGTCAGTGAAACCCAAAGGAAGCAGAAGAGGAAGCAGAAGAAAGGAAATAATAAAATTCAGAAAAGGAATCAATGAACTAGAAATCAGAAAAATAGAGGAAAATTCATGAAATCAAAGTTTAATCTTTTTATAGATCCTTGAAAAGATCTATAAAAATGATAAAATTATAACTGATCAAGGGAAAATAGAGAAAATACAAATTTCCATGAACAAAAATGAGAGAATGATGTCATTACAGATTCTACAGACACTAAAAGGATAATAAGGGACTACTGTATGCCAGTTAATTCAAGAATGTAAGTGAAATGACAAATTCCTTGGAAGACACAAATAATCAAAACTCACTGAAGAAGAAATAGCTGGGGCCAGGCGTGGTGGCTTACGCCTGTAATCCCAGTACTTGGGAGGCCGAGGTGGGCGGATCATGAGGTCAGGAGTTTGAGACCATCCTAGCTAACACGATGAAACCCCGTCTCTACTAAAAATACAAAAAATTAGCCAGGCGTGGTGGCGGGTGCCTGTAGTCCCAGCTATTCGGGAGGCTGAGGCAGGAGAATGGTGTAAACCCAGGAGGCAGAGCTTGCAGTGAGCCGAGATCATGCCACTGCACTCCAGCCTGGGTGACAGAGTGAGACTCCGTCTCAAAAAAAAAAAAAAAAAGAAAAGAAAAAAAGAAGAAGAAATAGCTAACATGAATAACCCTATACCTATTAAAGAAATTGCATTAGTAGTTAGAAATTAATTGCATTAGTAGGAAAACTCTTCCCACAGAGAAAATTACGGGCTTTGCTGGTGAATGATTTCAATTATTTTTTTTTTAAATACTATTTTAGAAAACTCTTCCAGAAGGAAATACTTCCCAACTTCTTCTACAAGATTTTGGTATTACTCTGATAATGAAACCAGACAAAAATATTACAAGAAAATAAAATAACAGACCAATATATCTCATGAACATAGATGAAAAATTCTTTAAAAAATTTTTAGCAGATCAAATTTAGTAATGTATAAAAAGGATAACTCATCATTAGTAAGTGAGGTTTATCCCAGGAATGTGAGGTTGATTAAAAATTTAAAAATCAAGCAGTGCAATTTACCATATTAACAGATGAAAAAAGAAAACCTACATGACCATCTCAATAGACCTAGAAAAAGTATGTGATAAAATCTAACATCAATTCCTGAGAAAAACTGTCAGTAATAAGAGGAAATTTCTGCAAAATGATACATTTATGAGAAACTAGAGCTAACATTATACTCAGTGACAAAGGACTGAATGCTTTCCTCTCCAAATCAGGAAGAAGACAATTATATTTACTAACATTAATTCTATTCAGCATTGTACTGAGTTTCTAGGTTCTAGCCAGTACAAAAAAGCAAAAACAAAAGAAATAAACCATCTAAATTAGAAAGGAGGTAAAACAGTCTTTATTTATAAATAACATAACTATAAAAAATAAAATCCACTGAACCAAGTTTAGCAAAACTGAAGGATACAAGACCAATATACAAAAATCAATTATATTTGTATAAATAAGCAATGAACAATCAGAAACTGGAATTTTAAAAATTAGGGTAGTATAAAAAGTATGGAATGTTTAGGGATAAATCTGATAAAAGATGTGTAGGATCTGTCCCTGAAAATGACAAAACATTGCTGAGAAACATTGGAAAAGACTTAAGTGGAGAGATATACCGAGTTCTTGGTCTGGATAACTCAAATGTTGTTAAGTTGTCAATTCTCCCCCAATTAAGGCAACCATACTCAAAATCACAGCAGGTTTGTTGTTGTTGTTGTTTGTTTTGTTTTTGCCTTAGAAATTGACAAGCTGATATATTGGAGATACCAAGGATCTAGAATAGCCAAAATGCCATTGAAAAAGAATGACAAAGTTGGAAGCTTTTTACTATATGGCTTCAAGAATCATTATAAGGCATTATAATAGAGACAGTGTGCTATTGGCATTGCTATGGTTTGGATATTTGTTCCCCACAAACCTCATGTTGAAATTTGATCCTAATGTTGAAAGTGTTTCAACATAATAGAAGGTGTTTGGGTCATGGGGGCAGCTCCCTCATGAATAGATTAATGCCTTCCCTTGCAGGTTTCTCACTCTATTAGTTCCCCCATGAGAGCTGGTTGTTAAAAAGAGTCTGGCACCTCCCACCTCTCTTACTTCCTTTCCTGACACACGGTCTCTGTACACACCAACTCCCCTTCACCTTCCACTACGAGTGGAAGCAGCCTGAGGCCATCACCAGATGCCCAATCTTTAACTTTTTAGCCATCAGAATCATGAGCCAAATAAACCTTTTTTCTTTATAAATTACCCAGGCTCAGGTATTCCTTTATAGCAACACAAAGTGAGCTAAGACAGGCATCAAGATATGCAGGTAGATCAGGGGAGCAGAATAGAGTCTGCGAGAAATAAACTCACACATATATAACCAATTTTTTTGTTTGACAAAGATGCAAAGGCACTTTACTGGCTAAAGAATTGTCTTTTCAACAAATGGTGCTGGAACATTTGGCTATCCATGTCAAAACAAAAACAAGCAAAAAACTTTGATCTGTATCTCACACCTTTACAAAAATGATCTTAAATGGATCACAGACTTAGATGTAAAAAATAAAAAGATAAGAATTCTAGGAGAAAATTTTTGTGACTTAGGGTTAGGCAGAGATTTCTTAGCTATGACACCAAAAGCACAATTCATAAAACAAAACAATCGATACATTGCCAAAATTAAGAAGATACTGTTAAAAAGATACTGTTAACAGAATGAAAGGACAATCCACAGGCTGAGGGGAAAAATGTGCAAATTGCATACCTGTTGAACACTTGCATGCAGAATATATAAAGAACTTTCAAAACTCAATAAGAAAACAGACAACCTCATAAAAATGGAAATACCATAAACAAACACTTCACCAAAGAAGATATATGAATGACGAATGTGCACATGATCAGATATTCAACATCATTAGTTAAAAAGGTAATTTGAACTTTGAAAATCCATAAGAAAATACTATACACCTATTAGAATTACTAAAATTAAAAAGACTAACCATACCAAGTGTTGGCAAGGATGTGGAAAAAAATGGAACTCATATACTGCCAGTGAGAAAGTAAAATGTTATAATCACTTTTGAAAACAGTTTGAAAAATTTCTTTAAGAGTTAAACATATGCCTATCATATTGCTCCACCATTCATATCGTAGGTATTTATCCAAAATAAAAGCATATGTCCATACAAACACTTGTACATGAATGTCCATAGCAGCTAGATTTTTCATAGCCAAAAACTGAAAACAATCCACGTGTCCACCATGGATAAATAAGTTGTGGTATATCCATACAGCAGAGTATTATTCTGCAATACAAAGGGATGAATTACTGATACATCCAACAATATCAACAAATCTCGAAATTATGCTGAGTGAAAAAAGCCAAAGACAAGTACATACTTATGATTCTACTTATATAGAATTCTAGAAAGTGCAAAATTAATCTATAGTAATACAAAGCAGATCAGTGGTTTCCTGAGACTGTAAGGAGGGTTAGAGAGAGAAGAATAGAAAGAGACAGGAAGAAACTATTGGAGGTGATAAATTCATTATCTTGATTGTGGTGATAATTTCTTGAGTATCTGTAGACTTTAAATATGTACATTTTACTGTGTGTCATTTATACCTCAATAAAGCTGTCAGAAAACGTATTAAAGTAAACTATAAATACCACCATTAGAAATAATGCATATTTTGTTTAAGATATAGAGGGTTAAGGCAGTATGTGGTTTAAAAAAATCATTTGGAATTTCAAAGGTTTGGTTTAAGACATAAACATAGATCTTTTTTATAGGATTAATTATTGGTTTAATGAGATGTTACCCCAAGGTAAAGCCAAGATTTATTAACCTCCAATGGTCAATTTTCACCTCAGGAAAATAGTGGATTTATAAATATTTATAGCTGTTATAGAGGACTTTTGATGCTATATATTGACACATGTACAGAAACAAAGTATATTACTAAGTCTGAAGACTAAGATACAACTTTAAAAATGTGTTTCAAAAAGCATTTCAGGATGACAGTGGAGAAAAATAAAAATAAGCATGAAGACTTCTGAGATGAGGTACTGTTTAAAGGCACTGAATACTTTTAATTTGGCAGAAACATGAGAATCAGATTGAACCCTGTTATTGGAATAATAATTATTATAAGATAATGCTGAGAAAATGTATACTTTTTGACTACAACCACTTACCCTCTGCCATATATAGGAACAAAGAATTCCAAGATGGGCAGTGTCTCTTGGACTCAGAGTTGAGGATCTTTAGAATGTTTGAAGGGAGTTTTAAAATAAAGCAAGCAAAGCTGAGACACTCATGCAAGCTGGGTAGGGTTATGGGCTCAAGATGAATCAGCCTTCTCTACTGCATTCATCATTAATTAATGAATCCAAGCAACAAATATGTATTAGGCATCTACTATGCACTGACACTTGGTCAAGTGCTTTTCAAAATTCTGACCTACAGTGAACAAAATCTCTTCTATTTTTAGCATCCTTTCTGAATGGTCTTTTTTATTTCTTGCCATAACAGAGTCATCCCTCAGGGATACCGTGTCTTCTACAGTCCTATTAAGTGAAAGTCCCATCTAAACATCTTTCTTTCTCCCTATCATCACTACCAGCATATTATTTCCTCTCCCTTTTGTAAAACTCTTGTGCCTTTGAGAATCAATGATCTGCTTCTATCTCCCTCTTCCTCTCTCCATGGCAATCTCCTACTGTCCCCTGGTTACCACCCCTCATTCATGAAAGACTAAGTGCTTTGCTCAGGCTTTCTCCATCCCAAATCCTGCCATCATCCTGAGTCATTTCACCATACCCTTGGGTGACCCATCAACAAGCTGTTCAATTCCTTAGCTGCCTCATCTTCAGTGACTTCTTCACCTCAATAACCCCCGGCCAAGACACACCTAGATTAGGAACGGCATCATATTAATGACGCTAATTCATGTATGCCCCTTCTCACCATGAGTTTCTGTAGTTCTAGTTCAACTACTTGGACTATAATGGTTTTTGTCTTTACCTCTTTCCTTTCTTCCTTTTTTTCTCTTTTCTCCCTTTTTTCTTATCTTTTAAACCTATATCCCTCTATGTTCTAACTGTTACCTTTCATTTCTACACTTCTTCCTCCACTCAGTTTAAAATTAAATATTGTGTTTAGACACTTTCCTAAAAACTCTGACATTACTTCTAACTTTTGAAAGAGTTTAGTTAGACTAAACTCTCGCATTATGTCTAACTTTTCTGTAGGTTCTTTTGGGTATGCAAATAATGACATTCTTTATTGTTTACTTTCCAGTCCTGTACTCTTAATTTATTTTTCTTATCTTATTGTTCCTAAGACACACAATAAAATGGTGTACAGGTGTGATGCACTAATCCAAATATTCCATTTCTCTCCACCTCCAAGGCAAACTCCCTAGTCTATGACACTATTTTCTTTCACTTGATCAACTAAATTTCCCTCCAAAGTGGACTCCCTAGAATTACTCTGTTCCTTCCCAATCCTTTTGCATTTCATAAGCATAATAATCTTTTCAAAACACAATTTAGGTTATGTAATAGCCTTGTCTTAAACTCTTCGCTGGTTTATAATTGCACCCACAATAAAATCCAGAAGCTTTAACAGAGTCTACTTCTTCAAGCCCTTCTTTTTTTCACTAGATTTTACTCACCCTGCTTTCTTTTTCACTTTGTTTTTCTTTTTTCCAGAAGATGACAAAGCTTTCCTGCCTCGGGTCCGTCTAATGGCTGTTCTTTCTGCCTGGAATGCTCTTTGCCTCACACTTTTCCTGCAAAACTCCTATTTATCCGGGGAAGCCCTCCCACAACTCCAGAAATTCACAATTCAGTCAGCTCTCTTTCTCTCTCCTCCTTTTTTTTAAGAGACAGAGTCTTGCTCTGTTGCCCAGGCTGGAGTGCAGTGGTGCAATCATAGCTCACTGCAACCCTGAACTCGTGGGCTCAAGCGATCTTCCATCCTGAGTAGCTGAGACTACAGGCACATGACACTGTGCCCAGCTAATTTTTAAATTTTTTGTAGAGATGGGGTCTCACTATGTTGCCCAGGCCAGTCTTGAGCTCCTAGTCTCACCTCAGCCTCCCAATGTGCTGAGATTACAGGCATGAGTCACAGCACCGGCTCGCTCTTTTAAAATGTTTCATGCAACTCTTCATTTTTCCTTCAAAACACTTACTACCTCATGTAATTATATATATTTACTTATATGGCTACTTAATATATGTCTCTCTCATTGTACTAAAAGCTCTGTGTATTTCCCCATCATCCCTAGCCTATGGCACTTTGCCCAGAAAATAGTGTGCTCTTAATATTTATGGAATGAATAAACAGATGAATGAGGATATAAAGAAGACACAATCCTGGCTCAGAAAATTGCACTCACAAATCTTTCCTTCCAGTCTCAATGAGTTGTTGGCCTTCCCAGTGTTAGAAGTGGCAATAAGGAACAGAATGGTATCCATGATCCCAACTTCACATTCCACAGTGAGAGGACCTTGCTAGGTCAAGAGCGGATTAATGTAAGCAGTTACAGCAACCTGAATCAAGGTAGTGAAAATGGCAGGAGGAGCAGGATAAACTGGGGTGAGAAATTAAATCCAGGCTTCATTCATTACACAACTAAACCCAGAAAAGTAGGATAGCTAAAATATCCACAGTTTTTATTTCCTTAGATTCCTTAAAGTCCATTTATTTCTCCTTAATTGCTTAATAAAGGAGTTTGTTTTCTTAAAGACAGAGTCTCACTCTGTCACCCAGGCTGGAGTGCAGTGGTACAATCATAGCTCACTGCAGCCTCAATCCCCTGGCCTCAAGTGATCCTCCCACCTCAGCCTCCTGACTGGCTGGGACTACAGGCACGCACTACCATGCCCAGCTATATTTTTAAAATGTTCAGTAGAGACGAGGTCTCGCTATGTTGCCCAGGCTGGTCTCAAACTCCTGGGCTCATGTGATCCTCCTGCCTCAGCCTCCTAAAGTGCTGGGATTCAGGCGTGAGCCACTGCACCTAGCCTACAAAGAATTTTTAAACTGGTGTTGCATGCGAGTAACTAAGAAAAAGATCCATGCTGTTGCCCAGAGGAAAAAACAAGTAGCAGCAACTGTTAGCTTCCAAAGTCAGAAGCAGCCAAGGTTCCTTGAGGAGAGATGTAGCGTTCCACACGTTTAAATGTGGGTTGAATGGTAAATGTTGGTTCCTTCTCAGAGATCCCATCTTCCTCCCAGTCTTCAATAATGAGCTGTCCCTCCTTCTATTCGAGGACCCTACCCCAGTGCCCTGAGACCATCCTCTCGTCCCTCACATGAGACCTTCGCCTTATGTCACCTTGTACCTTCAGCCAGGCTTTCACTCTCTGTTGGAAACATCCCCTTGAACTATAAATCGGCTTGTTTCTCATTTCCCTTGAATTCATATTACCCTCTGGCTATTATATAACGTATATCCTTCTTTCTCATTAAACCTCTCCATTTCCTTACCTCCCACTCACTCCCTAACCCACTGCAATCTATTTAGAATTTTAAAACCCTTTCTAAAATAACTTCCTATCTAAAAATCCAAAGAGCATTTTCTAGTGTTTATCCAGTGATGTGCCAGTAAAATATTGAATAATCAGCTTTTCAGAGCAGAGGTCGGGGAGCCTAGATTTGTAGTACATTCCTCTTTCATTAAGTGTTGCAAATACATTCACCATGACTGCTTTCAGCTACCAACTTGGCGTCAACTGGTTTGCAAAACTTCTGAAAATTTAACATTGGCATTTCTGAGCCATGATGAGCCTGCCCTAGCACACCATTGTAATCTTACTGAAATCCTCTGTTGCATGAGAATCTGTCAATCACTCTTTACTTCAACTTCCCATTCTCTGATACTCCATGATATTACACGCCTTTGAGACTTCTCCTACATCTTTGCCTGTCACCTTCCTGGAATCTTCTTTCTCCTCTTGCTTACGACTTAAAGTTCACTGGGGTCCAATGATGTTCTTTCTTGACAAACTTTCCTAGTGAAATCAAACCGAACTTCTATAGTTTCAAATGCTGTTACATATCTCTCACTCAAGAGTGCACCTGAACTGCCTTGTGGTCAGACAGACTCTGCAAACCCGAAGTGTCATAACCATTCCATGACCTGGGCTCCCTACCTCTTTCTAATCAGTAAAGCACTGCTCTTTTATCTCCCTAATAATTCCTAAATCCAGCTCTGTTTCTCCATTTCTATCAGTATTGCTGTTTCAAAAGGTGGAATCATTTATAAAGCAATCTATAAGAGTCAAAGTTAATGATATCCCCACCAGTGTAAAACTGATTCACGGGTCATCGGTCACTGGTACTATTTCCCAAGATGCGTACTGTGTTTTAACAGGAGAAAAAAAAGAGGTTTTGTAATTTAAAAAAAAAGTTTAGGATTCACTGAGTTAAGTAAGCAGAGGTTTGGGTTGGCTTTCACTTTTCAGAAAATTTATTATGCCAATGTGGATTGCAGAGAGGGTCTGAGTTAAAACAGGACTATCTGAGAGTCAAAGAGTCTCTCTCCTAGGCTACAATAGCCTTGACCTCATTGTAATAGTCTTAAGTCATCCTTTAAAAAACAAACAAACAAAAAACTATTACTGCCTTGCAGCACATAAGCTGTCGTTAGAATGCGGTTCAGAGTGACCCTGGTCTGCAGAATAAGAGTTAAAAACCTCAAGAAATGCAAAGCCCTCTGACTTGGTCTCTGCCTACCACTCCAGCCTCAACGCTGTCTGTCTCTGTCTTTGATCTTAAACTTGAACATTTACAGTTTCATGTTTGCCTTACAAACCATGTTGTTTGCCACCATTCTTTTATTCATGCCCTTCTCTAAGCGAGAATTTCTCTTACCAGCCCTCTTGTCCAGATAATGCCTACTTCGGTTCTCTGTTCTCTGGCATCATTACTTCCAGAGTCCTTCCTGATTTTCCCAGCACCTTCCACCTGTATCTTATTTATTCTCATCATCAAACAGTGCTTGTCTGTATTAAATATATCTTTTTTTTTTTGAGACGGGATCTCACTGTTAACCAGGCTGGAGCTCAGTGGCCCTAACATGGTTCACTGCACCGTAGATCTCCTGGGCTCAAGAGATCCTCCTGCCTCAGCCTCCCATACAGCTGAGACCACAGGTGCATTCCACCACACCTGACTAATTTTTAAACTTTTTGTAGAGACAGGATCGCACTTTGTAGTCCAAGCTGGTCTCGAACTCCTGGGTCCAAGTGATCCTCCCACCTCAGCCTCCCAAAGTCCTGGGATTCCAGGTGTGAGCCACTGTGCCCAGGCATCTTTTTATTCTCTTGCTTTGATATCTGGGGCCTTGCTGACCCAGGAGAGACTGCCCCCTCCCGGGGCTAGCTAATTCCTAGAGACAATAAGGGACTCAAATGCAAGTACACCTTTTGTATGCAAACCAACCAATCCAAAACCCATACCCCTAACCACCTCCTTTACTGGGCTCTTACAGGACTCTTATGGTCCAGGCCACTATTATACAACCTTAATACCTCGGCACCAGGTACCAGACAACTAGGACAGTCCCTATACCCCAGTGCCCACTGAAATTATTCAAACCAGCCAGTCCTAAGCCTGCTTCCCTGCTTCCCCTGTTCTTCTACAGAAACCACAATAAAAGCTTTTGTCCGCATTTTTCTTTACATGCCATCTCCTCACGGACCCTGGTACTTCCCCTGAGGTCCCCTGTGTGGTCTGTTGTGCCCCCTGTTTCCAGGGAACTGTGAGTATAAACTTCTTACATGAAGTCTTTTCTGTGTCAGCATGTTTTACTATTATTGATTTAAACAAATTCTGAGTACCTTTGAAAATACTGTCACATGGTAGATCTTCAAGAAATGTTTGTTGAATAAATAATATTAAGTAACTAATTAGTTCACTGTTTGCAAGAATATAAAAGCTACCATCCTGAGTTAGCGTGCTGGTTCATCTAGCTCTGCACTCTGATATCAGTGAATCCATCACAAAATACAGTTGACATCAACAGCTAAGCTGTATCTTCAAAACAAAAAAAATTCCTTGATGAAAAAAGAGAAAGGAATCACATATTGTTTTTTATTTTCCTAGAATAATGAGGGTTTCAGTTACAGTAAGACAGTTGGGTTTTTCCCCTTCACTGCCACTAGCTTTAAATCCAACCCTTAAATTTAGGAATATTGAGGGAACTACAAATTGAGGGAATGTAAGCATCGAGAAAGCCTAGATGGGCCCGGCACAGTGGCTCATGCCTGTAATCCCAACACTTTGAGAGGCCGAGGCAGGTGGATCACTTGAGGCCAGGAGTTCAAGACCAGCCTGGGCAACATGGCGAAATCCCATCTCTACTAAAATTAGCTGAGAGTGGTGGTGCACACCTGTAATCCCAGCTACTCCGGAGGCTGAGGCACGAGAATCGCTTGAACCCAGGAGGTGGAGGTTGCAGTGAGCCGAGATCACGCCACTGCATGCCAGCCTGGGGAACAGAGCAAGACTCCGTTTCAAAAAACAAAAGAAAACAAAAAAGAAATAGCATAGATAAAAATCCTGTCTAGGAGAGGACAGGAGAATTCTCTTCCAAGCCTAAGAGTCAGGCTGGTTTCTTTTTGGTATGAGAAGGAGGGAACTACAGGGCTCTCCATAAATTCAGCTCATTTGACTTATTGTGGAAGATGACGGAGTTCTTCATTTCCAGTTAAAATCAGCCACTGAATCGGTTATAAGTTTTATGTCGCAAGTAGCAGAAAAACCCAGCCCAAACTGGCTTAAACAATAACACACTAGCATACAACGTATAAGTCAGGAGGTAGACTGATGCCCTTCTAATGTTAAACACAACTAAAACAGAAAATACTTTCAAGGAAAGATATAGAAGCACTAAAACTATATTAAATGGTACCCCCCCCCCCGCAAAAAAAAAGACTTTTGAGGCTGGGCGCAGTGGCCCACGCCTGTAATCCCAGCACTTTGGGAGGCGGAGGCGGGCGGATCACGAGGTCAGAAGATCGAGACCACGGTGAAACCCCGTCTCTACTAAAAATACAAAAAATTCAGCCGGGCACCGTGGCGGGCGCCTGTAGTCCCAGCTACTCGGGAGGCTGAGGCAGGAGAATAGTGTGAACCTGGGAGGCGGAGCTTGCCATGAGCTGAGATCACGCCACTGCACTCCAGCCTGGGCGAGCGACAAAGAGAGACTCCGTCTCAAAAAAAAAAAAAAAAAAAAAAAAAAAAAGAAAGACGTATGAACATAGGATTCAGGACAGGGGTAACTTCAGGTCAGGGAAGGAATGAGATGAAATGGAGAGGAAGCCATATGGTTAAGATTAGGTTGTTTGTCAAGGTTCTTACTTTTGTTTTGCATGGTGGGTTTGAGGCTATTTGTTACATTATTAAAAACATAATAAATAAATAAGCATACTTAGAGACAGAGCTAGAATTAGAACAAAAATTTTCTGATCCTAGGCAGCTCCTGCAAAAGACAAAAGCTGTTGTTATAGGATGCCTGCTCCTGGTCCAACCACTCTTCCTCCTCCTCTGTAACTTGGAGAAGGTACAGGGCAACTTCATAATCTTCTGTGCTCAGCGAGGCATGGAGTTAGGGCCTCATTCTATGCTAAAACAGGATTCAAGCCGAAGAGTTTTAGATGAAATAAATATGCATTTTTAAGGAAAATAAATTTAAGGAATAGCCATTCCTAAGTGCAATAGATTGATGGAGTAAAATAAATAAACCAAGAACAGCTACCAATTAGTGGGATGCTCCCTTCATTGTTAACTGAGAATTTGCAAATGCTGAATAATTAATTTTGGCATCAATAGTTAACACAATTTAGTAACAGGAGAAGAAGGCTGTCTGATTAAGAAGCCAAATCTTAGGTTGTATTTTAATGAGTAAGGCCAATAACAGGTAAGCCCAACTCTTCTTGTATTAAATTAATCTCAAATGAATATAATCTTGAAATAATATATGTGATATGTGAGGCTTGCCTGCACTAGGAAACAAAAAGTATTTCAATGTTTCCATTCTAACTCTTCACTGATTAATGTTATTGGTGATTGGTTGGAAGTGGAGGTAAAAAAACAAAACAAAACAAAAACTGTGTATGAGTCTAATAGGAATTTCAGACTATATTTAAAATTTTATCCAAGCTGGGCATGGTAGTGCACGACTGCAGTCGCAACTTCTTGGAAGTGTGAGATGGGAGAATTGCTTGAGCCCAGGAGTTTGAGCCTGGGCAACATAGCAAGACTCCATCTCTAAAAATAATTAATTACTTAATTAAAATAAAATAAAGATATTTTAAAATGTTTTCTCCTAATGACTGGTCAGAATCCAATTAAAGCTGTGATTCCCAGGCAAAGTTAAGTGAGCTAAAAAATTATTTTGTGAATTTGATCAATATAAAAAGTCAAACTAAATCACACAAAGAAAAGGAGCTCTCCAAAACAGCTGCCTGACACTGCCTGCCTCCTTCCCCCTCTGTAGTTTATTCTTGAGGAAAATTTGCTGAATTTCTATTAACTCTTTTACTTTATATGTAAAACTTAAAAATATGTTTGTGTGTTGAATTGACACAGTATGGAACTTAAATATTTACCAGTGAACAAAAACATCAAGCACCGAAAAAGCCAGAACATACTTGTTTTTTAATCCTGACTAGTTTGACCAGTGAGACAAAAGCCAGTGGGATGTTTGTGTCTGGTGAGGCTCATCAAGTTGTTTCAAATGCTCTAGAAATTACAGATGATCACCCTGCCATCTGCTTAATTCTGGCCATGAAGACTCAGTTGTGTGCTGATAATGTCACAGTGGTTCCCTCATGGTAGAGGACATGGATGTTCAGGCTGCTTTTGAACAAACGTGATGTGATTCGTGATTTGAAAGGTAGCTAATCTGACAGCAGACTGTAGTACAGATGGCAGTGAGGAGATAAAAGTGAGGTAGTTATTGTAACATTCTTTAGAGACAGTAATGTGGTCCTGAGTTTGACAGTCAAAATAAACAAGATAGGATATAGGGGACAGGGAATGATGAGTTCAGTGCTAAAGATGTTTAACTTAGCATCAGGACATCCAACTTCACCTATAGTGGGAAATGCAGAACTGGTGCTCGAGAGGATAACGTGAGGACTTAACCAAGGTGGAGCAAGCCACCTGAGTAGAGATCATTGATGCTGTGAAAGGCACTAGCTAGGTCTGAAGAAAATGTCTGATCTCCATCCCTCAGCAAATTATAGCAATTGCACAGGCCCCAGCAGATTCCTCTCCCCTACTGTGCTTAGAGATGTTATCATCAGGACTCCTTCTCAAACCACACACACACACACACACACACACACACACACATATCACACACACACACACATACACACACACACCCCCAACATACACACTCCACACACACACCCCACACACTCACACCTGCCCCCTCCCCACCCACATACACTGCATTCCAGGGTTCTCAAGGCTTTAGGAAAAGAAGTCTTGGTCATAAAATGTTTATGTAGGGAAGAAAAGACTTTTCCTATATCCTTTTAAGATCTGTGGCTGGGCCTGAGAATGAAACTGACAAAAACCGATAAACAGGAGAAATGCATACATATTTTATTTGATGTTAATATTTTCACGTACATAGGGGCCTTCAGCCTTCGTATAAAAGAAAGGCCAAAAGAAGTGGATAGGCCTGAGAGCTTGTATACTATCTTAACAAAGAGTGATAAGTTGTGCATATGTGACAAGACAAACAAAAAGGAGGTTTGGCCAGGGTGGTAAATTGTGGGAAAGTGACGAGGAAATACATAAGGGAAACTAATCAACAGTAAGGATTATTTTAGTAAGATTTATTTATACAGATTTATCTCAGCATCAATTATCTGTCTCCAGTGATAAAAATGTTCTCCTCTCCAGGGAGGACACCTTTCTCACTAGAAATTTATGTCCTGCTTTTAAGTAGAAAGAGCAAGTCAGAAAGCCCTTCCTGCATCTTCTGTTTCTCAACTGCCTTCAGCTCAAAGTAATCAATGTGCCAATGTGCCATATTTTGAAGTGCCATGTTCTGATCCCCTTCATTTGCTATTCTTAGCTTAGCAAATTTTGCTGAAAAGTAACATGAATACACTAAGATTTCAGCACAGGTACTTGACACATGTGTATCAAGTGCACCACAATATAAAAATTAAAGATATTAATTTGTTATGTTATATATTTATTTTCTATAAGAATAAACTCTAGATTAATATGTTCTTTTACTCTAGGTTAGGCCACTAGATATTTATGTGCCTATTACAAACCATGAATTTAAAGTGTTCTTAATTTTAATTCCATTATATTAACTGGCAATTTCTGCTTGATATACCAAGTGTTAAGGATTTAATCCATTTTTTTCTTACATTTGATAGGTGATTAGGTCCAAAAAATACCTAATTTTCATACTATTAAAATAAATTCCTTTTACTTCATTTTTTCCCCTGAGACAGGATCTCACTCTGTCACCCAGGCTGAAGAGTGCTGTGGCATGAACATGGCTCACTACAGCCTCAACCTCCTGGGCTCAAGCGATCCTCCCACCTCACCTCAGCCTCACAAGTAGTTGAGACCACAGGCATATGCACCCACACCCGGCTTTTTTTTTTTTTTTTTTTTTCGTAGAGACAAGGTCTCGCTCTGTTACCTAGACTGAGCTCAAACTTCTGGGCTCGAGTAATTCTCCTGCCTCAGCCTCCCAAAGGATGTAATGTGGACATCAATACCCATCAATACCCTGAGGGTGTGGGGATTATTTGTCACAGTAGAGTACTGATGCCCACATTTTGTCATGTGACTGTACCCTATTTAAAGTGGTGATGTTTTCAAACTAGAATAAGAGGCCATTTTTGCTGTCTCAGTTTGGATTTAGCCTAAGTACAGTTTGTAAAAGTTGCTACTCTTGAAAATAAAGCATCATCAGGGCATATCCTGTTAAAACACAGGACACCATGAAAGAATCACAGAGGGCAGTGTCGACTGCTCTCAAAGAGAACAAATAACAATGTTTGCCCTTGATCCACTGGATCCTTGATCCGGTATCACAGTTAAGATGACATTAGAATTTGTTTTAAGTTTTAACACTGTTCATAAGAATGGCAGGTAAGAGAGGTAAACGGTCATCACTGATCTTTATTCAATACCACAATCAAAGGTAAATGACATTAACTGGATAAGTATTTGGTTTTATGTAAGTATTTTTTTTCAGGATAAAGTCTGAGGTAATATTTGGTAATGCAGCCTAAAGCTCTTAAGAGTACCATACTTCAGTATTGGTTATTGAAATTTTCAAGTTGATCAGACCTGATGCATCCAATGAATCCTTGATCTATTTATAGCTAGGAGAGAAAACGAGACTTTGGGGTATCTAGTGTCCTTCACACTTACAGTTTTCATTCATCAAATCAGTCATTTTTGTCCTTCATGGGTATGAGTAGTAGAGAAGGAAACATTAACTATATAAAAACATAGAGTAAATGTATGTCTACACATTGCAGTAATTGTTCTGAAAGTGTAAGAGTCAGGCACCACGAGAGAGAATGAGGGAGGGATAGAGGAAGGGTATCAGAGAAAGCCACTGCAAAGCAGTATTTAAGCTGAAGTAGGTGTTAGCCAGGAAAAGAGGGGTAGCATTTCACATTAAGACAGAATCTCAAGTCTGTTTAATTGCAATAATTTACAATGAAATTATATGACCCTTGTATACACCCTATTGGACCTAGAGGTATAACATAAAAATATTATAGATCATCTAACAATATGTGAAAATGTCACTCATTAATTTCAAATAGCAATTTGCAATTCTATGGTTATAAACTATTTGGCTTGGGGCAATATATTTCCAGGTCTTATGAAATTATTCATTCTCATTAAACGCTAATGATCCTTACTGCAAAGATTACAGCTAATTAACTACTCCTTTTGCCTACATTAATTTATTAGTTACTCATGATGAATCCAGTAAATGTTTCCGTGTTAGTTGGCCAAAGTAAGTACTATGGACCAGCTACCGACACCACTAAGCATGCATGTAAACAAATACTTTGAAAAATAAACACTGCTATCATTAGGTAATCAAGTTGAAATACAGACGGACATCAGAACCAAACATTAAGATATATTAAATAGTCATCCATCTAACATTAGTGGGGTACCAAACATGGTGTTTCCATAGTTACAGGCACTGGTGCACAGGGACTTTGGTGGTGAGCAGGGTTACCTCATCACCATTTCAGAATCAAAAGAGTAACTGAAAATGATGGAGGTCATTAGCACTGACTTCCTTGCCTTAAATGCTAACAAGAAGTAGCTGCTTTTTAGAACCAGGAAGATTTCAAACAAAGCCAGCAATGACACCAAGTCATCATTGGTATGAATGGAAGAAAATGAATTCATCAATGCTTCAGAGCAGAGGAGTGGTTCCCAAAGTGTGATCCAGGTAACAGCAGCATCAGCAGCACCTGATAACTTGTAAGAAATTCATGTTCAAGGCTCAGGCTGGGCATGGTGGCTCACACCTGTAATCCTAGCACGTTGGGAGGCCAAGGCAGGTGGATTACTTGAGCTCAGGAGTTCGAGACCAGCCTGGACAACATGGTGAAACCCCTTCTCTACAAAAAACATAAAAATTAGCCAGGCGTGGTGGTGTGCACCTGTACTCCCAGCTACTTCGGGGGCTGAGGTAGGTGGATCACTTGAGACCAGGAGGCAGAGGTTGCAGTGAGCTGAGATTGTGCCACTTGCACTCCAGCCTGGGCTCAAAAAAAAAAAAAAAAAAAAGAAAAGAAAAGAAAGAAAGACAAAGGCTCCCTCCCTTGGCTACTGATCAGAACATCTCAGGGCAAGGCAAATCTGTGTTCTAACCAGGTGATCCTGATACATGCTGAAGTTTGAGAAACTGCCATTGATTTTAAAATAAAACCAGACTCAAAAACTAGCCTCAATTTTCTTGCAATTTTCTAAGAGTTATTTTCTTTCATTTATTTCAATTCAGAACAAATTGAAGCCATGTAATAGCATATCATTTAACTCAATAACTTAGCAATAAATTTGAATTGTTAAACTTTGAATAAGTTGAACTCTGATCTTGGCATATTTTGAATGTGTTATAAATGTAAGGTTTTTGAAGATTATACAGAGTTTGTGCTGCCATAAATTTTTTTAGTTAGTGCAATTTAAATGCACAGCAAATTAAAATATGACTTATTGACCCAAGAATGTATTATATTTTCATCTGAAAATTTTTGTATCCTTTAGTATATCTCACATTGTATGCACTAAAATTATTTGCCTCACTTATAAGAGAGCCTGATATAGAACATATCCAATTCTTTAAAAAATATAAAAAATTAATTATTATTCTTCACATTACAAAGAAATCACCTTTGGGCTTAAAACATGAATTTTTGTATATAATTTAAAAATAAATTTATTCATAAAATCCAGCATCTATGCAATTTTTCTGGTGCATGTATGACAATCAAATCAACTGTTTTTCAAATGCACAAATTTTTAAGTATTCTGTACACATGTAACATATCCTGTACATTGTCCTACCACTAGGCTGGAGCAGAGTCTGACATCCTATAAGAGGATATTGTATAATCTATCTTCTGCTCCATACACTGCATTTCTAAAAATTCATTTGCTCTAGAGACAGGGTCTTGCTGTGTTGCCCAGGCTGGTCTTGAACTGCTGGGCTCAAACAATCTTCCCACCTCAGCCTCCTGAGTAGCTGGGATTACAGGTATGTGCCACTGTGCCTGGAAACACTGCATTTTTAGAGGTTTCCTAATAGTTTGAACAAATCCCTAAACAAACCCCCCAAAATATAATTAAACCTATGTGTGAATGAAATGGCTATCTTTGAGCAGACGTTACTCTGGTGCCGTAGGCTGCTCTATAAGGAAGCATGTCAGGCAGTGTTTTGAGTCACTGAAAATTAATATTACAACCAGACAACCATGTAACATATATATAAGAACTCTGCCTTCTTGGAGCAGAGGAAATGGGCTGAGAAAGGCTGCAGGGCAGCAAGAGAAGCATGTTAATTCTAGGGGAGGAGACTGATGAACAAAATGCAGGAATAAGAGAGTTGGAGTTTCCTATGCTCCCCATTATGAAAGTCTCAAGAGTTCTCCACAAAGAACAAGGAGCCACAGCTATTATTAACACAGTTCACATAACTATAATGTGAAGTGGAGTTTTCTCCTGGTAAACACCTGGAGATAAAGCTAGGAACAAGAAATCTCACCTGGTCTATATGTAATGACATTCCTTTATCAATTCTTTTAAATTTGTTAAGGTGTATTTTGTGGCTCAGAATGTGGTCTATTTTGGTGAATGTTCTGTGTGACCTTGATTAGAATGTGCATTCTGCTGTTGTTGGATGAAGCTGTCTATAGACGTCAGTTATACCCAGTTGATTGATGGTGTTGAATTCAGCTATGTCCTTACTGATTTTCTGCCTGCTGGATCTGTCCATTTCTTACAGAGCGAGTTGGAGTCTTCAACTGTAATGGTGGATTCATCTATTTTTCCTTCAGTTCTATCACTTTTTCCCTCCTGTAGTTTGCTGTTCTGTTGGTAGGTGCATACACATTAAGAATTGTTGGCTGGGCACGGTGGCTCATGCTTGTAATCCCAGCACTTCAGGAGGTCAAGGCAGGTGGATCACGAGGTCAGGAAATCGAGACCATCCTGGCCAACATGGTGAAGCCCCATCTCTACTAAAAATACAAAAATTAGCTGGGTGTGGTGGCGTGCGCCTGTAATCCCAGCTACTTGGGAGGCTGAGGCAGGAGACTTGCTTGAACCCAGGAGGTGGAGACTGCAGTGAGCCGAGGTCACGCCATGGCACTCCAGCCAGGGCAACAAGAGTGAAACACCATCTCAAAAAAAAAAAAAATTTTATTATGTCTTCTTGGAGAACTGTCCCTTTTATCATTATGTAATGCCCCTCTTTCACACTGATAACTTTACTTGCTGTGAAGTCCTCTGTCTAAAATTAATATAGGTACTCCTGTTTTCTTTTGACTAGTATTAGCAGGGTATATATGTATCTTTTAAGTGGTTTTCTTATTGACACCATATAGTTGAGTCTTGTTTTTTTATCCACTCTGACAATCTCCATTATTTTTGACCATTGATTTTCACAGTGATTGTTGATATAGTTGGATTAACACCTTTCACTCTTTCTTCTGGCTTTTGTGGTTTCAACTGAGCATTTTATATGATTCCATTTCTCTCCCTTTTTTTTTTTTTTTTTTTGAGACAAAGTCTCACTCTATTGCCCAGGCTGGAGTGCAGAGGCTCAATCTTGGCTCACTGACTCAGCCTCCCAGGTCTGGGACTACAGGCAAGCACCACCATGCCCAGTTAATTTTTTGTATTTTTTGGTAGAGATGGTGTTTCACCATATTGCCCAGGCTGGTCTTGAACTCCTGGACTCAAGCAACCCTCCCGTTTCGGCCTCTTGAAGTGTTGAGATTACAGGCATTAGCCAGGTAATGAGCCATGGCACCCAGCTGTTTTCTCTCCTTTCTTAGCATACCAATTATACTTCTTTTTTTAAAAAACTTCTAGTGGTTGTCCTAGAGTTTGCAATATATATTTACAGCTAATCCAAGCCCACTTTCAAATAACACTACCAGTTCCTAGATAGTGTGAATGCCTTACAAAAACAAAATAATCCTAATTATTCCCTCCTGTCTTTTGTATCATCGCTGTCATTCATTTCACTTAAATATAGCATATATAAATATATATGAGGCCGGGTGCGGTGGCTCACGCCTGTGGTCCCAGCACTTTGGGAGGCCAAGGAGGGCGGATCATGAGGTCAGGAGATCGAGACCATCCTGGCTAACGCGGTGAAACCCCGCCTCTACTAAAAAAAATACAAAAAATTAGCCGGGCGCGGTGGCGGGCACCTGTAGTCCCAGCTGCTCGGGGGGCTGAGGCAGGAGAATGGTGTGAACCTGGGAGGCGGAGCTTGCAGTGAGCCGAGATCGTGCCACTGCACTCTGGCCTTGGTGAAAGAGCGAGACTCCGTCTCAAAAAAAAAAAAAAAAAAAAAAAAATATATATATATATATGTATAATCATGTGTTGCTTAATGACAAGGCTACAGTCTAAGAAATGTGTCATTAAGTGATTTTGTCATTGTGTGAACACCATAGTGTGTACTTACACAAACCTAGATGGTCTAGCCCACTACACACCTAGGCTGTATGGTGTAGCCTATTGCTCAGGCTACAAAGCAGTACAGCATGTTACTATAATGAGTACTGTAGGTAATTCTAATGCAATGGTAAGTATTTGTGTATTTAAACATATCTAAGCAGAAAAAGTACAATAAAAATACACTATTATGATCTTATGGGACCACCATTGTATATGTGGTCTCTCATTGACTAAAACATCATGTGGTGCATGACTACATATGTATATGTATACTGTATATATATGTATTATGTGTTTATATCCCATAGGCACAGATAAGATATATACATAAGCATATATAATCAAATTGTTGCCATTATTGTTTTGAACAAATTGTTATCTGTTTGATCAACTAATAATAAGAAAAATAAGTTTTTATTTTACCTTTTCTTTTTTTTTTTTTTTTTTAACAGTGTCTCACTCTGTTGCCTAGGCTGGAATGCAGTGGCGCATTCATGGCACACTGCAGCCTCAACCTCCTGGAGTCAAGCAATCCTCCCACCTCAGCCTCCCAAGTAGCTGGGACTACAGGCATGCACCACCATGCCTGGCAAATTTTTTAATGTTTTGTAGAGATGAAGTCTCAACATGCTGCCCAGACTGGTCTTGAACTCTTTTTCACCTTTTCTTATTCCGTCTTTGTTGTTCTTCCTTTCTCTATGTAGATCCAAGTTTCTGACCTATATTATTTTTCTCTTCTCTAAAGAATTTATTTTAACATTTCTTGCAAGGCAGGTCTGCTGGCAACATATTTCCCTCAATTTCTGTTTGTCTGAGAAAAGTCTTTATTTCTCCTTTACTTTTGAAGGATAATTTTACAGGATACAGGAATCTAGGTTGGTGGTTATTTTTCCTTACAGCTTTAAATATTTCACTGTCTCCTGGCTTGCATGGTGCCTGAAGAGAAGTCCAGTGTAATTCTTACTTTTGTTGCCCTATAGGTAAGGTTTTTCTCCCCACCACCGGTGTCTTTCAGGATTTTTTTATCTTTGATCTATTGTAGTTTGAAAATTCAAACTACAATTTCTCCAATTTTTCCATATGCCTCAGGGCAATTTTTTTGGCATTTATCCCTCTTAATGGTTTCTGAGTTTCCTGAATCTGTGGTTTGGTATCTGACATCAATTTGGAGGAAATTCTCATTAGTATTTTAAATATTTCTTCTGTTCATTTCTTTCTTCTCCTTCTCGTATTCCTGTTTAATATATGTTACACCTTTTGTAGCTGTCCCACAATTCTTTGATATTATATTCTGTTTTTCTCAGTCTTTGTTCCCTTTGCTTTTTGGTTTTGAGGGTTTATATTGAGATATCCTCAAGCTCAGAGATTCTCTCCTTAGCTGTGTCTATTAAGAAGCCCAAAGGCATTTCCCAATTCTGCTACAGTGCTTTTTGGTTCTTCCTTAGAATTTTCATCTCTTTGCTTACATTGCCCATTTGCTCCTGCATGCTGTTTTATCCATTTGAGCCCTTAGCATATTAATCATAGCTGTTTTAAATTCCCTGTCTGATAATTTCAACATCCCTGTCATGCCTTGTTCCAATGCTTGCTTTGTCTCTTCGAACTGTTTTTTGTCTTTCAGTATGCCTGGTAATTTTTTCTGGATAGACAGGATGTACTGGGTAAAAATGACTGCCATAATAGGCCTTTCGTAATATGATGGACGGTATGGATGAAGAGGAAGCATTCATTAGTCCTATAATTAGGCCTCCATCGTTTAGTAAGCCTGTACCTTTAGACTATGAACTTCACAAGTGTTTCTGTTTTTTCTCCACCCTTTAGTGGGACAGGATGGCTAGAACTGGATGGATATGCCCCTTCCTCCAGGTCAGTTAACCTCTGATAAACCCAAGGTTAAGTTCTGCTTAAATAGATTCTCCTGAGGGCAGACCTTGTTAGGAAGAACCAAGTGCTCTGGCATATTTCAAAATGCTTCCTTTTTCCTTCCCCTGCCCAAAGCACAAGGGAATTTTTCTCTGATATTTACTGTGAGCACCTGGTTGAGCTCCTAGACGTAAAACACAGAAACTCTATGACTGGGTCCCCCTGGAGTTTTTAACTCTCAGACATGTCTACATCTAGCCTCTGTCAGTTTTTCAATTACAGTTCAGGATTTCTGAGGAGGTTTCTCCTCCATATGCTATGATTCTCTGTGTCTGCCTGTCTGTTTCTCCAATTTTAAGCACAACATTTTGCCCTGTGACTTCACTTCTCTTACACATCCAAGAGGTGTGGTTGAAATTTTCACTTGTTAGGATAGGATGGTGACTTCCAAGTTCCTCACACGTGGAACCAGGAACCCAAAGCCTCTTTTTTTCTATATATACTACTATAACTACGTTATGGAATATATCTGCTTAAAGATTATTAAGAATTGAAATGAACTCTAAACTCTATTGTTTCCTCATTCAATAGGGATACTACTATCTATGTTTCACAGTGTTGAGAAGATTAAATAATCCCATGTATGCGAAGTCCTTCAGATAGTCCCTGGCATACAGTAAGAGCGCATACCTACATCACCATGATCAAGATCACCACTGAATGAACCATGTCATCTTTACTGTCATGCTCTTTGTTTTATACACAAAATCTGACAACACTAGTATTACATGAGTCTTTCAGAGTCAAAACTCAATATTTGTCCTAAATCTAAACTTCATTTAAATCTCACCTCCACCATAGAAAGGATGAAAGTAAGCCACGTTAACACAATTCCTCCTCCCCGTGGCACAGTTTCAGAAATTTCTCCAAACATATATTAATTATTTTAAATTCAGGAAAATCAACAACTTGGCATGATTTCTAAACAATCGGATGTTCCACTTAATTACCAGATAATTTTAGAACTAAAATGAAATGATCTAGACCAAACATTCATGGTATAAGGCACATAATGGTTAAGAGGCATGCCCATAGCCGCTCTGCAAGTCAGACTGGCACAAGTCTCCTGACCACACTATGCCAGGCTATCTTCACTGTAGATGCATCAGGTAACCTACACTATGCAAAAGAGCTTCCATTTCTCATGTTAAATAGTGTGCTATCAAGGACCGTCCAGGCTTTCCTTCTTAACAAATATTTTTACACAAAACACTCAATTCTTTTGAGTTTCCAACAAAACAAAAAGACACTAAAAACACTAGCTTAGGTATTTTAGCTCAAATAATATTTCACATAACAGAATTTAAAAATGTTTTATGTGTAAACACTATCAAGTCATTATGTATATCTAAAGCATATAAATTATACACATTCTACAGTAATATTTAACAGTCCTGTATGTTACTAAAAATTCTGAATACCAAAGCAATTAATTGACTCAGATTCCAAAAAGATAACTGTAGAATATAAGTGGCTTTTTTACTGATGACGTAGTTTATTTTCCAAAACAATTAAAAATAATTCTTATGATGTTCATCTAAGTGTATCATTCACACACTCATCTTCCACCATCTAAAACACCAGCCTTCCTTTTCCTAAAATAAATTTATGTTTGGAGAAAAGGTTTTGATAAGAGATTTTTTTTCCAGCCTGGAATTTGATAAGCTTATCAGTTTGAGATAAACTCCAGTTTCACAAACTGGCTAGAAAATTCAATGTCATTCTAGGGACAACATGAATTCTAATATTATCAGCTTTATTTGTATATTCTCCAATTCTTGTTATATGCAAGTGATAAGAATTCCTTTAAGTTGTCTGCCTCGGCAACCAGGTCCCCTTGGTGAAGGAGTTTGTTAGCCTTGGGTCCTGTTGCTTCTTTGAGTAGACTCTAAAATGTATCCAGTTCAGGGCAGAAGCTTCCATATCAGGACTTTGCTTATTGTTGTTTGTTTCTTTGCCCCATTCCCCACCCCACCCCTTTAAACCTGTTTATTTTTGCAAATGGAAAACATCAGCGAATCTAAGCTTAAAAGAAAAGAATAGGCAGTTATAAAAACATCTGCCATAACCAAGATTATTCTATTATCTCCTTCAATTTCCAGGTGCAAAAAGAAATAAACCTCAGCTTTTCTAAATTTCTGTTTCATGTCATTGCATTTTTCAAAAGAAACACAAAATATGGAAAGGCTACTACTTGGTTCTTATTAGGAAGAAAACAGAACAAAGCAGGGTTAAAAATAAAACCACAAAATCAAACTAGTAAGATCAAGAAAGAACTAAAGACAAGCAACAAAGTCTATAATTTCCAAAGAAGATTCACTCTGGAATATTTTTCTTCACTTCTCTTTAGAAAGTTGTCAAAGTTGGCCAGGTGCGGTGGCTCACACCTGTAATCCCAGTGCTTTGGGAGGCTGAGGCGGGTGGATCACCTGAGGTCAGGAGTTTGAGACCAGCCTGGCCAACATGGTGAAACCCTGTCTCTACTAAAAATACAAAAACTAGCCAGCGTGGTGGCGCGTGCCTGTAGTCCCAGCTACTCAGGAGGCAGAGGCAGGAGAATCACTTGAGCCTGGGAGGCAGAGGATGCAGTGAGCCAAGATCGCGCCACTGCACTCCAGCCTGGGAAACAGAGTGAGACTCCGTCTCAAAAAAAAAAAAAAAAAAAAAGAAAAAGAAAGTTGTCAAAGTTCAGAACAATAAATATAGCTTTTTTTAAACAACAGTTTTTCTTATTTACATACAATGACATGTTTTATGGAAAAGCAGAGAATAAAACATGGACAGGGAAAAAAATAGTTCCTAAAATGCTTCTTTTAAAATTTCAGTTACAGTTGAAACTTCATAAGGAGTACTCCTTCCCATTCTGGAATTTCACTTCATAGAAGCGGCTGTTTCTTCTAATTTGTATTACTATATCTCAAAATAACCCCTTCTCCTACCTTCCTACCTTCCTTCCCTCCTTCCTTCCCTCCTCTTGCCTCCCACTCTCCCTTCCTGTTTTGTTTAAGGGACAGGGTTTCCATCACCCCAGCTGGAGTACAGTGGCAAGATCATAGCTCACAGCAGCCTTGACCTCCTGGGCTGAAGCAATCCTCCTGCCTCAGCTTCCTAAGTAGCTGGGACTACAGGCACGAGCCACCATACCAAATTAATTTTTAAATTTTTTTTTAGAGATGAGATCTCACTACTTTGCCCAAGCTGGTCTTGAACTCCTGGGCTCAAGCAATCCTGCCTTGACCTCCCAAAGTGTTGGGATTACAGGCGTGAGCCATGGCACCCAGCTATTCTATTACTTGTGGGGGTTTTTGTTGTTGTTCTTAATATTGTCTTTTGACTTTTTCCTATGGAAAATCAAAATTTCTTACCTACCCACCCCCACCAAACAAGCAAACCATTTTACTTCCCCCCAATTATAGTTACAGCATAATGAATCAACTTTCTATGATTCATAATTACAACCATAAATCTGCACAGCTAAGCCACATAGGGCTCTATAAGTTTTCCCAGATATTTTATTTTGTTTGTTTTTTTTCTGTCTCTATCTTGAATTGATTCACACACTCTCCAAAGCAAACCTCCAACCTTCTGAGGGGTTGGGGAAAGGTAGCTGCCCAGCTCTGAAAGGGGAAGGAGGTAACCTGGAAGCCCAAAGCCTTTCAAGTAATTCTTTGAATGTCAGTGCCACTTTGCACTCCCTGTTTTAGAGGTTTCTGCTTCCTACAAATTCCTGTGGCTTTCTGGGGTTCTGCAGAGAGAAGTGGCTTTTTTGGCTGGCTCCCTACCCAAGGTCGTGGGTTTCCATCTTATTCGTGCTATTAAATCAGTTATCTCTCATTTGCTTTCCTGATCTTCCATCTCCGTTGACATCTTTTGTCTGTTGCCATTTCTTCTGCCATTCTTCTTGTTCTTTTTAATCCTTTAATATCCTTTTAGTGTGATTTATAGAGGGAACATAAATAAATGCATCTGTTCAATCCACCATGTTTAACCGGAAGCCTTTGTGCTGACTGTTTGTAAAGAATGACTGGGTATTTTTTAATATCATCACACCCATTTCTCTTTTGTCTATTCAAAGTTATCTGCAGGTAAGTCTGATTAACTAATTACAATGGATTTTTTTTTAAGTGGGGACAACACTTAGTCCTAAGCAAGACTGTAAAGCTGATGAGATTCACATCTAATGCTTTTAGCTTCCCCATTCTTTTGCCATTTTCCCCACTTGAAGGCACCCTTCTCCAATACCCATTATCTTCATGGTCCCTCCAGAAACTAGATGGGGTAGTGGGGTGTGGGGAACAAATGTGCCTGGGAACTTATTCATACTAGAATGTAAATGATTGACAGCATTATAGGTACTTCCCAGTATATAAAAACAATGCAACTCCTCAGCTGAAATTAAGATAAACTGGAATTTCCAAAGATGTGTTTTAGAAACTTTCTCTGGGAGTAGAAATGTATTGGGAGGAGTGAAGTAGAGGAAAATGAGCAAGAAGGGACAAAGAAAATGAAATGGCAATGAAAAACAGAGATGAGAGTTTGGCGGTAATGTCCAATTTCAAGAGATTTTTTTCCTTCCTATACATGCAAATCTTGAAAATGCCAGGGTAAAAACATTAAGAAAACAAAGTTCTATGGACTTCGGAAGTTATAACAAGATATATGGCACTGGGAAAATGTAAATATCTTAAAATTTCTTTTATGCCTGGTGAACAAAATTATAAAAACGTGTCCCAAATTCCATTTATGCTCCTAATATTAATTAGTGGCCTCACTTTTCTGATGAATGACATTAGTAGCCAGAACAATCAGATTTCAGATCAGAGAAGTTTTTTTGACTACTCCAGCAAGAATGTAAAGGGAAAGAAGCCATTATTTACCAGAAAAATAGCATCTTTTTTGACATGACAATCAAGGAACTCTAGTGGCTACTGGAAATGATGACTGGGCCTTTCTAGGTACATGATCTCTAAGGGGCTTTGGCCAGCACAAGCAGAGAATGAAGCTCTCTTCAGAAAAAAAAAGAAACACTTCTGCATCAGCCTTACTGAGCTTCTTAAAGTATGTTTAGATATACATGGGCAGGAATTCTAATTTGCTCATCCTTAAAACAAAGAGATTGGCTTAGGGTTGTTGTTCCCAGTGCAGGCGTGTTAAGCGACTTCCCTCTGTCATTCAATTTCCACCAGTCGACAGCATAGCAAGAAAATAAGGACCATGTAACAGCTGTCCATGAAGCCAACTTTTCTCAATTTAAACAATTGTCCTCTATTTTGAAATTGAGTCCCACCTTTTATGAAAGAGTGATGAAAATGGACAGCAGTTTTTCTTTACTTCCTCCTTCTCCTCTCCCTGCTGTTAAATCTTAATTAGCAAAATTTAAAACTTAAAGGATTTCCATTGGACACCAACATTTAAAAGATTTTAAAAATGCAAACACATGCTGATCAATGATAGCTAAAGCTTCTGCCAATATTGATGCAAATTAACTCAAAACAGTCCTCCAGTTTTTTTTACACCAGAGAATCTCAACATAGTTCTTTTAAACCTCAGTCTTTCTCTTACACTGTTAAACCTCTATGTTGGTCTATGTTTAAATTATGGAGAAAAACCATTTAAAATGCATCAAATACTCAATTGAAGGTCAACATTGGTAGTTCTAGGGTCCACCTAGATGCTTAATGATGGCAGACTAGTTTAGAGGAAAGCTACAGGAATTGTCTTTAAAATGAAATTACACAGTAACCACACTTTGCTTAAATTGTATGTTACAGATTAATGGTGATAGCAGTAATAGATCTCTAAAGACATTTTTATTCATTCTCTCTATTCGATTAAGAAAATGTCTATCACCCATAACAAAGAAGAAAAATAAGTATATGAAATCACTTTAATACGCAAGTGAATATAGTGATGCTTTCACTGGCTTTTTCATGTTGTTTTATGTGTGTGTGTCCCCCTCCCCTATCCCCTGTCTGGTATTGAAGCAAGTTCTCCCTGGCTAATGACATCAAGCTAATCTCAATAAGGGTTGGTAGATCTAGTGTCAGTGCTTGATAAGAACAGGCATTTTATAAGTCTTTAATCTTAAAGATCATGTTTACTCTAAAAGTACTAAATGAGGGCTCAGAGACTTGAGCCGCTCTTCGGGCTCTGTGATTCACCTTGGACAAAATAACTTCACCTCTTTGCGCCCTCAGTTTCCTGGTCTATAAATACAGAGAATAATATCTCAGTAGATCCTCAAGACACTCGTGAGGTAGATGTCAGGAAAATTCTTTGAAAAATGTGAAGCATAAAGTGTTTAAAAGGTATTTAAAATATTTAAAGGTATGCTCAGATTCAATAAATATCATTTCCTGACTTAGGACTTCCAGAATATATCCTTATTTGTGTACAGCATTCAATTCAAATGCCATAAATTACTATGAATTTTTATTCCTTCATGTACAACCACTAGCTTTTCCATTTACTCCCAGTTACTTATATCTCCACCAACCTAGTGACCTCCACCAACCCAGAAACCACAGACAAAAGTCTGTGCTTTATAAAAATGGCTCCATGAGGCAATTCTTTATGATGGTTAATGAAAGTCTATGTTGCTCTACAAATGCCACTAAAAGTTCTTATCTAACTTTTCTATGGAATTTCTTTTCCTAGTCCATTGCTCAGTTTACTGTAAGAAACCAAACGATTTCAAGATCCAGAAACCAAATAGAGAGAAGACAGTGATTCATCTGAAGGAATACTAGCAGCTACAAATCCATTAGCAGCTGGATTTAGGGACCTCCAGCAGTTGGTTTCCCAATATTTCAAGTATGAGAACTCCGTTTTAATGTTCAGATCCCTCCACAACTGAAAATTATATAATGACCAGAAAAGAAACTATAAAATTAGTAGTGCTTTTGAGTGAATTTGTATTTTTCTAATCATAACAACATCTGTATACGTTTCAGAGTTAGCACACAATGATTGGTAAGCACAGAGTTAGAGAAATTTCGCCAGCTTTTGACTCATAGGATGGCAACCACTGTCTTACAGCTAACTCTAGCCATGTTTTTTGCCTTCCGATAGAAAATAATGAATTTCCCTCTTAAAATGTGAGAGAATAATAAAAATTCAGAAATTGATGTAGCAAGTTTCTGCCTTACTGGTTGTCTTTTTAAATCTGGGAATTGACTAGTTTTTAATCTGAGTGATCTATTGTTAGAAGAAAAAAAAAATCTTTGCAAGTTGTTGAATCTTTTAAAAGTCCTAAGGGGAACGTGTTTACTGTCTGTGACAGTGGTTCTTAACAATGTCAGATTTAACAACTTTTTTATAATGAATATGCTGTAATGACTCCCTTTGATAGCCTATTTTATCTACCGAGTGAAATAAACCATCCTAAACAGCATGTATGGCTTCTCATGATTCTGTGGGTTGACTAGGCAGTTCTGCTTGACAAAGTAGAGGCAGTTGGGGCTCTGGGGCCCCTAAGAAGTCAAACTGGCCTCACTCACATAACTCAGCTGGCACTGGCTGCTGGCCTGGAGCTCAGCTGGGGATGCTGGCCTAGGACGACCCTTCTCTTACAGGTTAAACTCTCATGTGGCTTCTCGGGCTTCCTGGTAGCATGGCAGCAAGGTTCAAAGAAAGAGCATTCCTGGAAGCGAAGGTGGAAGCTGCAAGCCTCTTAAGGCCAAGCCCCAAACTTACACACCATTATTTCGCTGCATTCTATTGGCCAAAACAGGTCACAGGACCAGCCCAAATTCAAGGAAAGGGAAAACAGACCCCACCTCTTGATGGTGAAACGGCGAGGTTATATTCAATGTACCTGTGGGGCGGGCGCAGTGGCTCACGCCTGCAATCCCAGCACTTTGGGAGGCCGAGGAGTTCGAGATCAACCTGGGGCAATACCAAAAATTAGCCGGGCGTGCGCCTATAGTCCCAGCTTTTTGGGAGACTGAGGCGCGAGAATCGCTTCAGCCGGGAAGGCAGAAGTTGCAGTGAGCCAAGATCGCGCCACCGCACGCCCGGCTTCGTCTACAGAAAGAAAATAAATGTGGAATGGGAGATATTGCTATAGCCACCTTTGGAAACGTAATCCATCACATATTTGGGAATGAAATTCCTGGGTGATATAATCTAACTACATAAACAATGTTTTAGAAATGAAAATAGCATCTCAATAGTTTAACAGAGAACTAAAAGGAAAATAATTCATAACATGTATTTCAATATGTAAATGCTCAGATATGACTACACTACAAGATCCATTAAAATAGCCAGATCCTTGCATCGACTTAATGATTACATTTTGATTTAAGAAAAAATAAGTCATTCCATAAAAGAGATCTCCTGAAATGAACAGAGGTACAGGAGGACACTAGAACCATAACAAAAAATAGTGCTAGGATAAGTGATAATGCATCAGATTTATTTCAACATAATTATAAAAAATAATCAAGACAAATTAGAGAAGAAATACAATAACCTTAAAAATGATCTGGGCCTTATCTATGAAGAATAAAATAAAAACTCCCCACGTGACTACAGAAAACATTTCAATTATTTCAAAATTCTACATGTCAAAGCATATTTTTGGCCTCCAGTACTTAAAAAGACTTTGGAGATCACATCTTTCAGTGGCCAGAGAATATTGGATGGACTCTTTTAAAGAATAAAAGATTATAGAGAAGTTGCGATAGATGTCAGAGACAGACCAAGATTGAAAACAATAGGCAACACTCAGATACTATTTTAGAATGTGATTTTCACATAATTTCTTTTTATATGTATATATAAGGATTAGTTCACGTATTTGTTATTCAAATCCCGAAATCCCATAACCGCGAAGGATGTTAAGTGTATATGGATCCATGTCACTTCCTCTGGAGATTTTCTGAGCAGATGCCATTTGAAGTACAGGGAATGTAATAGTTGATCCTGGTATAATGTCAAGGGCTTCAAATCCAGAAAATGTGGAATTCCTTCTTTTGGCCCAGTAGTTTGCTGCTGTTGCTAGGTTTGGGAACATTTGTGGTGATAGCACCCCAATAACAGGGTGGCGAAGTACACCCCCAAATTCAAAGAAATCTCCAAGTACCTTTTTAGCCAGTGGTTTCTTCTGCTCAAAAACTGGAATCTCCAACACAACAGCGGGTAAAGCAGTGGAACCATCCACACACTGATCCAGGAACATTCTCACAGTGTAGTAGGTCATCATCTGTGCTTTGCTGGCAACTACTTTAACTTGATCAAGTAGCTCGCACGCAGGGGATTCAAATTCTCCAAATAGAAATGTGAACATTAATCCTCCAACCCATGGTCTTGAGTTGATCCAATCTATAGCTGGCCCTGCATTATAGCTAATTAATAAATCAGCACTTTCACTATGCAAAGGTCTTCCAATGGATATCATCATTGCCTTGAATTGTCTCTGTACTTGGAGGCTGTTGGTGCATATCGGGTCACTCGATCCGGCAGCAATGCCTATCAGATCACAGCAGTGACGCAGAATTGATGACATCTCAAGGGCAGTGAAGGTAGGCAAAACATCTTCAAATTTGCTAGCATAGAGAGTACCTGTTTCCTTGTTCTCATTCCCAATCACAATATTAGACCTTTTGCTCACACCGACACTGAGTAGTGCCTTGTGTAATCCATCGAATATAAAACACAAAAATACTAAGCTTGGGGTTACAAGGTAAAAATGAGATCTCTGTGCTGGGTCTAGCATAGACTTAGTTGCTTTTTCAATGACCTTAACATCTCCAATACCAGGTTGGGGCTCCAATGCATCTGCTGGATACTGTCTGCTCTTCCCAGAGAGCTCAAATCTCCCTTGAAAGTAATGGAAGCTGCTCCCATCCTTTGTACTGTCTTGTGGGCTGCTGGTCTGTGGGTTGTTTCTTGGGCGGGACATTGTGGGTGATTGTTTCTGTGATTTTCACACAATTTTGTACTGTACTAAAAAAATATAGAGAATGGCAATACAACAAAATATTTTTAAATTACATTTATTAATAAAATGTATTATGACTTCTGTATCTCATTTACTTCTTAGTAATATTCAGTTTTTTAGTCTAGTAAAGGAATTTCCAAATCTCCTTAATTACACAACATAATTTTGATTTTCATGCTTCTACACCTAAATGTGCAGCTGCACTAAAATCCTTTCCCCTGTCAACTGTGAACACCAGAGCTATGCCTATAGAGAGAAGAGTCAACCACTCATTTCGAGCACAAAATTTAAGGTTTCCTTAAATTTAAACTCAATCATCAAGATCAGTAATATTGTAATGTCATCTTTTAAAACATCGAAGTAATGCCAATAAAACCCCCTATAATGAACAAAACAAAACTTCTAACAAAGCCAGGATCCACAGAAAGAGTTAGTTGTCTGACAATTCTTACGCAATATCTTTATGTCGTTTAAGCTTTCCTCGACATAAGGAATTTTTCCCTAAATAAGGAGCCTTTTTGTGTAGCTTCTTTTAAAACTTTTCAGTATGCCTTCACACAGAAGGGCTGCTGACTTAGATCTGTATTAAAAGTACTACTGCCATATTTGTCTAGGATATTGCTCAGGGCATCTTTTGAAACTAGCAGGGCAGGAACATATTTCATTGTGCAGAACCAAATCAAGTTTTGGGGCCATCAGGCAAACCTGGTCCCCTCCTCTAAGTGTCAGTGATACCCTATATCAAATCATTGTGTCAACCCCAGAATGCCCTCAGGTTTCCAAACTCGCTGGCCAAGTGGGTGCTGCCCAGAGCAACTGGAGATAACACTGGAAAGGGAATGGAATCAAAGGAACACAGGTTGTACAGGTCTTTTGAAAACTGTCTTGGACATACATCTAAGGTTGATTTGAATTTTAATTAAGTCTCACTTAAAGGCTCTCTGGGGTTTTTAAAAATTAAAGAGCTTTTAAGATATAATATTGCATGCCCTGCTTTAAAACCTAGACAGTGATAAAAGCTTAAAGCTGACGCAATCACCATGCTAATCACAATATTCCATGCAAAAGTTCTCCAATGGAAGGGATATAACATTACATGGTCATTCATTCCTTTCTTTTCTCGTCTCTTAATGCAATGAAAGGTTATTATGTTTTGTCATGTTCTTAACTGTCTTGTTCCAAATATAGGCTTTTGATTTGGGTGGTAAGTTGTGCATCTCAATAAATATTTTTCTTTGCATTAATTCACAATAATCCATTTTTATTCCCCGAAAGTCCATTTGGAGGTAGAAAAAGGTGAGATTTATGAAAAGAAATGTTCAAAATCTCCACACACTTAAAAACATCCTAAAACTTCATGGATTTTTCTGTGGTTCCCAATTCTGAAAGCACATATAAATTATAGCATTTTTGTTATTTCCTTATGTTTACACAAAGACAAAATCTAATAGGTATTAAATCGTGTTAACAAAAAACAATTTTTTTTTTGAGACAGGGTCTCACTTTATCACCCAGGCTGGAGTGCAGTGGCGCAATCTCAACTCACAGCAGCCTCGACCTCCCTGTTCAAGTGATCCTCCTGCCCCAACCCACAAAGTAGCTGAGACTACAGGTACTTGCCAGTATGCCATCTAATTTTTGTTTGTTTTTTGTAGAGATAGAGTTTCGTCACTTTGCCCAGGATGGTCTCGAACTCCTGACCTCAAGTAATCTGGCCTCATCCCACGCTACCCCACGCTACCCCACCCCTCCGCCACAGCCTCCCCAAGTGCTGGGATTACAGGTGTGAGCCACTGCACCTGGCCTGAAAACAGTTTAAGGTGAGCATGTGAGCTTTTCCCTCCATCTGTTTGGCGTGCTAATTAAGTCACTTAAAGCTGCTTGTGTTTTACCATGTCCCTTCTTAATCCCATGTCTCAAACATTTAGTTAATCATGCAACTAAACTTAACTAGCAGTTATAATCACAATTATCTGAGCATTCTTTATTGTGAATAGGTATCTTCGGTTACTAAAACCAAAGGTCTTAACTAAAAACTTCCCCGTATTCTTGATTATTTGGATAATTAGGGGCTAGGGTTGGTGTTCTCAGTGCCATAAACCACAATGTACTGCATATCTCTAAAGCACTTGGTGGGATGCTGTGGGTACTATAGGATTTTGTGAGTTTTCCAAAATATGTATCAACTACAAAGATGACAGTTAATTTAATTAATAACTTGAACTGTCCATTTTTCTGTTGTCCTACAATCTCTATATTAGAATTCAAAAACATTAGAGTAAAACAGAAATGATAAATGATGTATCTTCTGAAATTTCTAAAATATGCAATTTTCAAATGGCCTATGAAAATTTGATCCCTTATCTTATAAAATGCCGTAGCAGTAGGATACATATACTAAATAACCTTTTCAATATTTTTTATTTGTTTTGTAAATAGAATAAGTCCCTAGTGAGACTCTTTAAACCTAGTTATTAACTTATGTTCAGGACTATTTCATTAGGAAGCTTTTCTTCTCATTTTGGCTATTTTTGATCCAAGAAACCAGGTCAAATACATAGTTTCTTGAATAATTTCTAGAATGAAAACTGTTGAGAAGTCTTTATACACATACTCTGAGTTTAGAGCATTAAAATTATAGTAAGGTTGGATGTGGTGTCTCGTGCCTGTAATCTTAAGTGCTTCAGGAAGCTAAGGTGGGAGGATCCCTTCAGTCCAGGAGTTCGAGACCAGCCTGGGCAATACAGCAGGACACCATCTCTTAAAAAAAAAAAAGTTGTGTTTTTTTTTTTAAATTAGCTGGGCATGGTGGCACGTACCTGCAGTCCTAGCTACTTTGGAGGCTGAGGTAGGAGGATTGCTTGACTCCAGGAGCTCAGAGGTGCAGTGAGCTATGATCATACCACTGCACTCCAGCCTGGCCAACAGAGTGAGATCCTGTCTCTAAAAGAAAAAAAAAAAAAGGTTGTATTAAAAACCCAGTCTATGATGTAAAGTGTGTTAGTCTATACATACAGGTCTGTAGCCTACACTCTGCATTATGGACAAAATTATGTTGCATCTGAAGCATGAAACGGTGAGTAGCAAATTCATCTAGCTATGGCCTCAGTAAATACACTCCTTTGTTTAGCTTATCAGTCATCACTAAAAACATTTATTAAAGACCTTCAGTATATGGATCTTTTTCTCAACAAGTTTAAGATGTAGAAAAATATTACAGAAGATGATATAAAGTTATTGCTAGTCACATATAGTTTGATTATTTGTATAGAAATTCAAAAATGGAAAAGTAGAAAACAGATTTTTTCGAAGTATTTTCTAAGTTTAGTTCATAGATTCTTTAATTCCTGTAGGAACACAAGATAATATATTACAAATATATAATAACAAGATCAACAAAGACATACCTGTGAAAAGAAGCCAACTGCCTAGAAAATAAAGGCAGCTCCAGAGCCCACTACTCACCCAGGCTCCTTCCAAGATTAGGTACCTAATTTTGTATTTGTAGTTTTGTATTCATTTTCTTGAAGAAAACCCCCAAAAATCATATAAGCTTTAGGCCCCTCAGAACCTGGATCTGCTCCAGTGGGGAGTAAACCATATGTGATTTGCATAAAATGAGTACAACACTTGGCTGAGCTTTTTCGAAAAACTATAACCAGGGAGATATACCAGGTTCCTGGATGACAAAATTTACTGCTATTAAAATGTCAAGTCTCTTGAAGTTTAATTGAGCATTTCATGCAAGCACAATGAATATTCCAACAGTATTTAGAAAACATAACAAAACTTTGGAAAAACCTGGAAAACATTTGGAAAAAAATGAGAGTCACTAAGAAATGTTTGAAAAAGATGATTAATTAAATATGAGGTGCTGGGTTGAAGGAAGTATGGCTGTTTTCCTGGGTACAAAACATATTCTAAACCTTCAATAATTTAAACAATGTGGTCCTGGTGCAGGAATAGGCATGCTGACCAAAACAGACATCAGAACATGTAAAAAAAAATTAATAATCAATAAAAGAGGCAATATCAAGACAAATTCAGCAGGGAAGAGAGGAAGTGTTAAGAAAAATGGTAATGGTACAACTGGTTAGATAATTGGAAGTAAAAATCCATTTTGCTGTTAGTCTTATACCATCCACCCAAATAACCTAAATAAAGGAATGAAATATTTTAAAAGATTAAATTATAGAAAAATTACAAGAAAATATACATTAATGTGATTCAAACTCCACAGAGGAATAGTTTTTTGATTTTTGATTTTTTGTTTTACTTTCTTTTTTTTTTTTTTTGAGACAAGGACTCACTCTGTCACCCAGGCTGCAGTGTAGTGACACCATCATGGTTCACCGCTGCTGCAACCTCCTGGGCTCAAGCAATCCTTCTTCCTCAGCCTCCTGAGTAGCTGGGACTACAGGCATGCATCACCTTGCCCAGCCAAGGAATGGTTTTTTAAAAAGCTTAGTAACAATGAAACAAGAGAAAATAAAATATTGACAGAACTGACAATGTAGAACTGAAAAATATTTGCACACAAAACTCATTACCTAAATTAAAGGCAAGCGATATATGGGGATTAAAATACTTTCTGCAAGTATACAAGGTTAACACTGACCTTATATAAAAACCTCATACAAATCTTTAAGAACAGCACCAAGACACCAATAGATTAACATGCATAAAAGGAGGTATGAACACTCTGGCAATTCCTCAAAATACTCAGCGTGGAGTTACCGTAGGACCCACCAACTGCACTCCTAGGTTTAGGCCCAAGACAAATGAAAATATGTGTCCACCCCAAAACCTGTACATAAATGTTCATAGAAGCATTATTTATAACAGTCAAAAAGTAGAAACAACTCCAATATCCATCAACTGATAAACTGATAAATAAAATGAGTTATATCTGTACAACAAAATGTTATTAGACAATCAAGAAGAAGGCACTATCTCAAGCTACAACATGGTTGCCTCTTGAAAACTTACGCTATGTGAAAGAATGCAGTCACAAAAGATCATATGTTGTGCGATTCCATTTACATAAAATATCCAGAATAAGTAGACATATAGAGACAGAAAGTAGAGATTAGTGTATGCCTAGGTCTGTAAAGGGGTTTGGGGGTAAATAAGGAGTGACTGATAATAGGTACATGATTCCTTGTTGGAGTGATGAAAATGTTGTAAAATTAATTGTGGTGATGGTTGCACAACCCTATGAATATACTCAAAAGTCACTCAACTGTTTGCTTTAAACGGGTGAATGGTATGGTGTGTGAGTTATATCAATACACAATGTGTAATATATTATCACAATACTATCTATATGATATCACTGTACATTATAAATAGCTTTATTATAAGATGCTTTTTAAAGTATGCCCAGCCAAATCACAGAAGAAAGCAAGTTAACAAACTTGAGGAAATTATCAGCATTGCTAATAACCAAAGAAATACAAATTAAAGCAATAAGGAGATAGTATTAATATTTTTCTCAAAATAACTAGAAAATAGTTTTGACAATTCTCACTGCTGCTAGAAGTATGGCAAAACAGACATTCTCATATACAGCCATTGAAAGTGCAAATTGACACCACCTTTTTTGAAGGCAGTTTAGCAACAGATATCAAGAACTTTAAATGTAGTAATACTCTGCCTCAGTGGTGTAGCTTATAAAAACACTACACAAGAAATTTTTCCTAAATATGAAAGAAAAAAATATTTATATACAAAGACCCTCATTTCAGCATTATGTATGACCATGAAGAAATGAAACATCTTAAATGTTTGGTGATAGTGGAATAGTTAAGTGTGCTGTGGTATATGTACTGGATGAAATATTACACAGCAGGGAAAAATATATTACATATTAATATGGGAAAATTATTACAAGATATCAAGAGAAAATGACAGTACAAAATTGTATGCATAATACTGTTAGAACTATGTTTAACTATTTTCTTCTTTTTTATATTTTCAAATTATCTTTAACAAACTACACTTAAATTTTTCATAACATCTAAGAAAAATTAAACAGTAACAACAATGTAAAGCACTATACGATGTGTGGTTTATACCATAATGAGTACCAGATATTCAGAGAAGAGTTTCAGACTCAGTGTTTCAATATTTTATCTGCAGGTGACTGTGCTTCTATGATTTTTTTTTTTACCCCAATAAAAGTCATTCGGTGAAACCCAATTTAGGGACACCTCATCTGGCATGTACAAACACATTGCAAAACAAAAACAAAAACAAAAACAAATTAGTGATAACATACCCCTCAATCCATATATGTGATGTATTTTTCCTTCACTCTTTATTCTACAACTATATTTACAGTAAACATTTAGTCTTCAAACTGTTTCAATCTAGATTTGTTAAATCTTTTAAAACTAAAGATAATATATAACCTACTTTGAATTATCACCAATAGACTCAAACAGGGCAACAACCTCTTTAAGGAAAACAAGCTACTTGCATCAAAATGAGAATACTTTCTACTCTTCTGGAAAAATATCTAGATGGCAACATTCTATGTACAATAGGTAATTTATTTGTGGTTTTATTTCAAAAACTTAGAATATTTGTTTGAAATATATAATTCTCATCATTGGTAGTTTGGCACATAAAACTCTTCTAAAAATATAGGTTAGACATATACAATGAAGACTGAGGAAGGACAGGATTTTAGTGAAAAGTTGCAATAATTTATAAATTGTGCTAATACAATTAAACGGAGTATAAATCTTCAGAAATTTTAACTTGATTTTCAAAACACTGGAAGTTTAATCAAGAATCACGAGTACTTCTTGCCCTATGTGCACTCCATCTCTGTTTTGCCAAAATCCACATAATCAAAATTTTTTATGATTTTCCTTAAGACTATTTTATCGAGATCAAAAACTAAGTAAGTACACTTGAGCTTCAAGTCTAAAACACAAAACTTGTGCGCTGCATCATTTTACCTTGACTCAGCCAATCAGAATCCAATGTTGCCTGGGAAACCCTCTCACGCTTATTACAATAACAATTCTGTTGCTTGATTTTTAAAGCAATAAATACATACTCAGAAATTATTTATATATATATGTATGTGTATATATATATTTTTTTGTTTTGAGACGGAGTCTCGCTCTGTTGTTCAGGCTGCAGTGCAGTGGTGCAATCTTGACTCACTGCAACCTTCGCCTCCTGGGTTCAAGTGATTCTCCTGCCTCAGCCTCCTGAGTATCTGAGATTATAGGTGCGTGCCACCACGCCCAGCTAATTTTTCTATTTTTAGTAGAGATAGGGTTTCACCAGTGCAAAAACTTATCATCCTGGTTTCTTTTCCCTGATCAGTATGAGAAGGCACAAAGGAATAAAGAGAACTGCTTCACTTTCATACTGTTCTCATATTCATTTCTTATGTGCCAAGAACTTTGGTAATATAAAGAAAGACAAAGAGGAAAAAACATATCCTCTGCTTTTTCTGTATATCCTGCACACCATACATTTCATTACACACCAATGTGTTTGTCAGATTCAACTGCATTGTTATTTTTTATCTTCCTTGGTATACGCAAGAAAAATGGAAACAAAACTTAATGGAAAACAGAAAACTGTAATAAATGACAAAAGCAGATACTACGTTGGCTACATTCTCTGACTACACCATGATATAACCATAAATTCGTAAAATTAACTTTGGAAAAAACAACCACTTGAAAAAGGTTAAATATTAAGTCTCTCCTAAATAACTTCTAAGTCAAAAAGCAAGCAACAAATACAGACTATTTAGAAAATAATGTAAAGAGGAGTAACTAGGTGTATTAGTCCGTTCTCACACTGCTGTAAATATACTACCCGAGACTGAGTAATTTATAAGGAAAGGAGGTTTAATTGACTCACAGTTCTGCATGGCTGGGAAGGCCTCAGGAAACTACAAGCATGGCTGAAGGAGGAGAAGCAAGCACCTTCCTCACAGGGCAGCAGGACCTAGAGAAAGAGCAAGGACGAGGGGAACTGCCAGATGCTTTTAAACCGTCAGATCTCGTGAGAACTCACTCACCATCACGAGAACTGCATGAGGGAAATCCACCCCCATGATCCAATCACCTCCTACCAGTCCCTGCCTCAACAGTTGGGATTACAATTCAAGGTGAGATTTAGGTGGACACAGCCAAACCATGTAACTGCATAGCAAAATCTCTGTCGTTTAAATATAAATCTTAATGACTTTGCTGTTTTTTAAAAAATTAAAGTATACAAAGCAAATGTGTAACAAAAAAGAAAAAAACAACAACAATGACCTAAAAAGACAGGAAGAAATAATACATATAAAAGGAAAAATAATAAGAAAAGAAACCACTCCTAGGAGACTTGTGCCATGGATACTATGGCCCCTCACCCAGTCCCCCTTCAGGTTCAAGGCTGTTGCTGGGAGTAATTATTGGCTGTTGATGGCTCACAGCTGAATCCATTTTCTGGAATTGACCTTGGTTAAAGGAAGTTGCCTCAATACATTTATGTCTCTTCTTCAAGGGTAGCCCACAATCCAATGACTGAATTCAATGCAGCGATTCAAAGACCCAGCCCTGGTGCCTTGGATTGGTACATCTCTGAATGCTCTTTCAGCCTCAATGCTCCCCCTGGAGCCAGCTGAGGCTACTGATGCAGCTGCATTTCAGTTTGGCTTTTTCCTCTGCTCAGTACTATTTTCTCCCTGGCTTCCTCAAAGGAGTTGTTTCTGAGAGCACTCTTCAATAAACTGTACATGCAAATCTCAGAGTCTCCGGGCATCTGACCTGCAGCAGCTAGTGCTGGAAGTGATCCTAGGAAAGTGGCTTTAAAATGAGACCGCAGGCACAGCCAGATCACCCACTGGCAGGCAGGTACTGAAGACCCATCACTGGGGATAGATGGAGCATGGATACCTCTGGCATGAGACAGTGGTGCAAGTATTAAAACATTCCCGGTGTGAGCTGGCGTTGGATACCAGTAAAAGGGAATGCACTGGCAGGTGCAGTATCAGGATTTTGAGAGCTAGAGAAAGTGGTAATTACAAGGATTAGGGAATTGGCTGCTGCTGACAACAGTGGATGCCCTAGAGGAAGACAACAAAAGGCTGAGGTTAATTAATCACCAATTAAAGGCAAGCAGCAAAGTCAGACAGCCTCTTCCACACCATATAAAGAGATTCTCATCTTCTATGAGCCAACACCAAAAGAGGCTAAGAATCAAGCCCGAGCCTCAACAATAAGAGTAACAGAGCTTCGGAAGAGGTTGAATGAGGAGAGGGCCTTGTTGGGAAGAAGTTGACCTTAAGGCATGGCATGGTGGCATCCTGAATTCCCACATTCTCCCAGACTCTGGGCCTATAGAAGTGGCCCACTTCATCCTGTTAAAGACCAGCACTGCTCGCTCACTTGAAGATGATGCAGTCATCTGCCTTGCAAGGCCACAGGCATTCCTTTCAGATCCACTTCTACCTCCTGTTTGAGCCATCAGATAAATGAGTAGGGTTGAGTCATAACATGAGCCAGCCTGCTGAAAGAGGGAAGAGTTGATGCTCTCAAAAGGAGATGTAGGACTGAGCTGACATATACCATCACAAACCAAGACAGGATATTTGGTGTTGGATCAAAGTGAGTAGAAGATAAGGCTGGATAAAGGAGGGTCAATCAAGACAGAGCATTGTCCTGTGAAACAGGATTTAACCCTGACAAGCAACCTAGGAGTTGGTGACAACACACTACAAGATCTTAGAAGCTTGTAGAAAACATGGCCACATTATGTGAGAGAAAGTGCTGGAACTTCCATGGCAGACAGGAAAATAAAGGATCAAAAGGTTAGGAAAATGTTCTAGAGTGAATATACCCTGTTGAGTGCCAGAAAACCCACTCACCAATGACAGACTGTGGGAGGGGCCAGAGGACACTGTTTAATAAAGCAATAAAGTCATCGGGATGAGGGGCACCAGCATCTCTGTGAAGGTCAGTGTGGCTGTCCCCTGTGGCCTTGGGCTGATATTGGTGATACTAGTACAGAACTGGGCTCCCTGATAACAATGGGGATGATAGTGTCCTGCAGTGATAAGGGCAGATTGTGGGCTATTATTCTAATGGCTGGCAAGTTTGGATTGAAAGAGGGAGAGGTGTCTGACTCACAGAGATGTGAAGCTGGTTAATGGAACATAGCATCTGTAGGGACATCTTGGATGAGCAGCCAATAAGCATATTACTCAAATTATACAATCAGGATAAATCGAGGCCAAGAGGGGTGGCTCGCACCTGTAATCCCAACACTTTGGGAGGCCGAGGCAGGAGGATTGTTTCAAGATCAGCCCAGGAAATGTAGTAAGACCCCCCGCATCCCTATAGAAAATTTAAAAATTATCCAGGCATGGTGGCATGCATCTGTACTCCAAGCTACTTGGGAGGCTGAGGTAGGAAGATCACTTGAGCCCAGGAGTTTGAGACTGCCACGAGCCATGACGATGCACGCCACTGAACTTCAGCCTGGCAAAGAAAAGAAAAGAAAAGAAATCAACCACGGATCTTCAGGAGATTGAGACCAATCAACCCAATAAAAATGACCATATTCTGCCTCATTTCTGGATCCGAGCCACTACTCCGGCTAGGAACTCGTTAACTGAAGGATAGACCAGGTCCCAGGAAGAATTCTATCACCCACAGCAAGTACATATGATAGATTCCCCCAGTCCTTTTTCCAAAGGGACATATAGCCATTTGTGTGGGTGAACTGGGGGAATAGGAATTCCTGACTTTTCAAGGGTTTGAATTCACATTGATACTAAAGGATCCAAAGCGTCATCACATCCCCATTTGCCATAGTTAGAGTGGGCACATTCCACAAGCCAGGTAATAAATGCAGTCCTGGGTTCAACACCAGCTTGGGCAACGTAGGGAGTCCTCGACTCTACAAAAAATTTAAAAAATAGCTGGGCATGGTGGCACACACCTGTGGTCTCAGCTACTTAGGAGGCTGAGGTGGGAAGATCGCTTGACCTCAGGAGGTTAAGGCTGCAGTGAATTATGATCGTGCCACTGCTCTCCAGCCTGGGCGACAAAGCAAGACCCGATCTCAAACCAAATAATAAAAAATTTGAAAAATTTTAAAAACCAAGACATATGATAAAAAATGGTTGTTGTTTTTACTCACTGAGTTTTATAGTGGTTTATTATGCAACAACAGATAATAAGACAGAACTTGGTATTTGGAAATGGTGTCTGCCTTAAGAAAAACTTGCAGCCTTACCTTGGGACCAGGTGGTAAGCAGGAGATGGAAGTCCTTAAAGAGCCCATTACTGAAGGCTTAAAAGACAGTAACGAAATAGCTATTGGAGTCTGAAGGAAAGGGGACATATTATAATTTATTAACAGGAGGTACAAACCCCACGAAGACAGTGGTGAAACTGTCATCTGCAGGAACGCGGAAAACAGAAAACGTACATAAGGAACTGATAGTTCTGGCTGAGGATATTTATAGGCACACTGTTGAAAGTACTAATTGTTTTTATTTTGCTTTGTTTTGTTTTTAGCTGCCTATGAAAAGTACATGAGGAGTAGAATAGAAAAACAAGAGAAATGTACAGTTTTAAAGCAAAATTTAGGGGAAATATAAAGGAATCAGGATTTGGTTTGGTACCCCTTTGTGGGATGACCCTCTATTGAAATTTGTGTGACGTTTTCATTGTGAATAGAGTGGGAATATAAATTTTTGGAAGGAAGACCACAGAGGTGAAGAGCTACATCCTGTCAAGGGTACATACCATCAACATGACTTATCACTGTTGATGTTGATCTTGATCACCTGGCTGAGGTAGTACTTGTCAGATTTCTTCACTTAAAGTTACTCTTTTCTCCTTTCCATACTGAACTCTTTGGAAGGAAGTCACTTAAGGAGTCAGGAGTTGTGCTTCTCTTCCTTGAGGGCTCACTTTTACTTTTCTTTTCTTTCTTTCTTTTTTTTTTTTTTTTTTTTTTAATCGTAGAGACAGGGTCTATGTTGCCCAGGCCAGTCTTGAACTCCTGGCGTCAACTGATCCTCCCGCCTTGGCCTCCCAAAGTGCTGGAACTACAGGTGTGAGCCACTGGGCCTGGCCTTCAACTTTCTTTTTAATTAAATGTGCTTAAATCTGTTTCTGGGTTCTGAATTGTTTCCATTGGTCTGCTTATCTATCCTTGCTTCAATATCACACTGTGTTATATAAGGGGGAAAATCCCCTCAAAATAATTCATATTTTCATTTTTAATTGTGATAAAATATACATACAACAAAATGTACATCTTAGCCATTTTTAAGTGTAGAGTTCAGTAGAATTAGTACATTCATGCTGTTGTACAACCAGTCTCTGGAACTCTTTTGATAATACAAAACTGAAACCTTACACTCATTTAAAAACAACTCTCTATTTCTCCCTTCCCCCAGCCACTGGCAACCACCATTCTACTTTCTATCTCTACGAATTTAACTATTCTGTGTACCTGATACAAGCAGAATTATACAAGTCATACAAATCATCAATTTGTCTTTTGTGAGTGATATATTTCACGTAAGCATAACATCTTCAAGATTCCTCCATGTTGTAGCATTGTCAGAATTTCCCTCCTATTAAGGCTGAATAATGTTCCATTGTGTGTGTGTGTGTGTTTATCACATTTTGTTTATTCATTCATCATTTACCAAGTTTCTGTGGACACCTGGGTTGCTTCTACCTTGTGGGTATTGTGAATAATGCTGCTATGAACATGAGTGTACAAATATCTTTTCAAGATTCTGTCTTCAATTCCTTTGGGTGTATGCTCAAAAGTGGAATTACTGAATCATGTGATAATTCTATTTTTAATTTTTTGAGGAATCGCCTGCTGCTTTCCCATGGTAGCCGTATGATTTTAAGTTCCCATCAACAGTGCACAAAGGTTCCAATTTCCCCATATCCTCACCAGCACTTGTTATTTTATGTTTTTTTGGATAACAACCATACTAATGTGTGTGAGGTGGTATCTCACTGTGGTTTTGATTTGCATTTCCCTAGCGCTAATGATGTTGAACATTTTTCATGTGCTTATTGGCCATTTGTACATCTTCTTATGGAAATGTCAACTCCAGCCCTTTGGCCACTTTTTAATTGGGCTGTTTAGTTTTTTATGGTTGTTGAATTGTAGGAGCTCCTTCCGTATTCTAGATATTACATCTTTATCAGATACATAGTTTGTGAATATTTTCTCTCATCTTGGGAATTACCTTTCCACTCTTTTAATAGTATCCTTTGATGCACAGAAGTTTTAAATTTTGATGTAGTCTATTATCTATGTTTTCTTTTATTGCTTGTGTTTCTAGTGTCATATCTACTCAAACAAATACATAAATCATTGTCAAATCCAATGCCATGAAGCTTCCCCCTATATTTTAAGAGTTTTATAGTTGTAGGTCTCATATTGAGGTCTGTAATACATTTTGAGTTAATTTTTGCATATGGCGTAAAACAATGATCCAACTTCATTCTTTTGTATGTGGATGTTCAGTTTTCCTACAACATTTGCTGAAAAGAATATCCTTTCCCTATTGAATAATCCCAGCACTTTTGTTAAAAGTCATTTTGTTGTAAATATAGGGATTTATTTCTGGGCTCTCTAGTCTTCCTCAGTACAATTTGTGATGGTTCATCTTATGTATCAACTCAACTGAACCACAGGGTGCCCAGGTATTTGGTAAAACAGTATTCCTGGGTGTGTCTGTGAGGGTGTTTCTGGATGAGTTTACCATGTGAACTGGTAGATTGAGTAAACAGATTGCCCTCCCCAGTGTGGGCAGGCCTTGTCCAGTCAGCTCAGATTCAAACTGGAACTAAACTATTGGCTCTCCTGGGTCTTCAGTTTGCCAACTGTAGCTCTTGGACTTCTCAGCCTTTCTAATCACTTGAGCCAATTCCTTAAAGGAAATATATACGGTTCCTGTTTCTTTGGGGAACGCAAACAAATACATAAACTTTAAGATAGAAAAACAGCATTCAAAATTGCATATAGAGTATGAGTTCAGGTATTTTTATATTAGAAAAAAAGTTAACAAATTAAAGTAATATATATTTGTTGTAGATAACTTGGGAGGTAAAGTGTAAAAAAGAAAAAAATCAGATCCTCTCATTTTGATGTATTTCACTCACTATCAAGAAATATTTATAGACCACCCATGTAAGTAATTCAGTCTTATTACAAAATAGGATTATACTTTTTGGACAGTTTTGTATCCAGCGTTTTGTGCCTAATGCCATATTGTAACATTGCCCAAAGGCATTATTTCTGAAGAACACTATATAAATGTCTGTATAAATGCTTTTTATAAATTCTAATGTCTAATGTCTAAACCACAGTTTATTTCACTATTTCCATTAGTGTTTGATATTATCTCTTGTTTATAGTTTCTCACTATTTTAAGTAATGTTGCAATAAATATAATTGTACTGAAATTTTTATATTTATTATTATAACCTTAGGCATTTGCCACTTTAATGATAACAACGAATAATTTTGTTTGAACAAAGAAAGTACACCTTTTCTTGAGATTCTTGTACACTGATCCCTTCTTGAATGCCTTTCCTCAGCAGTATTCCTGGACTTTCCACAACTTTAAATATAGCTTTTTTCATATAGCTCTAGATTTTCCTCTTTTTTTTTATAGTTTCAAAATGACAGGACATTGTTTTCCTCCAATAGAGAACTCCAGATTAAAATTCTTAAGATTTTTGGTTATATTGTTTGAGAAATTATTGAGTTCTCTTCTCCTACAGCAACTTTGATGATCAAGTGTCATCTTGGTTTTAAAATGTACGCTTTATTTCCGAAAATAAAATTGAGTTAACTTAAATGCCATAATCATTTCTAAAAGGTTGTTTTTGTTTTGTATCTTTGATGGAAAGGGGTAAGAGTACTTTTTATTTGCTTATAGGCAAAATTAAACCCTTCAAGTAAATAGCAAATTTCTCATATTTCCTGCCTTGATACCACACATTTTTTTCTTACCAAGTCTATCATAGATGGCTAGGTCATAAGTGAGTAGGCATGGAAAATTGATTTCTAATTTCTATTATTTTTTCTAATCTTCATCTGTAAGTATTCCTCTGATAGGGTGTTAAGGACTGAATGTTTCTGTCCCCACCAAAACATATATTCTGAAGCCCTAATTCCCTATGTGATAGAAGCTGGAGATGGGGCTTTGGAGAAGTAATTAGTGTTACATGAGGTGATGAGGCTGTGGCTCTCATGATTGGATTAGTGTCCTTATGAGTAGAATATCAGAGAGCTAGACATTCCTTTCCCAGGTGCATGTGCAAAAAAGGGGTCACGTAAGCACACAGCAAGATGGCAGCTTTCCGCAGTCGAAGAGAAGAGTCAGCAGAATAAAACCTACCTTGCTGGCACCTTGATCTCGGACTTTTCATCCTTTAAACTGTGAGAAATAAATTTTGTCTGTTGTTTAACCCACCTGGTCTGTGGTGTTTTTTTATTGTAGGCTGAGCAGAGCAGACTAAGACACAGGATTTAGTCTTAAATTTATTTTTCAATACTGATCGACGACAAGTTAAAAATTCACATTTTAGGGATCAGGTGTTGGATCCATGTAATCACCAGAATGCATTTCTCTTTAAGAGTCCAGACTTCTGGCTTAACAAGATTGAAGATGGAAATGATTTTGGGGTAGCAATCCAGGATAAGGTGTTGGAGAGGGTGAATGCCATCAAGACCAAAGTGGAAGCTTTCCAGACAACCATTTCCAAGTATTTCTCAGAACGTGGGGATGCAGTGGCCAAGGCCTCCAAGGAGACTCATGTAATGGATTACCGGGTCTTGGTGCATGAGCGAGATGAGGCAGCCTATGCGGAGCTCAGGGCCATGGTGCTGGACCTGAGGGCCTTCTATGCTGAGCTTTATCATATCATCAGCAGCAACTTGGAGAAAACTGTCCACCCAAAGGGTGAAGAGAAGCCATCTATGTACTGAACCCAGGACTAGAAGGAAAATAAATGATCTATATGTTGTGTGGATAAAAAAAAAAAAAAGAAAAAAAATCACATTTTAACCTAATAATCTGTATGTTTACAGTTTAAAACTTATATTTTGGTAACTGGTAAAAAAACATAAAGGGGGGTTCTGGGATGTTGATAATTGTTTACAAAGATGTGTTAACTTTGTAAAAATGTATTCAGTTGTACTCAATAATTCGTGTACATTTCTGTATTTATGCTTAATCGAAAAGTTCCCTTTTCAATCATATTTCAAACAATTAAAATATTAAGATTTTTCTTAAAAATGTAGGCTTTAAAAATAACTTAAGATTTAAGTATTTGGTGTGATCTATAGACATAGTTTATTCTCACCCTATTCCTGTAAGCTCAACACTTAGTTTCAACATTAAAAACATAAAATACACTGACATTACCAAAAGGGATTAACCCCAAGGACTTAAAATGAAATAATACAGTTGATAAAATTAACATTCTTACTTAATTAAAATGTTTCAAGTTCTTTAACTATTTTCTAGTTAAATGTATTATAGCTTATTCTACCCTCAATTCATTGCTGTTTTCAGTTGTAGCTATAAATTGAAGAACATTTTAGGCCCTGTGTCCATCAAAATTCAGAGAAATAAAAGTTCATATTTGCATTATTCATTATCATGTATTATGCATGCAGAAACAGAGCAGTTAGGTTTCTTCAGGCTTTTTTTCCTAAACTTTGCATTGCATGACATCAGACACAAGTGTTAGAAACGAAAGCAGAGACACGTTAAACCATGTGGCTTCCTCCTAGCCTCCATTATTTTCTAAAGAAACACTTGCATTATAAAAATACTTTAAATGAATGACTTCTATGACTTTTGTGACAGATCTTTAATTTTTATCTATTATCTGTTTTGTCCTTTTCTGAATTAGATGAATAGTACATTCTCTAATGAGTTTTTATTTTTAAATCATAGCAATTGGTTCACCTTTTATTATGTTACTTCAGTGAATTTCCCTCTGATTGTGTATACGCAGTTTAAGTATACAACTCTATTAGCAACATTAGGAACATATTTACATACTCAAATATACAACATAGCCTTTTAAATGCTATTCAGCCTTTAATTAAAGCTTTAAATGATCTTGACATATATCTAGGTTTGGCTGGTATTACAGAGCCCAGAAATTAAGGACAAAAAGATGCTCCTCAGAAATAGCATTTATTGCAACATCAACAACCATGACACGTTGAAATTTTATAAGGCCAATGCATCCATAAATATTTGTGCAATTCTTCCAAATTGTTGCCCACCTACCTTTTTTTTTTTCTTGAGACAGGGTCTCACTCTGTCACCCACGCTGGAGTGCAATGAAGTGATCACCATGCTGGGTTAATTTTTTATTTTGTGTAGAGATGCTGTCTCATTCTGTCGCCCAGGCTGGTCTCCAACTCCTGGGCTCAAGTAATCCTCCTGCCTTGGCCTCCTAAAGTGCTGAGACTACCGGTGTCAGCCACCCACACTGGGACCCACCTATCTTACCTGCCTGCAAGAGCCAAGGAAATGGCCTAAGCACTTGTCCACATAATCACAGCAACTGCTTCTGCTTACATTAGAGGGGAGTTTTGCACTCAGTGTGACACCTCCATTCCCATTTAATTCTCCTCCATTTTCTGGTCTCTAAATCATATTAATACCCAAAATAGGGTGAAATAGAATGTATTTAGAAATTTAAGATCAAATTTTAAACTGCCACCTAGGCCCCTGGTCAAGTACAAATTCTGGTACTATCTCACAAAAGTGTCCTGAAACAGGGGTCTACGTGGATGTGCCAATTCCCAAACATCAGCTTGGGGTCAAAGAATCCTTAGTCTCTAGACTCCATGGCCTGAATCTATCCTGAATCTGTCTCCTTCCAGATTTTGCCTGCCTCTCTCTCTCATCTTGCCTTCTGTACCTAAATGCTAACAAATTGTTTCCCTAAGACAGATTCCCCAGGAATACTTCCTATGCACACACAGCTTTCATTTGAATAAAATTGAGCAGCCCAATGAATGCATAATTTAACAATGCCCTTTAGCACGCCACAAATGTTGTGTTGGTTTTTATTTTACCCCCTTTACAAGATTTGGAGCAAAATATTAACGAAACTTCATAAAAACCAATTCAAGTATCTTTTGGTTTCAAATTAACTAATTAGGTAGCTGTATTTTAGAGGAAGGAACTTCCAAGAAGGCAGTACATCAGGGAGGAGCTTGGGCTTGGGCCTGACTACCCAGGTTCCAAACTCACTGTGACTTCCGGCAAATTACTCAGCTATTTACTCAGTCGCACTGTGCCTCAGTTGCCTCATCTGTACAATGGCAATAATAGGACCTGGAAGACTTATGAAGATTACATACCTTTCTCCACGAAAGCACTCAATAAAATAAGCCTTTATTAATATGTCAACTGAGCTGAAACATAACGAATATAAAACAATATATCCACAGGAATAAGATGTATTAGTTCTTACACTTTTCTTCAAAACTGTCTTTCAATTTTCTGTAGTCCAAGCCAAAACAATAATTATTATGATGAAACTATGATTATTTCTCAAAGTAATAAAATAGAAGGAAACTATTTTGAGAGGGCTTTGCATTTGGGGAAATAAAAGGTAGGGGACGTTGAAAGTAGAAAGTTGAAGCAAAGTATGGTAGCAGCTTCACATTCAATCTTTCTCATCATTCTTTTTTTTCAGGTTTAACAGTCATACTATTGTAAAAGAGGTTTTCTCCTTTTCCGCCTTGATGGGAAGTGTTGCAGGCTTATTCTATTCTCTACTAAATTCAAGCGTTTTAGTAGAAAAAGTAAAATATAATATATATTCTTACAATATTGTCCACACGAAAGATTTACTACACAAAAATTATTTCTGAAGGCATTAATACCAGGAACAATTAATGTTTAAGTCGCAAACGGAGATGTTTACGCTGACAGGGAACAGACAAAAGGGCGGCCATGCTTCAACAAAATGTAGGAGTTTTCAGTTTGCAGCTTGAACTTGACACTGTTGAAATACATGCATTTCGGTGGCCCCGTTACATTTCACGCGTCACGAAGCCGAGCAAGACCAGCCCGGGCCGCCTTCCCCGTGTACGCGCGGGCCTCCGGGGACGCGCAGAGCTGGAGCGGCGGGCGCGCGCGGCAAACGGGCCCGCGCGGCCTCTGCGCGTCCCCGCTCCAGCACCCTGGCGAGGCCTAGACCGCCGTGAAGACCCCGGGGAAGGAGTGGCCGCGCTCACCTGCAGCCGGGAGAGGACAGCGGGGGAGAGGAGGCCGCTCTGCACCGGCCGAAAGCGAAGGGCTCGCCGGCTGGCCGCGTAGTGTAAGGGTCGGTGGTTTCTTTGCTTGGTCCCTGGAAATCCACCCCTTCTTATCCCGGAGGCCTGAACTCGATTTCTGCAAAACTTCCCGCGACCAGCTCATAAAAGGAGAGCGCGTCCCTGGGTGGGCTCGAACCACCAACCTTTCGGTTAACAGCCGAACGCGCTAACCGATTGCGCCACAGAGACTTCGGTGTCATTTTCCCCTTCTGCCTCAGCCTTTATGAAGAATAATAAAGGCAGTGTGTGGCTGTTTCTGCTTTCTGATTGGTACTATCAGAACCAAAATATTTTACTTCACGTTTCCAACCCTCTTAATTCTATTTTCCACCTTTTAAGCATATCGCAAAATTATACAACAAAATCAAGCAGCATTGCAGATTGCAAAATGTATTAAAATACTGTTGCTCCCCCCCGCCAACTCCCATTTGGAACGTTGTATTTCAGGAAAATAACTATTTCTTATTAGTTTTCTTTTATGAGAAAATCAAAGCTTTCATCTTGTGAGCTGAGAAACTTTCCCTTTGTTTCGAACAATTTGCCCAGTGCTTCGTTCGCTCATCTCTCGTGATTTACTTGTGTAGTATTCCCAAGGTCATCTGAATTTTATTTGGCTGCTTTATTTTTATATTCAGGTATTACTAAATGCATAGATGAAATCCCTATTTGTTTTGTACTAAATACAGTACAATGATTTCACACTAACATTTTGTTACTGGAAAGAAACATCAGGGAAAAAAAGCTACAGGAACATTTCTTAGTTCCAGTGCGTTGTAGTTTATTGCTAAATCTGCCCTCGTCCCTGGAATTAGCCTACACACCCACATCGAAGCATAGCACTTAAAACACACATCTCGAGGGATAAATAAAACCCAATTTGAGGAAAGAGAAGTTAAAGAAGAAAAAGGAATGATTTATACTAACTCCTGCAAATTTTTAGCACAGAAACACTGCAGGTAAACATGCTCCATTCCTATAAATACTTCAATGAAAATCGTTCCCTTTGTGTGAATGTTTCCTGGTGCCTTTTAAGGTACACTTCTAAGTTCCAAACGCTCTTTTTCTCCCTTCTTCTCTCCTCAAATAATTGCGAGTTTCCACTTGAGAACGTGAACGTGTTTAAATTTTTAACAGTCACTAAACCGCTCTGTACAGAATCCCTCCAAAAACAATCGCTATCATGATTTATAGACGTTGTAAGCGACGCGTCTTGGTCCAATCAGCATTTTGAGTTCCCGTTGCATGGTAAGACAACTTAAATTGGCTTTGGAACCAATTAGAAGCCGAGTTCCCTGAAAGCGTTGAGATGTTAAACAGCTGTGAATTCACGCCAAGCTGCACCACGCCACTTTCAACAAACTTTTGGAAGTGCACTTGAAATTTTTGAATTTGAAAAAACAATCTAGGAAATGCTTCTACAGAGTGTATGAGAAGTCTCATTTCATTAGACGATGCTGCTTTGTACTTGGTAATATTATATGTACCTGTTAATGGGAGCTAAAACTATCAGGTACTGGCTTTTCTTCTCCAAATACCAAACTGAGTGTCCTTTCCTCTGTTGTTTTTGTGACTATCCAGTTAGAACAGACTGCAACGGGTGTACTTCACTGCCCCATCATTCAATGTTTACTCTTCTGTTTAAAGTAATATTAGGAACGGTTCTACTCATGTAAATCTCTTCAGCTCCAATATCTTTTCCTCACTTCAGTCATCATACTAGCATTTGACTTCTAACAAGAGAGATAATGAGAAACAGTCGATGAGAAAAACTAACTCAGAAAGGAATATTAACTCATTCTAGGCTAAAAAATTGTCTATGTAAGTACCACTATTGGTTTTAAAACTGTCTTCAAGCCTGGTTCTGTAGTTTTTAACATTTTACATAAAATGGCTGTTTCCACGGTTACTTAGCTCTGCCTTGTTTTCCCTCTCCACTTGAAACTACTTCAAAGGAGCATATAAATGTTTAAAATATTGAATGGACTCTGAACATTTTATTCCAATGGTATATATCAAGCACATCTTTTATGCAGAATGATCACTAACAAAAATAAGGGAGAAGAATGCATTGTCATCTAAATCTTTGTGATTATCTCATCTTAGGCCATAATATTTATGTTCAGTTTTTAAAGCCAAACTAAGCCCACTGGATTAATTTTAGAAACATACATTATCTTTTCTTAATTTTAAGATAACCCAAGATAAATGAGTCCTATAGCTTCATTAGCACTTGGGTCTTTATAACTGCTAAAAGTAAAATGAACTGGGCATTTTGCCCCCTTTTTTGTGTATTATACACAACTGAACTGCAAATTTACTTTTCCTAAGAATATGCCCTATCAATGGGGCTCATCTGTGCAGATTAATGGGCATATATATTTTATTTTCTTCTTGGAGAGGAAGAGAGAAAAGCAAGAAGATCTGTGCAAATAGGATTCACCTGTCTTAACAGGCAAGCCACAATGGACCACACTGATCTAACACCTTCCAGATACCATGAATCCAAGGCTTTCAGATAATATTCTTCCAGCTTCATCCCAACAGCATAGGCAACTCACAGGGTTGCCATTAGCAGGATTGTGCATGACCTGAATTCTTCTTCATTTCTGTATTTCAGAAGTATGGTGACGGAGTCGTTAAAAACGAAAAATCCAGTTAAAAAAAATTTTTTTTAATAGCCGGGTATGGTGGCTCACACCTGTAATCCCAGCACTTTGGGAGGCTGAGGCGGGCAGGTCACCTGAGGTCTGGAGTTCAAGACCAGCTGGCCAACATGGTGAAACTCCGTCTTTACTAAAAATACAAAATTAGCCAGGCGTGGTGGCAGGCACCTATAATCCCAGCTACTCGAGAGGCTGAGGCAGAAGAATCGCTTGAACCCGGAAGGTAGAGGTTGCAGTGAGCCAAGATCACGCCATTGCACTCCAGCCGGGGTGACAAGAGCAAAAACTCCGTCTCAAAACAAAGAAAAACAAAGTTTGGAATTGTTTTTTAAATCAAGTGAGTTACAGAAGTCATCCCAATAAGTGGAAGGTGGTGGCACCAGGAAATAAGTTAAAAGACAACACTACACAGATGTCTCTAAGAGCAAGAGGAGAATTATGAAACCAATTCTCAAAACAAATGCTAATCATATTTTACAACTGATTTATGAGTAAAAGTAAATCGAACCCTTCCAACCAGCCTCAAGCTTAAAACCACGTTTCCTACTCACCAAAAGTATCCTTCTCATATAAAACTGGAGGACTAAGGTCAGTTATGTTTAACAAGCCAAAAGGAGCATCACAGAAGCTAGCATTCGACTGGGCATGGTGGCTCACAACTAGTAATCCTAGCACTTTGAGAGGCTGAGGCGGGAGGATAGCTTGACACCAGGACTTGAAGACCTGCTGGGGCAACATAGGAAGACCCCATCTTTACAAAAAATCCAAAAATTAGCTAGGTGTGGTGGTGTGTGCCTGTAGTCCCAGCTACCTGAGAAGTCGAGGCAGGAGGATCACTTGAGGCCGGGGAGGTTGAGGTTGCAGCTGCAGTCAGCTGTGATTATGCCACTGCACTTCAGCCTGGGTGACAGAGCAATACCTTATCTCAAAAAAAAAAAAAAAAAAAAAAAAAAAAAGGCAATCAGCATTAAGGTATATTAGTATATTTCTTTTTTATTATTTTTTAAAGTTGTATCACTTAGTTGGAAAATCTTGTGAAATTATTCAGATAATTATCTCTAAAAAGACATGGTTTAAGAGAAAAGCTAAAGGGGGGCAAAATAATGCATCAATAATCTGCCTGGTGGGTTCAAACAAAAATTATATATATATTTTTTACTTTGTGAACCTCTCTTTTGTATATGAAAATACTTTCAAACCATTTTTATAGCTTTAATAATGCAGAGCTAAAATTTTAATCACTGCAGATCTCTTTAGTAGAAGAGTGTTATTTGCAAACAGTATCAATGATTTCACCTGGGTCCAGACCAATACAATCTTGGATCTAGCTAGAAATGGTTGCGGGGTGGAGGGGTAAGAAGGAGAACTTTAACTTTCTTCAGTATACTGGGGAAACTTCTGCTGAAAGACCTTATGGTTATCTCAGTAAATTGGCTAAGTTGTATCTCATTTTCCATCTCCTGACTACAACGCTATTAGCATGGGAGCCACAGTCTTCAATTTTCCATGATGTGTTCACAGAAACAACTTGAGGCAACAGTTATTTGCTATTCAATCTCTACAGTAAAAATGCTGATAAATTGGCAGTCCCGCCTATCTTTCTGAACTCAGCTATTAAAAATCAACATTAAAAATTTTAGAATAGACACAAATATCCTCTTGCCATTTGCTTCGAAATAAGAAAGTAAGCAGGTGCCCAAGGAAGACTTGACTCCTCAGCTGTGACTGCCAGAGGTTGTGGGTAGGGAATAGGCCGGTCAAACAATCCACTGAGGAACCCAGAGACACAGGGGAGAATAAAACAGTGTGGAATGAATTCAACAAGGTAGGCAGATGGAGGAGGAAGAGCACTAAATATTGCATGATTCAGGGAAGTGCTCATTTATTTCCTCCTCTATAAAATTAAGAATATTTGCCCTACCTAATTAATAAGCCTATAAAAAAATAACGTGTGATTTATGTTTTTTCACCTCTAAAATGTTAGACAAATATGCCATTTAAAATTTTTAAACTCAGGCCAGACGTGGTGACTCACACTTATAATCCAGGGTTTGGGGAGGCCGAGGTGGGAGGATTGCTTGAGGCCAGGGGTTCAGGACCAACCTCGACAACATAGCAAGACCCCGTCTCTACAAAATAATAATAATAATAATAATAAAATTAGCTGGGTTTGGTGGCACGTGCCTGTTGTCTTAGCTACTTGGGGAGCTGAGGCAAGACGCTGGCTTGAGCCCAGGAGTTTGAGGTTACAGTGAGGTATGACCATACCACTGCACTCTAGCTTGGGCAACAGAACAAGCCCCTGTCTCTAAAACAAACAAAGTTAAAGATGAACAGTTCTGTTTAAAATAAATGAAAGGAAAAAAAATCCTACTTCAATCAGAGGGTATGATTTCGATTAAGGTAAAGAATCTAAGCCTCTTGCATTAAGGTAAAGATGAGTTATTCAGGAAAAGCCACCAGACAGCATCACACACTTCCTGGTGGTCTCCAGGTGTTCCCAGCAGTGGCATACAGGGCATAATATAAGGATGAAACCAGCCTGGGCAACATGGCGAAACCCCTTCTCTACCAAAAATACAAAAAGTTAGCCGGGTGTGGTGGTGCATGCTTGTAGTCCCAGCTACTCCAGAGGCTGAGGTGGGAGGATCCCTTGAGCCCAGGGAGACGGAGGTTGCAGTGAGACAAGATTGTGCCACTGCACTCCAGCCTAGGTGACAGAGTCAGACCTCATCTCAGAAAGAAAAAAAAAAAAAAGATGAAAACACTGCTCTCCATTTCCACAATTCCAGTAAAATTTCAGGTATGGGGGGTACAGACCAAATGCCCCAGAAATGGCTCCCTCCTTGCTACCTTGAATTAAAGGCAACTAACTCATGAAGACAGTTGTTCCTAGTAAAAAGTTGGTACTCAGCGCACTGTTCATTCAACAAATAGTTGTTGCATCATTATAATTTTGAAAACATATAAACATTATCTTTGGGATTTATAGGTATGGGTGCTGATCTAGATTTTAAGCAAACTTGATATAAAACCCATATTTGAAAAAAAAAGTTTTTGTAGAATTACGGAATGATTCACCTTAGAATAGTGTAAATAGCAAGTGCTCTCGTGTATTTACAGTATGATTCCACCAAAAGGATGATTTTAAAATATGAAATCACAGGAATCAAGTACTCGCCCAGTGCCTGGAATTTATGGGGTATAGAAAAAGTTGGTTTATTTTCCCTGTGGCTCTTTCAGGTCATTATTCCTCATCTAGCAGCCCAAGTTTCCTCTTCTTTTATTTCTTATCTGTGGTCAGTTGCATGGATTTGACTTTTGCAATGTCTCTCAACTTTAGCTTTGTCCTCTCCTTCTCACCCCCATTCACACCACTCAATATTAATCCAATACATTCCACGTACCTGCTTCCCTGCCATAACCTAAACTCCAACAAATGTGTACCAAAAATTATACAGCATAATAGATAGCATATATAATGCACATTTACTGTTAGACCCTGTGCTAAATACAACACAGGCATCATTTTTCTCTCACCTACTCTGTAAGACAGGTACTATGTTATGTCTGTGGATAAGGAAATGATGGCTTACAATGGTTTAAATTTTAACTTTAAATCTGTTTAAACTTCAAATAAGTATCCCAAAGTACCACTTGCTCTGTCTTGCTTTTTTTGTTCATCCCGCTACTTGGAACACCCGCCCATCTATCTCACCTACTAAAATCTTATTCCTCCTTTAACTTTATCCTCATCCTCTATGAAACCTTTCCTGCTCTAACCAACTAGATGTAATCTTTCCTTCTTGTAAGCCCTCTCCCACTTTTTACTTCTCCAAATCTCACATTATATTATAACCATTTCTGTGCTTAATTCCCCCTTCTAATTTGTGTATTCCTTGAGGTTAGAAACATTGTTCATCTTTAAACTTACCGTAGCACTTGACTTAGTCAATTATAAAATGTGTTGGATAACTGAAAATTGATAAGTGAAAATAAAGGAACTATGTTAAATATTTTTTATGAAAAACCATTGCAGTCAGCCGGGCATGGTGGCTCATGCCTATAATCCCAGCACTTTGGGAGGCTGAGGCGGGCTGATCACCTGAGGTCAGGAGTTCAAGACCAGCCTGGCCAACATGGCGAAACCCCGTCTCTACTAAAAATACAAAAGTTAGCCAGGTGTGATGGTGCATGCCTGTAATCCCACCTACTCGGGAGGCTGAGGCAGGAGAATCACTTGAACCTGGGAGGCGGAGGTTGCAGTGAGCCGAGATCATGCCACTGCACTCCAGCCTCGGCAACAAACCAAGACTCCGTCTCAAAAAAAAAGAAAAAAAGAAAAGAAAAGAAAAGAAAAGAAAAGAAAAGAAAAGAAAAGAAAAGAAAAGAAAGCCAGTGCACTTTACAGGTTCCTAATATGAAGCGGACCAAAAAATTGGCACAAGAGTTTATCAAGGGAGACTTTAAGGAATCCCAAGTTGGTCAAAGAAAAGACTAATAAAAATCCAAATCAGTTATTTGTTTAAAAAAAAAACTTTTTAAAGAAAGTTTTTGAGTTTTTAAAGTTCAAAGTACTGCTATTCCTGAAGGTGATTTTATAATAGCATCATTAAGACTAAAGTGATTTTCTAGATTTATTCATTTAACAAACACTTCGTACAACACTTTATGTTAGACACTGTTGAAAGTCATTTTCAAATATTTACTCATTTAAATTTCATAACAACCTGTGAGGTAGGTTTCAGTATTATTATCCCTCTTTTACAGGTAAGGAAATTTAGAAGTTATGTAACTTACTCATGATCACACAGCTAGTGACAGAGCAAGGAATCAAACCCAGGCATCCTTCTCTAGACTTCTCTCTAAACCACTGGGCCATACTGTTTCTATTTTTTAAAATTACAGAATAACTCTCATGTACTATATAGTTAAATATTTTTAAACAATTTGAAGCGTTAAAAATCTTCCATTCGTTTCAAATGTGTTAATTTTGACATAATTTCAGGCTTAAAAGTTGAAAGAATAGTACAAAGAATTCAACCAAATTCCCTAAATATTGTCGTTACTCTTTTGTCTTTCTTTCTCAATATGTACGACTTTTTTTTTTCTGATCTGTTCTGACCTTTTTAATGAACTGTTGGATTTGGTTAGCTAATATTTTGTTGAGGATTTTTGCATCTATGTTCATCAGGGAGATTGGCCTGTAGTTTCCTTTATTTGTGTCTGTCCTTTTCTGGTTTTGGTATCGGGTAATGCTGTTCTCACAAAATGAGTTTGGAAGAATTCCAACCTTCTCAATTTTTTGGAACAGTTTCAAAAGATTGGTATTAGTTTCTTTCTTTTTTTTTTTTTTTTTTTTTCAGGAGTTTCGCTCTGTTTCCCAGGCTGGAGTGCAACGGCATGATCTCAGCTCATTGCAACCTCCACCTCCCAGGTTCAAGCGATTCTCCTGCCTCAGCCTCTAGAGTAGCTGGGATTAAAGGCACCCACCACCATGCCCAGCTAAGTTTTTGTATTTTTAGTAGAGACAGGGTTTCACCATGTTGGTCAGGCTGGTCTAGAACTCCTGACCTCAAGTGATCCGCTGGCCTCAGCCTCCCAAAATGCTGGGATTACGGGCGTGAGCCACCGTGCCTGGCATGGTATTGGTTTCTTAAGTATTTGGTAAAATTCAGCAGTGAAGGCATCAGGTCCTGGAATTTGAGGGAGACTTTTTGATAAGAGGCTTTTTATTACTGATTCAATCTTGTTACTTGCTGGTCTAGTAATGAGACCAACCTGCTATTGGATCTTCATGATTCAATCTTGGTAGATTCAATGATTCAATCATGATTCTTCAAATGTATTCATGAAGAAATAAGAATGTTTAGATCTATTGGTCCATTCAGATTTTCTGTTTCTTCCTGATTCAGTCTTGGTAGGTTGTATGTGTCCAGGAATTTATCCATTTCTTTTTAGATCTTCCCGTTTTTGGTTTATAGTTGTTCATAAGTCTCATGATCCTTTTGTATTTCTGTGGTATCAGTTGTAATATCTCCTTTTTCATCTCGGATTTTATTTATTTGAGTCTCCTCTTTTTTTTCTTAGTCTAGATAAAGGTTTGTCGATTTGGTTTATCTTTTCAAAAAACAACTCTTTATTTCAATGATCCTTTGTATTGTGATTTTTAGTCTCTATCTTGTTTATTTCTGATCTAATCTTTGTTACCTTTTTCCTTCTACTAATTTTATGTTGAGTTTGTTCTTGTTTTTCTAATGCCTTGAAAGGCAAGGTTAGATTGTTTGAGATCTTTCAGTTTTTTTGATGAAGGTGTTTATGTTATAAATATACTCAGAACTGCTTTTGCTGTATTCTATAGGCTCTGGTATATTGTGATTCCATTTTCATTTGTCTCAAGAAATGTTTTAATTTCTTTTTTAATTTCTTCATTGACTCACTGGTTATTCAGGAGCACGTTGTTTAATTTTAATGTATTTGTAGAGTTTTCAAAGTGCTTCCTGTTATTGACTCCTAGTTTTATTTCATTGTAGTCAGAAGAGATACTTGATATAATTTCAATTCTTTGAAATTTGTTCAGACTTGTTTTATGGACAAACAAATGAACTATCCTGGAGAAAGCTCCATGTGTTGATGAAAAGAGTGTGTATTCTGCAGCTGTCGGGTGACATGTTCTACAGATGTCTGTTAGGTTCATTTGGTCTTTGGTGCAATTCAAGCCTGATGTCTCTTTGTTGATTGTTTTTGTCTGATAATCTGTCCATCACTGAAAGTTGGGTGTTGAAATCCCCTACTATTATTGTATTGCAATCTATCTCTCCCTTTAAGTCTAATAGTATTTGCTTTATATATTTGGGTGCTTTTTTCATGATCTGTTTGAAAGTAAATTGCAGACATGATATCCTCTAAATACTTCAGTGTGCTTTCTAAATTAATGTATTATTTTACATAACCACAGTACAGTGATCAAAGTAAGGACTTTTTTTTTGGTGGTGGGGATGAAGTTTTGCTTTGTCACCCAAGCTGGAGTGCAATGGCATGATCCTGGCTTACTGCAACCTCTGCCTCCCGGGCTCAAGCAATTCTCCTGTCTCAGCCTCCCAAGTAGCTGGGATTCCAGGTGTGTGCCACCATGCCTAGCTAATGTTTTTGTGTTTTTAGTAGAGATGGGGTTGGTCTTGAACTCCTGACCTCAAGTGATCCACCTGCCTTGGCCTCCCAAAGTGCTGGTATTATAGGCCTGAGCCACTGTGCCTGGCCTAAAGTTAAGATCTTGACATGGATACAGCATTATTAGAACTAGGTCCCAGTCCCAAGTACAGACCTTCAGATTTCACTAGTTTTTCCCATGAGTTCCTTTGTTAAAAAAAAAAAAAATCCAGGACCATTATTTGCATTTAGTTGTCATGTCCTTCACTTTTCTTTAATCTATAACAATTCCTGGGTCTCTCTTTCTTTCTGTATCTCTCTTACTTACTATCATGATGTTGACATTTCTGAGGAGTACAGGCCAGTTGTTTTGTAGAATGTCCCTAAACGTCAGGTTGTCTGGTGTTTCCTCATGATTAAATTCAGGTTAGGCACCTTTGCTACCTCTATTGAACATATTTAGCGAACTGGATATTGCAACGTCAATCTGAAACAATGGCAAAATGAAAAAGGAGGCTACAACAACCACAAAGAGGTGTGTGATGCTAATCATGAGTTTGACAGAAGCAGAACTTCTCAGTATTCCTCAACTTCATACGATAAGAATAGTCCCAATTATAACAGTCAAATTAGTAATATTCTTGAAATAATAATTAAATTTTTTATTTTAAAATTCCGAACTGTATCTCTTTCTCTCTCTCTCATATTCCAGGTACATATTCACCAGATATTTCTAATCTGCCATTTCATCTCCTGAGAAATACCCATCAGAAAGGAGAACAACTATTGTATAAAATCGGTTCTTATTCTTTGGTGAGATGGAGCCCTCGATGAATGGTCATTGAGTTTTGTGGTTTGAAAACCAACTCCTTTTACATTTGGTTATGAAAACCCGAGTTTTTCATACCTGTTAACCTCTTGGTAAGCTGATAAACCTGTATTTCTGAAACTGCAAAACTGAGACTCACAGGAAGCCACTGGGGTATATCAAGCTTTACAAGTGTTCCTCCTCTTATCCTGGGTTGCCTTTCACAAAACAGTTCCTAAGGATGACCAATAAGACATAGGAAGCAGAGAATTTTCATAAATTTAGCAGTGTCTAAATAATCAGAAAGATCAAAAATCCTTTCAGAGTTGATAGAGGGTTCCTGTATAATTCAGCAAGTGACCTCAATAGAAACATTGTGCCACAGGCTTCCCTTTGGCAAAACCAGAAAAGAATTTGTGATTGTTTACTTAGAGAAAAAATATTTTCTTATGAGCTAAAGAGCCAAATACAACCGTCTATGGCATTTCCAAGAGAACCACTTTTTGCCTTCATGAGAGCTTCATCATGCTACCATATCTCCTTATCTAGAGAATATTTTAAAGACATTTTTAAAATTAAGAGTGTCAGTAACCAAAACACAAAGACTATAAATTGAATTAGGAGATGCCATGGTCCTACAGTCAAGAGATTTTTCATTATGGGAATCCTTGCATTTAAAGTAGAGGAATTTTAAATCCTTTGTCTAAGTCTACAGGATATAATAAATACATATTTTTTCTAAAATTAATAATTCGAAGGGTTTTGCATGAAACTGAAGACTAACTTTTAAATTAAACTAGTATTATGCATTCTAATAATTGAATGCTTCAATTCATAATTGACTTTTTAAGCTATTTCATAGAATACAGTGAGAAAGAGATTGCCAAAGCCCACATCATCAACATAAGTAGGATTCTATAAACGAGACCTGCAGATGAGTATTTAAATTTAGGTTTATGCATACAATTTAGTTATTTTAGATGGGGTTGATGCAGAGATTTTTTTTTTCCAACGAGAGATGAAAGAAAACCCAGAACTGAATTGCCCACAAGTCTTTTGAGTTATGAAGTAATTTGAGAATAGAAATTTCTTCTATGTAATTCACCTTTTCATTCTGGGATTATAGTTGTGGTACTAGAATAAGCATGAGCATATTGTTCAATGGAGTAGAATTGGGAGTCCCTACATCTATGGCCAATGTATTTCAACAAGGGCACTAAGACAATTTAAGAGGAAAAGAGGAGTCTTTTCAACAAATGGTGCTGGGACAACTACATGTACACATGCAAAGAATGAAATTGGATCCCTAACTCACACCATATACAAAAATTAACTCAAAATGGATCAAAAACCCAAATGTAAAACCTAAAGCCATAAAACTCTTAGAAAAAATACAGACCTTAATTTTTGTGATCTTGGATTGGGTAATGGATTCTTAGATATGACAACAAAAACACAACCAACAAAAGAAAAAATAAAGTGGACATGGACATCACCAAAATTAAACACTTTTATGCTTCAAAATATACTAACAAGAAAGTGAAAATACAAACCACAGAATTGAAGAAAATATTTGCCTATCATATATCTGATATGGTTCTAACATCCAGAATGTATAAAGAATTCTTAAAATGCAACAATAAAAAGAAAAATAATCAATTTTTAAGTGGGAAAAGGATTTGTAGACATTCCTCTAAAGAAGATATACAAATGGCAAATAAACACATGAAAAAAATGCTCAATATCATTAGTCATTAGGGAAATGTAAATCAAATCACAATGAGGTGTCCCTTCATATCAATGAGGATGGCAACAATAAAAAAGATGGACAATAACCAGTGTTGGCCAGGACATGGATAAATTGGAACTCTTATACAGTGCTGGTGGGAATACAGAGTGATGCAGCCACTCAGAAAAGCAACTGGTAGCTCCTCAAGATGTCAAACATTGAGTCATCATATGGCCACACAGAAAAGTTTCTGTAATGTCCATGCAGGACATACAGTACTGTCCATAGCAGCATAATTCATAATAGCAAAAAAATGGAAACAATGCAAATGTCCATCAATTGATGAATAAACAAAATCTGATACATCCAATTAATGGAATATTATTTAGCCATAAAAAGGAACAAAGTATTGATACATGGTGTAAGATGGATGAATCTTGAAAACATTATGCTAACTTTTTTTATGGTTAAACATTATGCTTAAGAGAAAGCAGCCAGACACAAAAGGACATATATTATATGATGCCACTCGTATGAAATGTACAGTATAGTAAATATATAGAGATAGAAAGCAGTAGCCAGAAACTGGGGTAATGGGGAATGGGGAATGAGGGCATGAGGGTGTTTTTTAGGGTGATGAAAACACGCTGGAATTAGTGATGATGGTTACATGAGTCTGTAAATACACTGACTTGTACACTTTAAATCGATAAATTTTATGGTATGTGAATTACATCTTAATAACCATAAATACATTTTAAAATAAAGCATTACTAGCATAGAAACAAAGACACAGAGAATTAGCTGAATTTCCCAAAGTTAGCAGCAGAACCTGCATTCTGATTTGCAAATCCATGTATTTTAATCTATTCTTCACTGTGATTAGCTGCACCTAACCCAATTCCCATAGTGAAACTCTCATCTGGTTTCCGGTTAATTACTGAGGTTTTAGACCCAGCATAGTAGCTCATGACTGTAATCCCAGCACTTTGGGAGGCCAAGGCAGACGGATCACTTGAGGCTAGAAGTTCAAGACCAGCCTGGGCAACATAGCAGGACTCCATCGCTACAAAAAAATTAAAAATTAGCTGGGCAGGCTGGGCATGGTGGCTCATGCCTATACTCCAAGCACTTTGGAAGGCCTAGGTGGGCAGATTGCTTGAATCCAGGAGTTCGAGACTAGCCTGGGCAACATGGTGAAATCCCATCTCTACTAAAAAGTGCAAAAATTAGCCACATACGGTGGCAAGTGCATGTAGCCTCAGCTACTCGAGGGGGCTGAGGTGAGAGGATCACTTGAGCCTGGGAGATCAAGGCTGCAGTGACCGAAGACCATGCCACTGCACTCCAGTCTGGGCAACAGAGGGAGACCCTATCTCAAAAAAAAAAAAAAATTAGTTGGCTATGATGGACTGCACTTGTAGTCCCAGCTGCTCAGGAAGCTGAGGCAGGAGGATCCCTTGAGCCCAGGGGTTAGAGGCTGCAGCAGAGAGCCATGATTACATCAGTGCACTCTAGCCTGGGTGACACAGCAAGACCCTGTCTCTAAAAAAAAAAGAAAAAGAAAAAAAAAAGAAATTGAAGTTTTATGTCAAATCTATTGGAAAGTATTTCCCTGCTTACTCACTGTGTAAACTTCAGTTTACTTGAGATCCAAATTTACTCCTACATCATCAGTTTACTTAGGATCAACTTTTAAGTGAATTAGTAGACATTTACTGAGTACCTCCATGTGCCCAGTACTATGGCCATTGTTCAAAATGCTGAACTCAAGCTCAGTAAGTCAGGAAACTAGAAATACAGGTTGAGAAATCACTGGTCTACAGGTGATAGTTAAATTGGATGAAATTGCTCAGGAAGAACACGCAGAGGGAGGAGAGGAGCTAGGCTGGAAGCCAGCGCACCTGGGCGTTTCGGAGCATCAGAAACCACCTACCAGTGACAGGTGCTGATAGGAAGTGATTAGTGAATGAGAGAGGTGAGAGAAAGTTATCCCACCTTATATTAAGCCTTACACCTTATCACAGTGCATTGGTTTTGTTTGTTTGACATGGCTGTCTCCCTTGTTAATCCCTGAGATCCTCAGGGTTCTGACTTGCTCTATTGCAAAAAAGGTATTTAGATAAGTCACCAGGGCCCTCCAAATTGTAAGATTCCATAGATTTTCTCCACTCCTTATTTAATCACTGCATTGCATTTGATACTGTTAACCAGTACATATCTCATTGTTTGTTACAATGTGGGCATAAAAATGGTGCTCCTCTCTTGGAAGCCCAGAAAGAACAGCTGCTTTGAACATAAGGCTGAACTGGCATGGCACAGAATCCTCGCACTGTGTGCTACCACCTCTCCCCTACCCCCTCCTCCTCCCCGCAGTCCCCCACACCTTGCCCTCCACTGTCTCCCCTGCAGAACCAATTCCTTGCATAGCTCTTTGTGATGCTGCCTCTCTGAGGCTCTATCCAGGGGGCGCCACCACAAACGAAAAAGAAAGACCCAGGGTCTCTATTGAACAGAACAACAGTAGGGGAAGAGTCTTGGCTCCACCCAAAACATATCACTTTACACAAGCTTCATGATACCTGTCCTGGCTCTGTCTCCTAGGCAGGACCCTGCCCTTTCTTGGCTCTCTAAACATGATGTACTCATTATAATATTTTTTATAAGGAATCCAGACCAATCATGGTGGCTCATGCCTGTAATCCCAGTGCTCTGGAAGGCTGAGGCAGGAGGATTGCTTGAGGCCAGGAGCTCAAGATCAGCCTGGGCAACATAGTGAGACCCCATCTCTACAAAAATTAAAATTAAAAGAAAATTGACCATCACATATGGGCATGCTTCTTTCTATTCTACACTCATCCTGAGCCATTTCGTCTACTCTTATGTTGTCAGCCCTAATCTATATATTCATAATTAACTTATATTTTTCAGATCTGCTCCTGAGCTCCAATGCCCTATATCCATCTCATCCTTGCACGTCTCAAATTCAGCATGCCAAAAAATGTTATTCTTTCTCCCAAAGATATGTTTTTTCAACATGTCTGCTATCATATACCCTTTAACCCAAGCCCACAGTCTAGGAATCAACCTCTCTCTTTCTTTCTCTCCAAAAACCAATTGATAAGGAAATCCTCCTCTCCATTCTACCTCCATAACATATTTTAGATCCAGCAGCATGCTCATTAGTATGTCTCATTTTATATCCCCATCACTTCTCTCCTAAATGACTACCACTAACTTATGGTCTCCTTACCTCCCACCACGCCTTTACTCCAATCTACAGAAAGATGGCGCTTTCTCAAATACAAAATCAAATATTTAATTCACCAGATGAAAAATCTTTAGCGACCTATACCATGGTTCTCAAATTTCCCATCAGGTCACCCTGGGACACCACAGGGAACAAACTCACAAGGTTGCTGTGGGATATTTTAAATGTTTGAGAGAAATACAGCCCCACCTATCAAACACCTCACAAATGACCACTAATATGTTGTTTAGACTTACCTACTTAACGAATGGAATTGTGAAGTATGTCTTCTGGCTGAGGGCACCATGAACAAATTACGAAGATGCTACAGATGCAGTGAGCTGGAAAGTTTGGGAACCTATGACTTACCAAACATCTTCAAGCCTCCTACGTTGGCATGAACTCATCTTTACCTACTGCTCCAGCCTTGTTTTGATCCTTACTGTGCCTTTCTTTTCCCCCCAGTCCTACACTACAGCCAAGCAGACAGGCTTGGATCTCCCCAAATACATCCTTCTTGCCATCCTGATTGGTTAGGCCCTGAAACCTAAGAGAGTAGGGACCTGGAGCTCCCGGAGTCTAGGTGTGAGACCAGGTGCCCTTCATGGAACACAGATGAAGTAGATAAACCAGGAAGGGCATTCCAGAATTCTCATGCCTGATGGATTCTGTTTGAGTCGGATTCTACATGGATTCTACATGAGTTGGATTCTAATCTGAAGTTTGGAAAAAAAAAAAAAAAAAGCTTGAACATTCCTGGGAATTCCATGCATATTTGTCAGGCCAAGGGAAGGGAGGAGGCCAGCTCCGTCATCCCTACCCTGCCTGTGATTTTCTACAGAGGTCTGTATTATTCCAGGGGAGGAGGCAAAGAGACAACCAACCAGGAAAGTGAGATTGCTTTTATTAATGGCTGTATCACCCCTGTCCTTCCCTGAAAAGAGACATCACACCTGAGATCCAGAAATGGCTGCTCCTTTCTTTGTACCCCATTTTATCTCATTCATCATTCTAAGCCCGGCATGGTGGCTCATGCCTGTAATCCCAGCACTTTGGGAAGTCAATGTGGGAAGGCCGCTTGAGCTCAGGAGTTCAAGACAAGCCTGGCTAACTTAGCAAGACCCCATTTCTACAAAAGATAAAATAATTAGCCTGCATAGTTCCAACTACTCAGGAGGCTGAGGCAGGAGAATTGCTTGAGCCAGGGAGCCCGAGGTTATAGTGAGCTATAATCGTGCCACTGCACTCCAGGCTGGGTGACAGAGTAAGAACCCTGTCAAAGAAAAAAAAAAAAACCCACAAAACATATTATTTATTTATTTTGAGACAAAGTTTTCTCTTGTTGCCCAGGCTGCAGTGCAATGGCGTGATCTCAGCTCACTGCAATCTCTGCCTCTTGGGTTCAAGCAATTCTCCTGCCTCAGCCTCCCAGTCGCTGGGATTACAGGTGCCTGCCACCACGCCCAGCTAATTTTTGTTATTTTTTATTAGAGACGGGGTTTCACCATGTTGGCCAGGCTAGTCTCAAACTCCTGACCTCAGGTGATCCACCCGCCTCAGCCTCCCAAAGTGCTGAGATTACAGGCATGAGCCACCACACCCGGCCCACGAAACATAATTTTATCACAGTATCTATAACATTCTTTTGCACTTATTTATTCACCTGTCTGCCCCACTAGGCTATAAACTTGTGAAGGTTCAGGACCATGCATGACTCATTTTTTCATTCTCTTTGCCCAGCAGAGTGACTAATACACAGTAAGTGATGAGTGGGTATTTGATGAATACATAAATTTCAAAAAGGGTGTGGCTAAGCCCCACAAAAAGTTCAAGTAAGTTAGAAAATAAACACTGTCCATTGGATGAAAAAGTTCAGAAGTAACTGATGACATTACGCAAAGATATTTTAAGGGAGTGATGGCTTTCAGGGAGATGTAGCTGACAGTGTTTACTGCCTACCCAAAAACCATTCCTCTGTTTCTTCTTTGCTTAACTGAATTCCAGTTTGATTTAGGCATTGAGCAAATTCCCTTTGATGTGGAAATGTGGGCCTCTACCCCAGATAAAGGGTGATAATATGTCCCAGTTCTGGCTAATATGATGTAAGAGGAAATCCTTTGGTGGGGCATTTTGGAAAATATTATACTTCCTTGACGTGAGTAAGACTCACCAAGAACAAATTTTCTGTTGCCTTCCCACCCAGCAGTCAGTGTGGTTTTTGTACTTACGGCAGCCATTTTGCAACTATGATATGAAGGTCAACTGAATCACAGAGGTGATATCACTGAACCCCCAAGAAAACACTAGCAACTCTTTATCTACAGACTTCTTGTCACATAAGAAAAATGAGCCTCTGTGTTAGCTGGGTTGTCTGTTACATTCTAACTGATATAAGAAGAGAGAAAAGAGAGACAAATGAGAGACCACTGTTCTTAGTGAATATATTACAACTAGTACAGTTTGGTGGCTGCAGGATACAGAGTTTGTTTGGTAATTTTGGAAAGAGGCTGGAAATGGAAAAGCAATGGGTTACAGGGGCTTCTAATGCCAATGAAGAGAAAGGCTTTAATTTTGTTGGCAATAGGGGGCTATAGAGGTTTTGGGGTAATGTTTTGGAACTTTAAGAAGAGTGCTTTGGCAGAAATCAGCAGGGTCTATATGTGCCCAAAGAGTGATGCCTCAGAAGCAATGCATTTGGCATAATCATATTGGTATTGTCCACCACGAGAATCACTTGGTATACAAACCTGGCTCACTCAGTTCACACTGAATAAGCAAAACAATAACCACTTGGCTTCATGATGCTTTTCGACCTAAAATAAACACAAGGTATCAAAGCAAATGAAATGTTACATCTTTCCAGTGCTCCATATGAATAATCCCTGTGGAAGTTATAAGTAAACAAAACTTCTGTTCATAAAAAGTATCAATGACAGATGTAAATACTGTATAAACTCCTGCCATATAAAAGGAGAAAATGAGATCTCACATATCCTTCCACAATACCAATTCCTGACACTTAGCACAACAAATTAGACACACTTAATAATTATTACACACTAGGCTTGAGATTATTCAATAGTTTTTTAACCGTGTTTCTATAATGGTGTGGAGGTTTTTGTTTGCTCACTTTTTAAAAACATTTTCCACGATTTCATTATAGGAGAATAAATGCTCTTATACATAGTCATAGTTTCAAATATGTTTCTGTTCTTCTCATTTAAATCTACTCAGAAAACAAGCTTACAACAGAAGCCAAACTAGGAAAATCTCTGCTGTGAGTATCATATAATATTCAAACACTGCCCAGGAAAAACACTGGGGAATGGTGTTTTCTTTGCCCTCAAAGAAAAGCACGTGAACACCATCTTACAAGATTATTATTGACTAAGGAAAAGAAATGTGTCATTTGTTCATTCTTTAGACTAGGAATTGATGTTAGAGATTTTTAAATAAATTATAACAAGCTTTTAACAATCTACAAAGAACAAAAAGTGTTAATGTCTTCCCATAGTTGCCTCTGATCTTTTTATAAAGAATTGCTGTGGGCTGGGCGCAGTGGCTCATGCCTGTAATCCCAGCACTTTGGGAGGCTGAGGTGGGCGGATCAACTGAGGTCAGGAGTTCGAGACCAGCCTGGCCAAAATGGTGAAACTCCGTCTCTACTAAAAAACACAAAAATTAGACGGGCATGGTGGCAGGTGCCTTAACTGGCTACTTGGGAGGCAGAGGCAGGAGAATCATTTGAACCCGAGAGGCGGAGGTTGCAGTGAGCCGAGATCGAGTCATTGTACTCAAGCCTGGGGGACAAAAGCAAGACTCTGTCTCAAAAAAAAAAAAAAAAAGAGTTGTTGCCCCCTGGGCAGGAAGTTGTTGCCCTCTTCCTATTCCCCCTCCTTCCTTCTTTCTTTCTATCCCAAAGGAAATTACATTTTTTGAAGTTGATATGTATTCATCCTATTGATAGTACTATACTTTCACTTCATATGTATATATCCTGGCCCACATCTTTTATTTATGAAATTCATTATACATAAATTAGTAAATTCTTTCTATATAAGTTATTTATACATTTTGAATATGAATCCTTCACCAAGTACATGCCTTGAAAATATCTTCTCAGTTTATCTTGTAACATTTTATGATATCTTTTGTCATGTAAAAAGTATTTTTAAAAATTTTTATATACAGTCACATGGCACTCAACTACAGGGACATATTCTGAGAAATAGGTCCATAGGCAGTTTTGTCATGCTAACATCATAGAGTGTAATTACACAAACCTAGATGGTTTGTATATGGTACAAGCCTATTGCTCCTAGGCTGCAAACCTGTACAGCATGTGACTGTATTGAATACTGTAGGCAATTGTAACACAATGGTATTTGTATAATTAGACACATCTACACATAGAAAAGGTACAGTAAATATACAATATTATAACCTTATGGGACTATTATCATGTATTGACTAACATATCATTATTTGGAGCATGACTGTCATCCAATTGATCATTTCCTTAATGGATTGTGTATTTTAATGTTTTGTTTAAGAAATCCTTTCATACTACAAATTCTATATTTCCTTTCAATTTTTTTTGTTTTTTTTTGAGATGGAGAGTTACAGAGATAACTCTGCTGCCAGGCTAGAGTGCAGTGGCGCGATCTCGGCTCACTGCAATCGCTGCCTCCCAGGTTCAAGCGATTCTCCTGCCTCAGCCTCCCGAGTAGCTGGGATTACAGGCATGTGCCACCACAACCAGCTAATTTTTGTATTTTTACTAGAGATAGGGTTTCCCCATGTTGGCCAAGATGGTCTCAATCTCCTGACCTCGTGATCTGCCCGCCTTGGCCTCCCAAAGTGCTGGGATTACAGGCGTGAGCCACTGCGCCCAGCCTTCCAATATTTTTTTAATTCTATTTTTCTTATTTAACTTTTTAATTGATCTGAAACTGAATTTGTATGTGGGCAAAAGAAGGGATCTAATTTTATTTTTTTCTTATGAATGTTTGTTTTCTAAATAAGAGAAAATAAAGGAAGCTCAATTGCTCTTTATAATCCGTAAACCCCTTAACAACAGTCACTATGATTTATATTCATCCCATCAATACACTTCCTCAAAGTACTTTGAACATTACTGGTACATAATCTATATTTTTTGGAGAAGAGATACTTTTTTCCAGCCCCCATTGCTTAGACTATATACCAGTTGTCCACCTAAAATAATCTAAGTTGTGCTTAATTTATCCCCCTGAGCAGGAAATAGCATCTTAATAGGATTAACTTGGTATAAGCACTGAATAATTCCAATTAAACTGAAGGGTATTAATCACTTCCCTAACTTTGCCCATTTTTAGAAAGTTCTTCTGGAGAAAAATCTACCTACTCATCAAGTTAGATTCATTTATTTATCTACGAGGAGAAATGCATAACAAAGAAGTAGGAACCTGGACTAAAAACACATTTTAACCTATTTTATAAGACTTTTAAAAATCAACTGTTTGAGTCAAAGAACTACCTGTACGAACCTCAAGTTGATTGATGTTTTTTAAGGGTACCAGTTTACAGATTTAGGCTCTCAACAGGGCCTAGTTGCATTGGTTTAGTCCTTGCCAACACCTATTTACTTTCTCCTTTCTTTTATAAAGAAACAGTCTGAAATTAAGATATGTTTGTAACCTAATTTTAATCAAAGGCAATTAATGAAAACCAAGAAAGGAAATTTTTTAAGGAAACATTCTAAGATGTTTTTGAAGAATACTTCTCTAACACTTTTTGAAAAGAATCTCCTTACAAAATTTTGCTCTTTTCAAACAGTTCCAGGGGCATTAGCATCTCACAGGGATGAACACCTGTTTTGTTTGTTTGTTTGTTTGTTTTGGGGGGGTGGTTTTTGTTTTTGTTTTTTTGCTCGAGGATGGGGTTCTAACAGACCATGGTGAGAAGATAAAACTAACCAGAAGGTGTGAGAATAAACTGACAATTGTAAATAAAGTGAAATATAGTTGGTAAAAAAGAAAACACATAAAAACTTGGGAAGCAAAATCATTTTCTTTTCAAACACTGCATGTAAACTAATTTTTATTTATTTATTTATTTATCTATCTATCTATCTATTTATTTATTTATTTATTTATTTACCACGACTAAGGAGAGTCACTCAGATAGAAAAGATGTCATTGCTTCCAGCTTTTTACTGAGGGAAGCCCGTCACTTGAAATTGCTTCTATTAGCAGGTTCCCTAATAAAACCAAGGCAAATCCTGCACAGCCTCAAAAAAAAAAAAAAAGTTTCTACTACGATTCTGCAGTCAGTATCACCGTCTGTTTTATCTTTAATGTAGCAACGTATTTTTCATGGTTCCGCTTAACAGCGCTTAGAGACCTTGAACTTCAAAATCAGAATGCATCTTAGAGGAACTATCCCAGCACCACAATTTGGGGACGTGGGGACGTTGTGTATTCAAAAGCATTAATCTGTTTTGACTTCATCCTTTCTTTAAAAGGATCAAAAGTCAGCCATAAGTGTAAAAGAAAAACTAATTTTAAAAAAGTTTAGCCTTAAAAACATAACTATCTCAGCGCGTGGGGGTTCCCTCTGTTCAAAAGAAAACAAGAAAAAAAAAAGATGGACATTGCTGTCTTCTTTGCACGCTTCTCTTAAAATCCTCATTGGAAGCCCCCCTGGGAAAATGAGACTCCGATTTCTCACCTGTTTAAAATCACGCCACAGCAACGAATCACTGCAAAAGCAAGGTTCTAACTTAAAACAAAAAGAGAAAGTATTCGCTTCTGCGGAGAACCCGAGCCTCCTCCTGGGCGGGCGACGCTCGGCTGATGGGACCGGGCCGCGCAAGCCTCGGATGCAGCCGGGTGGGGGGCACCAGGCGCTAGGCGAAGGAGCGCAGGACCAAAGGAGATGCTTGGCTCCTAAGATAACACCTTTAAAAAGAAGAAGAAGAAAGAAAGAAAAACAAACAAACAAACTCGATACTTAGCCTCACGATCCTTGCCACCCCCTCCCTGCTCCGCCACCCACACACAAAATAAAGTGAGCCGGGCGGGGGAGTGCGCGCCCTGAAAGGGAACAAGAAGCAAGGCGCCTGTGACACAAAATGGAGAAAGAGGAACCGGGAGTGGAAAGGAAGAAGGAAAACCGAGTAAAGGAGGTTATTCATAAGAACAGGAAAGGGGCCGAGGGGTAGAGAACACCCGAAGGAAAGCGCAGGAGGCCCTCGTGAGAGGGCAAGGGGGAAAAGATCGACGAAGTAAGAGCGAAAAGAGGAAAGGAAAGAAAGACTTTCTAGATGCGGAGTCTCCATTTTCAGCAGCGCCATATTCGCTTTTCCTCTCGCCGCTTTTGGCTGGGTTTTGTGTGCGGCGGTGGACAGGCGCCAGCACATTTCTGCAGCTTCAGCAGCTCTGCTCAGACACCTGGGGAGGGCCGCAGGGCCCGGGCGGGGGACGCGCGCTCTTGGCCCAGGCCCGGGCGCGGCCCCCTCCCCGGCCTGGCGGTTCCTGCGCAGCGCCAGCCCCGCGCTCCTCTAGGCTGCAAAGGGGGCCTCCGACTCGGGCCCGGCCCGGAGGGGACACCTCACTCGGGGCCCCGCGGCAGCCCCCAGGGGACGCGGGCCCTCTAGTTTCGCCCACGGTGTGGCTGGGCATGCGTGCCAAGGGGATGCGTAACCGAGAACCGAAAAAGACGAACTTAACCTTCGGGGAGGAGGAGAGGGCGCACGCTGCGGGTACCGGGGCTTGGGGGCGCTCCTGGAGGTGACGGGGTCACCTCCACCTGCGCGGGGCCACTCTCTGGGAGCCGGCGATCGATGCCCGCCGCGGCGCCTGGCCCAGGCCCCCAGGCCTCTCGCGGCTCCCGGAAAAACGTCCGAGGTCGGGGCTCGGCCGGGAGCCCCAAGCGGGTCCCCTGGCCTCGGGACGCCAGTCCGGGAGGCGGCCGGAACTCCGGTTTTCGCGGTTCTCAGCGATATTAGGCGCGGCCAGTGTCTGAAAGCTCCTCGGGGTTACGTCCTGGGGCGACTGGAGGCGGCTCACGACTCAGAAAGTCGGGGCTTCTCGCCCCGGATCCCCACCGCTGGCGTCTGTCGAATCCCCACCTCGGTCCTCGGGTAGAGGCGCAAGCGCGCCCCAAGACCATTCTCTTCGCGCCCACCCCCGTTATTCTTCACTTTCACTTGACATCGTTCTTCACTCAAGGTTAGGTCCTCGCTAGTGCCAGAGAAGCCCCTGGGTCCCCAGTGCCCTCAGCCCCGCAGCGTAGGGAGCAGCCGGCCCGGGAGATAAGGAGGCCACAGCCATGGAGGCCCCAGGCCCGGAGTCCCCGCGCCGTCGGGTTTTGAGCCGCGCGGCTGGCCAGGACCGCCGGCTCCTTCTCTGTCCCGGTCCTCCGCTCGCAGCCCCGCAGAGGTGACGGTACCTGGAGGCTGGAAGCGACGGTTTCCTCGGGCCGGTGGAGGGAAACATGTCAGGGTCACAGCGAAGGAAACCGAGACCCACAGGGGTCCCCGGGCGTCCGGGACGCGTCGCTGGTTTTGCTCCTAGAAGGAAAGGCCTTCCCGCTTTTGTTCCACCGGCTCACCAGGTCCTCCCTTCCTGGCCAACTCTAACCTCAGCTTTGTGCGTGTCACCCGGCCCCGGGATAATCGGATCCTCCCAGACCCGGGAATCCATCAGAAGCGCTACCCGTACTTGGCGCCCTGAAAGTTCCCCAAGCGCAGCGGCCGCGCCCTCGAGTGCATCCACTCCGCGAGCCACGGGCGGCGCCTGCCCACCCGCGGCTCGGCTTTGCGTGTTGTAAGCCGACTATTCTATCACCATTGCAGGATAAGCTGGCCTTTAAATTTTCAAAGAACATTTAGGTTATTTTCAACAGTTCATGCTTTTCATATCTGTCTTTTCAGACTGCAGATTTCCACAAGGAAAAATGTATCTTTCCTAGACGGCAAAAAGCAGATTTATTTTCCTTTTTAAAAAGTTGCCTTAAAACGCCTATCTCATAGTACTTGGGGATTAAACTGTTTCCCCTAAGAGAAAGTTCAACGGCTAAGCTCAAACGTTAGTCTTGACACCTTTAGTTAAGATGATCCTTTCCCAGTGTTGTTAGTGAAATGTTAAAATCAAAATTTCAAAATGAAGTAGATGTTTTATGTCTTTAGAACATTCCAGAAATTTAAGAACTAAAAATATTGACAAGGTGCAAGGCCTAGTTCACAAATAACATTCCAGCTTCTGTTTCTGTGAGAGTTCTTTTTTAAGGCTATGAAAGATTTTTGAAGTTAAAGTATTCATAGCTGGAACAGACATTTATCATTTGACAACATATGAAATTTTAAATTGTGCATTGTAAGTCTCATGTTTATGTTATGTTTCTTGGATATATTCCATGGCATTTTGTGCTTCTCTCTTTTATGGGAAAGCTTACAATTAACTTACCAGGTTTTTCTTTTAATTTAATCAGGATTAGATTAAAAAAAAAACCCTAAAGCTACTTAGTAAAAGATATTTTATGGCAGCCAAATACAAAAATGAATAAAGCTTAAAGTAAGTTATTTTCTCATCTCTCAAGGATGGTTTCCTTCTGAAATAAAAATTGGAAGTTGTACTTTGGTAGGTGTTCTTATCCACTCAAATCTAGCCACCGAATGCAAGTGATTAGGTATTAAGGCCTACTTAAAAAAAAAAACTCATTGTGAAGCATTTATTAAACCCTAGAAAGAACATTTTTCTTTCATGAGGCCATGTACTGATCAACTTTCAATGCAGAGCAAAGATCAATGGGTGCCACTTCTAGCATTTCAGGTGTTAAATATTGCTAGGTAATATGGAATTCAAAAGGAAAATCATCTCTATTTGATAGATTTGTAATGTAAAAGAAGGCATACAATCAGAGTCTTGGAATTCAGATGCAGAATGTTAAATACAGCTCTTATGTTTTATTCAAAATCCATTTAGAAAGGAAATATAAATGACCTTCATAGCAAGTTTTTGGAAAGATAATACTTAGGAATAGCAAAAAGCTAGTTCACAAATGTCCAGTGTTTGATAGTCAATATATAACACACACAATCTTTACAGAACTATATACTTATTTTTAATAATGCCTGTTGGTATATTTTAAATGGTCCTTATTTGTATTATAAATACCTCAAATTTCAATTATCTGCAATTTTTACATTTTTGAAGTACATTTTCTTAAATCCCAGATTTTGTTATATGTCAGCACATGGAATACATACAGGTATTTCATTCTAACAGAATGAAAATGTAAATATCTAAAATAAGGTATGTATCATACTATCATAGGAATCAGCAAAGAAAATCATTTCACTATAATTCTATTGGCATTTTAAGAACATTCAATGGAAAACATAAATTTCCAATTTATTAAGACCTTATTTTTGTACCTAATTATTAAAGAGTAATACCATCTATGTTCTCTAACAGCCCCTTCCTAATCCATTGCTTTATTAAATACTCTTCTGATTATGTCTACTTGATACCAAGCATTATCAAACACTTAAATAATGAAATGAAATATTTTCATTTCCCTTTTTGTTTATGCTGTTTCTTAATTGTTTTATGAGAAATTGATATAGTTCAAAGATAACAAATGTAAATCTAAAATTAAGATGAACACTTGCATTAATTTATTAAATACATAAAATTCATAGAGGTCCAAGGCAATTAGTGTGTTGAAAACAAATATTAATATATACAGGAAGTTCAAGGGTTACAACTCTTTATGTTACCTGGAAATGTAGGAGTAGCATTCTCTTTTTAAATTTTTGACATTATCTCTTGCTTTAGGAGAGTTGTATATGATACCAAACATTCTGAGAGTATGTGTGACAGTGCTGGTGGTGTAGAGGTGATGGAGTGGAGGTGGTATTAAAATCATTGTATAGCTTTTTCATCTACATCCTTGTTTGAAAACATTTTTGTTTGTTTGCAGCTAAATATCCGGCAATATGTTCAATGCCTCAGGCAATTCCTTAGGTAATTGTAAAGACCTAAAAGTAAACAAGCAAAAGAACATTGATCAGCCAAAATGTTATAGTTTTCATGTCACAAAAAAGAACTGTATATAAGCCATTGATTTTAAGTGGAATTAATGAAAATTCTACAAAGTACTACAGAAAAATTACATAGTCATATTGCTGAATAAGAATGTATTGCCACAATAAATGCAATATTTTTTAGAAGTCAGTAATCTTTTACAGTAGTTTCCACACTTTGTATCTAGTTTTTAATTCATCAATTTATGATAGTACAAGTGCTCCAAATTGAATTGTTTTTAAACATATGGAATACCCAGATGATTTTGTACATGAGGAATAAGAAGAAACTATTGGAATTCTTGATTACTAATAATGGTCTCAACACGATAGCAGAATTTCATAAATCAATTATATGCTCCATTTGAAGGTGATAAAGCATAATTAACTTACTTGACACCAACACAACCAATGTTTTGTTTCTTCACAGAACAGGCTATGAGCTATTTTCAATTATTGCACTGAAATGCTGTCCTCTAAAATTAACAAATGAATGAAGCATTTGCAAACTGGACATTGCACTGAGAACAACGTAGAGTGAAACTATCCAGTTGTTTTTCTAATTATATTTTATCTACTTAGATAATAGGAACTAGCAATTACTAATGTTTTTTTTTTAACTAAGCAATTTGGTGGGAAAAAACATCACCTAAAGTAATGTATTATTCTTATGAACAATGTGAAACAAAATTAATCATTTGGAATGGCATCTAGATAGTAGGACTTTAATTCTTAATTTAGAGTATTGAGCATAAAATACTATGGTTTTATTGAATCTTTTACCATGCCATTTCTTACAGTAAAAAAGGAAAAATAGAAATGGAATATCTAGATAATTAAAATAAACATTTTCTGGTTATGTGAAACAAAGGAGAGTTTTAAGGGGTAGAAGAGGAAGGTGCAGAATTCTTATCTGCCTTCCTAGCAGACAGAGTAGGCAAGTGGCTACTTGATCCAATTTCAAGGACAACTGCAAACAGTGCATCCTCCCCAAATATTTCCATCACCCATTTACTGATGCATTCACCATTTTTGTAGTTTAAAAATTTGAACCTCAATAAAATCCAAATGCTACTGAGAAAACTCACATTCTAAGCTGTTGTCAATTATTTATACCTTTGAATGAGTATCAGAGCAAACGTTGCTGGAAGAAAAAGTTTCGGGACCTTGAATAATTAATGTGAATGGGACAGGAGAACTTGAGGAAGGATGTGCAGAGAAACGGCTGAATTGCTGAGCAACAGAGAGAAACGTTTTTGTGTAGTTTTACCTGGTCTAAATTAACTAACTAGATAATGCCCTATTTTAACATAAACATTTAATGATGCATAACACACTTCATTTCATACTGTTCCCTATAGCTGGGCAATGATTACTCCAAGGTGTAATGGAAAACATGAATTAATTAGAGATTTCGGGTACGAACGTGACATGAATGTAAAATATACAGATCATTAAAATCATGTCTATAAAATAGAAATTAAAATATGAGTTTTGTAATGTATTTGACAACCAGATAATTTGTCTATCCACATAAATCAAACTAACCAGATTATTGCCATATTTCAGCTTTACTATGAACTGTGTTAATAAATATCATGACTAAATACTATCTCTTAAAGCATTTTGTAATAGATGTAAGGGTTTTTTCCCCTTTTGTTTATAGTAATAATAAATTTGCACATTGTGTGGAAATCAAGATCAACTGTTAAAATAGCCAAGCAATCATGTAATCGTTCAGTTACTTCAAACGTAAAGTAGGCTCAGATTTATTTTTTCCTAACAAACTGGTTCTAGTCCACTCAAGATTCTATCCAAAAAGCAGTATTTAGCACTTTTCAGGCTAATTCCAAACAAACGAAGATTAACAGATCATCAGTTTAGCTTCACACATGAAATTGAAAAATGAATTGCTGGTCAAAATGCTAAAAACACAAATGTGAAATTTATATGTGTTCCTTGTTCCTAAATATTGAAAAAATATCAACTAATCATCAAGTTTGCCAAAGCAAAAAAAAATTGAAATATAATTCCTAGTTAATTGGTTTACCATTCATTATTACTTCTCTTTGAATTCAGTAACTTATCAATGATTAAAGATGTGCTTCAACAAGTTAATTCTTTAAGTTCAAATAACTGGAAACCATTTTCTCAATGGTGCAGCATTTCTTAATGTCAGTTCAAGATGTTTGGAGACATATTGCTGATTTTAGAAGCTGATGTGTGCTGATTTATGAAGGAATTGTTTAGCTTGTACTCTGGGCTCTGATCAAGGGAGATACACTCTCAGATACAGCCTGGCATTTAAGGGTACCTCTTTCCTAGCTGATTATCTGCTTCCTGAGTTCAGTTGTAATAGCTTGCGAGCTTCTCCCATCCCATATGACTGGATTCTGATTTCTTATTTTCTGATAGCAGGGTAAACTTTGTTCTCCCTTATTACTAAACGTTGACTTGACAAATAAATAGACCTCCTGCATTTTAATGTTTGTCTGTTTTTGAAAAGATTCTCATCTGTTTCTCTGATCACAGCCTCCCGATCCCATTGCATGCAAACCCAGTGGCTCAGCAAACAGTCAATGCTATTTCTTCTGGTAGCGTGACCATCTGACCACCTGCCCCTCAGTAAGAATAGGGACTTGTCCTCTGTTGACAGGGTTTCCCTCTCAGCTGTGCCTGATGCCAGGCTGTCTAGGAATGGGAGTTCCAGCAGAACAGACCAGGAAAAATAGTGCCTTTGCAGTACCTCACAGTTGTGCTAGAACTTCTCTCAATTTCCCTTATTAACTAGATTAAAAATGAGTAATATTTTTTCAGCTTGTTTGTTGCCAAAGATTACCTTCCACCACCAGTTTATCTGAGAACATGGCCAATTAGTCCATCTTTTTTTTTTTTTTTTTTGAGACAGGGTCTTGCTCTGTCACCCAGGCTGGAGTACAGTGGTGCAATCTTAGCTCACTGCAGTCTGCAACTCCTGGGTTCAAGCAATCCTCCCACATGAGCCTCCGGAGTAGTTGGGACTAGAGGCACTTGCCACCACACCTGGCTAATTGTTTTTTGTTTTAAATTTTTTGTAGAGATGGTGGGCGGGGGGGGTCTCGCTATGTTGCCCAAGCTGGTCTTGAACTCCTGGCCTCAAGGAATCCTCCTATCTCTCTCTGCCTCCAAAATGGCTGTGATTATAGGCATGAGCCACTGTGCCCAGCATGGTCCATCTTCAGCTGAAAGGAAATAGAGGAACTATCTCCCGCATATTCCCATTTTCCCAGGGCTGTGCTAGCCCTGGCAATGACTGGTAAATTCTCTTCTTAGGATTAGATTTCTGGGTGGTAGAATATGAACACTAGAAAGGTCTGGACAAAGGCATCAGCATCCTTGGCCTCGTCTTGGCCTTTAAGCTTAAAAACTGTAGGGAGCACTGTGACTCTATCTTTACTAGTATTAGGTCCCCTAATCCTGGGCCACTGGCTTTGGCCCTGTGGCAGCTTTTGCTGAATTGCAGCACATCTTTGAAGCATCTCTACCAGCCATACAATTATAGAGAGCCAACGCTAGACTGTGTTTTGCATAGAAACTGAAATATATGTTAGTGCTTTAATTTATCATCATGTTTTCTGCCACACAGATCTCTCTGTTTTTACCAGTACTCAATACCTCTCTAAAGGATTCTTAATTAAATAAATGGTTGGCAGGGCCTAACCTTACCACTGAGTATTCTGCTTCCTTGAAGATGTGGTTTGGTCCTCTTGTTCTCAGATTTACCAGCTGTAATCGATTCAGATGGAGGTGTGGGGAAGACCTACTTCCTATACCTGTTTTTAAAATCTACTTTTCTAAAATGTAACATTACTTCATGTATTCCTTTTAACAAGTTTATGAGGAGGGTGTTATCAAACCTATTTTATACCAATGCAAGCATTTGTTCTCAGCTAAACTAACAACTCACATTTAGCCAGGTCTTGTACAAAGTGTGCAAAGTACTTTAAATTCAAAAACTCTGGGAAGTAGGTAAACTATTAGGACATTTTACAGAGGAAGACAGGCTTGGCATCATTAATAAAGTGACAGATACTTACAGATGTTACTGATGGTCTCCATGTTGTCAAATCCAGAGGATTCTTCCCTGTCATGGTCTTACTTAACCACCTAGCACCAGGCAACCCTCTTTGACTGACACCACAACTGCTCGCTCTTTTTTCCTATCTCCTTGATCTTTTTTTCTGTCTCTTTCTTCTTCTTCTTCTTTGTTTTTTTTTTTTTTTAACCAACTCTAAAGGAAGCAGCTCCTTAAGACAGTCGTGGTCTTCTTCTCCGTGTTCTCCACCCTCTTTCCATGGATGTCCCCAAACATTCTCATAGCTTCTATTACAATCTGTATGCCTACAATAACAACACTTATGCCTCTTTCACAAATCTCTTCTCTGAGCATCAGTTAATGATCCAACAATCTACCTGAAGCTACAACCACCTGGTAGATGCTTCAGAAGTGTCTAAAAATCACATAATATTCCAAAGCTGAATCCTTGACCTTCTGCCTACAATGCAGTGATGGCATGGCATCACCCTTTATCTGGCTGTGTAAGTCAGAAACCTAGAAGTCATTCTTCTCTTTAAGATGCCTGTATCTGATCCATCAGCAAGTTCCAGCAATTTCATTCCAAATATATCCTATCTTTCTAATTTTCTCTATCTTAACAGCAGCCATACTTTTTTTTTTTTTTTTTTGAGACATGGTCTCAGTGTGTCACCCAGGCTGGAGTGCAATGGCATGATCATAGCTCACTGCAGCCTTGACCTCCTGGGCTCAAGCCATCCTCCCACCTCAGCCTCCCAAGAAGCTGGGACTACAGGCATGCACCACCATGCCTGGCTAATTTTTTAATTTTTTGTCGAGACAGGGACCCACTATGTTGCCCAGGTTGATCTTGAATTCCTGGACTCAAGTGATCCTCCCACCTTGGCCTCCCAAATGCTGGAATTACAGGTGCGAACCACCACACCTGGCCTGACAGCTGCCATATTAGTTCAAGCCAACATCAACTTTTCCAAAGGGGTCTCCCCTCTGCCTTGTCCCTGAAATCTGTTCTTCCTCAAACTATTGTAAACATTTATTCCGTTTTTTAGCAAAATTTTTACCAAAATATTACGGAATAAATTTTACAGAAAAAGTGCATAAATCATAAATATGCAGCTTGTTGCTGTTTTATAACCTGGACACCCCTGTATAACCAGCACCTGGATCGTGAAATCGATCAGCACCTCAGAAGCACTCCCTCATTCTCCCTCCTAGTCATCACCCCCACAGGGACCCATTCTTCTACCTTCTATTGCCATCAATTAGTTTTGCCCATTTCTGAACATTATATAACTGGTATCAATAGTTTTTAAATACAAATTATGACACAACTGCCTAAACCTCTCAGAGGCTTTCTTTACACTGATAGTAAAATACAAACATGTTACTGTAGTCCCAATACTATCTGTCATCTACATACTTCCTTAGGTTCATGTCCTGTCATTTCTCCCATTTTCTCAATATACTCCAGCTCACTTGTTTTTTGTTTTTGTTATTGTTTTTGGGTTTTTTTTTTTTTTTTTGAGTCTCCCTCTGTTACCCAGACTAGAGTGCAATGGTGTGATCTCGGATCACTGCAACCTCCACCTCCTGGGTTCAGGCAATATCTCCTGTCTCAGCCTCCCGAGCAGCTGTGATTACAGGCGCCCACCACCAAGCCCAGCTAATTTTTGTATTTTTAGTAGAGACGGGGGTTTCACCATGTTGGCCTGTCTGGTCTCGAACTCCTGACCTCAGGTGATCCACCCACCTTGCCTTCCCAAAATGCTAGGATTACAGGCATCTAGGTCTTCTTTTTATTCCTTGGATATGCTAAGAAATATCCAAATGCCTTGACACAGGGTCTTTGCATATGCTGTTTCCTCTGCTACAATGCTAGTTCCAGCATAGCTGGTTTCTTCTTGCCCTGAAATTCTCACCTTAAACATTACTGCCCCAGAGAACTTTCCACGGCCATCATATCCCATTTACTTATCCCACCCTCCTGTCATGGGAGCTGTGTATCAGGGATGGTTAAGTGTCTTTTGTGGCTTGGCAAATGAGAGGCACAAGAAGGTTTTAGCCGCTGTGCACACGTACAATTTGTGGGCTTATTTGATTTGGTTAAATTTGGTTAACAAGAAAAGTGGAAGAATTAGAAAAGAGATGTCAAACAGAGGCCAGGTTCAATGGCTCATGCCTATAATCCCAGCACTTTGGGAGGCCAAAGTAGGAGGATGGCTTGAGGCCAGGAGTTCAAGACCAGCCTGGGCAACATAGCAACACCTCATCGCTACAGAAAGCTTTTTAAAAAATAGCCAGGTGTGGTGGGTGCATGCCTGTAGTCCCAGCTACTCGGGAGGCTGAGGCAGGAGAATGGCATGAACCTGGGAGGCGGAGCTTGCTGTGGGCCGAGATCGCGCCACTGCACTCCAGCCTGGGCGACAGAGCAAGGAGCAAGACTCCATCTCCAAAAAAAAAAAAAGAGAGAGATGTGCTGTTGCAAGTCCTGGTTTACTCTCCTCCACCTCACACAACATGGGCCCAGGCCTGGGGAGGAAGGCTGCAAAGGTATCTTCCTTAGAAATCGTTCCTTAGTTTCACAGAATGCTTCAGTTTCAGTGGGATTTTTGAATGAAATGCCTCATATAGAATTTAGGTTTCCCCTTAGAGAAAATAATGTCTGAGGTCTGGGGAGGTGGCTCACACCTGTAATCCCAGCGCTTTGGGAGGCCAAGGAGGGAGGATCGCCTGAGATCAGGAGTTTGGGATGAGCCTGGGCAACATATTGAGACGCCAACTCTACAAAAATTTTAAAAATTAGCTGAGCATGGTGGTACACACCTGTAGTTCCAGCTACTTGGGAGGTTAATGTGGGAGGATCGTTAGAGCCTGGGAGGTTGAGGCTGCAGTGAGCCATGATTGCACCACTGCCCTCAAGCCTGGGCAATAGAACAAACCCTGTCGAAGGAAGGAAGGAAGGAAGGAAGGGAGGAAGGGAGGGAGGGAGGGAGGGAGGGAGGAAGGGAAGGAAGGAAGGAAGGAAGGAAGGAAGGAAGGAAGGAAGATAATGTAATGCCTGAGATTATTCATATGAAAGTATTCCATGAGCCCCAAAAGCTTGATCTCATGTAGTATAAGCTTGGAGAGAACACAAAAGTGTAATTATTTGTATTTACAGTATAAAAGGTAGTAGAATTTGTTCCTGTTTGGGGTTTTGGTTGGGCTGTTTTGGTTGGGCTGTTTTTGTTGTAAAAGGCAGAGCCTGGCTCTGGTTCCCTCAGCTCACTGAGGTATGAGTTTACAGGGGACAGAGGCCATGTTAGCTTTGTCTGTCCTCGAAGTTCTTCCAGATGGATTCGCTGACTCCCTGATTATCACTGGTGTTGGCTACTGAGGCTCATCTTGCCACTGCTGCAACCCAGGCTTCCTCCTCCTGCCACCCAGTGCTGGGCAGGAGAAGAGGCCCTTGGAAAGAATATTCTACCGTCAGGGACCATGGCCTGGCTCTTTGTGCTCAAGCCAGTTACTTGATTTGCCATTCCCCGCTCAGGACCTACCTGGAGGCTCTCATGGCATTTCTCTACTCCAGGTTGGAGTGCAGGGGTGCAATCACGGCTCGTTGCAGCCTCGATCTCCTGGGCCCACACTGTCTTCCCACTTCTGCCTCCTGAGTCACTGGGACCACAAGTGCGCACCACCACACCTGGGCTGCTTTTTAAATTTTTTGTAGAGACAGGGTCTCACTATGTTGCTAGCCTGGTCTCAAACTCCTGGGCTCAAGCGATCTGCTGGCCTCAGCCTCCTGAGTAGCTGGGACTGTAGGTGTGTGCCACCATGCCAGGCTTACCTCATGTCTTTCAAGTTTCACCTTCTGCTGAAGACTGCTTCATTCACGTAAGTTTTTTATATCAATTTTCTTACAGGGGGTGAGGAGAGGGATTTCAATGGCCCGTTTACCCTTCCAAGCCTACTCATGCCAACCTATGAATGTATTGTCCTTCCACCTGGGGCTGGGACAGGGGATGACGAGGCCATGCAATATGTGTTCCCTTTCAGGAGGTACGGGGGGTGATGCATCTTCTTTAGAAGCAACTGTGGTTATAGCAGGCAATGTATTTGACATTCCTAGTTTATTCTCTTCAACAAAAGTAAAGCCCTAGCAATGTAAGAATAGATACAAAATATATACAGTCATGTAGCTTTTTTACTTGATATTTTTAAATATCAAAGTGCTAGGATTATAGAATATATTATAGAATATATAGATATAGATAGATAGATGATAGATAGATAGATACATAGATAGATGGATATGGGCTAGATGCAGTGGCTCATGCTTATAATTCGAGCACTCGGGGAGACCAAGGAGGGAGGATGGCTTGATGCCAGGAGTTCTAGATCATCCTGGGAAACACAGTGAGACCCCCACCCCGACCACCATCTCTACAAAAATAAAGTAAAATACCAAGCGTGGTGAGCCACAGCTGTAGTCCCAACTATTCGGGAGGCTGAGGCAGGAGGATTGCTGCAGCCCAGGAAGTCGAGGCTGCCATGAGCTGTGATTGCACCACTGCACTCCAGCCTGGGCTACAAGCGAGACCTCATCTCTAAAAAAAATTTTTCATTGAAAAAATAAGATATTCTTTTTTAAAAAATAGCTCTGATTTGAAATGCTTATTTGATCCAGCTGTGGAGCATTATTTACTGACTCAAGAAGTTAATATATTCTTTAGAAGTATTAGTATTCTAATAGTCTATTCCTGCAAGCAGTAAAAACCAGAACATAATAGTTTAGTTTTGTACACCTGGACTTTGATGGAAAAGAGGCTTGGGAGATGACAAGGCATGGAGAGGCTGCTATATGTTCCAGCTGCAGTGTCCAGAATAGATGTTAGGAATTTCCAACTGTCTTCTGCATTATTTAACATGAATTTAACCCAACTTTTCCTTTGGCTCAATGGAAAACAGGTTTTAAGGGAGCAACAAAAGTGTTTTTATCTTCCTTAGGTATTTCTGCAGCAGTGAGAGTAGGAATTTTCCTACCTTCTGAATTAAAACAAGATTACACATTTCCATCAGTCATATCTAGCAAAAAACATAGATGGCATCCTTGATTTCTTCCATCCCCTTCTCTCCCATTTTCAGCCAACCCATCGTCAAGTCCTGATGGTTCTAGTTCCAAAACATATCCTGAGTCTGACCGTGTCTCTGCATCTTCACAGCTAATACCTCTGTCCTAGCCTGGCTGCTGCAATAGGCTCTAGATTAGGAATGCATCCAGCAGCAAACAGAAAGTTCAACTCTGGCTGTTTTAACAAATAAATGTTTATTCGTCTCAAATAAAAATAGTCCAGGGGAAGTCAATCCAGGTCTGGAGCAATGGCTCAACAATGCTATCGGGGACCCAGCTCTATCTTTCCTATTATCCTTAATGTGTTGACTTTTGTTCTCATACTTGTCACCTCACAGTCTCCATGTGGCTGCTACATAGCCAGGCATTGCATTTGGGCTCCAGATAGGAAGAAGGGTAAGGACAGAGAATGATTTCCTTCAGAAGTTATTTTCTGTCTATTCAGGAAGGGAAGCCCTTGCCAGAAGATACCAACTCACATCTCATCAGCCAGAACTGGGTCCAAACTAATTCTTAGACCAACCAATATCCAAAGGACTAAAATTACTGGGGTGGTGATATGGTTTGGCTGTGTCCCCACCCAAATCTCATCTTGAATTTTAGCTCCCACAATTCCCACATGTCATGGGAGGTACCCAGTGGAAGGTAATTGAATCATAGGGTCAGGTCTTTCTCATGCTGTTCTCAAGATAGTGAATAAGTCTTCTGAGATCGGATGGTTTACTTATAAAGAGGAGTTCCCCTGCAAAAGTTCTCTCTCTTTGCCTGTTGCCATCCATATAAGATGTGACTTGCTCCTCCTTGCCTTCTGCCATGACTGTGAGGTCTCCCCAGCCATGCCGAACTGTGAGTCCATTAAACCTCTTCCCTTTATAAATTACCTAGTCTTGGTTATGAGTTTATCAGCAGCATAACAACAGACTAATACAGGTGGGATATAGTAGACTCATTGCACAATATCTCCCCCAGCCTTCTTCTACTGTGCCTTCCTGTACTGAGAAGCTAAAAACTACCTTTCCCAGGCTCCCCTGCAGCTAGGGAATGGAGCAGAGTGGGGAGAAAGGTAGGGTACACCTGTCTATTTTGTTGATGTCAATTAGCAGAGGTAGGGTGGTGTGGAGTGATTAAATAGGTGCTTCTTTACGTCTTCTTTGTAAGATGATTTGAGTCATTATTAACTCCATTAAGTTTGTCACATTTTGGCTTTTGTCTCCTGCTATTTCAATAAAAACTGTTGCGAAATTAAGTAACCCACAATAGAGCACTTCATAGCATATATGGTTGATGAGTGGTGCCTGAAGCAAGATAAATTTCTTTGGTCTCAGAATCACAAATTACCAGGCTTCTTTCTCCAAGGGCACAGCTACTGCTGCTGGTAATGGTGGTGGTATGTGTGATTTCTCTAAATCACCTAGGCACTGAGAATTACAACTAATGGTGTTTTTTTCCCTCTTGACTCTTAAGAAGTTTTAAGGCAAATGCATGGATTTTTCCTGAAAGTATAGTCTTCTTTGTATATATTTTGTGTGATAACCTCTCTTCTGATTCTGTCTTTTCTACTCTTATTTCCCTTTTTCTTGGTTCCCTTACTTATTTTTATTTCACTTTGTTGCATATGTTTTTTTCCACATGGCAGAAACCCTTTCTGGAAATAGATAGGATTATAAGACTATGTCTGCTAAAGGAGAAAAACTATTAAGTAAAGACATCTGGCTCCTTTCCAACTTGGGCCTGGCACAATGGCTGCTGCAAAGAAGGGTGGAAAGAAGAAAGGCTGTTCTGCCATCAGCAAGGTGGTGGCCCAAGAATACACCATCAACATTCAGAAATGCATCCATGGAGTAGGCTTCAAGAAGTGTGTCCCTTGGGCATTCAAAGAGATCTGGAAATTTGCTGTGAAGGAGGTGGGAACTCCAGATGTGCGTGTTGATACCAGGCTTGACAAAGCTGTCTAGGCTGAAGGAATAAGGGTGTCCCATACCCACCCATGTGTGGTTATCCAGAAAACGTGATGAGGATGAAGATTCACCAAATAAGTTCTATACTTTGGTTACCTATGCACCTGTTACCACTTTCAAAAATCTACAGACAGGCAGGATACGGTGGTCATGCCTATAATCCTAGCACTTTGGGAGGTTGAGGCAGGCGGATCACTTGAGCTCAAGAGTTTGAGACCAGCCTGGGCAACATGGTGAAACCTTGCCTCTACAAAAAAAACACAAAAAATGCCGGGCATGGTGAAACCCCATCTCTACTAAAAATACAGAAAAATTAGCTGGGCATGGTGGCCCACGCCTTTAATCCCAGCTACTTGGGAGGCTGAGGCAATAGAGTTGCTTGAACCTGGGAGGTGGAGGTTGCAGTGAACCGAGATTGTGCCACTGCACTCCAGCCTGGGCAACAGAGTGAGACTCCATCTCAAAAAAAAAAAAAAAACCCAGGTGTGGTGGCTCACGCCTGTAATCCCAGCACTGTGGGAGGCCAAGGCGGGTGCATCACCTGAGGTCAGGAGTTCTAGACCGGCCTGGCCAACATGGTGAAACCCCATCTCTACTAAAAGTACAAAAATTAGTTGGGTGTGGTGGCATACATCTGTAATCCCAGCTACTCGGGAGGCTGAGGCAGAAGAATCGCTTTAACCCAGGAGATGGGGGTTGCAGCAAGCCAAGATCACACCACTGCACTCCAGCCTGGGTGACAGAGCAAGACTCCGTCTCAAAAAAAATAACCAAACACACACACACACACACACACACAATTAGCTGGGCATGGTGGCACACGCCTGTGGTCCCAGCTACTCTGGAGGCTAAAGTGAGAGAATTGTTTGAGATTGGGAGGTCAAGCCTGCAGTGAGCCGAGATGGCATCACTGCACTCCAGCCTGGGCGACAGAGCCATATCCTGTCTCAAGAAAAAAAAAATTATAGTCAATATGGATGAGAACTAAGCAGTGATCGTCAAATACATGAAATAAAATTATAAAACCACAAAAAGTAAAGACATCTGAGCTCCCAAATTAGAAAAACTATCACTAATGCTACATATCATAAATAAAAATTGGGGAATAGACACTTTATGGCTATAAAATAATGTTAGTAGAATATTTTAAGTTGGTCTCAAACATGAATCTCTACTTTCTTTCTCAAAAAGAACAAAAAACAAAAACAAAAAAATACAGACTTTCCTCCATATGCTTGCCATAAACTATGAACAGGATGAGTGTAAAAGATGGTCAGTATTGGCCTTAAACCATATTACTATAGTGAGAAAGACTCCACACATCACAGAATTTAACTGGACATGTTTGCACCAACACTTTAAAGAAGATAAATGCATATAGAAATGTTCCAAACACTGGTAGACAGCACTGCCAGGTGAGAAACCCACACCCAAATGACAGCAGTGATTTCTGAGATGATTTAGAGTGGGACCACAAACTAGACTGTGGAGCGATGTGTGGGCAGCAGGCAGTGGTTGCACACAGCCCTGCTCTGACTGCAGCGTCCTGGCCCCAACCAGAAGCTTCCCAGGCTGCCATATTTTTAAAACTAGATGAGATTCCTTTACAGCATTTGAAGGATTCTGCTGTTGTCAAGCCAGTTAAAAATGTGATTGGCCATCCAATTAACAAATTCAAAAGCACAGAAATGTCTGTTTTATGAAATGCAATAAGACGCAATGATTCAGCCTCATGGCTTTCTAATCAGAGCAAAATTTTTACCCCAAATAGTAATTAACCTGCTTCATCAAGTTTGTTTACTAAACACAGTTCCTCTAAAAGGTTTCTGCTTCCCATTCCACTCCCAGTTCAAGTTCATTCTCAAACGCATTTATTAGCATTGAGTCCATTCAAAAGAGTGAGCTGAAGGCCATTTAAGAGGCATTCTCTTAAAATGAGAAAATCTCAATTTTGAGTAAAGGAGAATTATTGAATAAGGGAGTAACCTGTTGGAGACTTCCCTCCTTAAAATCAGTCCTTGCTTCTCCAACGCATTCACAATAAATTCCAAAACCCGGCCGGGCATGGTGGCTCACGCCTGTAATCCCAGCAGTTTGGGAGGCTGAGGCAGGCGGATCATGAGGTCAGGAGTTCGAGACCAGCCAGTTTGAGACCAGCCTCGCCAACATGGTGAAACCGCATCTCTACTAAAACGACAAAAATTAGCCGGGCATGCCTGTAATCCCAGCTACTCGGGACGCTGAGACAGGAGAATCGTCTGAAGCCAGGAGGTGGAGGTTGCAGTGAGCTGAGATCACGCCACTGCACTCCAGCCTGGATGGCACAGCAAGACTTCATCTCGAAAATAATACTAATAAAATAAAATCCAAAACCCTTGGTGTGGCATACACGATTTTTTATTATCTGAACCCTGTTCTTCTCCCTAGCTGCATCTCTGGTCACTCCTCACTGCCCTACAAGATGGGACCATACTGAATTACATGTGGCTCCATAAATACGCCTCACACTCTTTTGCCTCCAGATATCTACACAGTAACCCCAGAACTGTAACCTACCTCCTCTGTCCACTTTTCTTGCCTAACGACTGAGGCCCATGATCTTCACCTCCACCAGGGAACCTTCTTTCACCCCTATTTTTTGGGTACCTCATTGTATCCCATACTCGGTTGTACTCCTTAAGCTGTCCTGAAGTTGTCTGTGTACTCTTCTGGCTCCAACTGTAAGTTCCTTAAAAGCAAGGATTGTGTTATGTTTATCACTACATCTCTAGCACCCAAAAGAGTCCCTGGAACACAGGAGGAGCTAGATACATATTTGTTGAATGAATGAAAGCTATTATTCTGAAGGAAACAATATACTTGCATAAATAGTTTTGCTGTATTTGGGGAAGAAAGTATTAATTTATGGACACAATTTATGTCTTATCAATATTCAGGTTTCCTAAAAAGTACCTAAAAAGTATCATGCAAGTTGGTAATCCTACTACTTGCATTTTTGTCCCACGTCAAATTTATGAAAACTTCATCATAGCTTAAATGAGAAATGTGTAAATCAAAATATTCTTTTAAAGAATAAAAATGCTTTCTAAATAGAGCTCACTATTAAGTTAAAATTTGAAACAACTCTTAGTCATAGTTCCCTGTAGAATAGGAGACTAGCCGGGTGCAGTGGCTCACAGCTGTAATCCCAGCACTTTGGGAGGCCAAGGCAGGCAGATCTCTTGAGGTCAGGAGTTCAAGACCAGCTTGGCCAACATGGTGAAACCCCATCTCTATTAAAAATACAAAAATTAGTGGAGCATGGGGGCACACTTCTGTAATTCCAGCTACTCGGGAGGCTGAGGCAGGAGAATCACTTGAACCCAGGAGGTGGAGGTTGCAGTGAGCCGAATTCACACCACTTCATTCCAGCCTGGGCGACAGAGCAAGACTCCATCTCAAAAAAAAAAAAAAAAAGCAAACTGGTTGTATTTTTATTTTCTAAAGAGTGAAGGGCTCTTTTGCAAGCTGAGAAGAAAAATATCAAGAATAAAAGCTGTCAGTCCCTTCTCTGACCTGATGTTGATAATAATGATGATGATAATAATTTGTCATTGTTAAATGTGTACTAGATACCAGGCACTTTAAATTACTGAATTACTTCATTCAGTTCTTACAACAGTACTACGATTACCTTCATTTAAAGATGAAAAAATAAGTTTTGGAGAAAAGATTCATGCACCTGTGCACACTCAGTAACTAGCAGACTCAAGATTGAAGCCCAGGCAGTCTGACATCAGAGCTTAGATCTTTACTGACTTCTGGAAAATGAAATCTCACATTAAGAAACATAAGATGCTGGCTGGTGCAGTGGCTCATGCCTGTAATCCCAACACTTTGAGCGACCAAGGTGGGAGGATTGTTTGAGACCAGGAGTTTGAAACCAGCCTGGGCAACATAGCGAAACCCCACCTCTACCAAAAATAAAAATAAAAATGTTAGCCAGGCATGGTGGCGTGCACACTTCTGTAGTCCCAACTACCTGAGAGGCTGAGGCAGAAGGATCACTTGAGCCCAGGAGTTTGAGGCTGCAGTGAGCCCTGATGGTGCCACTGCACTCCAGCAGCCTGGGTGACAGAGTAAGACCCTGTCTTAAAAAAAAAAAAAAAAAAGAGCTACGTCTGAGTTTTGGTGAACTCCTACTCTATACATTATATAACATTACCAGTTATTGATTAGAACATGGTCTAAAACTGGGTTTTCTGGGCTTCCATTCAATGGGTTTTAGTTATGAAAGTATTAGAAATTATGTTCTATATTGTTTATCTACTGCTGCAAAACAAGTTACCTCCAAACTGCAGCAGCTTAAAACGACATTCTTTATCTCCCAGCTTTTGAGACTGGGGACTCTGGGGGCTGCATAACCAGGAGGGCAGTTCTGGCCCAGAATCTTCCATGAGGTTACAGTCAAGCTGATGGCCAAGTCTATTTCAAGGGTCTACTGGTGCTCAATGACTCCCTCGTGCAGGTGGTGGGAGGCCTCCATTACTTATGGGATGCTGGATTGGGCCCCAAACTAATCAAAGAGGAAGACTTCCCTGAGTTCCTTACAGCACAGGCCTCTCCATAGGGCAGCTCACAACATGGAGGCTGGTTTTCCTCTGAGTGATCCTTGAGGCAGCCAGAGACGGGGCAGCCAGAGACTGGGCAGCCAAAGGGAAGGAAGCAGCAGTCTTGTAAACCAGTCTCTGAAGGGATGCTTCATGGCTTCTACTCTGTTTTAGTCATTGGAACTGAGTCACAAAGTCCTGCCCCGACTCAGGGGATTTTGCAAAGGCATGACTACCAGAAGATGAGGGTTACAGGGAGCCATCCTAGAGGTTGCCTACCACACATGCTCTTTTTATTGAAACAGGGTCTCCCTCTGTCGCCCAAGCTGGAGTGCGGTGGCTCAGTCATAGCTCACTCACGGCAGCTCCCAACTCGTGGGCTCAAGCGATCCTCTTGCCTCAGCCTCCCAAAGTGATGGGATTACAGGCATGAGCCACTGCACCTGGCCCCCCACATGCTTTAATATGCTAAAAAGAGAGGAATGTCTTAGTTTCATCCCTAAGTTCTAGGTTTCCATTTGTTAGTGTTGGCTTTTTCTCTTTAATGAAATGATTAAAAGATTAGAGCCAGGCACAGTGGCTCACACCTGTAATCCCAGCACTTTGGGAGGCCAAGCTGAGGTCAAGAGTTGGAGACCAGCCTGGCCACAAGGTGAAACCCCATCTCTACTAAAAATACAAAAATTAGCCAGGCGTGGTGGCACATGCCTGTAATCCCAGCTACTTGGGAGGCTGAGGCAGGAGAATCGTTTGAACCTGGAGGCAGAGGTTGTATCAAGCCAAGATTGCACCACTGCACTCTAGCCTGGGCAACAGAGTCTTGCTAAAAATAAAATAAAATAAAAATTCGATAGACTTCAAAGATAAATCTTAGCTAATGAAAGAACCCTTTAACTAGAAGACAAGACTGGAAAGATAAGTAAAATTTAAAATATTTTCAATTCACAGTTACATCACAACACTAGTAAATTTCTTCACAAATATTACATTCTATCCCGCCCACCCTCCTTTTTTTTTGTTTGTTTGTTTGTTTGTTTGTTTGTTTCTGTAAAGACAGGGTCTCACTATTTGCCCAGGCTGGTCTAGAACTCCTGGCCTTGAACTATTCTTCCGCCTTGGCCTCCCAAATCGCTGGGATTACAGATATGAGCCATTGCACCCAGCCCCATTGCACCCAGACCCATTATCTCCTCACACAGTTCAAATGTAGGTCTAAGCTATATTGGGTCCCAATATAGCTTGCACTATATAAGAAATAAGCAAAGAGCACTTTAAAATAACTGTAGGGTGTCAATTCCTGGATACAATTGGGTGTCTCTCATACTTCTATTTTATGTCTAATTTCTGAAATCAGTATGACAAGTATCAAGGCAGAGACTCCTTCAGAACAATCTCAGAAACATATATTTAAGATAAATTTGAGAACAGGAGTGTTACGGTCTTAGATAATACTATTAATCCTTTTAAAGGTATTTTAAATTAGCTGTTTTAAAGATAAGAGAAATATACACTTTAAACCTAGTGGTTAAAATGAAATGGTGATGTTTCCAAATTTTAAATCATTTTGGAATGTCACATATTTTCATGCTTGGAAACTCAGTCTCTATAACTTACAATGACATTATCAGAATAAGTAATCTTTTGTTCTGCAAGTTTATTAATGACCATGACCAAAAACCTTAAAATTCTGATCTGGAATAGCATGAATCTCATTCATAAGTGTGGATGTATGAGTCCGTATAAGGGACTATAAGACGTTTGCCCTTGACATTTTTTTTTAATAGTGCCACTCATGCCAGGCTGGAGTGAGTGGCACGATCTCAGCTCACTGCAACCTCCAACTCCTTGGTTGAAGCGATTCTCCCGCCTCTGCCTCCCAAGTAGCTGGGATTACAGGCATGTGCCGCCACGCCTAGCTAATTTTTGTATTTTTAGTAGAGACGGGGTTTCACCTTTTTGGCCAGGATGGTCTCGATCTCCTGACCTCATGATCTGCCCGCCTTGGCCTTCCAAAGTGCTGGGAATACAGGCGTGAGCCACTGCGCCCAGCCAGCTCTTGATTTATTATAAGGTGAAAATTATACACGCTTCTGAATTTTTTCTAATTAATCAGTTAGTCATTATTATCAACTGACATGTAAGTTTAACCCATGAATCCTAAAGTCAAAAAAATAATTCTTTTCTTTTTCCTATTGCAGAAAATTTGTTAGCATAATTTTTTCCAATTGTGAAATTCTTAACAGTATTGTAAATGTTATAAACATGTTGCAACTCCAGAACCTAATGCTGCACCTAGAACACGGTAAGCTTTTCCAGCTTCATCTGTGAGCTCCAGAAATCAAACCTGAACTAAGGCTTTTCCAGGCTGATAAAAATTTGCCATTTTTATAATAATATTTTTATGATGATAATAGAAATTTAGACTTAGTTTTGACTTTCACAGGAAAGGAAAATATTCTCTTCCTTATGTCACCTAATTAGATAGTCATCTTGTATAAAAGCTATGAAAGTTTTACAATACTATTTGGAAAAACAAAAAGAATTACATGTTGAACACTTTTATTGCTGTTAATATCCAGTCATGTGAAGCCTCATTAATTTACATCTTGTGAGTTTTGAGTTTGCTATAATTGTTACCATAAATGTATTTTCACTTTCACCTTTCTTTTTTTTTTTTTTTTTTGAGATGGATTCTCACTCTATCGCCCAGGCTGGAGTGCAGTGTCGTAATCTCGGCTCACTACAGCCTCTGCCTCCCAGGTTCAAGCAATTCTCCTGCCTCGGCCTCCCACGTAGCTGGGATTACAGGCACCCATCAACACACCCAGCTAATTTTTATATTTTTAGTAGAGACGAGGTTTCTGTCCAGGCTGTTTCATCTGGCCTATTTTCACCTTTCAATTATCTATTAAAAGGGCTTATAACTATTTCTTACATATAAATTAGATTCCACATAAAAATGTTTTTAGGCTGGGCATGGTGGCTCATGCCTGTAATCCCAGCACTTTGGGAGGCTGAGGCAGGTGGATGGCTTGAGCCCAGGAGTTCAAGACCAGCATGGGCAACATGGCCAAATCTCATCTCTAAAAAAATACCAAAAAAAAAAAAAATAGCTGGACATGGTGGCACGTGCCTGTAGTCCCAGCTAGTGGGGAAGCTGAAATGGGAGGATCACTTGAGCCCCTGGAGGTCAAGGTTGCAGTGAGCTGTGATCATGCCATTGCACTCCGACCTGAGTGACGGGAGCGAGACCCTGCTCAAAAATAAATAAATAAATAAATAGTGTTTTTACACTTCAGATAAACTTCTTGGACTCTGTAAGTATTTTATTCAGGAGCACCTATGCTTGCAGCATACAGTAGTCTCCAAAGGATTGCTACCCATCAATATTTATCAACTTAGCACTGAGAGAAACTGTCTTAGTGAAGATGCATTTCTTTACATTGTAATTGAGTCTTGCATAGCCTTCTTCATAATTTATCTGGTTTTATTTTCTAAAAAACTTGACATTATTATTCAATAAAATATGTTGACAAAATCTATAATTCAAAAAAGGCTTCATTTCTGACAAAAGCGGATTACCAGGCTTTTCTAAATAGTGTAAAATTAAGTTTATCAAATTGTCTTCAATTTCTAATTTTAAGCTGATTTTGTATGTTAAGTGAATTTTCAAGAAAGAGTTATCAAAGTATGGTTTTGTTTTTATTTTCATTGCAGAGGGATCATATCCCCAGAAATCACTTTAAAATTGGCCAGGTGCAGTGGCTCACGCCTATAACCCCAGCACTTCGGGAGGCCGAGGCGGGGAGATAACCTGAGGTCCAGAGTTAGAGACCAGCCTGGCCAACATGGTGAAACCCTATTTCTACTGAACACACAAAAATTAGCCGGGGTGGTGGCAGGCGCCTGTAAACCCAGCTACTCAGGAGGCTGAGGCACGAGAATCATTTGAACCCAGGAGGTGGAGGGTGCAGTGAGCCAAGATCGTGCCTCTGGACTCCAGCCTGGGTGACAGAGTGAGACTCTGTCTTAAAATAAATAAATAAATAAAAATAAAAATAAAAATAAAATTGAGTGATATAGGTAGACAATAGGCATTCAGTTCATTTCAAAATGATATGAAAAATAAAATTAGATGTATATGTTACCTAAACAAAATTTTAAAAACAAATTAGTTTATATTTCACTCAGAGTTAAAGAATATACTTCTGCACCCAACCAATCCATCCATCAATAAGTACCTACTGAATATCTATTATGTACCCAGCCCTTGACTAGGCTGCTATTTGGTGATTATGTAACTATAACTAACCATAATTAAATATCAGTATATAAATATATATTCCTGAATTCAAACAGCTTATAATTTAGTTAGGTACAAACAATTAAACAGCAGAGATCATTTTAAATGAAATTAAGTTACGAAAAGCATTGTAAATTATAAATGCAGTTTCAGAAAGAAAGCAATTAATAAGTGCCAATGTTCTACCATAAAATTACAAGGAGAGGGTGAATTTCAAGTAGGCACTTAAGAGATGAATAGGATTTCCACAAGAAACTTAGAGCAAAAAGGTGGTATCAGCTGGAGGAAGAGAAAAAACAAAATAACAGGAGTGGGAGTTAACAGGGCTCACTCCCATGCAGTGAGGAGTCTAACGGGATAGGATTGAAGGTTCTTCTTGGGAGTGGGAGAAGTTACATTTCGATAGCCACAGGAGGAATTCACTGAAAAACGACACAGAGGAATTCAGATTTGACACAGAAAGGAGTAGAGGCCCACCACAGGTTCTCAAGCAAAAGAGTAACAGTGAGAGTATATTTTAAGGAAGCTTTCCACCATTGTCTTAAATAGAAGTGTAACTAATGAAATAATTAGGAGCCTCTTATTTGGCAAAGATGTTAAAGAAGACAGAAAAATAAAAGTAGAATCACTTAATTTCTGTTTTCTCAAGTTCAATTACATTGTCTTTATTCCTTCCAAAAGAATAAAGATGGCTGGGTGCGGTGGCTCACGCCTGTAATCCTAGCACTTTGGGAGGCTGAGGTGGGCAGATCATATGAGGTCAGGAGTTCGAGACCAGCCTGGCCAACATGGTGAAACCCCATCTCTACTAAAACTACAAAAATTAGCCAGGCATGGTGGCAGGTGCCTGTAATCCCAGCTACTTGGGAGGCTGAGGCAGGAGAATCACTTGAACCCGGGAAGCGGAGGTTGCAGTGAGCAGAGATTGCGTGACTGTGCAACAGAGCCAGACTCCATCTCAAAAAACAATAATAATAAAGATTTGAAAATAAAACATTAGAAGGAGAGCGAAGTCCAAAACAAGTGGGAAGAGTGTAACAAAGGACCTATTTCCACAATGCCATACGCAAAAAATGTTGATTGAGTGCCTTCTACTTGCAAAGTACTTGATATGAGGCTATGGAACATAAACCAAATCCAGTTCATGTGTCCAAGGAGCTTACAAGATAGAAGTGTTAAGGAATGTGGCTTGGTGCAGTGGCTCACGCCTGTAATCCCAGAACTTTGGGAGGCCAAAGTGAAGGAGGCCAGGAGTCTAAGATCAAACTGAGGAGCACAGAGAGATCCTAACTTTACAAAATAAAATTTTAAAAAATTAAAAATTAGCTGGGTATGGGATTCCACGCCTGTAGTCCCAGCTACTCAGGCAGCTGAGACAGGAGGGTTACGTGAGCCAGGAGTTCAAGGCTGCAGTGAGCTATACGTACACCACTGCACTTCAGCCTCGGCGACAGGGCAAGACTGTGTCTCAAAAAAAAGTGTTAAGGAATGTGTATCAGACATTTTTATAAATGTCATAACAGAGGTGCAGGTAAAATCCTGTGATCATTCACAGAAGAATAAAATCACCTTTCAGATACAGGATTCGGATCAGGTTTCATGGAAGAGGCAAAACTTTTTGTAAATCTCAAAATGGGTATGTTGTCAGAATGGAATGGCAAAAGAGCCTGGAAAAAGTAATGTTTATTCTGTGTGGTCTGTGTCTGCTAAAATTCCAGAGTTACTGTAGAGAAAGGGAGAGAATGGATTTGGGAGCCAATAGCAGTGTCTGCCACACCTGGCTCATATGTATACAGACTGCAGCAGGAAGGCAACGTCTGGCTACGATGCACAATACATGTGTGTCCTTGGTATAGCTCCTTAGCAGGAATATTCTGGCTAGTAAAATAACAGAGTTACTCAGGTGGGATAGCATGGTTGTTAACGGTGGAGGGTGTCCAGGTTCTTGGCATCTTGAACAAAGAATTCGTCAAAACGCACAAACAAAACAAGGAAGGAATGAAGGGATTACTGAAAATGAAAGTACACTCCGGCCGGGCGACGTGGCTCACGCCAGTAATCCCAGCACTTTGGGAGGCCGAGGTGGGCGGATGACGGGGTCAGGAGATCGAGACCATCCTGGCTAACATGGTGAAACCCCGTCTCTACTAAACATACAAAAAAATTAGCCGGGCGTGGTGGCGGGCGCCTGTAGTCCCACCTACTCGGGAGGCTGAGGCAGGAGAATGGCGTGAACCCGGGAGGCGGAGCTTGCAGTGAGCCGACATAGTGCCACTGCGCTCCAGCCTGGGCGACAGAGCGAGACTCCATCTCAAACAAACAAACAAAAAAGAACGTACACTCCACAGTGTTCGAGCGGGCAGCGGGAGTGAGCATAGGGGCACAAAGGCCCTGTTACAGTTTTTGTGAATTTAAATTCCCTCTACTTAGGGTACACCCTATGTAAATGAAGAGGATGAAGTGAAGTTACAAAGACATTTCCTGATTGTATGCCCTATGGAGAGGATATTTCCTGTTATAGCTGAAGTGTGAATCTGGCCTTAGCTTTCCTGCATCCAGACCCTATTTTCCCGCCTCATGGTGAATGTGTTATGAGGTTACTAAGATGGGGAAGAGAGGAGAACAGAAATGTATCTAACAGAGGGACAGACCTGAAGAAGTGGAGAATATCTTGTGAGATTTCCCCCACCTTTTTCATTCTTGGCTATGCCCTGTCGCCTGCCGAGCCTCTTTTCATATTCGGTCTGGAATGCTGAAACCTCCTTTTCCTCATTCCCTTTGTTATCTCTATATCTTGTTCCCTAGAAATAAAGATTTGAACTTTAGCATGAGCTGTACTTTTGCTACAGACCTTCTATTATCCAGCTACAGTGTTGACATACTTAATCTCCTTTAATGGGACAAGTAATGAACTCAATTAGCTGGAAAACCTCCATGCAAAGAGAAAAGACAACTCTTACCATATAATTCACAGACATTTCCCTTGATTCACATTATTCCTGCATTAAAGACCTTCTATGACCCCGAATATCAGTTGGTTACTCGCTAAAACTGACTGTAGAGCAATTTCGCCTTAAGCAGATTTACTTAACGAAACACTAATATGTAATTAACTGGACTGAGAATTTGATTTGCATACTCTCAAGGAACAATTTTTTATTATTTAAAAACAAAACACTTGACATTCTAGAAGGGGCTACAAAGACATCCCCAAAGGTCAATTAGTCCTACAACTGATTACCTAAATATTTAATAGCACTCAAACACAGTACTAAATGGGCTCTAATTTGTTTGTGAAAAGAAACAATGCCACTTTACACACGGCTGCCAAGTTTTCAGTAAACAAAGAGAATATGGTCTTGGGAAACTGATGAATCTAGTTTAAAAATGCGACAAGATCCTCCTGTGCTCCTTCCAAACATGGCAGTGATTTTCCACTAATTTTCTTCCTGATGCTTTTTTCCTTTAAGTCTACATGTTGATGCACCCCAAGGCTCAGTCTTTGAATTGGTCTCTTTCCTAGGTCGTTCTCAAGTAATCTCTAGGCTTGACAAACTTCCTCTGTATTGACAGCTCCCAATGTTATACCTATAGCTCACACCTCCTCCCTGAACTGCAGTCTCAAATATATCCCTGCCTATACAGCATGGCATGAATATCTAGCGGGCATCTCAAATTTACTGTGTCCCAAATGGAACTTCTGATTTTTCCCCCAGATAAAAACTGTAAATCCCACTCTCTTCCCCATCTCAATAAATGGTAACTCCCTCCTTCCAAATTGCTCAGGTCCAAAGCCTTGGTGTCATCCTTGGCTCTTCTCTCTTCTCCTGCACCCCCACATGTAACCTGTGAGGAGGTCTTATTGGTTCTACCTTTATAACCTATGCAGACACCAATCCCTTCTTACCACCTCCATCATGACGTACACTGCCATAATCGCTCCCCTAGATTCTTGCAATAGTCTCCTAACTGGCTTTCCTACTTCAGCCTCTCCTCCAACCCTTATACCTAATGTCTACTTTGAATAGAGCATCCAAGAGGATCCTTTGAAAATCTCCTCTGCTCAAACCCTTCCAGTGTATTCCCATCTGGGATAGAGTCAAAGTCTTCGTGGCTGTCTCAAAAGTCCTCGACTGGTCCCCCGCTGTGCTCTGCCTGGTCCCCCGCTGTGCTCTGCCTTGTCCCCCGCTGTGCTGTGCCTCTGCTCTGGCCACAGGGGCTTCCTTGCTATTCTTCCAACACTCCAGGTGTACTCATTCCTGGAGATCTTTGCCATTGTCGCTTCTCTACCAGGAATACTCTTCTCCAGGTGTCTTCCTAGATATCTTCAGGTCTTGGACTAAAAGTCACCTTCTCAATGAGTCTTTACCTGACTAGCTTATTTAAAATTGCAACTCCCACTTTCACCCCAGCACTATCTTCCATCCCTTCTTTACTTTTATCTATCGCACTTCTCATCTTCCAATATATATTTTACTTATTTATTTGTTTATTGTCTGTCTCCCCTCACTAGCAGGTAAGTTCCATGAAGGCAGATAATTTTGTTGGCTTTAAACACCTAGAACAAAGCTTGGCATAAAGTAAGTACTCAATAGATTAATGTTAAATTAATAAATAAGTAAACAGTGATTATTTATGACTAACTAGGGGAAAAATATAATTAACAAGGATGTTTTCATGAAGGATAGACTCCCTAAGAGCAGTCACTATACCTTTTCCTTTTTTTTTTTTTTTTTTTTTTTCGAGACAGGATCTCGCTCTGTCACCCAGGTTCCTGGAGTGCAGTGGTACAATCACAGCTCGTTGCAGCCTCAAACACCTGGGCTCAAGCGATCCTGCCTCCTCAGCCTCCAAAAGGGCTAGGATTATAGGTGTGAGCCACCATGCCTGGCCATTTTCCTTCTTTTTGGCTCCATCATCTAGCAGAGTTGTGTCATATTGTAGATATTCAATAAATACTTATTGAATCTAGTTGAATATTTGTTGAAGAGCACAGACTGAAGCTTGTGTTCAAATCCCAGCTTCTCTGGTTATTGGCTGTGTAAGCTAAGGAAAAGCACTTAACTTCTCTGTGCCTAGAGTCTTCATAAAATAGGAATAATAATTATAATAATAATTACAATAGTAATTATATGTGGGGTTGTGTGAGGATTAAATGAGTAAATATTCTTAAACTACAGAATGGTGCTTGGCACAAAATAACAGATGATGATGATGACAACGACGATAGTCCTATGAAACTCATCATGAAATGGCAATTTCCTGGTTAAGCTTAAACCATTTACGTATTTTAAAAGTGAAAAGACTATATAAATTGAATGAAATAACCAAGTAGCATGTCACTCCCCAGCTGAAAATCTGTAAATAACTACTACTGCCACTGTGACAAAATCCAAACTTCCAATCTTGCATTCAAAGCCTTCTACAGGCCGGGCGCAGTGGCTCACGCCTGTAATTCCAGCACTTTGGGAGGCTGAGGCGTGGACCACTTGAGGTCAGGAGTTCGAGACCAGCCTGGCCAACATGGTGAAACCCCGACTCTACTAAAAATACAAAAATTAGCTGGGCATGGCGGTGGGCGCCTGTAATGCCAGCTACTTGAAAAGCTGAGGCAGGAGAATTGCTTGAACCCAGGAGGTGGAGGTTGCAGTGAGCCAAGATCGCACCACTGCATTCCAGCCTGGGTGACAGAGTGAGACTCTGTCTCAAGAAAAAACAAGAGAAAAAAAAAAAAAACCTTCTACATTTGTACCCAACATTTAACTTAAAAGTTAAAGGAACAGAAAACCAAATGCTGCATGATTTCACTTATAAGTGCGAGCTAAACACTGAGTACATAGGGACACAGAGAAGGGAACAACAGACACTGGGGTCTACTTGAGGATGGACGGAGGGAGGACAGTGAGGATCCAAAAACTATCCATCAGGTACTAACTATGCTTTTATTACCTGGGTGATGAAATAATCCATACACCAAACCCCTGTGACATGCAATTTACCTATATAACAAGCCTACACATGTACCCCTGAATCTAAAATAAAAATTAAAATAAAAAGATAACAAGATTTTTTCTTTTTCAAATACCAAGGAAAGTAATTCCCCACAAATGTATAAGGATGATTTTTTTCTAGGGATGTAAATAATGCCTCCTGAAGCACAGTTTGATTTTCTTTCTTTCTTTTTTCTGAGACGGAGTCTCACTCTGTCGCCCAGGCTGGAGTGCAGTGGTGTGACCTCGGCTCACTGCAACCTCTGCTTCCTGGGTTCAAGCAATTCTCCTTGCCTCAGCTTCCCGAGTAGCTGGGATTAGCCGCTTGCCACCACACCCGGCTAATTTTTTCTATTTGTTTTGGTAGAAACTGGGGTTTCACCATGTTCACCATGTTAGCCAGGCTGGTTTCCTGACCTCAGGCGACCCACCCACCTCAGCCTCCCAAAGTGCTGGGATTACAGGCATGAGCCACCGCGCCCGGCCAGCACAGTTTGATTTTCAAAGAACTTTTACATAGTCAACTTATTTACAACAGTGACCACACTAAAAAGAAACCAGAATAGGAGTTGGCCTCATTAGGAAATATGAGGAAAGTAAGATTCAAAGACAGTAAACGATTTATTTGAGATTTCATAGCTAGCAATTGGTGTATCCACGATCAGAAAACAGATTCTTGTGAGACTAAATTCAAGGACTCTTTTTTTTTTTTTTTTGAGATGGAGTTTCACTGTGTCACCCACGCTAGAGTGCAGTGGTGCAATCTCGGCTCACTGCAACCTCTGCCTCCGGGGTTCAAGCGATTCTCCTGCCTCAGACTCCTGAGTAACTGGGATTACAGTCACGCGCCACCACGCCCAGCTAATTTTTTTTTCTTTTTTTTATATTTTTAGTAGAAACGGGGTTTCACTATGTTGGTCAGGCTGGTCTCCAACTCCTGACCTCGTGATCCACCTGCCTCAGCCTTCCAAAGTGTTGGAATTACAGGCATGAGCCACCATGCCCGGGCCAATTCAAGGATTCTTTTACCACAGCATTCTGTTGATAAATACGGAATTTAACAAGTAGGTTTCAAATTCCTTGTAGCGCTAGGCACATAATAGATGCATACTATGTGCTTACTAACTGTTTAAGGTAAAAAAAAAAAATGTATTCTTTTCCTCTGGCTTACCAGATTTGTCACAGAACAAAGATAATTCATATCATTTGGCAGAAAATAAATTCATCCCCGAATCTTGGTAAGTATCCTACTCATTATTTCAGCACTTTTTTTTTTTTTTTTTTTTTGAGACTGAGTCTTGTATCGTTGCCCAGACTGGAGTGCAGTGGCACGTTCTCAGCTCACTGCAGCCTCCACCTCCCAGGTTCAAGCGATTCTCCTGACTCAGCCTCATGAGTAGCTGGGACTACAGGAGCGCACCACCACCACGCCAGCTAATTTTTCTATATATTTTTTTAATAGAGATGGGGTTTCACCATAGTGGCCAGGCTGGTCTCCAACTCCTGACCTCGTGATCCACCCACCTCATCCTCCCAAAGTGCTGGGAAATATGGCGCCCAGCCATATTTCAGCACTTTGTAAAGGTGCAAAAGCAATTGTAATGGGCCCATGATTTCTATTGATATTCTTATTTATCATTTGTCCTTCTAACAAAAAGTCACATTATCTATCTCCCAGGAGTTATGCAAGATTAATGCCTGGGTTTCATGACTTGAGAAATTTTCTTCTGAACCAAAGACTAAATCATGAGACCTTATAAGATTTTGTGTTGCCTTCTATATGTGTGATTCTAATCTCCTCTCCTCCTGAATTTGAAGGATCAGAGATTTGACTGTAAATTGCCTTACACAGGGGTTTAAAACCTTATGCTTTAACATTCCATTGCATACTCCTAGGTATAATAAAATATAGAAAGTAGGATGATATTTATATTCAATGACCTATGTTTAAAAAAAATCATGTTTGTAACTGAGCTACGAACAACAGCCTTAGAAGAATTTGGAAGAGTCTATATAATAGATTTTCATCTTTTCTATTTCAATCACACTGAGATAATTAGTAGTTTCTCTAAAGCCTAGAAACATCCAGAAAATCTTTTAGTGTTTCTAAGCCTGATATGAAGAGACATCACAAACTTTTTGGAAGAAAAGGACTTCAGCCTTTTGGCCCTTTGGGTTGTTTAAAGAAATGGGTACAGTCTTTTAAAAGTGGCTCAATTGCCTGCTGTGATTGATCTCATAAAAGGGGTGATGTTGGGCCAGGTGCAGCGACTCACGCCTGTAATCCCAGCACTTTGGGAGGCCAAGACGGGTGGATCACGAGGTCAGGAGATCGAGACCATCCTGGCTAACATGGTGAAACCCCGTCTCTACTAAAAATACAAAAAATTTGCCGGGTGTGGTGGCGGGCGCCTTTAGTCCCAGCTACTCAGGAGGCTGAGGCAGGAGAATGGTGTGAAACCAGAAGGCGGAGCTTGCAGTGAGCCGAGATCGCACCACTGCATTCCAGCCTAGGTGACAGAGCGAGACTCCGTCTCAAAAAAAAAAAAAAAAAAACAAACAAAAAAAGGGGGGTGATGTTTTCTCCTATAGGGTACTTATGATGATCTTCCTGGCTTTCCAAGGTAGCTACTCCAGTGAAATTAACCTACAGGGATTTCTTTTTATTATCTTTTTGCTTGTTTGTTTGTTTGTTGAGACAGAGTCTCCCTCTGTCACCCAGGCTAGAGAGCAGTGATGCGATCTTGTCTCATTGCAACCTCCACCTCCCTGGTTCAAGCAATCCTTGTGCTTCAGCCACCCAAGTAGCTGGGGTTACAGGCATGTGTCACCACGCCCAGCTAAATTGTGTATTTTTAGTAGAGACAGGGTTTCACCATATTGGCCAGGCTGGTCTCAAGCTCCTGGCCTCAAGTGATCCACCTGCTTCAGCCTCCCAAAGTGCTGTAATAGGCTGAGCCACTGCATCTGGCCCACCCTGCAGGTTTTAAAACATGTAAATCCAGGAAGCTCACTTCCCTCATCCTCTTCTCCCCAGACTCTACTATTGTTCTCTACATTTCATTTATCAAGAACATATCATGAAAAATGTGATCCGATAAAGGGAAGCACACAGCACCTAAGTTTAGTGGACACCATGTTGCAAAGTTGGGTAGAGAATACATTGTCATTGTTGTACAGGCTGCCACTGTAAACTGTTACTCCCTGGCACCTCCACACTAGGGCGGGAGTCCAAACTTGTGAGTGGGCAGCTAGCCATGCCAACAGATGGGGACAGGGATGATAGCCAAGGGACGATGTATGTGCATCAAGTATAGGTGTTCAGAACAGGAATTCCAACTGAGAAGATCAAAATGACTGTCTCAAACTTATGGTTAAGAGCTTGTCAATTCATGCCTGGTTTAATATAAATGAATTGGAATTGAAGAGAATTGACATATTTTGACAGAACCTCAAATTTATTTTTCGTAAAAATATAAATTCAACTTAGACATTTGCAGTAAATGGCTTAGTGGCATTTTCTGAGAAGAAAATGTTTCCACTTTTCCATTTTTCATGATTGTTAACCTTCCCTGAAAGATATATAGCACTGGACTCTTTTATAAAATTAGCTCATTACTTTCTCATTTGTTATTAACTCCTGAAATGCATTCAACTCTAGTGCTTCAATGTCACCTGTAATTCTTAAGGAAATTTGTCCTAGCAGATCAATTAAATTCAATTTCCTAACTTGATCTGTTAAATCTCAAAAAATGCCTGAGATCTACTTTACATTCTTCTTAATGTAAGAAAGATAATCCTAAAGGGATGCTTTATCAGTTTTAAATTTTTATTTCTAATAATAATTTCAATATCTCAAATCCTAAAATTACATAGTTTGAATTACAAATGGGAGGAGGGACATGAAGGATTGAGATTTAGAATCCTTTAAGATCATTAATATGAACAGAGAAGAGAATATATGGCTTATTTTACTTAAACTTATATTACTTAATGTCTTGTATTAATTATATTGCTTATATTACTTACATGATATCATGTTATACTTGCTTGGATTACTTCTCTGTACTTTTTTCCTAATTAGTAGAATTAAGGAATTGGACTAGGCTACCTCTGAGGTCCTCTCCAGCTACAAATTCTCTATTTCTCATGCAAACAAATGAAATGATGCTCTCCTTTCAAGCTAGGAATGGAAATTCTGAGTGGAAGTCTCTCCATGGCTTATTGTAACCCCAAAAGAAGACAGAGCATGATGATGACTGCTATACAATCCAAACTGCTCTGCGTGGCTAAGCTTTTTAGAAGTAGGGAAGTCAGGATTTATCCTGAGACTCTCGAAGATCTTCCAGAAACAGGTTTCCCCATCACCCAAAACTTCTCCATAATAATATTTTAAATTTTTTATTGAAGAATAATATAAGCAGAAAAGTGTATAGCTATGAACTTTCATAAATTGAATACATGCATGAAAACAGCAACAAATCAGAAAACAGGCCAGGTGCTGTGGCTCACACCTGTAATCCCAGCACTTTGGGAGGCTGAGGCAGGAAGATCACTTGAGGCCAGGAATCTGAGGCCAGCCTGGGCAACATAGCGAGACCTTGTCTCTACTAAAAATTTTATAAAAGAGGGCCTTTCTGCTCAGAAGACCCCTCTCTCTCAATAGAGAGAGCTGTTTTTCTTTCTCTTTTCTTCTGCCTTTTAATTCTCCTCTCCTAAACTCCTTGTGTGTGTCTGTGTCCTAAATTTTCCTGGCGCGAGACGATGAACCCTGGGTATATACCCCAGACAAGGTCACCATATCATATTGGGGACCTTGTCTGGGATACCAAGGTACAGCATTAATCGAAACAGTGAGTAGAGGAGCAGATTCCAACTCTGTCCTTTCATTTGGGGCTCTCGGCCTCCATTTTAAAACCAAATCAAACCAAATACTGGGCCCCCTTCAGCCATTTAAAAATGATTAGCCTGACTGCCAGCCTTGCAAGACTTGGGGGACAGGCTTACTGGGGAAAACATGGAGAATCCCCCAGCACCCACGGGTTGCTGGGCTTGTTGGCCGTATTTGAACCAGCTCCCTTTCACGGACAACTTAGCCGTGGCGTGGGCTGGAAAAGGTCCTGGAACAAATGAGGATTTATGGCTGGGGCTACCCTCCCTGCCAACCCCAGTGTTATCCAGAGGTTTTTTTTTTTTTTTTTGAGACGGAGTCTCGCTCTGTCGCCCAGGCTGGAGTGCAGTGGCGCGATCTCAGCTCACTGCAAGCTCCGCCTCCCAGGTTGAGGCCATTCTCCTGCTTCAGCCTCCTGAGTAGCTGGGACTACAGGCGCCCGCCACCACACCCGGCTAATTTTTTGTGTTTTTAGTAGAGACGGGGTTTCACTGTGTTAGTCAGGATGGTCTCAATCTCCTGACCTCGTGATCCACCCATCTTGGCCTCCCAAAGTGCTGGGATTACAGGCGTGAGCCACCGCGCCCGGCCCCAAAAGTTTCTTGACTGACCCCAGCCTCCGACTGCCCGTCGGAGTGTCGGCAACAGGATCTCCAACTTTTCTATCATAATTTCCTCCTTTCCTGCCATATGTCTTACCCCTCTCTCTCAATAGAGAGAGGTATTTTTCTTTCTCTTTTCTTCTGCCCATTAAACCTCAGCTCCTAAACAAAGCAACAACAAAAAACTTAGCCAGGCATGGTGATGCGTGCCTGTGGTCCCAGCTACTTGGAAGGCTGAAGGCAGAAGGATCACTTGGGCCTGGAAGATGGAGGCTGCAGTGAGCTATGATTGTGCCACTACACTTCAGCCTGGGCAACAGAGGGAGACCCTGTCTCAAAAAAAAAAAGAAAAAAAGAAACAAAAACTAGCATATTATCTGCACCCCAGAAGGCACTGTTTTCTTCCAGTGCCTCCTCAAAAACACCCATTATCCTAACTTCCAACAACATAGATTCATCATATAACATGTACTCTTTTGTATCTGGTTTCTTTCTTTCACTCAACATTATGTTCATGAGGTAGACCCATATTGTTGCATGTAGTTTTAGAATGTTCATTTTCATTACTGTACAGTATTCCATTTGTTTATCTATTCTACTGTAGATGGGCATTTGGTTAATTTCCAGCTGTGGGCTATTACAAGTAGTATTCCTATAAACTATGAACATGTTTTTGATGAACATATTTATGCACTTATTTGTGTATACACTGAAGAGTAGATTTGCTGGGTCATAGGTTATGCATATGGTTTAGCTCTAGTAGATATTGCCAATTTCCCCAAGTAATTGTAACCAATTTACACCTCCATCACCAGTTTTTGAAAGTTCCTCTTGCTCCACATCCCTGTCAAAACTTGGTATTGTATGTCTTTTTTCATTTTAAGTCTTCTGGTGGATATTCCAATGTGTTTTTTATAATTTCTTTTTATTTTGATTATTGAGGTGAAAGTCACATAACAAAATTAACCTTTTTAAAGTGAACAATTTAGTAGCAGTTAGGACGTTCACCATGTAGTACAACCTCCACCTCTATATAGCTCCAGAACATTTCATTACTCCAAAAGGAAACTCCGTATCCATTAAGCAATGGCTCCACATTTCCTGCCTTTTGACCTATCCCTTGCCACCCATGGATCTGCATTCATCTCTATAGATTTACCTATTCTGGATATTTCATATAAATGGAATCACACAATATGTGGCCTTTTGTGTTTAATATCTTTCTCTTTGCATAGTGTTTTCAAGGTTCATTCATATTGTATCATGTATGAGTATTTCATTCCTTTTATAGCTGGTTAATATTTCCTGGTGTGTATGTACTACAGTTTGTTTATCTATGCATCCATTGATGAATATCTAAGCCATTTCCACCTTTTGGCTATTGTGAATAGTGCTGCTAGGAATCTGTGTGTGCATGTATTTGGTTGAGTACCTCTTTTCCATTCTTTTGGGTATATACCTAGGAGTGGAATTCCTGGGTCATATCGTAATTCTATGTTTAACTTATTGAGGAACTGCCAAGCTTTCTTCCACAGTGGCTGAACAATTTTACATTATCACAATTGGCCAGGTGCGGTGGCTCACACCTGCAATCCCAGCACTTTGGAAGGCCAAGGAGGGTGGATCTCTTGAGGCCAGGAGTTCGAGACCAGCCTGGCCAGCGTGGCGGAACTCCATCTCTACTAAAAATACAAAAAATTAGCCGAGCTGGTGGCACATGCCCATAGTCCCTGCAGGCTGAGGCATGAGAATCACTTGAACCCAGGAGGCAAAGGTTGCAGTGAGCCAAGTTCACACCACTGCTCTCCATCAGTGTGAGACTCTGCCTTAAAAAAAAAAAAAGAAAAGAAAAAAAAATGCATTCTCACCATCACTGTACTAGGGTTCCGATTTCTCCACATCCTTGGCAGGAAATATACTTATTAGTTTCAGATTGTATTTTGTCTGCTTTTAAAATTATAGCCATAGCCATCCTAGCAGGTATGAACCTCACTGTGGTTTTGATTTGCATTTCTCTAATAACTAATGAAGTTGAGCATATTTTCTTGTTTCCATTGCCCATTTGCCCATCTTCTTTGGAGAAATGTCTGTTCAAGTCCTTTGCCTATATTTTAATTGGAGTGTCTTTTTGTCATTGAGTTTTAAGAATTCTTTCTATGTTCTAGATACCAGACACTTATTTGTGAATATTTTCCCCTATTCTGTACACAGTCTTTTCACTTTCTTGACAATGTCCTTTGACATTAACACAAAAGCTTGTAATTTTCATAAGTCATCCAATTTATTTTCTTCTTTTGTTGCTTTTGCTTTGGGTTTCATATCTAAGAATCATTGTCAAATTCAAGGTCATGAAGATTTACACCTATGTTTTCTTCTAAGAATTTTATGCTCTTATCTTTAGATTATTGATCCATTTTGAATTGATTTTTATATATGGTAGGGGATAGCCTAACTGCTCTGGCTAGAACTTAAGGTGCACTGTTGAACAGGTATCCAACTTTATTATTTTGCACATGTATATCAAGTTGTCCCAGCAACATTTATTAAAGAGAGTGTCTTTTTCCCATTGAATGGTCTTGTTGAAAATCAAATGTTCATAGATTTATACGTTTATTTCCATACTCTCAATTCTATTACAGTGGTCTACATGTCTATCTTATGTCAGTACCATATAGTTTTGATTACTGCAGCTTTGAAGTAAGTTTTGAAATTAGGAAGTGTGAGTTCTCCAATTTTGTTGTTTTTTAGTAGTTTTTCACTCTTCAGCGTCCTTTATAATCCATTTGAATTTGAGAATAGGCTTTTCCATTTCTACAGTAATTATCATTGGAACGTTGATAGAGATCACATTGAATCTATAGACCACTCTGTGTAGTATTGTCATCTTAGCAGTATGAAGTTTTCTCTTCCATGAACACAGCATGTCTTGCCACTTATTTAAATCTTCTTTAATTTCTTTCAGTAACGTTTTGTAGTTTCTAGTGTAATAATTTTTCATCGCCTTGGTTACATTTATTCCTAGGTATTTTATTCCTTTGGGTGCTATGGAAAATGAAACTGTTTTCTTAATTTCCTTATTGGTTGTTTGTTGTTGGTATATGGAAAAACCACTGTTGACCAGGCACGGTGGCTCACGCCTGTAATCCCAGCACTTTGGGAGGCTGAGGCAGGTAGATCACCTGAGGTCAGGAGTTGGAGACCAGCCTGGCCAACATGGCAAAGCCCTGTCTCTACTAAAAATACAAAAATTAGCCAGGTGTGGTGGCACGCACCTGTAGTCCCAGCTACTCGGGAGGCTGAGGCAGAAGAATCACTTGAACCCAAAGGGCGGAGGTTGCATTGAGCCAAGATCACGCCACTGCACTCTAGCCTGAGCGACAAAGCAAGACTCCGTCTCAAAAAACAAAACAAAACAAAACAAAACTGTTTTTTCTGTGTGTTGATCTTGTACTTTGCAACTTTGCTAAATTTGTTTTTACCTCTACTAAAATCTAATACTAAGAGCAGATTTTAGTAGAGCTAAAAACAAATATTCTTGTTTGTTCTTGTAGAGTCTTTGAGAGTTTCTATATATAGGATCATGTCCTCTGTGAAAATAGTTAAGTTTTGCTTCTTCCTTTCCAATTTGTATGTCCTTTATCTGTTTTTCTTGCCTAACTGCTCTGGCTAGAACTTAAGGTGCACTGTTGAACAGTAGTTAATAAAGCAGACATCTTTGCCTTGTTGCTGATCTTAGGGGAAAAGTTTTTAGTCTTTCATCCCATTGAGCATAATGTTAATTATGAGTTTTTTACAAATGCCTTTTATCACATTGAAGAAAGTTCCTTCTATTTCTAGTTTTCTGAGTGTTTTCATCATGAAAAGGTGTTGGATTCTATCAGATGCCCTTTCTACATCAATTGAGATAATCATATGGGTTCTCCCCCTCATCCTATTAATGTTATGTATTACATTGATTAATTTTCTTATATTAACCACACTAGTATTCCTGATTTTTAAATTCCACTTAGTCATAGTTTTTTGAATCCTTTTAATATGCCATTTCATTTGATTTAATAGTGTTTTTTGAGGTTTCTTGCTTCTATATTCATAAGAAATATTGGTCTGTAGTTTTCTTGTGATGTCTTTGGCTTTAGAATCAGAGTAACACTGGCCTCATAAAATGAATTAGTAAGTGTTTCCTCCTCTTCTCTTTTTTGGAAGAGTTTGAAACGAATTGCTGTTAATTCTTCTTTAGATGTTTGGTAGAGCCAATGTGGTTTTAATTTGCATGTCCCTATTGTCTAATGATGTTATCTTTTCATAGGTTTATTGGCCATTTTTACATAATGTTTTGTTAAAGTCTGTTCAAGGGTCAGTCATGGTGGCTCATACCTGTAATCCCAGTACTTGGGAGGCTGAGGTGGGTGGATCACTTGAGGTTAGGAGTTCGAGACCAGCCTGGCCAACATGGCGAAACCCTGTGTCTACAAAAATACAAACATTAGCTGGGTGCAGTGGCATGTGCCTGTATTCCCAGCTACTTGGGAGGCTGAGGCAGAGAATTGCTTGAACCCAGGAGGCAGAGGTTGCAGTGAGCTGAGCTTGCATCATTGCACTCCAGCCTGGACAACAGAGCAAGACTCTATTTCAAGAACAAAAAGTCTGTTCAAGTCTTTTTTCCATTTCCTATTGGTAGTCTGTCTTTTTCTTGATTTGTAGAAATGTTTACATATTCCAGATGAGTACTTTTCAGATATATGTATTGTTATATATTCTCCCTTTTCTTTTTTTTTTTTTTTTGAGATGGAGTCTTACTCTGTCACCCAGGCTGGAGTGCTATGGCATGACCTCGGCTCACTGCAACCTCCACCTCCCGGGTTCAAGCGATGCTCCTGCCTCAGCCTCCCGAGTAGCTGGGATTACAGGTGCCTGCCACCGCGCCCAGCTAATTTTTGTATTTTTAGTAGAGACAGGGTTTCACCATCTTGACCAGGCTGGTCTTGAACTCCTGATCTCGTGATCCACCTGCCTCGGCCTCCCAAAGTGCTGGAATTACAGGCGTGAGCCACTGCGCCTGGCCATATTGTCACACTTTACAGTTTCTCCTTTTATTCTCTTACGGGTGTCTTTCAATGAACAGAGTTCTTAATTTTAATATATGTTGTTATATCATTTAAAAATTTTTTTTGGTTAGCCCTCTGTGTTGCAGGCAGGCCATCTTTGCCTATTCCAATATCATAAAGATCTCTCCCATGTTTTTGTCTAAAAAGCACTATTCGCATGTACCATTTACATGTACTCTACATGGAACTTATTTTTGTATAAGGGGTGAGGTAAAGGTTATGGTACATTTTTTTTCCCATATAGATACCAAGCTGACTCAACATCAATACTTTCCTCATTGCCCTGCTATGTCACCTTTACCATAAGCCAGGTAATCATGTATGTATGGGTCTGTTTCTTGATTATTTATTCTGTTCTATATGGCAGGTTTTCTTTTTTTTTTTTTCTTGAGACGGAGTCTTGCTCTGTTGCTCAGGCTGGAGTGCAGTGGCACAATCTCGGCTCACTGCAAGCTCTGCCTCCTGGGTTCAAGCCATGCTCCTCCGTCAGCCTCCCAAGTAGCTGGGACTACAGGCGCCCGCCACCACGCCTGGCTAAATTTTTGTATTTTTAGTAGAGAGGGGGTTTCATGGTGTTAGCCAGGATGGTCTCGATCTCCTGACCTCGTGATCCGCCCGCCTCGGCCTGCCAAAGTCCTGGGATTACAGGTGTGAGCCACCGTGCCCGGCCTGCAAGTTTTCTATCTATGCTTGAATACCATGTTTTCCTAATGACTGTAGTTTTTTTTGTTGTTGTTGTTGTTGTTTTTTTTTTTTTTTTTTTGAGACGGAGTCTTGCTCTGTTGCCCAGGCTGGAGTGCAATGGCGCTATCTTGGCTCACTGCAACCTCCACCTCCTGGGTTCAAGCAATTCTCCATCTCAGCCTCATGAGTAGCTAGGATTACAGGCACCTGCCACCACGCCCAGCTAATTTTTTTTTTTAATTTTTTTATTTTTAACAGAGATGGGGTTTCACCATCTTGGCCAGGCTGGTCTTGAACTCCTAACCTTGTGATCCATGCCCCTCGGCCTCCCAAAGTGATGACTGTAGTTTTAAGTCCTAGCATCTGAAAGTAAAAGTCCTCCAATTTTGTTCTTCAAGATTGTGTTGGGTATTCTTCAGCCTTTGCATTTCCACATTAAATTTAGAATCAGCTTCTCAATTGCTGATTCTTTAGTAAAAGAAAAACAACCCTGCTGGAATTTTGATTGGAAGTTTGTTGTAGCATAAGGCTTTGGAAGCTGCAAAATAAATAAATAAATAAATAAATAAATAAATAAATAAAGGATACCTCTAGCGTTTGGAAGCACGATTTTAAAAAAATGTATTCAATAAATATCTTTTCAGTGCTGGATTTTTGTCATGTTCTCTATGAGGTGTGGCAGTGAGTAGGGACACAGTGGGAACAAGACTCAGTACCCGCACTTGAGGGCTCAGGGAGCAGCCTTGCTATTTTCTAAATTTGTCACTGAGACTTTCCATAGAATTGATGCAGTCTGTATGTTGCTTTTTAATCATGACAGTTTTATAGTGGGTGAGATTAGACACCTACTGAGGCATTTTATGATCATTTATATGTGTCTTCCTGACAAGACTGAGTGCTTTACAAATCCTCATGAGGTTTCACTTAGGAAATAGAAGTTCAGAGGTTATTAAGTTCTTAATATCTACCCCTGAGCACTTTACAGATTATTTTATTTAATTCTCAATAACAACCTCATTGAACAATGAAATAAATATTATTGTCCCCATTTTTACAGTTGAGGAAACTGAGGCTTAGAGAGGTCGAGTCATTTGCCTAGGATCATACACATAGGTTATGGATCTAGAATTTAAACCCAAGTCTTCCAAATTTCAAAGCCAATGCTCTTAGCCACTACAAATCAAAGACAGAAATAATGTAACATTCTCGTCCCTGTGACTTAATTACTTGCAATGTGAAATAATGTAACATTCTCATCCCTATAATTGAATTACTTGCAATGTATCTGCACATCCATTGTTGTAACAAAAGGGCCATATTAATGGAGTCTTAAAAATAGACACAGGTGAGTTTGTTCCTGTTTCTGCTGCACTCCATAGAGGGTGGTGGTGGTGGTGGCAGTGGTGGTGTTGGTGAGATAAAACAGCCAGAGTCTAGATGGGACTTCGTTATTATATGGTACTTTAACTACATTATCATCTGTGGTCACCAGGCATGTCAAGTGTAAATTCTCCTCCTGGGCTTTCCCAAAGGTGCCCATGGTCGTTAATCAGGGTAAATATACACTGTAAAGGCAAATACCTTGTTTGGAAGGATTATTGGAAACTGGCTTAGAGCCAGTTTAAATCTAATTCTTGAGTGCAATGTGTTTTGTAGGAAAGAACAGAATCACTCCATTACTTCCTTTCATCTTAGCTCAAATGTTACCAGCTCAATAAGGCATTCCCTGACCACCCTTTTTAAAAGTGAAAACACCTCCCCATCTAGAATGCCCTATCCCCTTTTCTAGATTTTTTGCACTACAGAATGTGTTTCTTTCTTGTGTATCACATTACTTATTTACTTATCTCATTTATTGTCTGGTTTTGTTTGTGTTTTTTAAGATGAAGTCTTACTCTGTTGCCCAGGCTGGAATGCAGTGGCATGATCTTGGCTTACTGCAATCTCCACCTCCCCGGTTCAAGTGATTCTCTTGCCTCAGCCTCCTGAATAGCTGGGACTACAGGTGCACACCACCATGCCTGGCTAATTTTTGTATTTTTAGAGGTTTCACCATGTTGGCCAGGTTGGTCTCGAACTCCTGACCTCAAATGATCCACCTGCCTCAGCCTCCCAAAATGCTGAGATTACAGGTGTGAGCCACTGCACTTGGCCTATTGTCTGCTTTTCTTTCTTTTAAAACAAGCTCCATAAGGACAGAGATTTTTGTCTGTTTTGTTCCTTGCTGTATCTCAAGCAGCTAGAACAATGCCATGTAAGTGGCTGATACACAGAAGTGTTTATTGAATAAATAAAAATGTGAAATAAAGTTTGTTTGGCTTTTTAATTTTTAGCTTTTTAGAGACCATAAAAAATATTGCTCTGTTGCCCAGGTTGGAGTGCAGATCATAGCTCACTGCAGCCTCCAGCCCCTAGGCTCAAGTGAGCCTCCCAACTCAGCCTCCTGAGTGGCTAGGACTACAGAAAAGTACTACCATGCCTGGCTAATTTTATTTTAATTTTTTTGTAGAGACAGGGTCTCACTATGCTGCTTAGGTGGTCTTGAACTCCTGGCCTCAAGTGATCCTCCCACCTCAGCTTCCCAATGTGCTGGGATTGCAGGTGTGAACCACCATGCCCACCTTGAAATAAAGTTCTGATATGAGTTTGTCTCACCTAGACCTGATAGGATTATACTGCATTTAGTTCCTCTGTGGCTAAGAGCATAATGGAAAAGTAAATTTAGAAATGGAAGAAATCTTCATACTGACTATTGTAGTAAGAGCTATTATGATGGGAAGGGCCACATTCAGAGTCCTTAGAATGTCCCCTCTTCCCTCCCTCTACACTAACAAGTCACCCAAAAGCAATATCCTATCCCTAAGGGATGCAGGAATGGAGATTCTTTTCACATTGCTGTTTAACTCACCAGTATAGTAGGCGAAGCTGACAGACATCTTGAAAAAGATGATATTATCAAAAATTTATTCAAGACAGTGATCCTGCATTTATAAGATGCACTTATTGTATATACATTACTCAGGGGTAGCTGGCCTTGTAGAATGGTGGAACGATTAACACCTAATCATCAAATTAAACACTTAATGATACATGGTGCCCTGTCTTCTGGAATGCAGCAAATATTCTTAACTAGCAAACAATTCTCCCACAGCTAGAACAGGTGGATTTGGAACCAAGAGATAGAAGGGAGAGTGAAACTTTTCACTACCATCCCTAATGACCCACCTGCAAAATGTTTGCTGACTATCCCTGTGACAGTGGGCTCTGGCACAGAGCTTTCAGTACCCAAGGGAGGAATGCTTTTACTACAGGTAAACCAGATTATAAACTGAAAGTGTCACATGGCCAGTTCAGGTTTCTCATGGCAGCAGGTAACAGTTCAAGAAAGTTATTACATTGCTTTCCAGTGAATACTGCTGGCTATTAAGGAAAAGTAAGATTGTCACTAAGTAAAGAGTAAGAAAAGAGTATGCACCAATTTTTTTGTTTTTTTTGAGACAGAATCCTGCTGTGTCACCCAGGCTGGAGTGCAGTGGTGCAGTCTTAGGTAAGACTGCAATCTCCACCTCCCGGGTTTAAGCAATTCTCCCACCTCAGCCCCCTGCGTAGCTGAGACTACAAGCATATACCATCACGTCTGGCTAATTTTTGTATTTTTAGTAGAGAAGGGGTTTTGCCGTGTTAGCCAGGCTGGTCTTGAACTCCTGACCTCAAGTGATCCACCTTCCTGGGCCTCCCAAAGAGCTGGGGTTACAGGCGTGAGCCACTGCATCCAGCAGCACAAATTCTTAAAGATCCATCAGGTCACCTCTTAATACTATTTTGGTAGTGGTGAAATTATAGAAACCCCACATATGCAGGACCATTAAGGGCTCCCATCTTTCAGGAATGATGGTATGAGTTATCCCTTTGGGTTCAGAATCCCAACCAGCTGAAGTGCTAAGTGAAGGCAAAGAGAATATGGATTGTGTAGTAGAGGAGGAAATCATAACTTCTACCCCAGCTGGTGATTCATGATGTAAATGAGAACTACTGGCCAGGCGCAGGTGGGTAATCCCAGAACTTTGGAAGGCAAAGGTGGAAGGATAGTCTGAGGCCAGGAGTTTGAGACTACGCTGGGCAACCTAGCGAGACCACCAAAAAACAAAACAAAACAAAACAAAAAACACACACAAAAAAACTATTTTCTTTTTTCTTGAGACAGGTATTAACTATACATTTTAACTAATTTCTCTTTTCTTCCTACTATTTTATATAAGCTCTAAATTAATCTAGTGATTAATTTTATAGCTTGGTCCATAGATTCCAGATTATTGAGATGGGATGGCAATGACACTAGAAGAGATGTACACAGCATCCTGAGACCCTGACTTGGAGCTGGATGAGTTCATGATGACACTGGGCTGACCGTTTCCGGGAAGGAGGGGAGCACATTTTCCATTGGACTGGAGCTCACTCATTTTGTGAGTTAGAATCATTTATTTCCTTCCAAGATTATTTTTCTTTCTCTCCCTCCAAACCTCCCTCCTCCCTTTTCTTTCTTTCTTATTTTTCTTCTATCTTCCTTCTAGTTTTAGAAGTTTAGGTGCATGGAAAGATTGTATACTGATGTAAGGTGATCACCGGGAGGAAATACAGAACTGGGCAGACACTTGTTCTTATATCTCAATTCTTTTTCTATATTTGGAGAATCCCTCTCATTATGAGGCAGAGTCTGCTACCTACTAAGTTGAAAGTGTGAAATACTTGTGTTTTCTTTTGCTTTTGTTTTTTGCAGATTCCGTGTCCTTGAGTGAGGGCTATCATCAGATGTACCTACCAAATCAAAGTCTTGGGAGCTAGCAACACAAGGACACAGGTTCATGGTGTTGTGGTGACAGATGCCAACTATGGATGCCTCCTAAACTAGCAAGAGCATTGGCTGTAGATGTATCCTCCTGTGCCCAAAGCCAATGCTAGTGGCAGGGTCAGTGTCTAGCTATGGTATGACGCTATCTTCTCTGAAGCATTGCTGTGGGTGACTTGGGGTGCTGTTTTCTGACTAGGTGGCCCTAAAGCAGTGGTGTGCTAGAGCCAGCTATACCAGCTTGCAAAAGCTGACTGCTAAATTTTCAGAGAGGCTGTGAGCCAGTTTTTAAATGTAATACTGAGAATGAAGTTATATAAACATACAATTAAATAAATTATATTTTTAAAAGTTAGCAAACACTCAAAAGCCATCATGTCCTAGTTATATTACTATTATATATGGATATAAGATTATTTACATCTATTGTATCTTTAGTGGTACATCTCTTCCCAATTCCATGTTCAATGCCATCACATTGGGAGCTTGAGACTGGCTGCAGTGGCAATATGTACACCATGAAAATTGGCAAACGCTACACAAATCAGGGCTTGATTTCTTACTTTGTTGATTGTCTAGACTTTAAGTGATGAAGAAATGTTAATAATAGAGATTAGGCCGGGTGTAGTTGCTCACGCCTGTAATCCTATCACTTTGGTAGGCTGAGGCGGGTGGATTACCTGAGGTTGGGAGTTCAAGACCAGCCTGGCCAACATGGTGAAACCCTGTCTAGTAAATACAAAAATTAGCCGGGCATGGTGGTGGGCACCTGTAATCCCAGCTACTCAGGAGGCTGAGGCAGGAGAATCACTTGAACCATGGAGGCGGAGGTTGTGGTGAGCTGAGATCGTGCCACTATACTCCAGCCTGGGTGACAGAGTGAGCCTCTGTCTCAATAATAACAATAATAATAATACGGATTAAACTTAAATGTGTGTCACTTCTACAGACATTACTTGTAAATAGCACAAAATTTAAGGAAACACATTTTTCCTGGGGAGTTAGTTTCACTGCCCAAAAGTCTCATTCTCTGATCCAGAGATTCTGAGGCAACCTATTATCCTTCAAAAATATCTTTTTCTGATTAAGTGTCAGAGTATGTTTCTGAGGACTAAGAAAACCGATGGATGCACTGCTCTATCAGTAACAGGACAGGCATCTTTTCAGTAATTTGTGACAAAAATCTCCACAATATGCCTTAGACTAAGGGAGGGCAAGATTTTCTTTCCTTGTAAAGCTTCCCAGCTTGTAACAAGAACATTCCAGCCCTTTGAACAGTAGTCCAATTCCTATTTAAAATTGTTGGTCTATACATTACAATCGCAACATCTTTTGCACATATTATGACATATCCCTTGTGCCCCTAAATTTAAGTTCATATTCTAATGTGGGAGTATTCTGCACATTTTTGAGGAATTGGACTGCTCATATTAAAATTAACGAACTTTATTTTTTGAGACAGGGTCTCACTCTGTTGTCCAGGTTAGAGTGCAGTGGCATGATAATAGCTGACTGCAGCTGCAGCCTCAACCTCGTTGGCTCAAGCAATCCTCCCACCTCAGCCTCCCAAGTAGCTGGGACTACAGGTGCACGCCACCACACCTGGCTAATTTTTAGATTTTTTTGTAGAGACAGGGTCCCACACTATGTTGCCCAGGCTGGTCTCCAACTCCTAGGCTCAATTGATCCTCCCCACTCAGCCTCCCAAAGTGCTGGAATTACAAGTGTGAACTACTGTGCTTAGCCAACAAATATTTATTGAGCACCTATTATTTGCAAAAGACTATGGCAGAAGTCGTTGGAGAACAAATCTCAAAAGTTTTGTTTCATTTTTGAAGAACTTTATTATTCAGTATGAGAGATGACATATACACAATGACTGAAGTTCAAAACAGCACATATTGGGAAACATGAAAGAGCTTCAAACTGCTATGAAACCTACCAATTTCAGCAAGATAACTAAGCAATATACCATTTATAACAATAAGCCAAGCTTGATAATAAATGTTATTCAAATATCACAGTATATTTATATAAATATATTTATATACACACATATAAATATGTACATATTTATATACACACATATAAATATGTACATATTTATATACACACACATATAAATATGTACATATTTATATACACACACATATAAATATGTACATATTTATATACACACACATATAAATATGTACATATTTATATACACACACATATAAATATGTACATATTTATATACACACATATAAATATGTACATATTTATATACACACACATAAATATGTACATATTTATATACACACACATAAATATGTACATATTTATATACACACACATAAATATGTACATATTTATATACACACACATAAATATGTACATATTTATATACACACACATAAATATGTACATATTTATATACACACATATAAATATGTACATATTTTATACACACATATAAATACGTATATATTTATATATGCATATAAATACGTATATATTTATATACGCATATAAATATGTATATTTTATATATATATATATATATATATATATATATATATATTTTTGAGACATGGTCTCACTCTATCACCCAGGCTGGCTAGAGTACAGTGGCATGCTCACTGCAGTCTCAACCTCCTGGACTCAAGCCATCCTCCAACCTTAGCCTCCCAAGTACCTGGGACCACAGGCACGTGCCAACACAACCAGTTAACTTTTCATTTTTTGTAGAGACAGGGTCTCCTTGTGTTGCCCAGTCTTGAACTCCTGGGGTCAAGGGATCCTTTGGCATCAGCCTCTCAAAAGTGCTGGGATTACAGGTGTGAGCCACCTCGCTGGGCCATAAAAGCATCAATCTTAATTGTTTTTCTTCAGTATAAGAGGAAGACTGATATAAGCCTCGGAGCCAGACAGACCTGGGCTTGGGAAGCTGCTCAGCAATTTGCTTGCTCTGGTTATCAGTCAATAGTTCAATCCAGGAAGCAGAACTCTTAGGAGTAATATGGAATAAAGGATTCATCATAGGGATTACATTTGTGCAACTGTGGGAGATAGGATAATAAAGGTCAGCAAAGGAGGGGATAGTTGGAGGAGCAGATAAAGCACTAATCTGGGAGCATGGATTGGAGCCCATATGGGGCTCAATGTTGCCTCTGCTGGAGGGCCTGAAGCCACTGAAAATGACAAGCAGGATGGGCTGTTGGCAAGGAAAACTGGACACAAAGTGGTGGAAAGCCAGAACATCTGCTTGCAGTAACACAGGATGGTGGCTTTGTACTGTCTCTCATTGCACCTAACCTGGCCCAGGATTGAGAGCACCTGACGAAGATGGGCGGGAGCGAAGGGACCTGTGACTGCAGCCGCTGCCTCATGCCAACAAAGCGAGCCAGGAGACCAGCAACATTGCTCTGCGTGCAATGGCTGCTGCTTCGCTTCTGCATTCCAAATCATGCACAGAAAGCTCTTGTGGCCAACTCTAAACAGGAGCCATACAAGTTCAGGGAATTCCAGGAAACATAGTTTCAGCTTAGCTTAGCTGCCACAATATGAAGCCACCATATTCTGTTACTTGAAGTAAGAAAACAAAATCCTCTTAGCCTCAGTTTTCTCATTTGTGAAAAAGGCATATTAGTACTTATTCTCAGAGTTGCTGAGAGGATGCATATCTTAAGGCATAGCTCCCTAGTATGTAGTGTATTATTTATCTCAATTTATTTATCTCAAATTAATTCAAAGCCTTTAATGCCAGTTTTATAATTTTTCTAATTACCCTCTTGATAAGATTATCATTAATAATTTGCTATTTTTAAAATAAATTAGGCCAGGTGTAGTGGCTTACATCTGTAATCCTAGTATTCTGGGAGGCCAAGACAGGAGGCTCACTTGAGGCCAGGAGTTTGAGATCAGCCCGGCCAATATAGCATGACCCCATCTCTATAAAAAATTTTGAAAAGGAGCCATATATAGTGGCATGTGCCTGTAGTCCCAGCTATTTGGAAGGATGAGGTGGGAGGATCACCTGAGCCCAGGAGTTTGAAGCTGCAGTGAGCCATGATGGTGCCACTGCGCTCCAGTCTGGGTGACAGAGCTAGACCCTGTCTCTAAAAAACTGAACTAAAATAATAGTATCTAATTTTCTTGAAATATGTTTTAATAATAAGTTTAGTCTGTCAGTTCCTTGGGTCATAAGTGATTCTTAATATTATTCAGAGAGAAACTCAAATGCGGCTAACATTTGTATTTATGGACCCAAACTTGAAAATAGGCCTATGATTTATATAGTATTAGTGCTCTTCTGTCATCAACAGCCTGGTCCTCAACCTACGCTGATTGGTATTTTTAAATTCCTCTGCAACTTTTGTGATCTCTTCTTATGATGTTTTCTCTTTCTTTGTGGTTCTTGAGATCAATTCACAAGGAAATCACAGTTCTCAGATCCTAGAGTTGCCAGGATTAGCAATAAAAATATAGGATGCTTAATGAAATTGGAATTTAAGATAAACAATGAATTAATTTTTATTATAAGTATGTCAAGTACAATATTTAGAACATTCTTATTTAAAATCATTCATTTTTCATTGGAAATTCTAATTTAATTAGGCACGCTATATCTCATATGGAAATCCTATCTGATTCTCTTTTCCTTCTGGGGCACCCTGGCCTTGCTAATTCAGGAATCTCTCTTATTGTCATCCCTTCTAATGCTATTTTCACCAGCAATTCCCATAGCAACTCACTTAACACTCAACATATCCCAAGAGGAAGCATGACCCGGCCCTGTACAATGGCTACCTTTTCCATCCAACCACCTATGTCTGCAGTTTTGCCATTCTTTCCATCTCTCCACAAAGAATCTTAGGTTCATTCTTGAGTGCCCCTACTTCCAGACAGTTACTGAGTCCTGTCAATTCTTTCTTTAAAGTGACTTCCAAGGGTTCACTTTCCTCCTTTTTGCTACCTTCACCTCTGCCCTGACCCCTATCTGCTTGATAGTCTCCTTAACTCCAGTCTCCTTCTTTGATCCTGTCTAAATCCTACTCATCTTCCTGAACACTACTGTTTCACTGTACTATGCTGCTTAAGAACTTACAATTGTTTGCTATTGTCTATTGTATTAAGTACTACGACTAGTGTAAAATCTTTCGCTCTTTGAATGACACCATCAAAGAAATGAAAAGACAAGTGGCAGTTCTCTCAAGAAAAAAAATAGATGACCTGAATTGTACTATATTCACTTCAAAAATAAATTCATAGTCTAAGACCTTGTAACAAAGAAAACTGCAGGCTCAGATGACCTCCCTGGTGAATTCTACTAAATATTTATAGAAAAAATAATACCAATTGTACACAAACTCTTCCAGAAATAAAAGAGGAAAGAGGTCAGCATTACCCTGATACCAAAAGCAGACAAAGGCATGAGAAGAAAAGAAAGTGACAGACCAATTTGCCTCATGAACGCACACACACAAAACTGCAACAAAATATTAGCAAATCAAGGCCGGGCACGGTGGCTCATGCCTGTAATCCCAGCACTTTAGGAGGCTGAGGCAGGTGTATTGCTTGAGCCCAGGAGTTCCAAGATCAGCCTGGGCAACATGGTGAAACCTTGTTTTTACATATATGTGTATGTATATATATTCACACATATATATCACATCCAGCTATATATGAAAAGAATAAAACACCAAGACCAAGTGAGCTTTATCCTGGGAATGTAAGTTAGTTTCAAAATTTAAAAAGCAATCAAAGTAATTCACCATTTCAACAGATGTATGATCATCTCAATAGATAAAGAATAGGGCTTTGACAAAATTCAACATTTACTCATAATTTTGAAAACCACTACCAGCAAACCAGAAATATAAGGAATATTCCCATGTTGTTCAACCTAAGAAAAGGCATTTATGAAAAACCTATAACTAATATCATACTTAATGCTCAAAGACCAAATGCTTTCCCTAAAGATGAGAAACAAGGCAAGGATGTCACTTTCACCTTCCTATTCAACATCGTACTGGAAGCCATAGCCCGTGCAATAAGGCATGAAAAATAAATCAAAGATATGCAGATTGAAAAGGAAAAAATATTAAATAAAACTATCTCTATTCACAGAAGACATGATTGTCTATACAGAAATTCCCAAAGAAGCTATAAAAAAGCTAGTGGAACTAATAAGTGAGTTTTAGTGAGGTCATAGGATATAAGGTCAACAGACAAAATCAATTGTATTTGTATATACTTGTAATGAAGAAATTTTAAAATGAAAAAATTTAAAGTATCATTTCAAATAGCACCAAAAAGCATAAAATATTTAGGTATGCATCTAACAAAATATGAAATCTGCATGCTCAACTATAAAACATTGAAGAGAGAAATCAAAGAAGATGTAAATAAAAGTGGAAATATACCATGTTTACATATCGGAAGACTCAATAGTGTTGTCATTTCACCTCCAAAATGATTTATAGATTAAATGTGATTCCAATAAAAATCCCACTAGGCTTTTTTTGGTAGAAACCAACAAGATGGGGCCAGGCATAGTGGCTCACGGCTATAACCCCGGCACTTTGGGAGGCCAAGGGAGGTGGATCATTTGAGGTCAGGAGTTCAAGACCAGCCTGACCAACATGGTGAAACCACATCTATACTAAAAATATAAAAATTATCCAGGCAGTAGTGGTGCACACCTGTAATCCAAGATACTTGGGAGGCTGAGGCAGGAGAATTGCTTGAGCCTGGGAGGCAGAGGTTGTGTGAGCCAGTCTGGGTGAGAGTGAGACCATCTCAAAAAAAAAAAAATCAACAAGATGATTCTAAAATTTATGTGGAAAAGCAAACAAAATGGAATTGCCAAAACAACTTTGAAAAAGAAGTACAAAGAAGATTCACATTATCTAATTTTAAGACTTACTATAAATCTACCATAATCAACACTGCGTGGTATTGGCAAAAGGACTGATGAATAGATAAATGAAACAGAATAGAAGATCCAGAAATAGACCCACAACATATGGTCAGTTGAAATTTGAAAAAAGTACAAAGGTAATTCAGTAGAGATGAGATAGTCTTTTCAAAAAATAGGGCAAAATAATTGAACATCCATATGCAAACACACAGAATAACAACTCATATTTCACACCATACATAAAAATTGACTTAAAATAAATCTAAAGTGTGAAACATAAAACTTCTAGAAGAAAACATAGGAGAAAATCTTTGTGACATTGGTTAGGGAATGATATTTTTAAATACAATACCAAAAGCACGATTCATTAAAAAAAAATAGTCGGACTTAAAATTTCTGCTCTTTGAGTGACATTCAAATGAAAAGACAATTCATGAAATATCTACAAAAATATTTGCAAACACATAGCTGATAAAGGACAAGTCTCTAGAATACATAAAGGACTCTCAGAACTCAGTAATAAGAAAACAACCCAATTAAAAACTTGACAAAATATTTGAATAGACAATTAGTGAAGATATTTGGATGAGAAACAGGCACATAAAAAGATGCTCAACATATTAGTCATTACGGGAATGCAAATTAAAACCACAATAACATACTATATATCTATCAAAGTGTCTAAAATAAAAATAACTGATAATACCATATAAGAAAGAGGATGTGAAGCAACTGAAAGTCCCATACAATACTGGTGGGAATGTATACGATGTAGCTACTGTGGAAAATAGTTTGGCAGCTTCTTGTAAAGTTAAACATACACACATCATATAACCCAGCAATCCCACACTTTGGAATTTATGTAAGAGAAATAAAAACATTATGTCTACACAAAACTAGCACAGAAATCTTCATAGAGGCTTTATTCATAATTGCCAAAAAGCTGGAAACAATCCATATGTCCATCAACTGGTGAATGGAAAAACAAACTGGTATGTCCCTACAATGGAATACTATTCAGCAATAAGAAGAAATGAATTGCTGATATATCAACAGGGAGAATCTCAAAAATGTTATGCTAGGTAAAAAACCAGCTGAGTGTGGTGGCTCTTGCCTGTAATCCCAGTACTTTGGGAAGCCGAGGCGGGCAGATCACCTGAGGTCGGGAGTTCGAGACCAGCCTGACCCACATGGAGAAATCCCGTCTCTACTAAATATACAAAATTAGCCAGGTGTGGTGGCACATGCCTGTAATCCCAGCTACTTGGGAGGCTGAGGCAGGAGAATCACTTGAACCCAGGAGGCGGAGGTTGCAGTGAGCCAAGATCACACCACTGCACTCTAGCCTGGGCAACAAGAGCGAAACTTCGTCTCAGAAAACAAAACAAAACAAAACAAAAAACAGACACAAAAGACTACATACTGCATGATTCCATTTGTATGATGTTCTGGAAAAGGCAAAACTACAGTGAGATGAAGTAGATCAGTAGTCTCCTGGGGTCAGGGGTAGGGCAAGTATAATGACTGCAAATGGGAAGAGGGAAGTTCGCTGGGATTATGGTGACACTCTACATCTTGAGTGTAGCGCGGTTACACAACTGCATACCTTTCCCAGAACTCATTGAACTGTTCGATATTTTGGAGTTGTAGAATTTAAACCTCTACATTCCAAATCATGTGTCCTCCATTCCATGGTAAATGAGGGTTCTTACTGTTTTTTTTCAATTTGGCCAGTCTTCTCAATGCCTTATGGACTTTGGGCTCTTTGTAGATAGATGTTTCAAGCAGAGTCAAAAGTACCACAAGTTATGGATCACTCAGACTAGAGTGTGAGACAGCAACTCCCTGAACCCAGACGAAGGATGTGCCAGAGAAAAATACGAAGACATCTCGATTTTGCTCCCTGAGATTTTCTAAAGAGCTGCTTACCAAAGGAAATGATTCAAGAAAAACTGGAGGAAGAACCAGTGAAAAGACAGGGAATGGAATGGTCCACTATGCCTTCTAAAGAGAGAGATGTTTACAAGCAGGCTGACCATAATGAACATTGGTGGGCTCTAAGATTCTTGAGGGATCAGGAGGTGAGAAGATAAGAGAATTATTGTCATCAAGGCCTTTGAGGGCATCATATGACTGCTGTTATTAAAAGAGCTCTGTAAGGTTCACTTTACAGTTCCTGATAGTGAAGAAGTGCCAGGCAGCACCCAGAAGGTTTTCGTTTTCATTTTCTAAATAGGGGCTTATGTGCTTGGGGTCCTCAAATGGTTACATCGCATGCGCACCTGCACCAGTAAAACCTCACAATTATAGAATTACACAATTTGGTTAAAATTACCAAATAAATACCAATAATGGTGCATGTGCCTTAGGTCTTAATACTTTTCAAGAGCCATGTGAAAGAGATGCTATTATTATTTCCACTGTACACTTTAGGAAAATTAGACTTAGAGAAAATAAGTCTTTAGTCCAAGGTCATAGAACTGGAAGCAAGTGGGATACTGGCATGAGCCCCGTTTTCTGTACTCCATGCACTATACTGCCTTCATTCATTGAACAAATATTCTTGACTATCTATTAAGTACCAGGTACTTGTCTAATAAAGGACTCTCTATGAGAACAGTAAAGTAAAAAAGTAAAGAAGTTACAACCTATGGTGCTTTTTTTATAACCCATATTAAAAATCCTATCAACTTCAGTATACTTTAAGAAGGTATTATAACTTATTTATATAACTTTATAGCAATCCTTACAGTTATTAAGATAAAAAACAGCTTGTTAAGCAAAGTTATTAAAATCTCCCTATTAAATAAAATTGAATACATTACTGGATAAATGCTCCCCAAAAAAGAGTTTTTTGATATTTCTTTTCAATAAATCTTGTTACAAATGAGTATGTTTTTAGAAAAACTGATATTCCACTTGAAACAAAAGATAAACACTGATACTTAAATTTGCCACTTAAACCCTTATATTTTCCAAAATTATCATTCATATAATTATTGAGATATCTTAAAGAAAAAAGAATGACTATTTTTATTCAAAGAATGGCGCAATATTCTTATAATACTCAGAGAAGTACTGGCTACTCTCCTATTATTATATTTAGCTGGAATGATTTAAAATTTTTGGCTAACATATAACTATGCCTAAGAACCTGATGACATTTCTATGTAAAGTTTTTTTTTTTTTAAAAAACCATCTTAGGAATCATATTGAATATGTTTAAATCTAGCCAAGTTTTTATCTTTATACTTTTCTTAAACTTTAATACCATAAAAGAAAGCTAAGATAAAAAGCTTAAGCAAACACAGTTAGATTGTCTTTATACTATTTATAGCAATGGACAGATACTTAAAGCTTACTTAGCTAAAGATTTAAGTCTGTTACTTTATGACATATGCTTTCCCCCAACCCCTGTTAACACGGCAGGATGTTTGCAAAATGACTACTCTCCTGTAGTGACTCTTGATTTTAACCTAACAGACTATCATTATGACTCAGTTTGAACATTTGTCATCATAGATGTCATAGTTTCTACAAACAGACAAATATTGATCATAGCAACTTTTAGAAATAGAATAAAACCAAAATGAAATTAAAATTAATTTAAAAGTATTCGTTTGAAAACACTCTTTTAGGTTTCTAGAAGCACTTTAATTATTGGTTAAACTGACTTCTAAACATCTGTATTTTATATTTTTATTTATGTTCATCTTGCTACAAAAATAATTTAAGGCAACTTTCAAAAGTATATAAAAACATATGTAAGAATATTATTTTCCTTCTATTATAATTGACAAGTGCAAAATCAATTTTTTTCCAACATTTCCAGTATACACTGTTGAAAGTTCTTTATAAAGAAGAATGTATATTGCTATTGAAACTTATAAAACAAAATATGTATGTCTTTATTGATACTTTTGGTCTTATAAAACTATTTTTTATTTCAATTCATAAACATTTTAATTATTGTTTAAGCAAAAATAAAAGTTTTCTTATAGATCTATCAACTACTCACCTATATATCACAGCTAGGCCTAATTTAAAATTTTCTTTCATTTTCAAATTCTAAGAAAACCATTTGAAAATTCAGTTTTCTTAGGGCCTTGTTTACCCACATATTTCCATCTACATTGTTATTCTTTAGCAAATTTCTCCTGTTTTTGGTCTGTAATTTATAGAGCACTAAAAGTCAAATAAAAGTTGCCAATTATCTGATTAATTTTGATTTAGAATACTGCTGCTCTAAATGATCCGGCCTATTTCTGTTAGCATTAAAAAAAAAGAAAAAAGAAAAAAAGAAAAGAAAGTTGAGTAATTACGCCAGTAATTCAGGTCCAAGTTTCTAATTACATGGACTAAACTGACTATATAAATACAATTCTCCCTTTCACCTGTTGCTAGTCATTATTTTCTTGGTGTTTTGTTACATTAAAAAGATTTTATAAAACTTGCCTCCCCATCCCCTTTCATAAAATATAGATTAAAATGCTTACACAAAGAAAATTAATTTTGAAAATAACATTTGAGAGAGTTAGAAAAACATTTATGTTTTAACCTTAATAAAACAATGAAACAAAAGTTCAGGGAAAAACTGAGTATATGGGAAGAAACACAGTGGAAAAGTTTAATCTATTTTTTTAGGTGCTTGTTTTCTCAAAACTCTGTAAAACTACTTTCTAAACATTCACCACGGTGTAAAAATCAGCTACGTATAAACAATTCAAAGTATTTTCTGAATAGTTCTAGCTATGTAACAAATGTGAAAAAGCTGAACACAATTATTCTACTAGGATTTTTAAAAATGTAGTTTTTAGACTGACTTATCCATAAAATGGCTTCAAGTCTATATTTAATTTGAAAAGGGGGATAAAATCAGTATTCTGTTGAATATAACAACCATAATAGAAAAGTTAAATTCTTTTTTTTTGAGACAGAGTCTCACTCTGTTGCCAGGCTGGAGTGCAATGGCACGATCTTGGCTCACTCAACCTCCGACTCCCAGGTTCAAGCAATTCTCCTGCCTCAGCCTCCCTAGTAGCTGGATTACAGATGCATGCCACCACGCCTGGCTAATTTTTGTATTTTTGGTAGAGACAGCGTTTCACCATGTTGGCCAGGATGGCCTCGATCTCCTGACCTCATGATCCACCCACCTCGGCCTCCCAAAGTGCTGGGATTACAAGCGTGAGCCACCGCGCCCGGCCCAAAATGTTAAATTCTTAACCAGTATCATTTTAAATATTGTACACAATTAAAAATATTAAAACACTTATCTAGGCTTTCATTGCCATGTAAGCTCTTTTGAAATATTAATTTTGGTTTAAATGCTTACTTTAAATGAGTTAAAAGTACTTTAGCTGTAAAGTCTCCTTAACTGTTTATAATGTATTTAATGCAAATCATCCCTTCTTATATACTAACTTCCATTCTAAAATGCTTCATTTGACAAGTGAATATAGTTACATTTTTCAGTTTATAAGCAATTATACTGTTACTTTGGTTTTAATCTACAAAAACCTTTATTTTTGTTTTCATTTTTGTTTGTAAAATTATAGTTCCTTAAACAAAATATACTTATTTGTACACATTTTAACATGTAAAAAGCATGTTCTCAAAATACAAACTTGAAAAAGTTACTGGCTTTCAACAATAATATCCCACAGCATAGGCCCATTTGTTCCATTTTTTGCTGGAATTCGTGAAACCAACCCAAACTCCAATTTCTAAGGTATGAAAAAACACAGAGATTCCAAATCCAGACCTAAAAAACGAAGAGACTCTGTTAGACATTCTCTGCTGTTGTAGTCTAAATGTAGGACATCTTGAAACTGATTAGATTCTGGACAAAACAGATGATCTTTCAGTCTTTTCCAAGCCTTACTAATGAAGCTTAGTTGAATTCATTGTAGCTAAAAGAATCTTGGATTGTGTCACAGAAAATAAACACTAAATAAGCTTTCTGTGACACTTCTCAGGTCCTTTCTCTCTTCCTTCCTCTTCCTCTTTCCCCCCTTTCTCTCTCTTCTTCCCTCCTTCCCTCCCTCTTTTTAAAGATATAAAACAATTTAAAGGACTGTCTGTGTACACATGGAAGAATTAGATACAGTCATCAATGTAAACTTGTTTCATGTCTCTTCTTCACTTTACCCTCCTACAGCTAAGCCATGGGCCATCCTGGCTGATACCAGATCAATGATATAGGAAACTGAAGTGGTGACGTTTATAATTTTAGTACAGAAAAAAAAATCAACCTGCTGTTGAGGAGGTAACTGTGCTTATTATCTAAATGGTCTATTTGATGGAATTTATTAGGTGATTGGCCAGTTCCTAATTTTCATATAAATTAACTGGTGAAGATAGAAATTATGTGATTTAAGAATTGAACTTGCTTTTTATAATCCATACAAAAGATAAGTGAATCATTTAAATCACTTACGGAATTTAAAGGAAAATTATTTTTTATTTGTCTGTGCAGAGAAATTCTAAGACACATAATGCAACCTGTTCTTTTCTCATTAAATGTTACATGGAGTATGACTGCTTTCTTTCATTTCTTCCTAACTTCCTTCCTTTAACTTAAAATTTGCCTTCATCTTTTGCCAAATTACATTTGTTTATTTTCATTTCTTTTTTACAAATCGATTTCTCATTTCTTCTTAGATGAAGACTTCACAATTTTGGTCTTTACAACTCAGATATTCCCCATGTGACATTAACTGCTTTGCTTAAAAATAAGGGATCAAACTTCCTAAAATACGTTTCAACATGCTACGCTGAAGTCCTAAAGAGTAGACATGACTTTTCTAATATCCACGAAATCCTTTTAAAACTGTGGACTGGTTAGATACAAAGATTTGATATTTAAAGTTATAATTTCATTCTTAGGTCTGCTCCTTTAATTTTGCCATTATCTTATACTCACTCAAGTAGCTAACAAAATCATGGCATGACAACACTGATGACAGCTCCCAAATTTCACTTTAGAAATTAAATAGTATTTTCTTGCCAAGATTTTGACTACAGAGTTTCTTATTTGCAAAGTTTAACAAAATTATGGTTTTCTAGGCCAAGGTGTGCAGATTACTTGAGGTCAGGAGTTTGAGACCAGCCTGGTCAACATGGCAAAATCCTGTCTCTACTGAAAATACAAAAATTAGCTGGGTGTGGTTGCATACACCTGTAATCCCAGCTACTTGAGAGGCTGAGGCATGAGAATTGCTTGAACCCAAGAGATGAAGGTTGCGTGAGCTGAGATCATGCTGCTGCACCCAAGCGACAGAGTGAGACTCTGTCTCAAAAAAAAAAAAAAAAAAAAAAAAGAAAAAATTACGGTTTTCTAATTTCAGGAAATGTTGTGAGATCTTATATAATAAACTCAATTTCTCAGTAGCATGATAATTTGACTTTTTAAAACTTAGATTTAAAATATTTAATTTTTCTTATATTTTGAAGTTTTATGTTTTATATTTCCCAGATAAAACTTACGAAAATGAAATATTTAAAATGGTACCGGCCGGGTGCAGTGGCTCACGCCTGTAATCCCAGCACTTTGGGAGGCCAAGGTGGGCGGATCATCTGAGGTCAGGAGTTCGGGAGCAGCCTGGCCAACATGGAAAAACCCCCATCTCTACTAAAATAAATAGATAAATAAATAAATAACATAAAATGGTACTAAATGATGACAATATTAAATAGAAATTGTACTATTTACCATTTAATATAAATTTATTCAAAAAAGTTTTAGGGGAAAAATACAAAACACTTGTGCCAAATCATAAGCGTAAGTTATCTGTTTTAGAGAACACTGTATCATTAATTTTAAACCCTGTGGTTACAGTTTATTTAATGTAATTTGTATTTCATTTCCCTCACACATTTTTAAATCCACATATGCAAATTAAACTATACAATGTGAGAAAAGGTTATATTTGTCCATATCAATTATTGCAGCAATGACTGTTTAGAAATAATTAGGGATTGGATTACATGTTTAAATTGAAAATAAAAGCTTTACTGTCCCCTCTGAATACTCAGTTTGGTGTCTCACAGTGTGATATAAGATGCAATTTGAGACCACTGAACTCTGTGATCATGAATGTGCAAAAACTTGACCATTCAAATTCCAAGTCACAAACTATGCCTTGCCAAGTTATTTAATAAAAGAATATAGACAGGTTTTATAAACTTCACTGAAACAGTTTTTGACTTATACTCTCAAGTGTCATATATAACTCAGTTAAATACTCCTTCCAACTGTCCATTTGTGGTTAAAATAGCTTTAAAACAGTAAAGACTATTTTCATTAACAAATATCTCAGAGTTTAAAGTAACCATCAAAGCATCGGTGTTAGGGAACACAGAGAGAATGGTTTCTTATTTAGAGGTAGTTTCTAAAGTGTTCTAAACTTTCTTCTCTGTAGCATATGAGCAGGCAGGGATAAAACAGATCCCCACTAGAATATATAATAAATATATAAGCCAGTTAAAACTAGTCTTTGTCTCGATGGCACTTAAACTTATTATTTTTTCTCCCCATGGAGTTCCATGAGCTCTTCAATCTAAAGGAATATCTTCCTTCAGCGTTATTTGCACAAAAGCAAAAGTACTTATACAATCTGAAAAAGAAAATATTGTAATTCATAACACTAACAAATGCAGCAATGAGGCCTGTGGGAAAAGCTGACCACATAGATCCGGTAAAAGCCCTAGCCTATTTAATTGTAATCACAATAAAGGGACCAATATTAAATTTGTTTCTAAAAATATTAACCAGTTCAAAGGATATCAAATGTACTTGAAACTCTAAAACATTGTTTAAAAAGGTAACTTCTAGTTCTTCAAATGATTTCTAGATTCTCAAAAAGAAAAATAAATTTATCAGCATTGTCTACCTAATATTTGCAGTTTAGGAGGCAAGATATATTGTTAATGTGAAGATGGTTGCATCTGTATTTTGTTGTTTTCAGCTGCACATAATTGTTCTTTTAAAAGGCTTTTGGGAAGCCAAATTTAGTTTACTGGCTTTGAGCATGCAGAATTTTTTAAAGTTTAGTCAAAGTTCCAATGCTGTTTTGAGTAAAGCAAAATTTTAAACAGTATTTTCATACTTTCAGAATATGTTCATATGTAGTTTTTCTAACATAAAATGCATTGATCTTTATGGCTGTAACCAAGAGAGTCTACATCTGGGTAGTCATGCCTTTTGATGATCATACTTCCATGTATTTCAATGACTTGTCAAAGACACACGTTTGAAACACTCGATCCTGTGCCTCCTTCAAAGGAAGTTTAAATAAATATACCTGTAGTAGGAAAATTCCGTTTTTCTAGCATTAGAACACATTATGGTGAAAATTTTTGTGAGCTTAAAATGTGCCCATCACTTAGGCCTAACACATGAATATACTTAGGCCTAAGAGGAGGAAACATTCTAAGAGAAAGTACTTATACATGGGCAACAAAGTAATATGACAGCTATTATGGAAACAATCCTTCTGAATTTCCTAACTTTCATGCCCACAAATTGACAACCACTTGTGTTTATTTTTCTTTTAAAATAATATTTTAAAATCTATGTCCATGATTAATACTCTCTTTTTTGACACTAAATTGAGTATTAGAGTTATCAACTCAAATTCTATTAGAGTATTAATAATCAACGTTACACTAGGTCATAAAATACATGTGTAATAAACATAATAAGCTTGGGTGTTGTTAATATTGTTGAACATTTACACAACTCTGTCCTGACTATTCTCTATGTAATCAGGTATCATGAAGTTTTTCAACTGACATTTTACTACTAATGAGAAACAAATTAGGAAGATGAGTGATGGGAAGAAAAGATGAACATGATTAATAGGTGCTTGTTTCATAAAGACTCTAGGGAGACTTTTAAATCCTTCACTGCTACTATATTCTCACCGAGTGAGGAGCCACTGCACGTGCCTTTTAAAGCTTTCAAAGGAGGGCTGAGTAGTTACTCAATCTGTTACTGATGCTTACTCCATTTGCATCCTGTTGTGAAATGAGGTACACTTTATGTATTGGTGCCAAGGTAAATGTCAACTGTATCCATCAAAAATTTTTAAAACAGACATCTAAGTTAGAAAAAGAAAATAATGTTTCACTTTGGGTCTAATGTTGCAAATAATCGCTCCTGAAGACTAAAACATCTTTGTTGTTCCGCATCCCTTCCCTCCACCCTTCAAGAACTTGCATTTTTTAACTTTTCAAGTGCTTTTGATTAAAAATACCTAATCTACTTTGCTTCACGGGTTTTTTAAAGAATCATTCTTGTTCTCTAAACCAACTTCGTAGAAATAGAGAGGAAGTTAAACTTTATACAGTATTTGAATCTTTAAAGGTATGAGCATCCTAAACAGTAACTCACTTCTAATAAAGATCTTGCCATTCCTAACTGTACTTTACTAAGGTAGCTGTTTAATAAAAACGTATTTATGCAGATTCTATAGAGCAACTAAAACGGGACCCATAGATGTGGTGAGTAGCACAAAATGTGTATGGCAGTTGGCTTTATTTGCAGCGGCATATAAAATTGTTAATAATCCTGTCAAATCTGTTCATGAATAATTTATTAATCCGATTGCTGGAGTGCAGTGCATACAGGAACTCTATGTATGCGTGCATGTGTACACACCCCCCATGCAGGAAGGACACTACTGCCGTATTCCAGAAATGACAAAAAAAAAAAAGTAAAAATAAGCAAGAATCACATAATTAGATGTCTTACAGTCTCATAAAAGGGCAGTGCTGCGAGGTTAAGCTGGTGAGCTAAAAAACAAACAAAACAAACAAAAAACCACAAAAGCAAAATCCAGTTGCCTGAGATCGGAGCTTCCCGCAGGATTCGCGCAGAGCGAGGAGCGGGGAGGACGCCGTTTGCGGGAGGCGGGGGCCGGGATCCCGACACCGTCCGCAGTCTCCCCGGGGTCTCTCAGGGAACCGAGCTGGTGGCCGTCCGAGGTAAGCGCCGAACCAAGGAGAAAGCGCCGAGCGCGTCCACAAAACGCCCGAGGCCGCCCTTCTCGCCAAGGCTCGGCAGCTCCCGCGGCCTGCGCTGGACAAGCGAGAGCTGGACGGAAACGGTGGGAGGCCGTAGGCGGCGGCTGGGGGCGCGGGACCCGCGCGCGGGCGCGGAGGCGGGCGGGGAGGCCCCGCAGCCCGCGCCGCCGCCAGCCGCCCCGAGCCGCGTGCGCGCGCGGCCGCATCAGCTGAGCGCGCGGCGCGTGTCACGTGGTGTGCGTGTCGAAGGTCACGGCGCGCTCACAATGGAGCTCTCGGAGTCTGTGCAGAAAGGCTTCCAGATGCTGGCGGATCCCCGCTCCTTCGACTCCAACGCCTTCACGCTTCTCCTCCGGGCGGCATTCCAGAGTCTGCTGGACGCCCAGGCGGACGAGGCCGTGTTAGGTAAGCCGCTCGGCTCGGCTCGGAGCTGGATCCGCCGGGGTGGAGGGGCGCTCGGAGAAGAGGAGCCGGCGGAGCGAGAAGGGGAAAGCCCCGGGAAGAGGAAGTCTCCGGGCTTTGCCCTTCGCTCCGGACGGAGTGTTGGGGACGTGGCTCTGCCAGGACTCGGAGCAGACTCTGAGCATTGTTTTGGCCCCACTTGGCACCTGCATAGAGCCAACTCCACGTTCCTGGCCCGGTTTCCCTCCCAGTCTCTTTGTTCTTTTGTAAAGCCGGTGTTCAAGTCTTGTTTGTGGCCTAAACATCTAAGGTGTTTAGCCTTGTCTGAGGCTGCGGCTGTTTTGACAGTTGGACTTCATCTGGGGAGCTCCCTGCAATTCAAGCTTCCAGGGCTAGGCTAGCAAAGGTTTAAGGGTCTGTTTCCGAAGTAATTACTAGGTCAGACAGTGTTGACATTTGCCAACTTAGAGCATACCTCAAGTTGCTATGATCACTCCAGCGCTCTAGTTCAGCATGTTTACACAGGTTCTACGCCTAGAACCTTAAACTATGATGCACAATACTTTGTTCCGCCCCAGTTACCAGGATGCGAGTGTCTTTTAAGCGATCCGGTCAGTGACTGCGGAGGTGCAGTGTCAGTATGGATTGAAGACATATTTTAAGACCGATCGCTTTTAGATGATTTTCTTAAATATAAATATCCCAACAATTCAAATTTTTGTTTTTTTTCTGTAGTTTCATGAACTAAACACTTGTACAAAAAGTATGAAAGTGGAAGTTCTTAAACGAAAATAGTAACCACCACCTGGGTTAATCTCAAAAAAAAAATGACTGTCAAACCCTGAAAGTACTAATATAATTTTGAAATTTGTATCTTATATTCTGAACTCATGCCCTACCTTCTACCCCCTTGATGTATTTGTTCATGGAGCCGGTTACCCTAAACTCATCATTTTTAGGATGGAAGTTTATTCTAAAATTGACACAATGTAAAATATTTATCTTGTTTTTCCTTTGAATTTACTCCAGTGTTAGAATGACCATTGCATTGTTATATTTTCTTTGGGGGCTATAATATTTTTTAATAGTAAAAATATTAAGGCAAAATAAGTTAATTGAAGCTAGTAATAGTAGAGTTCTTGTTGTGTTCTTTTTATTGTTTTTCACTTGATCTTGTTGCTCATCTCATTTACTTATAATTGACTGTCCTTATAGTTGATGTTTTTAATCTTGTTAAAGGGTTTTTAAACCCAAATTAAAATATCCTTTTTGGAACATGACTGTAAAGAATTTATTATCATAGGCATCACTGGAAGTTAATTTATTTTAGATCATCCAGACTTGAAACATATCGACCCAGTGGTTTTAAAACATTGTCATGCAGCAGCTGCAACTTACATACTAGAGGCAGGAAAGCACCGAGCTGACAAGTCAACTCTAAGGTACAGGATTTATTTAAATATCCATTTATTTTCAAATACTACCTTAATGATTTCAATTTCAGTTTTAAAAATGGAGACAGAACTTTGGCTTTTTTTTTCTTTCTTCTAGCACTTATCTAGAAGACTGTAAATTTGACAGAGAGCGAATAGAACTGTTTTGCACGGAATATCAGGTTACTTACTTTAAAATTTTTAATTAACAGTACTATTTTTCTTTTACTTTGTTTGTAAAGATGTTTTTTTTTCTTTCTTTCTTGCTTTCTTTTTTCTCTCCAGAATAATAAGAATTCCCTAGAAATCCTACTGGGAAGGTAGGTACTGTATAAGGTGTCAAGCTGAGGCACTTTTCACTTGCAGGTATGAATGGAGAGTGTTGGTGTGAAACAAGATCTTCGGGATCTTGACCCAAAGAAAAGGAGCCAAAGGGCATGTCAAGCAATTGAAGTTAAGCTCATGTTTTTAAAGATCGTTTATTGAGATGATTTTGAAATGCTCCTTTACCATTCATAATTTAAAAATAAAGTTTAACAATGGTTTAAATTCAGAATGGATTAAAATGGAGTTGGGGGTGGAAAGTAGAGCCATTCTTAGTAAATATAAATAACTGAAAAGTTCTTCTGAGGAGACTATGTACGAAGTTATCATTGCATCTTTCAGTATAGGCAGATCTCTCCCTCATATAACGGATGTTTCTTGGCGCTTGGAATATCAGATAAAGGTAAAGTTTAAGAAACTTCTCTAGCGGGGGATTTAGGGAACTTCTTAAAACCTAGAGTTAAAAGCTGTTGCGTGTTTGTTGTGTTATTTTAGACCAATCAACTTCATAGGATGTACAGACCTGCATATTTGGTGACCTTAAGTGTACAGGTATTTATAGATAAGTCTTATCCAATAATGAAATTTATAATTTCATTGATTTAAATAAACAGCGTTTCTTGTTGCGTGTTTTTTTTCCTGCCCTAGAACACTGATTCCCCATCCTATCCAGAGATTAGTTTTAGTTGCAGCATGGAACAATTACAGGTACAGTATTAGGATCTATAAATATTCCTGTCTTTTTATAAATGTTTACTTGAGAGTTATACTCTTGGGAAGTTCAAAAGAAAATTAATCTAACCATTTGTCAGCAGATAATGAAGATTGGTTAAGGATTTAATGGGAAAGGGGCATCAAAAGTAGTATTTTAAGATAGGCTTCACTTGAAATTAAGATGTTATTAATAGAGAATTGGTCTGTATTTGCTGTTCTTGCTGATTGAAATAAACTTCTGTAGTGTTTAGTGTAAATTTCTTCTATTCATGATGAGTTTGGTCCAATAAGATAAACAAAATTAAGAGCATGGCTTTGAAAATGTCTTTGCTTTCAGAAATTGAATTAAACTGTCAAAATTGGATTTTGAAACTTTTTAAATGACTTTATAAAGGGGGAAGTATACATAACATTCTAAAACTGTTTATATTGCCCATTTAAGACTGGGAAAATTCAAAACTACATTTATTAGTGGATATGACAACGAATTTATTTCATAGTTTTTAAAAAATGAAGCTCATTACTGGAAATTTAAGTGAAATTGAATTTTTCAAAGGCATCTTCTGCAGAGTCGTTTTAATGTAACTATGAATCAAACTTTCAACTTTCAGAAAATGTGTATACAGCATAACCTTTGTTAGATAACTTGAGAAAATTCAGATGTATCTGGGCGGTTAAGGATCCGGTTAGAAATCATGTTTCAGTGTGAGGGCAAATAACCGATTTGAACATGAGGTATTTCCGAGGAAACGCTTTTTTTGCCCGATAGTAGTTTGTCAAAAGTTAAAATCTTGTTGAATTTTAAACTTGTTTGGAAGGTGTGTCCTGATTTTTTTTCTTGCATCTTTCTTGAGCTTGGATACTTCTTTCCATGTTTTATCCTAAAAACGTGGTATTGTATACACGTCTTTTAGGACTTGGTGGGGAAACTTAAAGATGCTTCGAAAAGCCTGGAAAGAGCAACTCAGTTGTAACTTGGGGAAGTTAACGATCCGCCCGAGTGCAGAGGAAAACCAGAAACGCCTTGCCTTCAGCTGAACCACCGTTTGTGCGAGCTGGATGTCCTTTTCAGTAGAAAAGAATTTTCCTTTTGAATTTATACCATTCATCAATTTTGACACTTTAAAAACGTGTGAAAGGGTTAAGAGGGAAAGATACTGCCCAAGTATTTGAATCGTTTAGTAGTAACTGTCCATTTATCCTATTTTGATCTTTTTCAAGTCTTCTGAAAGGAAGTAGACAGTATTACACCCTGAATAAATAAGGTGTTGTTTTCCACAAAGAGTGATGATATTTTGTTTGGATCTGAGTTCGTGTGTTATTACTTTGTGTGAAGCTAGATAGGAGTAGTGTGAACTTTTAACGATAGCCTTTTCTCAGGATTAAAGTTAAACACGGAGGAAACGATGCGATCTCCTGGGTTTGTCGCAGACCCCTGCTTCGGGGCTCCGGGGGCGGGCGCGGGCGGCTGCCCGGCCCGTTACCTGCGCCCGAGGGCTCGCCCACAGCCCGACCCTCGGCCGCCCGGTCCCGGCCCGGCGCGGAGCCCCTGCCCGGAGCCAGCCGTCGCCCGCGCGCGCCCCGCCTCGGCCGCCCGCGGGCGGGGAAGAGGCCGGCGCGGCCGCGGGCTGGCGGGCAGGGGCGGGCGCTGTTGTTTCCGCGAGCCCAACTTGGGCGCAGGTTCCGCGCCGCGGCGCCGGAGCCTGGGCCGCAGCCCGCGGGGCCGGCCGGGGGGCGGCGGCCGCGGGACGTATGCGCCCCGGGAGGAGGCGGGCGGCCGGGAGAAAGAAAGAACGGGGGGCGGGGTGGGCTGCGCGGCGTGCGGGGCCGGAGCGGCGGCCGCGCGGAGCAGGGCGGCGCGTGTGGCGCTGTGGAGAAATGTCTCCGCCGCCGCGGCGCGGAGCGAGGGAGGGGGCCGGGCGCGCGGCGCGGAGGGGAGGGGGCGGCCACGGGCCTGACTACACCGACACTAATTCCCAGGCCGCCCTTAAGGAATGAGGGGAGCACGTGACCCGCTGGGGGGGCGGCGGGGGGAGGGGGCGGGCGGACTCCGAGCCATTTTGGAGCCGGTGTCAGTTTCCACTCTGCCTTCAGCGGTGCATTTTTTTCCACCCTCCCCTCCCCCTCCTCCCCTCCCCCCGCTCGCACGCACACACACGGCGCCCCCCGCCCGCCCGCCTCCCCCACAGCAACTATGAAATAATCGTAGTATGAGAGGCAGAGATCGGGGCGAGACAATGGGGATGTGGGCGCGGGAGCCCCGTTCCGGCTTAGCAGCACCTCCCAGCCCCGCAGAATAAAACCGATCGCGCCCCCTCCGCGCGCGCCCTCCCCCGAGTGCGGAGCGGGAGGAGGCGGCGGCGGCCGAGGAGGAGGAGGAGGAGGCCCCGGAGGAGGAGGCGTTGGAGGTCGAGGCGGAGGCGGAGGAGGAGGAGGCCGAGGCGCCGGAGGAGGCCGAGGCGCCGGAGCAGGAGGAGGCCGGCCGGAGGCGGCATGAGACGAGCGTGGCGGCCGCGGCTGCTCGGGGCCGCGCTGGTTGCCCATTGACAGCGGCGTCTGCAGCTCGCTTCAAGATGGCCGCTTGGCTCGCATTCATTTTCTGCTGAACGACTTTTAACTTTCATTGTCTTTTCCGCCCGCTTCGATCGCCTCGCGCCGGCTGCTCTTTCCGGGTACGTAGGAGGCGAGGCGCCCCCGGGACGGGGCTGGGGGCCGGCGGGGGCCGCGCGGGGCTCGGGGCGGCCGCGGGTGGAAGGGGAGCCCCCCCCGCGCCCCGGCCGCGCCGCCGGGAGGGCGCTGACAGCGTGGGCGCCCGGCCCCGCGCCCCGCGCCGCCCGCCCCGCGCCTGCCGGCCCCGCGCGCCGCCCTCCCCGCGCCCGCGAGCGCGCGCCCGCCGCCGCCCGCCGACTCCCGCGGCGCCGGGACCGACCCGCAGCCCGCGCCGCGCCGCCGCCGCCAGCAGGGCTCGGCGCCGCTCCAGCCGCCGCCGCCCGCTCAGCCCCGGCGCGCCGCGCGCGGCCCCACGTTTTAGTTCCCCGCTCCCCCGGGCGCCCCTCCGCACCCTCGCGACGCACATGGCCCCCGAGAGGAGTACTGGTATTTCCAGCCTCGGCGGCTCTCCCGGCCGCAGCGCCCTTTGTTGAGAGGTAGATTTGGATGAAACGGGGACGGGTTCCTGAAATCGGGAGCTGCTTGGGTCAAGTGGCTTCCCTCCTCTCCCGAAGAAAGGGCTCTGGAGGGGCTCCAGCAGCCAGAGAACGCCCCCATTTTATAGGGACGGGTTGCGTGGGGGGCGGCCATCCCGCCAAGGTGGGTGTTAGGCTGGAGAGAGCCCCGACGAAAATGTTATTAACTTAAGTTGGGGGGACACTTGTCTGAGATTGGATGGCTGGTAAGATGGCGGTTCCCAGTTGTTTCCAAGGTCTCCTGCATTTGTGTTTAAAATGCTGAAGTTTTCAAGGTGGTGTGTGTTGGGAGTCTTGGATAAGTGCTCTGAACATCGCTTGGGAGGTGCTCCCTGGGAAGTGGGCATTTCAAATTTGGAGCTTTTTGTGGAGTGAAGATGGTGACTGGACGTTAGCTTTGCTGGAGGCTTGCTTTCTCACTACTTCTTTTTCTCCTTTTTCTTTTTTCCCCTTTTGGAGACTGCAACTTTTCTCTCGACTTCTACTAAAGGATGCACTCAGCATCATGACTCCAGTCCACTATCTTTTACAGGTTTTGCTAAATGTCAGCATAGGTCATTTGGCAAAGGGATGCTTTAGAAAAGAGCACTAAAAAGTTGATTGCATATGTTTACGCAGTCACTTGGGCTTGACAGTGATATGGCATGATCTTTTTCCCAGAGATTTACAGTTAATAATTGGAAGTAAACAAGTAGAGAGACTTTGATCATTACCACTTGCAATAAAAGGATTTAGTGGGCTTAGTGGTCACGGTTCAATATATGAAAGAGAAGCATGTATTAACCCCTTCCCTTAATGTGGGCAAAATTCCGAGCATATTTATCCAAATGCAAGTGTAGGTTGGTGGTGTGTACAACGTTATGAGTAGTTCAACCTATATTTTATAGGAACCTTAACTCCCATGTTCTGGAAACACATTATAAGCTACACTAAACAGTTGATATTTAAGGATGCAAATTATTGACAGTATATAACAAGTTATGAGACTCTATATGTTAACATTTGAGTTTTAAGTAGACCGATCAGAAATCCCTGGGATTGATTTTATAAACAAAATTATAAGTTTTTAGATTTGAGTTAATTCCATACATCTACCCCAAAGTGTAGTCAGAAGTGTTTGAAATAACCTACTTGTGTGAGTCTTATGCCTAGTAAAATATCTTTAAAGCCATATACAAGTCACTTTGTATGCATGTATACACATAAAGCTTTTGTAAGAAAATTAAGCATTTAATTGTACATGATAAATCCATTAATACTCTATCACTAACTTCTTGGATGTATGTTAAGTGTGCAGATAGGCTTTCTCCCCAGGAGTCAAATTAACCCCAACTTTACCCATGCTTATGTTGGGCTGTGAACCCCAACTGGGGCTATGGAGTTCATTTGCATTTCTTAGATTGCAGTAGGCAAGCTGATGGTTAACATAAGAACTTGCTTCTGTTTTCCTTCATTTTGACATTCCTGGTGTTAGGCCTCCACCTAAAAACTGACAGCCCCAACTGAGTGTGTTACAATGGCAAGTTTTAACGGTTGAGTATTTTTACCATGATATGTTTGGTGCATTTTTGTTTGCTTAACTGGCAGTTTCTGGGTTGGAACCTGGAAGGTTTTCACTTCTGAGGTGGAAGAGATTGTTTCTCAAATCTTATCAAGCACGTCAAACACTTTGGAAGTCTTCATTAGGTTGCCACTACTTTCAAAGGGCATAAAAACATAACTGATTTTTATATAAGTAACAGTGGTATTTATTAGCATTATAAATGGTCACAGGATTGTGGCCAAATTCTTCTGAACTGAGGTAGAGGAATTGTGTGAATTAAGACTTAAGATGAATTTGAAAGACTTTTGGTCAAGTACATGTGACTTAAATGCTCAAAGCCAACCGGTAGATAACCCTCCACTGAGGTTTGATTGTTCTCCTTGTTAATACTTGTCTTTGTGTGGTGTTGGTTTTCTGCAAGCTAGAGGAGAAATAAAGGCAGCTATTTTTATTGGAGCCCCTTCATGAACTTCGTGATCGGTGGTTTTTTAGTGCAGTATGCTTTCACAGGCAAACAGAAATATCAGCTTGCTATCTTTCTAGGAAAGATCCTGTGGTTTCACAAGGAGAATTTTCTTTAAGCACCAAGAAGGCTGTTCTTTAATTTACCAAGTATAATTTGATTTAAATATTGCTACTCTTTAGGGTCATTGCTCTACCTACAACTCCTCCGTGCCCCGCTTAGATTTATGTTAATATGTTGACAATATTCTCCAAAACAAGTAATCCAGAGATAACTGAGGAGTCAGTCACACAAGAAGTTTTCTGGTAGAGGTCGCCAGTTGCCACTGTGGTCACTTTCATAAGAGAGGCTTTGTTTTGTTTTTTACCATTTTCTAGAGGTTAGCTCTTAATTTCAGCCATTGAGCTGTGTTGATTGGTGTTTCCCTTTACTGCATTAATACACCTTAGGAATTAAAACCGCAGGTATATCTTACTGCAAGTTTCAAAAGGTCCTGGATTTCCATTCAAGGAAGATTTGAGAATGTACTTCAGTGAGGTCTGGAAGCTTAGTCTTATATCAGGTTCTGAAATGAATGAAGAAGGGGGGTTGAAGTTTATTTTTCAAGAATACTACACGAAGTATTTGACTTCCCTGACTGTCGGCTGGTGTATTGTTGCTGACAGTTCCCCATTGTGACTTTCCTGTAATAGAGGTATCTGTTGGGAATATCATTTCATCGTATGGGGGGTTTTACATTTGTTTTTCTCTCCTGTCGCTGCTTTGGGTTGACAAGCTGTTGATTTAGCGTTGGAAATGGGCTGGTCACATGGTTCTGTACATATTGTCACTATTGTACCGATTAAAGTACTTTTTCTTGCCCCCAGCATAGTTTGTCCAAATAAAACACTGGGCTTTGCCCTCTCCTCTTCTTGTAAAACAGATTTCAGTTTTCAGCCTTTCCAAAACTTTGTATCGCTCATTTAATCTACAGGAGAGCGTCACATTAGAGAAGGAAGTTTTAAAGAGGTTCGGTTCAATAAACATCTCTGCAATTTGAGCCCTGACGGTTTCGGGCTAAGTGCACAGTTGGCAATTCTCAAAAAATCCCTTCGTGAAATTTCTGACCGAGTGATTGCAGACAGGACAGACCGAGAGAGTCGAGATCTGAAACCAGCTCTGCGCACCAAGTCGACGTGAAAAGAGGCCCCCGGAGTGTCCGAAATGGCCGGGAGTGCGGTTTGCATTTTCCTTTCGCGGGCGCTGCCGCAGGCTCCGGGGTCCCCGCCGCCCAGGACTGGGTCCCTGGTCCCCGATCCCCGCTCCCCGCTCCCCAGCGCTGTGGCCTCGTGGGGCTGCCCCGCCCCCCCGGCGTCGCCGCACCCACCCCGCCCCCGCGCCGGCCCCGCCCCCGCGGCGCGCCGCCCCTCCCCCGCCCGCCCGCCCGCCCGCCGCCCCGCACGCCCGCCGAGGCTCGGGGCTCGGGCCGGGCTCCGCGCGGAGTTGCAGCGGTGGCCGGATGCCAAGTGTAAGTGTAAGTTGCTATGGAAACCCCGACCGAGGCGAGTTCCGAATCCGGAGCGAGACGGAGCCCCGGGCGCCGCCGGATCCGCCCCTCGCATCCCGGCCCCCGGGCGTCCGCCGCGCTCAGGCCCCGGCCCAGGCCGACTGGAGGTGCTCCTCCTGCGGCCCCAGCACCCGGCTCCGGAAATGCCAGGGATGCAGGGAGGGCAGAATTGTTTTCCCTGCGCGTCGCGTAAAAACGTGCCAGGTTCTGCTTGCTGGAACCGTCTAAAACAACCGGAACCCCGGATTTTCACTTGCAGATTCTTGAGGAAGTTTTATAATAAATTCGGAGACCTGGAACAAGCCCTAGTGGTTGGTAAATATCCGCGGGGATTGTGTGGCGTCTGCAGCAGCCTTGGGGCTGCTGGGCTGGAGGACAAATGGAAGAAAGAGACCCTAATACGCTCAGCTCCCAGCCCCCACCCCAGACTTTCTTCTACCTACAGGAATGATCTGAGAGACCAGAAGTAATGTTAGTTGGATCCTTTTGCATCAGTTTGGTAGAACTGATTCCGATCTGATGAGTAAATTCCTTCTGTAGAAACGTTAGGACAGCCCAGCTGTACAGTGTTAAATGAGTTTTATAAATTCAGTGTTTCAGGGTTTGTGATTACTAGATGATCTCCATTCTTGTTCTGTGAATTATGGCCATTATTTCTGTGTCTTGCAGGATTTTTTATCAAGCAGAAATGCATCGAACAACGAGAATCAAGATCACTGAGCTAAATCCCCACCTGATGTGTGTGCTTTGTGGAGGGTACTTCATTGATGCCACAACCATAATAGAATGTCTACATTCCTGTAAGTACCGAGCTTTAGCTCTCTTTTGTATCATGCGTATTTCACAGTTCGACCTGGAATTTGAAAACTGTTAATGATTCCTGCAATCTGTGGAAATGTTGGTACAAAGTGGTGAAGGCATTTTCTTCTCTTGCATCTAATGACTTTTTGTTAATATGTATTGATTGTATTACAAGCATGCAATATATGTGTTCTCAGGATATGAATTAGCTTATTTAGTTGGAAATGCCTTTCACCATCTTGTTTTCTACTAGTTCTGGGTTTCTAACACCAATGATTTATCCACTCATTTCTAAACATAAAAAAACTTCACATGTTCTACTTCTAGTCTGTAAAACGTGTATTGTTCGTTACCTGGAGACCAGCAAGTATTGTCCTATTTGTGATGTCCAAGTTCACAAGACCAGACCACTACTGAATATAAGGTAGGAAACTGTTGAAATTCCTTGTTTGTAATTATTATTGGAGTTGTATAATTTACTGAAGGCAACCCTCTTTATTTCTTCACAGAAAATTTACTCTTGAATACATAACTAATATGTGTGTGCTTTGTGGAGGGTAGCCGTTTAATTTCTTGCCATATTAATGGTGACCAAGTTTAGACAAAGTTTAGTAGTATTCAAGTGATTTTAAGATTTTTTTTTCCTAACTGTCCTTTAAAAACTGAGTTAGTTCACCTTTTTTGCATTGCTTTATGGACTTCATGACAGGCAGGAATAAATATTTAAAAGGGCTTCCATTCCTCTTTATTCCCTATTCATATTAGCTAGTTTAGTAACTTGAAAGGCACACTTCTTTTGACAGAGCAAATGTGAAGAATTTATTAGTGAATATAAAATATTTTTCTACTGATTTAAAAAGTGCTATATACAGAGAACTTTTATTCTCATAGTTTTTATCTTATCAATAATAGTTATAGACAGCATCACAATCAAGTAAAATATTATAGCACAAAAGAAGACTATAGAAACTTATGAACATTTTTAGTTCTTGCCATCTGAATTCATAGTTTTCTATTTTAATTATTTTTCAGGTCAGATAAAACTCTCCAAGATATTGTATACAAATTAGTTCCAGGGCTTTTCAAAAGTGAGTAACTTGCTTAGAAAATGAATTTAAAGAGATTATTCATTAGTTCTTTGTGTTATGCCAAATGTTTACATCTTTTTTCCCCATTCAGATGAAATGAAGAGAAGAAGGGATTTTTATGCAGCTCATCCTTCTGCTGATGGTAAACCTTTTAGGGGAGGGAAGACATTTTATATGGGGGGAGAGCTTATCTAGGAATTAAAATGTATTAAAATTGACTTTACCACTTCCATCCTCTTATATATAAAATTTATTAGGCATCTGATTTTTAAAAATTACATTTCACTATATCGTTATAGCTGCCAATGGCTCTAATGAAGATAGAGGAGAGGTTGCAGATGAAGATAAGAGAATTATAACTGATGATGAGATAATAAGCTTATCCATTGAATTCTTTGACCAGAACAGGTAAAATCTTTAGGCAATTTATTTTATGCTAATGTTTTATTAGATTGTTTCACTAATAAATTTTCTCTTTATTAGATTGGATCGGAAAGTAAACAAAGACAAAGAGAAATCTAAGGAGGAGGTATGTTTCATGTTACAAAAACATATAGAAGAAACATTGTTTGGAATCCAGATTTTATCAGGGATTGTGTTGCCCTTTAGAATATTAGGCTGTTAAATAGAAGAAAATGGTCATGTTTAATGTTTAAGAAAGGTCTACATGTGATATTTAATAATTAGAATTTATTTTATATATGATTGTTAGTCTTACAAAATATTTTAAGTAGTTCACAGTTAATACTTTGGTATGCTTGAAGATTATATTAGGAATCTGTTCATTTAGTATTTGTAATGATAGTAAACTCAGAGTGTAATTAGTTGAGAGGTTGGTCACCTCCAATTTTGTTTGATACTAGTATCTTTTATATTCAAGCAATCAAATTGAAACTTTCTTCATATCTTAAAGTAACTGAAAAAGTTACTTTTCTAAATGTACTTTTAGGTGAATGATAAAAGATACTTACGATGCCCAGCAGCAATGACTGTGATGCACTTAAGAAAGTTTCTCAGAAGTAAAATGGACATACCTAATACTTTCCAGGTATCTACTTTTATATTCTTCTTGCATTTTACATAGATTTTACAATTTTAATTACATTTTTCACTTTGGATTTTGAACCCAAAAAAGCAATAGAAAAAAAATGTGAAGTTAGTGCTAAAGTTGAAATTTATCTTAAAACATTTGGTATACATTCTCTTTTATGCTATGAAAACAAATCCCTTAACACTCTCTAGAAATAATTTTTTCTCATTTGAAGTTTCAGGAGTCTTTCTTTGTTAAAATGTTTGGAGAATATGTTTCTTAAAGCACTTTTGGATTATATTTAAATGACAAAAAATGTACATTTACCTTTGTTCTTTTATTACTTAATAAAAATATTTTTCACTAGATTGATGTCATGTATGAGGAGGAACCTTTAAAGGATTATTATACACTAATGGATATTGCCTACATTTATACCTGGAGAAGGGTAAGTAGCATATCTGTTGTTAGATTATGATGGTAAACTATATTTAAAGAATTAAGAGTAATTTTTTTCCTTTTAACTTTGTAGAATGGTCCACTTCCATTGAAATACAGAGTTCGACCTACTTGTAAAAGAATGAAGATCAGTCACCAGAGAGATGGACTGACAAATGCTGGAGAACTGGAAAGTGACTCTGGGAGTGACAAGGCCAACAGCCCAGCAGGAGGTATTCCCTCCACCTCTTCTTGTTTGCCTAGCCCCAGTACTCCAGTGCAGTCTCCTCATCCACAGTTTCCTCACATTTCCAGTACTATGAATGGAACCAGCAACAGCCCCAGCGGTAACCACCAATCTTCTTTTGCCAATAGACCTCGAAAATCATCAGTAAATGGGTCATCAGCAACTTCTTCTGGTTGATACCTGAGACTGTTAAGGAAAAAAATTTTAAACCCCTGATTTATATAGATATCTTCATGCCATTACAGCTTTCTAGATGCTAATACATGTGACTATCGTCCAATTTGCTTTCTTTTGTAGTGACATTAAATTTGGCTATAAAAGATGGACTACATGTGATACTCCTATGGACGTTAATTGAAAAGAAAGATTGTTGTTATAAAGAATTGGTTTCTTGGAAAGCAGGCAAGACTTTTTCTCTGTGTTAGGAAAGATGGGAAATGGTTTCTGTAACCATTGTTTGGATTTGGAAGTACTCTGCAGTGGACATAAGCATTGGGCCATAGTTTGTTAATCTCAACTAACGCCTACATTACATTCTCCTTGATCGTTCTTGTTATTACGCTGTTTTGTGAACCTGTAGAAAACAAGTGCTTTTTATCTTGAAATTCAACCAACGGAAAGAATATGCATAGAATAATGCATTCTATGTAGCCATGTCACTGTGAATAACGATTTCTTGCATATTTAGCCATTTTGATTCCTGTTTGATTTATACTTCTCTGTTGCTACGCAAAACCGATCAAAGAAAAGTGAACTTCAGTTTTACAATCTGTATGCCTAAAAGCGGGTACTACCGTTTATTTTACTGACTTGTTTAAATGATTCGCTTTTGTAAGAATCAGATGGCATTATGCTTGTTGTACAATGCCATATTGGTATATGACATAACAGGAAACAGTATTGTATGATATATTTATAAATGCTATAAAGAAATATTGTGTTTCATGCATTCAGAAATGATTGTTAAAATTCTCCCAACTGGTTCGACCTTTGCAGATACCCATAACCTATGTTGAGCCTTGCTTACCAGCAAAGAATATTTTTAATGTGGATATCTAATTCTAAAGTCTGTTCCATTAGAAGCAATTGGCACATCTTTCTATACTTTATATACTTTTCTCCAGTAATACATGTTTACTTTAAAGATTGTTGCAGTGAAGAAAAACCTTTAACTGAGAAATATGGAAACCGTCTTAATTTTCCATTGGCTATGATGGAATTAATATTGTATTTTAAAAATGCATATTGATCACTATAATTCTAAAACAATTTTTTAAATAAACCAGCAGGTTGCTAAAAGAAGGCATTTTATCTAAAGTTATTTTAATAGGTGGTATAGCAGTAATTTTAAATTTAAGAGTTGCTTTTACAGTTAACAATGGAATATGCCTTCTCTGCTATGTCTGAAAATAGAAGCTATTTATTATGAGCTTCTACAGGTATTTTTAAATAGAGCAAGCATGTTGAATTTAAAATATGAATAACCCCACCCAACAATTTTCAGTTTATTTTTTGCTTTGGTCGAACTTGGTGTGTGTTCATCACCCATCAGTTATTTGTGAGGGTGTTTATTCTATATGAATATTGTTTCATGTTTGTATGGGAAAATTGTAGCTAAACATTTCATTGTCCCCAGTCTGCAAAAGAAGCACAATTCTATTGCTTTGTCTTGCTTATAGTCATTAAATCATTACTTTTACATATATTGCTGTTACTTCTGCTTTCTTTAAAAATATAGTAAAGGATGTTTTATGAAGTCACAAGATACATATATTTTTATTTTGACCTAAATTTGTACAGTCCCATTGTAAGTGTTGTTTCTAATTATAGATGTAAAATGAAATTTCATTTGTAATTGGAAAAAATCCAATAAAAAGGATATTCATTTAGAAAATAGCTAAGATCTTTAATAAAAATTTGATATGAAAAGCACAATGTGCAGAAGTTATGGAAAACCTATAGAGGATTACAACAGGTAAACGTTAAAGAGAATACATTGCTGACTTATAGTGATGTGGCTAAGAAGTACATGCTTTGTTGTAAAATTGCTTGAAAGCCCATTGAAAGATGTATCTGTTTATTTACAGTCTTTGAAGTAAAAGTTACCAATGTTTGCCAATTTTGGTGAATTTAACTCATTTTCTAGGCTTAAGTTTTTCATGATGTTTAAGACAAAGAAAAGTTAATGGAAGTGTCAAGTGATATTTTTACCTTGGATGATCATTTGTATAAAGAATGAAAAAATATTTTTAAAAGGCTAAAAACTTTAAATGCTAGTGGACTGTCATTTGACTTACATAAAACCAAGTTATCAACATGGAATTCAAATTTTACATCTCAATCTCTTTATGATGAATTTATTTTTGAAATTGCTTATTAATCAGATACTGCAGTTATGGCTTACTTAGCACTAACCATATGTGAAAATGTTTCCATTTATTTGAAAAATGATTTTTTTTCCTCCTCAATTAGAAAATGGCATAAGCTTAAAAGCATATTTCAGCCAAAATTTTTTCTGTTAATGAAAGATTATAATGTTTTGTATTCTTAAATAAGCAGCTATTACAGTTTGACAATTGAGATTAAAAACCTTTGCTAAATTACCATGTTAGAAATTTTCAACCTTATGAAAACCCATATCAAAAGCTGCTAACTTTGTAACTTTTAGTAGTCAAAGCAGGGTACAGGAAAAGTCAGCTTTAAGTTTGACTTTTGCTTCTGAAAATATTCTAGAACACAAAGTTAGTGCTAACAAAATATTTCAGAGAAAATGCCTAAATTGATTTTACAGATTTTTAGCTTAAATGCAAAGAGAAAAATGAGGCTGGTTGCTGTTGTGTAAATAGTGATCTATCTTGCTTTACACATGCATACCATTTTACAAGTACTTTTTGCTTTTAAAATTGCCGGCCGTTAATTGCACTGCATTGAAAAAACAACTGCCCTTCAGTTGTCTCAACCTTCCAACCATATTGCTATTTCCATATCCATACGTGATAATATTTGGACCTCTGGAGGGAAAATGCAACAGGCAGAGTAAGCTGGTAGGAACTTTCCTTCATCCTTTCCTCTTTTCCGAATATTTTGAAGGTGCAGTTAATTTGTGAAGTCTTGTTACACTCATTGTATGGGCCTATTAAGGTTTTGTTATGAAAACAATAGGAACTTAAATACCCATGTGAAATGCGCCTTGCATTGACCAACACGAAAGGAGGACGTTTGGTATTTTAAAATAGTTTATTTTATGGTATCTTTTGAGGGGATAGGATTTACTTTTAGAAACAATCTACACATGGAATCCAGTCTCTTAAAATCCTGGGGTGAAGCAATTGTTAATTTTTCCATTTCTCTTTGTATTTTAAAGGTTTGATAAATGATTTAGATCTTTTTCTTCCTAATACACGAAGAATGATAGTTGGAAATTCTGATTTAGTTTAGTACTTAGTCAGAATGGAGGCCCCATAAGATTTTTAAAATACTTTGGCTGTTTTCCCCACACAGTCTTCATTGCATTTTATCCAAAACAAAAAGGTCTTGATCAAATTACATGAAAAACGACTAGACATCATTTTAGATCTGTGCTGCATCTAACAGTATACTAATTAAAACCTTTCAAAAACCGTCTATGCCTCTAAGACACTAATTTGGTGCAAAGATCACTGAACCCAGCTCCAACTTAAAGCTCTTGAGATACATGATTTCACTTTAGGATGTTTCTTCATGTACAAAATGAACACAAACACAGGTGATAATTTCTAAGGTTGCTCTAAAAAAATTGACTCCTCAAAAAAAAGCCCTTGAACTAAATTAGGACCACAAACTTCAAAGCGAGGAGCCGAGTTCTTTACAAGGAATAGAAGGAGATATCCATATATTCCAGCCTTGCAGAGAATCAGATTTGCAAATACCCACCGCGAAGACCTTGAGCCAGCCGATCTCCCTGCAAATCTCAAGATCGCCCAGTTTTGATTATGAAAGTCTTCGAAAATGTTTACACAGTTGAGTGTTTCCTGTTTCCGCAGTTAATTTTTTTTAACGTTTTTTTCTTCTTTTGGTTCTTGAAACGGATTTCCTTTATTTGCACCAGTTTCTTTTTCTTAGTGTGCAATTTCTAGAGGTCTCACATGAAGAACTTCACTATCAACTCTGTCTTCATCAAGTCGACGACATCAGAAGTCATGTTATATTTATCACTGGAAAGACTCCGCTGTAGCACTCTTGTGAGAAGAGTTCTGGAGAAGTTCAAGTGGAAAACTCATTCGGAAGTCGCTTTAGCCCTCCAAATAAATAGTAAGCGCTCAATAAAAACTTCCAACAAAGGAGTTAGAACTACTCTCATTCTTCAGCCCCTAGCCTTTAAAAATGTCCCTTCCGGGACTATCCGAAGTCACTTTCATAAATAGCAGGTGTTGTTCCCTACATTTCAGTAAAATGCTACTTCTTGCTCTGATTGTCAGGTCATCATGGAATGCAAACTTCACCGTGGACGTGATTTCAACGTTGGTGCGGATTTGGAGATGTCCAACTCTGTCCTCAATTAGCCAGAACTCAAGTTGAGATAAGAGACTTGGGAGGCTGCAGACCCAGGTGATAGGGAAGCGCGTCGGAAAGTGGGATGCCAGGAATGGGATGGTGGCCGAGACCGACACCGAGGTTAGTGCAGGTGGAGAAGTAGGTCCAAAAGCCCAAGTCACAGGTCCGAAGTCCTCAGGAGCGGAAGATCTTCCAACTAAGCCGGAGAGCGGGGCGCACCGCACGGCGTGGAGCATAACGCCCGGGCGAGGGTGATTGGGGTGGGAAACTCCACTGCTTTCCAAAAAACAGGTTTCTTAGGTTCTAGTGCCCGGTGGAAAGGGCACAGTACACCGGCCTGGGGGAAATCACCTGACTTCTCCTTTGGTAAAGGCCCCCTTACCAACGCTGCCTCTCTGGTAAGGGGGTCCTTTACCAAAAGACACCTTAAAGAAGAAACAGCCTCTCTCCTTTTCCTTATTTTCTAATTAGCATCTTACAGAGGAGTGGAAACAGCTACAGCCCAGTCCCCTGCTCAAAACTGCGCCACCCCAGTTCGGCCCTGCTGGGCGCGCGAGCCAAGGCCGCGGGGCACCGGGAGGCCATTTTGCGCGTGCGCTGCTCGCCTCGCGCCGCCCTCGGCTCTGCGGACTCGGATCCCGCCAAATTTGAACGCGAGATTGTCAGGCCCTGAGGGGCTTGAGGGGCGGGGGAACGACGCCGCTCTCCAAAGTTGGACCCCGTGGCGAGCGGCGGCGACAGCCGGGTGCTCGCTGCCTCCCGAGGTGCTCCCTTTTCCCGCCGAAGCCCTCCACAGCGGCAGGCCGAGGCGCAGCGACGTGTCCCTGTACCCCGAGTTCAGCGCGGGCGGGAAAACGACCTGCACCCGGGGAGGCAGCGGCTTCGCGGGCAGAGCCCACGGGAGCGCGCCCTGCTAGGAGCCAGGCCGGATAATCGCCTTTCTTTGTCCTCCTCCCTCTTCGAGTCCAATCAATGCCCTTTCTCCTTAATGAACGAGGTGTCCTTGGAGTTTGAGGTTTTGTTGGATGATTTTAAATAAAATTATTAAGTTATAAAGTGGCCACCCTGAAGGTTCCCGAAGGCGACTTCATGTCTGTGACTGGAAAGGCCTAGAGGAGAGGGTCCTCCCGCTGGGCTCGTTTAATAGAACGCGCTCGAATCCCCTGGGAAAGAGCCTTGACTGGGTGACAGGGCTGAGGAGGGGTGGCTGCGCGGCGGGAATCTCAAGATCTGGGCAAAGGCTCGCGTCTCGGGACGCGAAGTCGACGCCAAAATGGGTCCCCGGACAAGGCGACCCTGGGAGTGCCGGCGCCCCCGGCCGGGCAGAGGAGCGGGTGGGCCGAGGCTGGGACATCGCCTCCGAAAGCTGCCGGGACGCGGCGGCTTCCTGCAGAGCCTGCGCCTGCCGGATCCCCAGAACACAGAAGCTTCTCGGACATGGGAGCTCCCCGTGCGCCCTAAAACCAGGAGAGGAAGGGACGACTTGGGAAAAGGGACTGGGGAAACAGCGGAGAAGTGAAAGCGGCCTAAAATGGGCGACGGCGGGCGAGTCCTCTTTATCAGTGCAGCAGGCTGCCGGAGCCGCCATTTGGTGGCGGATCTCGGTAGTTCAGTAGCACGTTGTGCTGAACGTCACAACTGGCTTGTCTACGTGGCATCGTCATTTCTTAACCGCGGTTTTACGAAATGCAAATTTCCCCCTGGCCTTCCTCCTCCGCGGCCGTCGACCCCCCTCGGCGCTCCGGGTGGACGGCTCCGGGGCGCGGCTCGTCCCTCGGGTGGTGCAGCCCCCGCGGCCCGAGACCCGGGGAGGGCCGGGGGTACTTTCTGCGAGGCGCCTTCCCCGCGGCTTCTGCCCGCGCCAAAGCCTGGTGGAATCCAGCGCAGACCTAAAGCACGCTTGACACCCCGATTTTTCGAGACTAGGACGACTCTCTGAGCCAGCAGCTTTCCTCTCCCTCTCGGGGAGAATCTCATTTCCTTGGGGTGGTGAGGGTGACGGGCACTGTCTTTTGGCCCCGCGTGTCCGTTCCCCGGTCTCCCGCCTCACCCCTCTGCGAGGTGAGGAGGGGAAACGGCGAGCTTAGGCCTGGCGGGAAGGAGCCTACCCGACGAGAGGGCTCCGCGGGGAGGGTCGGTTGGAATCCCGCCCTAGCGCCTCCTGCTCTGCCCGGTCCCCACCGGGGACGGGGAATGCCAGTCATTTCTGTTGAGTGCTAGCAGGGCCGGTGTCACCACCTCGGGTGGCCGAGGCTTCGAGGTTTTCATGAAAAGCCCCCGAAGCGTGAGGCGCCCGCCCAGTGGAGAACAAAGGGCCGAGGGCCGAAGGCGAGGCGAGGCAGCGCGCGCGGCTCCCTTGGCTCGACCTAGCTGGGAGTCGGGGGCGCGGGCAGGGCTCACTCCCGGCCTAGAAACTGGAGCCCGCCACCCCCGCCCCGCAGGCGACCGCAGGGATCCCATTCTTGGAGCCCGAGCTGCCATGTTGCCTTCGCGGAGGCCGCCAGTCACTTGACGCTTCCGAGACAGCGAAGCCCCCAACCTGAGAGCCCTTCGGCCGTCTTTGCCGCACAGCTGCAGTCAAGGCCCGGAGGGACTGCGGGACGCGGGCGGGAGCGAGAGCCCTGTGGGCTGCCAAGCCGGCGCGGCCGCGCCGCGGCAGCCGCTTCCCTTGCCACCTTCGTTCCAGGGGCTGCGGGGCTGCGCGCTCGGCAGAGGCTCGGTTGCCAGTAGCAACCACACGACGGCGATTTGCAGCCAGGGCCGCCGCCGCAGCCGCTGGTACCTCTGCCTCCTCCTACACCTCGGGCTCGAGCATTTGAAACCCTGGGGGTTGCCTTCGGTGACATCTCCCGCCCCCACCTCCAGTCCTCAGTCTCCAAAATCCTCAGCTCTGCTCAAAAGCCAGCGCCCCCGGCTGGGCCCTGCCCCCACCGCAGACAATAGGAGCGGCTGGGAGCGCACAGGGCGGCGCGCGCCGCGAGCAGCGGGCACCTGAGCCCCCAAATCCGGGCGCGTCGCTGAGTCTCAGCCCCAGGTGCCCTCTTCGCGGAGTTGATCAGCAATTCTTTTTCAGTGGCCAATTAGAAAGCTTTTCTTGACATCAGAAATAAGGGTGGTGCCAAAGAAAGAAGTCAAACGCCCACTCCCTTTCTAATAACATCGACACAAAGAAGAGCTCATGGTTGCGTCTGCGCTTGGTAACAGTGGCTTTCCTCTGGGTTAGAGCCACAGGCACAAGCACCCGCTGCTATCTTTCTTCTTCGCCTACCATGAATATTTTGCATGAAATCCAGAATGTAACCATTTGCGTTGACTTAACTGTTGCATCTGGATACTAGTTATTTATCAGTGGATGGAACACTTTTTTTTCCATTTCATTGGATGATCCGCATCAACCCTTGGCAGTGTGGACTGCGTGGTTTGAAACATAAAGAAAACGACTGGTATTAACCCTTGAGGATCTACTTTTTCTGTGGCTCTAGAACACCAATTTAACTTTTTTTAACAAGAGAACTCTTGTTAATGTTTTAAGCAGGTTTTATTGAAGAAAAGTCCTTAGAGTATCTAGCTAAGTCTTTTATTTAGCTACTAGGATAACTCGGGAAATATGTGCATTGCCAAATTTCTTCGCTCTTAATAATTGTCCCGGCTTTGTTAGCTGAGTGGTCTTAATGGGTTAAAATTTCTTGTAAATCACAAATGTGCTGAAATTTCCAAGTTTAAAGCTCCCTGAGGATAAGCACCTGCCTTATTCATCTTTGTAAGCGTCAGAGTCCTTTGAACATAACAAATATTTGTCGGACTTCCAGGGAATTTCAGAAGTCTCAACAACTCTTATTAGGAAAAAAACTAACTTACTGATAACTAGCAGAAAGCTTGGATATCTTTAATGAACTCAATGAAAAGCTAAACAATTTCCAAGCTGGTAGCATTATCAGATATTCTCATTCATGAATATTTAACTTAATTATATTTCAAATGCCATAGATTGTATGTTAAAATATCTGACACATGTTTTCAGGATTCTAAGGAGAATGACAAATTGTACATAAGAACTTGAAACTGCTAATTTCTCATCTAGTGTCTAAAAATTTGGTTAAATAGCCACAAGTAAGGTGCAACTTTAAAGTGCTTTCATACTTTCTGATAGCACAGACATGTCATTAACTGTCTTTACAGCTGGACAGGAATGCTTAAGGATCTAGCGTTGGATATTGCAAATCTACTAAGACAAGGCACCTTGAAATATCCTCTTTAATTTAAATAAGCTTTAAAGCATACTGAAAATAGTATGTCTCAATCACAAGTGATGGTAAACTCAAATTAATGCCTCCTGAAATGACTCTTAGGTATATTATTAAAAGAGGTTCACCTTTAAGCTTCACAAAATATCAAGTTCATTAAATAAGACAGTTTACCTAAAAGAAGAAAGCACTGCTTGGTTCCTAGAGGGAGCATAACGACCTGTAGCTTGCCAAACCACCCCCATCAGCACCTTAAAAATAGGAAAGCAAGGCTTTAGTGAAAAGTTCCTTGCTACGGTCTTTCAGGAAAGAAAAGCTCCAACAACTTGCTTTGGACCAAGTTAAAGAGATTATCTCCCTTTTTCATTACGACTGTCTTTCAATGAATTGAAGGATAAGATCAAAGTGCATTCATATTCATGTGAATTATCGCTATTGACTTGAATAATGATGGATTTCATTGTTTTATTTAAACTGAAACCAGGAACGCTGCTGCTTTTGAGGCTACACCCCTAAGGCTGTAGAATTTCTTCTCTGAGAACTCAAAAGCCAAGCAATTAGGTCTGACAACCACGTCATTTCCATAATGTACTTCCGTACAGAGGACTTTTTATTGGAATCGGTTACATTTCTATAGAATCTTATTACCACTCAATTTTTGACTTCTTTCCAACCTTCTCAACAAAACTCCTAAGTTCGGCAAGTACACTTCCAAAAAACTTATGAGTAAATTGTACTGAGAAGATACAGTGATGTTTCAGAAGCTTTTATTAATAGCTGTTCATGAATCAGACAAATTAATGTTATCAGTAATTACCTCAGGAGAGTGTTTTTGTTTTGAACATGATACATTACAGTTTTTCTAGGGTAACTGAAGAACTCAGTTACAGTAAGCTTGGGAAAATGTGTTTACCAGCTGTTTCTTTCTAAATATGCCTCATGACAATTTTCTTAAGACATTTTCATTGGGGTTTTCCTCAAACTGTCCCATCATTTTCTAAGGAGATGGAAGTTACTAGATTCAGTGGAACTCCCCCTCACTTTCACCAAGTGATCACTCTGCTCAAATAATTCTTATTACAATGCTTATCAGTTTGGAGAACACTTTTTAGGAAATTCATTACAATAAAGTAAGCTTGTCATTGAATTCTGCAAGCAACCTTTAAAATAGACTTAGGAAACTGCATTTTCCTGAACTTTAATATACACAATTTATATAGCCTCTCTAAACCTAAAAAGAGACTCTAGTGCAACAAAAGTCTATTACATTATCATGGTCTGCAGTGGGTTCTGGGAATATCCTTTCCCAGAAAGAGAACTGATTCAGTTACTTGGTTTCTCTCTTAAACTTCTGCCATACATTTAAGGCATTACACATAAACCACATTTTAAAAAAAATTCAATGTTTTTCTATTCAGTTGGGCTACAAGAGATCTCTATTTTCATTTACCCATTGTGTGTTTTTAGTATTGCAAGACACTCTTTAAGCCAGGAATTATTAGTAAATTGTTTCTCTTTGGGATATGACCATATATATATTGAAATTATTTGCATACGTTCAGCTTTACTTGTAAATTTCTAAGACTGTTACCCTTGACTTATAAGTAAAATGATAAGCAATTGCATATTATTTCACTAGGGCAAAAAAAAAAAGCATTCCTTGAATAAAAAGCATTTCTTTATAATTCAATTCCTTAAGACCAGATTTGTCTTACTGATGGGAAAAGTATTAGTATTTTCTTCATATAGGCAGTTCATCTTTTATATCGTTCATATAGGAACTTTTATTTTTTCACCGTAAAAAAATTAGGTAATATTGGAGTAGGAGGTAAAGTAATCCAGCTTTAGCAATATTTAGATGTTTTCTCTGAAATGTCAAAAAGCAAGGGTCCAAACTGTAGTGCAAGCATCTCCTCTGAAAGAATGAGATGTAGTGCCACCGTGTCCTCGAATTTAGCCTACGTTTTAGCGGAGCTCACTCTCGGCTCAGATAATCTCTGGGGAAAAAACGGACAGATAGAGTGGTTAAACAGGAAACACTATTTTTTTTTTTCAAACGTTTGAGAAAACTTGAAAACCATCTCTCGGTACTTTTGCAGTAATTTCCAGGAGTCAGAACATACAGTCCATTATTCTTCAGAGTAACCAACGCACAAGACATTTTGGCTTGGGACTTGATATCGCGAAATGACGTCAAAAAATTAAAAAAAAAAACGAAGCTCGCACATGCGCAATGAGGTACAGCTGCTTTTTATTTTTTTGTCTGTATCAGCTATTGGCTCCTATCCCCGCCTCTGGGATCCGGCCTGCGCCGCGGGGTCCTAGGGGGCCAGCAGCTGTAAAGCGGTACGGGATTCCGCACCCTACTCCAGCAAGAAAGAGCCTGAAGCCCCTCCCCACCTTTCCCGGCCAGGGCGCTCTTCTACGTCCCGCGCGCGGACAGCCGGGGCGAAGTAGGCCGACCGGCGCGGCCGCAGCGAGTTTTCTGGCAGCGCTAGCGCCGCGGGGCCTGGGTTCCCGGGTTCCGGTCTCCGCCGGCTCCGGGCTCGCCCCCGCGAGTTGGCCGCACCGTTCCCCCGCCCGCGGGGCAGCCGCTCCTCCGGGAGGCTCCGGCAGGGACCTTCGCCCCGGCCCCCGAGCGGCAGTGCGGCTCCAGCTGGAGGCCTGGCCCGGGAAGCAAAGTGAAAGGACAGAGGCCTCCTTCCTCGCCAGCCGCCCGCCGCGCCTTTCCCAGCTCAGGCCGGCGGCCCGCGGCGCGGAGGGAGCGAAAGAGTCGGGGCCTGCCCCCTCCACCGCCCGCATCTCGGCCGCCGCACCCGGGTCCGCCCCGGGAGGCCCCGCGGGAGGGAACCCCCGGCCCGCTGGGCGCTTCCGCACTGACGCCTTGGGGCCGCGCGCCCCCGCCCCTTCCTCCCGCTACACCCGCTGGGCCCCCGCCCGCGCTCCCGGCCTGCTCCCAGCGCCGCCTCCCCCGTTAGAAACTTCGCAGACACCGCGAAGCTGCTCTTTGGAGTTGGAGAAACTTAGGAAGAATGGGAAAAGCCGAGGAAGTCGGGGAGGACCACGTTCTTCCCTTGCCCTCGGCCCGACACTCCTGTCCACATTGGACGCGGCAGCCTGCCAGCGCCCAGGAGAGCCGACCCGGTGGACACCCCGCTTGGGGACCTGCCGGCGTCCGGCTTCGGCTCGAGGCGGGCGGCCAGCCGGGGCGCAATCCCCACGGGACACGCACCTAGGGGATGCGTGACCCGGACGCGGGCTTGGTGGGCTCTCTAGAGTCGTTTCTTATGTGGCACTTTCTGTCTTTGTCTGCTGTGTCCTGCACTGATTAAAGGGTGGAGAAGATAGTACGGACCTTCTCTGACACAAGTCCAACAACGCCAACATTTTAAAGGGGTGGGAGGTATTGAGCGGGAGGGCTGACCGGCATCTGGAGCAGGGCGCTTAGTGTTTTCCAGCTCGTGATGCAGGCTTTGGGCACAGTTTTGAATTACTTAAGAAAACGCACGCAAGTCCAAACGGAAGATATTTATATCACACTCACACACCAAGCTCCAATAATTTGTTTTTATGCATGTCACCACCGCCTTAGAAAACGGCATGCTGCATTTCGGACTTATACATTGAAAGCCCCCATTTTTAGTATCAATCACTTTGCACTACATGGTGCCTTTTGGGGAAGCAAAATTATTCGTGTGTGGAATCCCCCAATCACGGGTTTCTTTGGAAGTGGAAAAGATTAGTTCCATCTCTTCATCCTCTGAATTACTGGAAAGGAAGACAGGTACAGGTATATATTTAGGAGTTTGGGGCCAGTTAAACCACTGTCATCTTGACATTGACCTTAATACTAAAAAGAAAAACTTTAAAATGCAAAGAGTTGACTTTAAAAGGTTTGAAAAGCGAAGAATAGGGAGTAAGGCATAAACACAAAACATGCATAGAAATTTCAATCTTCCCTTCCCGGATGGAAGTGTGCAAGTCTCTTCTGCTCTGCTGACAAACTTGATGAAATAACTGGGTGGTCGGCTCAGACCTAAAATCCTGACATTATTTCCCAAAAGAGGCGCGATGCACCATTTAAGATAGTCATGTTTACTTTCATCATTATAGGTAATATTTCTGTTCCACCAACTTGGTTATGGACTAAGTAATGCCTTTATTTTTAATTCCAGTATGTAACTATGAATTATTTTAGTAATTTTAAATTTAGTGTTTGCAAAATGATTAATGTAGTCTCATAACTTCAGTAATTACATGCAATTGCCCGTTGAATGCCTTCTTAAATGCTAACAATGATTTTGGGGAAAAAATTATTTTAGGGGAGGGAAATTTCATAGCTGCATAGAACTCAGCTAATTTTTATTAAAAACAAGAAGCCTTTTGTTATTTAAATGATGTTTTAGGTATTCTCACTTCTTCGCCTACTTTACCATAAGTCCCTCATCTTTGCCCCCAAAACACTAATAGCACTTAGAGCAATTACAGCCCTTAAAACAGTGGCAGACTGCAGTACATGCCCATTGAATGAATGCAGGCTGCGGTATATATGCTGGTAGAATGAAGTGATGTCTATCTGCTACTAGACTTCATGTCCTGGAAGAAAGGCACATTCTGTTATTAGCAAGGTGTTTGACACACATTAATAATGAATACGTGTTAGGCTTGATGCAGAATATATATAAACACTTGATTCAACTCAATGACAGTTTTAAAATGCAGATATTAATATCTAATTAGCATATATAAATCTTTAAATTTTAAAATTCAGCTAGGAACTGAAGAAAAAATACATGGGTGTTAAAATTAGCAAAGCTTCTTTTAGGTATGTATAGCATATATTCCCATGATAATAGGATTTTCTGAATTCTCAAAGGAGGTATGCAAAGAGAAACAACAAGATTTTAAAACTGGCTTTATTTTGTTGTCATTTTCAGTCTCATTTTCATAAATAAAGGAGGAAATATTTGAAAAAGTGATTTTGAAGTTACATATTATGATTAGCGTTTTACAAAAGTAGCCAAAGGCTTCCAAACAAACCTTTCATGGAAACACTTTTTTGCAAGTTGTTCAGCTAATGGTTCATTCTCAATCAAATGTATAGTCTTATGTGCCAGTTACATTGTATATCTCTAAAGTCAGCTGGTACTTTAAGAACAGTAATCTTCCTGTAATACTTTTTAAAATACCGAAGTATCCCTTTGAATTGTTTTCTTTTTCATTGCTTAACTGTTAGTTTAGAGGTGTGTATGTGATCATGGGACATTCATTTAACTTTAGAAAACAGAATAGTATTTTGTTTTAGAGTTAGTACATTGAAAAATGGGTCAGAAAATACAGATTGGTTTTCTTGTCAGTAAAAGTAATCTGCCATATTTTATGCTTGAATTACTAATAATTTCACTTATATGCATATTGTAATCACTCTGTGTTACATACATTTCTCCATTTAGTTTTTAAGATTTTTTTAAGAAGGAACCTAAAATAAAGAGCAAAGATCAAGCTTCTTTAATATGTCCAATTTCAGATATGAAGTAGGCATCCTATATTATGTTTTATCAGGAATAATACAATTTAACTAAAAGATATTGTTAATAACAGATACTCAGACTCTAAAGTAATTTACATAGCTTTTGAACGTATGTTTTCAAAGAACTTAGTAGCATCCCATACTGTGTTATGTTTATAGGTTTAGACCTCTCCCCCTCTATTGAGCTCTTAACACTTTTAAAATGGAAAACAAATAGTAAAGCAGTTGCTAAAAATGGCAGTTGGAGTAGCTTAAGAGTTTGAATTGTTTGTTTAAGGACTGAAACCAAATATAAAAACTTTTAAGGGGATTTTTTTTCATCATTCAACAAGGAACTGAAAATTACAAGGCTTATTTGCAATCTTAATTATTTACTCAATCTGTTTCCTCCCACGTCTCTAAATGGGAACGCATAACTTTAATTTTAAAGGACATATTCCCATAGGGAAATATAGATATCACTGTAAAACTTACGACTTTGAATTAAGTAAAAAGATTGTGGCCATCACTGGCTTTTGAGCTGCAGAAGCAGAAGACATGTACCTGCCCTTCGGGGGTATTAGGGACCCGACTAAACACACTTATTCTTCTCTCTGATTGCTGGACCATTCCCCAACTATTTGGAGCTCCACAAAGTATCAGGACTTCATCAAGAGCTCAGTGAAGGGTGAGATCTCAAAGATAAATATAGAGGACTCATTCCAAATATAGAACCAGTTAAGTTTGCATGCTCCCTTCTGTTGAAGAAATATCAAGGGGTTTCCTGTCTTGGCACTACTTAGCAGCAGCTGCGGCTATGTATCCACTTGACATCTGGTGAAATTGTAGTTTTTGATGGAGGAACATTTAAAGTTGACAACTGTCATTGAAACAACTGGTATATAGTTTTCAAAGACAAGCTAGAAACCAGTAATAGACTAAGTACTTCAATTTTGTTAAAAGAAACTGGGTAAAGGGTTCAAGTTATATAAGATAGGGAAGTCTGGTTTTCCAGGTAAAGGTTCTCTCTCTTTTTCTGTTGGAGATGTCATTCATCAACATAACGAAGCCTAAATTTAAAAGACTAAGACAAAATATTTACAAATCACATAAAAGTGAGGAAACAGCAAAATTAGTAGTCATTAGGAGAAAGCCAGGGAAGACAGGACATTCATCACATCCTTTCCTCATCTGCTTTCCTCACTGAGTCTCTGAGTGCTCATTAAATGCTTTCAATACAGTGTAATTAAGTGTGTGAACATGGTTGTCATGCTCCTCCAGGAATCTTGAAACCAGGAATGCCAGGTATATAACAGCGGGTTACAAAAGAAAACACGGATTCCTAAATCAGTGTTTTACTGTCAGTGCAGTGTTAAATGTCAATGCAACACTTAAGTTGCATTGACATTCATGTGTTGATCGGATTGTACAATGTGACGTGTGAGATTTCTCGGGACCGTCGAAGCTCAGACAACTCCAGGGCTGCAATTTACTCGTCTGGCTGCCCTCGAACCAGGCTCCCTTGGCGCGTGGGGCTCTCCCGGCGCTTGGTCCCGACCCGCGCCGCAGTCAGGATACCACGGCAATCTGGGGTCGCTTTGTAAGGAGCTCCGACCTCCGGGCAGTGCAGGGATACTCGACGGCGCGCGATGTCCCGGCGGCTCCGCGAGCCTGGCGCGCTGAGAGCCCCAGCAGTCCGAGTCCTCGAGCTCGGGCGTCTTCGCGCCGCCGCCCCGCTCAGTGCGCCCAGGCACCGCGGCCGTGACGTCACGCCCGGGACTGGCCGTTGCAGCAAGACGGCCGCGTTCCGGTTCCGGTAGGTTGCCCGGGAGACGCGGGTACACAGAGAAGCGGCTCCCGTCGGAGGCCGAGTCGTCGCCACGATCGCCCCCTTGGTGGACTCGCAGGCCGAGCGGCTTCCCCGCAGAGCTCGAGGAGGGCAGACGGCGGCGGGGGCGCCATGAGTCAGAGGCAGGTGCTGCAAGGTAGGGCCGAGGCGGGCAGGTGCCCTAACTAGCTGGCGCCGAGGAGACCCGGGTGCGGTGGGCTCCACCGACTCTCTCTCCCGCAGTGTTCGAGCAATACCAGAAGGCCAGGACCCAGTTCGTGCAGATGGTGGCGGAGCTGGCGACTAGACCCCAAAACATCGAGACGCTGCAGAACGCGGGTGAGCCCGGAGCCCGAACCCCCGTCGCCCCCCGCGCACTGAGTCCCCGACGCCTCCGCCCCGCTGCCCTGCCCGTGGAGCTCTTGGGGAGCCGCAGTGTGGGGACCGGAGTTCGCAAAAGCATCCATTCTTTTCAGCGGGTCTTTGGGGGTCAGGCCGAGAGGGTGAAGCTTCCAGATGGTTGTGGGAGGTGCGCGTTGTCCCTGTTTCCATCTTCATTGCACACAGGCAAGTGTCAGGTTGAAAGTCGAGGCCCTAGGAATTGCCTGGAGTCATTTTACGTGAATGGGACTCTACCCTAATGAGACCCATTTTATCCAAGTGCCATTTTGCATGCCACCCTGCCTTTGATCACCTTCGACTTCCTCACAGCAAAGCAATTCCAGTGGTTTAGACGTGATTTCTCGTCTTGCTTTAGTGAAAGGGGAATGATATGCTTGAATCTTTTCCAAGAAATTCCAAGTAGGTAGAGACCAGACTTTGCGAAATCCTTATGGCGCGTTCCTTCTACTCCTCAGTCCGGACTCTTGCAGATGTGAGAGGGGGAGAGAGGGGGAGAGGGAGGGAGAGAGATCTTCTTATCTCATAACATAAACTGATAAGAGAAAATGGTTCTTCTTCTTCTTCTTCTTCTTCTTCTTCTTCTTCTTCTTCTTCTTCTTCTTCTTCTTCTTCTTCTTTCTTCTTCTTCTTCCTCTTCTTCTTCTTCTTTTCTTCTTTCTTCTTTCTTCTTCTTTTTTTTTGGATGATTCTACCACCATCTGAACTGTAAGGTAGCATTTTATCACTACTGTGTCATGAGAAATCTTCAGTTTATAGGATGTGATCTTTAAAACTAACACATAATTTAAACAATTAACATGTTGACAGCAAGAATACTTAAGTGTAATGATTACTCTGGGTTTCTTTGAGGGGAATTACTACTGCACCTATGTGATACTTCGTTTTGTCACTAGGATTTTTGGCATTTATTCCTTGTGTGTTTTTATTGGGGGGCATGTATTTACAATAAAGTATATTTTATAATCTTCTAAACGCATTTTAGTTTGAAATAATTGTAGATTCACAACTGTAAGGGATAATACAGAGAGATCCCGTGTACCCTTTTCTCAGTTTCCCCAATGGTAACATTTTTCAAAACTGTAGTGCAATATCACAAGGAGGACATTGACATTGATAAAAATTCGTTGATCTTATATAGGTTTCCTCCTTTTAATTGTTCGTGTGTGTGTGTGTTTTGTCCTATAGAATTTTATTCCGTGCGTATCCACCACCAGCACAGTCAAGATACAGAACACTTTCATTGTCACAAGGATCCTCTCTCTTGCCCTTTTATAGCCACACACACCTCCTGCTATCCCTAACCCTGGACAACCACTAATCTCTTCTCCATTTCTAAAATTTTGTCATTTCAGAATTGATAATCCTTTGTTCTATAGTTGTTTTATATGGGTTGATTTTCTGTATTCTGTGTGTGTGTATGCACCCGTACTCCTCCAAGTACCCAGAACAATACTGGGCACACAGTATTTCATATACACAGACTAACACAGACTAAGGTATTAGAACATGTTACATTTTAGAAGTGTATTTAAAAGTAATTTTAAAGTGTAAACTTTTAAAGTTTTTTCTCTCAGTCCCTCTCAATGACCTTTGTGAATGGACATTTACTACTTAACAAAGATTTAGTTTCTGGACAATATGAATATAGCCAAACTAAAACTTTTAAAATGGGAAAATAATTGATATTATTTTCAAATTTTAATACTGAGATGTTAAAGTATACATAACTTTTAAGATACGGAGTATCATGTTTTAGTGAGTAGTGGCAGGTTAGCTCCTCCCATAAGAGTGCAATGTAGACTTCACAATGGAACTTAATCCAAATTGACTGTATAAGTGGCTTAGATATAAGATTCTACACTTATGGTCTGGCTTAGGAAAGATGAATACGAAAGGAATATAACTTTATGTTTTGAAATTCTCTGCACTTGACTAATATCTGGGTAGCATGCTAAAATGTTTCTTTTCCTGAGGGACTTATTTTTAACAAATTTCATGTTATCGAGATTCAATTCAAGCATTCCTTTAGCAATTTTAAATACAGACATAATGAATATTCAATGTATTTATTCTTTTGATTAAAAAAGAACCTGTAAACTTTGTTATGAAAACTTTTCTTTCTTTCTTTGAGACAGAGTCTTGCTCTGTTGCCAGGCTAGAGTGCAGTGGCATGATCTCGGCTCACTACAACCTCCGCCTCCCAGGTTCAAGCGATTCTCCTGCCTCAGCCTCCTGAGTAGCTGAGACTACAGGTGTGCGCCACCATGCCCAGCTAATTTTTGTACTTTTAGTAGAGACGGGGTTCCAGCATGTTGGCCAGGATGGTCTCGATCACTTGACCTTGTGATCCACCCGCCTTGGCCTCCCAAAGCACTGGGATTGCGCCCGGCCAGTTTTCTTTCTTAATAGTCAGTTTACTTAACCATTCAAATGATTTGTTCTTTTAAAAAATTACAATTTTAAAAAAGGGCTTTAGAATGAGCCTCAGTATGTGTAAATCAATTATACATTATGGTCAAACTTTTTTTCAGTCAAATGCCTTCATTTGGTAGCTTCAGATACCAATGCATATTACTCCTGACTTTGACATACTGTCTACATACCTGGAAGATTTTGTTTGTTTTCTCATTTTTCCCTCCAATATGCTAAGTAAATATATATCATGGATCCAAGATAATGTAAAAAATATTTTCCATATGGGTATCATGATCAAACCAGTAATTCCCTTGTTAAGAATTTTTGAATTTATTCTATGTGAAAGGAATATTAAAGGTGAAAATTGTCAATGGAGTTTTTATTTCATTTTAAGTCTCCAATCTTTTTTATTGTGTTTTTTATACACTAATAAGAGAATTTGCTTTATTAAATATGTCCAAAGTAATTGCCAAAGCAGACAAAGTATGTTGCAAGATCTTTTCTTCAGAGTTATTTGGAAAAGATTAAGTTTGATTTCCTTCTTTTTTGTTTTCGAGACAGGGTTTCACTCTGTCGCCCAGACTGGAGTGCAGTGGTGCTATCTCAGCTCAATGCAACCTCTGCCTCCCAGGCTCAAGTGATTCTCCTGCCTCAGCCTCCTGAGTAGCTGGGATTATAGGTGCGTACCACCACACCTGGCTAATTTTTGTTTTGTTTTGTTTTGTTTTTTTAATAGAGAAGGGTTTTCACCATGTTTAGCCAGGCTGGTCTCGAACTCCTGACCTCAAAGGATCCACCCGCCTCAGCCTCCCAAAGTGCTGGGATTAAAGGCCTGAGCCGCCACGCCTGGGTAGTAAGTTTGATTTCTAAACAAAATTATTACTAGAAAGAACGGTGTACAAAGCATCTATAACCTTGAGGTGTTTTTTTTTTTCCTCACTGAGGTTTTATTCCTCTAAATTAAAAGAACTCATATGAACAATTAAAAAGTTTAATGTCTGTTATAAAATTTCTTTATGTACTCTCAAATTCTATATGTTTGAACCATTACCTCTTGCAGCTATTTAAAAACAAATTTTGATACTTCCCGTCTGAATAATTAGTAACACATGACTGTAATAGTAGAGATAATACATTGTTACTTCTACCAATTGTAAAATTTCAGCAATTGGAGGTGTTTTGTTAGTTATAAAATATAAGAAACATGTTTTGTGGCTTACTGGAACACCAGGCCACTTTTAGTTCTGTTTAGGAGGTCTTTTGAAATACACTAATAGAAGCTCCAAGAAAATGACTTTTAAACTTAGCTATATAAAATACACTTTTCCTGAACCAGCTATTTATATAAGTGGGGTAAAGTTTAAAATATTACTCAAAATTTTACATATTACAACCTATAGTAGAACATAGCAAATCAGTAGTTATGCACATTTTCAGAAGAGTAGGAATAAATAAGTTTGCGTAACACTTTAAATGTGCACCTGTATGAAGCTAATTTTCAGATTGAGGCAACTTAATGGGTTCAGAATTCAAGAAAATAAGTCAAATATGCTGTTGACATAAAGTGATTTTAGATTACATGTATCTGGAGCAGGGTAAAAGCTCCAGATTAACTATCTAGTACCTCTTAATATGCTATGAGAAGGAAAAGCCCTGAGTAAGCATTTATCATGTATTTAAGACATACCTTGATATGTACATGTGCTATGATCCTCTTACAAACCTGCTGTTTCAAAGGATATTGAAACTGAAAAGAAAATTAACAAAGCAACTACAAAAAATTTAACCAATCATGCTATTTAAATTTGACTTTTTTTTTTTTTGGTATAGAAGGAGTCTTAGCAGTTGTGAATATGAACGATAATGAACTCAAAACACTGACTTCTTCTTAAAAGATAGGGATAGAGAGGTTTGCTACATATGCTTAAGTGGAAAATATGCCAAGGAGCTATACACATTCTGTCTTTGTATATGCACCAAACAATAAGTTCTAAAAACAAAAGCTTAGTCAGAATTTTATTCTGTGTTCCAAACCACTGTTCCTACATGGACATTGATCTGTTTTGTTAGCTGAGCATTGGTACATAGTAGAAAATAATAGAGTCAGGGTTAGGCTCTAATTGTTTCCTTAGAAAAAAAATGGACAATTAAAAAAAACTAAGCTGTAGATGAGCCTATAAGAAGGCTTACAAATAGCAAATTTCATAGGTTAAATTTTACAGATTAAAGTTTTGATATTTTCAAAAGTTTTTGAAAAGTTATTTAGGTATGCCATAATCCTACTTTACATTCGAATGAGGTTTCAGGACCTTTGCACTTCTGCCTGAAATCTTTCCCTATACTTATTTGACTAACTAATTTCTACTCAGTCTTTATGGCTCTGTTTTGGTGTTGATGCCTCAAGGAAATCTTGCCTGAGCCCTCACAGTAAATTAAATCTCTTGGTTTATGGTACCCTTGCTCCCAGTATTTTTGTTTTCCCCACTAAACCCACTAACTCCATTATGCTATGCATAAATTCCATGCATAGCATAATCAAAATTATTAAATAGGATGAAGGAAGGAGTAACTGAATGAGGAAGAAAAGTTTTTGGAAGTAGTAATTGTTTTCACATCCACAGTTTGGATAATTGTTCTCTTCACAAAGTGAGTTAGGCCCCAAACTGGAACTAGAACTCATTTTTAATACTGCCTCATTTTGTGCTCTTTCTACTTTAACTTGTACGTATTAGTAAACTGTTTTATGTGATTCTAGGAATTCCTAATAAACCTTGGTTTTAACTGTTGAAACAAGTCCTGTCTTTAGGTATTTGAGTACCAATGGCTGTCCAATAACTGGAAAATTTGGTGGCTTTGGAGGTCTCTTTGAGGACTATCGTGGAGTTTGAGTGGAGGCCAGATGCAGAGGGCTAACTTTAATTGATAAATTCCTCCAGGTTTGAGGGAGTGGGAGTAGTATTTAGTGTTTAAGCTGGCCTCAGAACTCTAGAGGGCCTTAAGGCTTCCTTGGGCTTCTAATTAGAATCTTAATCAAACCAGGAGCTCTTTAAACGCACGCAGAGGAAAGTTTGTAATCCACTGGAAGTTGGGAACCGAGGTAGTCCTGCAGAGACTACCTTGGACTGAGACCCTGTCTGCATGAAGTGCAGGCTAGAGGAGAATTTTTCAGAGCCCTGGGCTGTCAGCTGCCTGTGACTTACTGACTGCTCTCCTGGGCTTTTGAAAACACCCAGGGGTAGAATACAGTGAAGTGGGAGTCACTTGGTGTTTGTTGATTGATTGATGTGAGTATATACTTAACATTTCTTGCTTTTTAATCATGCTTTGTGTAAAGTACTTTTTGTTCACGGGGGCAGAACTTTGGGATTTCTATTGAGTGGTTGTACTAGCCTTAGGAGAAATTCAGGGCTACATCTTGATAAAAAATTTGGCCTTGTCTTGTAGTGCGTGGAATGGCCTGTGTGAATACAAGTCAGGCCTCCCTAATTTTCAAAGTGAAATCTTGATTTTCCCATATGATCCATGCTTTCTTTCATAAGGATGGCTCAACTTAAAATTTATTGTTTATTTAGTTTCTGTTAAAAGTCTTGCTGTGGCTGGGTGTGGGGTCTCACGCTTGTAATCCCAGCACTTTGGGAGGCCGAGGTGGGTGAATCACGAGGTCAGGAGATTGAGACCACGGTGAAACCCCGTCTCTACTAAAAATACAAAAAATTAGCCGGGCGTGGTGGCGGGTGCCTGCAGTCCCAGCTACTCGGAGAGGCTGAGGCAGGAGAATGGCGTGAATTTCGGAGGCGGAGCTTGCAGTGACCCGAGATCGCTCCACTGTGCTCCAGCCTGGGCGACAGAGCGAGACTCCGTCTAAAAAAAAAAAAGTCATGCTGAAAACAAGTGATATGTGTGTGTGCGTGTATGTGTGTGTGTGTGTGTCTGAATGAAATGATCTCTATTCACTTTTCTAAATATTCTGTGTTCTATACCTGCGTCAAGTTAGAATCACTATTAAAGTATATTCATAGGCTAGATTATATTAGTTTCCCATATAAATGTCTTTGTAGACTTAGTTTAATAATATATCACCCTTTTTTTAAAAAAAATTGAGGGATTACTTAAAAAAAATAGATGCTTAGATTTTCCAGTAACTGCTATAAATCTGTGAAGACATTTTCTGTCTTGTTAAATTCTTAATATGAAGATAAACTTGCATATTCAACAAATATTTATTTGTTTATTTATTTGAGACGGAGTTTCACTCTTGTTGCCCAGGCTGGTGTGCAGTGGTGAGATCTCTGATCACTGCAACCTCCACCACCCAGGTTCAAGTGATTCTCCTGCCTCAGCCTTCCTAGTAGCTGGGATTACTGGCATGTGCCACCACGCCCAGCTAATTTTTGTATTTTTAGTAGAGACGAGGTTTCACCAGGCTGGTCTTGAACTCCTGACCTCAGGTGATCCACCCGCCTCGGCCTCCCAAAGTGCTGGGATTACAGGCATGAGCCACCGCACCCAGCAACAAAATATTTATTATTACATGGTATAGGTATAATATATAATATATAGGTGCTAGATATGAAATTTCAGGAAAAAAAAGTTCCTGCTTATTTTTATTTCACAAAGTGTTCTCCTTTTTACTTTTGCTGCCAGGAAACTCAGTGCTCTGTTCAGAACTCAGTTGCAGCAGCTATCTTCAACCTACATTTCTGATAAAATATCAGTTCTCCTTCCCACTACATAGGGGAGGTGGGACTGTACCTTTGTATACATATATTAATATTTTGGAGTAAACTATTTCAAATATTTTACAGTAGTGAAGTGTGAATAAAATAAAACATTAATTCTATCTAAAGATAGATTTTCAAACTGATTGCTTTCCATACATTTTCTCTTCACATGTTACCTATGAAAACTCTTGGAGCAGATAATCCTGTTAGTACTGTCCTGTTTATTCTTTGTGCTGCCCCATTCCTGATTGCAGTCTTCTGCAAACAGATGGATGTAATTAGGTATTTACTGTAAAAGAGAAAACACATTAGTTAGAGAAGGCAGGACTAATTCAACATTGGCAGCTCTCTAAAAAGACTTTCAAATTAAAATAGAGTTTTGTCTATATGGTGTGGGGTGATTTTAGGTGAGGAAACAGTTTGAATGACCCACTTGAGTTCCTTAAAACTTTATGAATTTATGTTAAAGTGCTACGCACGTACCTGACTTCTTGTACCTAAAAAGAAAACAACTGTGAACACAATATTACCCATTTTGCTTTTATTTTAACTAAAATTTACCTGAAAAGAGAGAAAATTGCACATTAATTTCCACAGCTGGTTTATTCATTATTCTATTCACATTTATTGAGTGTCCAAGTATCAGATGGATGTTTAGATGCGGACCATGCAAAAATCGGAGGCATAGTCCCTGTGCTTAAGTGGCTTATTTGCTAATGGAAAGACATATAAATAAATTATTGTTTATTCGAAGGGCACCTTACTCAAGATTTGGGAATGAGGGATATCGTTCAAGGGAGACATCTAGGAGGAGGTATATAATCACACAGATACTGTGCTGAATTTCCTAGGAGTTAGCCAGATAAAATGGCATTCAGGTAGAGGGAACGTTATGTGTAAAGGCACAAAGACAAGAGAAAAGGTGGTACTCATGGAAAAGGCCAATGTTTAGTTATGACTGGAGCTCAGGGTAATAGGGCAAGGAGAGGAGAGTCAGTCATGGTTGGAGAAGAAACAAGTCTAATTATGAAGGGCCTCGTATGAAGTTTAGATTTCTCCTGGAATTGATGGAAAGCCATTGAAGTGTTTTAATTGGAAGAGTCATGGGATCCACTTTGTGTTTTAGAAAGGCAATTTTAGCAGTCTTTTGGAGAGTAGATAAGAGGGGATTAAATCAGGATCAGGAGACTGGGTGCTCATTTTTGCTATAGCAGTCATGTTTGATAAGAAATGTTAAAGGGGTAACATCTGCAGGACTTGGTGACTTAGGAGTAGGGGTTGGGGCAGGTAAGGCGAGAGATGACTTCAAGATGCCTCCTGGACTTCTGGTTGCTTGGACACATTAGCACCATTCATCTGTAGAGAAAGGATGCAAAGAGCAGAGAGAAATTGTGATTTTACTCTTCAGTGGTTGAAGCGTGTCTGAGATATCCATGCGTCAGTGACTGTGGTGATGTAGAGTGCTAGGGCTCAGGAGACAGATAGCTGGAAAGAAAGATTTGGATATGTGGAACTAACATGTTAATTTGAAAACTATATTAAAAGCCCATTTTATATTTCCTCATGTAATTGTAAATATGTTAAGTTCCAATCATTTTATCTGGAGTATAATGCAAATCCAACTTCGCATAGCTTTCATGTTCTACATTCTCACTCAGTTGAGAATCTCACAGACAGATGGTGGTGGCTGGGACCTAATCAAGGGACAGCTGGCTAGGCACGGTGGCTCACGCCTGTAACCCAGCATTTTGGGAGGCTGAGTTGGGTGGAACACCTGAAGTTAGGAGTTCGAGACCAGCCTGGCCAACATGGTAAACCCCATCTCTACTAAAAATACAAAAATTAGCCAGGTGTGGTGGCAGGCGCCTGTAATCCCAGCTACTCGGGAGGCTGAGGCATCCGGGAAGCGGAGGTTGCTGTGAGTTGAGATCACGCCACTGCACTCCAGCCTGGGCAACAGAACGAGACTCCGTCTCAAAAAAAAAAAAAAAGAGTCAGACAGTTGCACTAGAAAAATGAATTAAATTTTGGTTTCATACAGTAACAATGGAAGACAGTTATGATTAATGCTAATGGTAGAAATAATGTGAATTCAACAGACTATATACCCTTTGGTATACATTCCAAACCTGGCACATAGGCCAGTTTTTCTTGGCAAATGGGCTGTAATAGACAGTAGGGAGGAGAAACCGGAGAGCATAGACGCGAGCCATGAAGAGCATCTACCTCATTGGATTGTAATGAGGGTTACATGGGTTACTATTTGTAAATTTCTTAGAGAGGTACCTGGCACATGGGAAATGCTATATAAGTGTTTGCTAAATAAGTGAATGAATTTATGATGTGCTGGTCCCCATCCCACCTTCCTCTCAGCCCTTCCACTAAAAAATGATATATCAGATATGGTAGTCCTTTACTCACAAACAACTGAATCAACACTGAATCACCAAACAAAACTTGGAAGATACTATAGCTAATGAGAATAAATTTCAAAGGAGAAAACAGATTATTCTTGCTCATAATAGTTTCTTGAATTATTTACTATTACAATTGAATTCTATGTAAAAAGGCCATACTTTTTGTGATTCAATCTGACACTTTAGATAAATTACAAGACTTTTTGTGTGTTATAAGGGATAACACCCTAAATCACAATTGACTTTATGTCTGAAAAAGTATTTCAAGAAAACAAGGCAAACAGATATGTGATACCAAAATTTGTAATTTCTTAATCAAATGCAGGAACAATGGCCAGAGGTATATAATCAATAAAGGCTGGGAGAAACCAAATCAAGGCCTGAAAATTCTTATTCTAAAAAAAGGCAGGGGAGGAACACAAATAATTTTAAATAAAAAATGACCAGTGAAGGAAATGAGAACATGTTATACAATTCATCAGTGTTGTGAAACTTGGTTCAGTAAAAATCATCATATAAATATCATAATTTGTTACAGAAATATTAAAAAATCTATTAGAGTAAGGATGATAAGTATAATTAGACTTACACTGTAACAGGAGAATATGTAATGGTTGTAGTATTAAAATCAAAGTGGATGGTAGTTTCTAGGTCCATTAGCACAAGTGTTGGGCTAGCTGTATATTGAGAACAAATTACAAATTACCTATGCTAGGTCACTTGAAGAATAGAAAAGAAGTTTAAAACAAGCTCTGGCCTAGAGAGGTTTATTATTTTACTGAGGATATAAGACATTTATTCACACAAACTAGAGAACCATTTAACATGCTGTGTCAAGGATGGCTGCTGTGCTGTGCTTTGCACAACTTCAGGGGTGCCATTTATATCAATCTATGTGAACGGCATTCCTTCGATTTGTGCAGTACGCATCCTGCACAGCTATACATGGTGGACCTGGAATTATTCAAAGTTTTCATTTTTATTAATTTCCCTGAGAGTAAGTGGGGCAAACAGTAAAGCTCCCCAGTGACTTTCCTTTCCCCTTAAAATAAAATCAGAAAATCTTAGTTTGGCCTACAGCCAAATTTGATCTGACCCCAAGTAAACTTCTTAGCTTTATCTCTTGCTACCTCACTCCTCCCATTTTATGTTTCAAGCCAGTATGAATTTATTGAGGCTTCTTCAACAGTGGGCAACAACTATACATCCTTTGACCAAACCAGAAACTTGGAAATATCACTGATTCCTTTCCAATAATCAGTTTGTCTTCTGAATATCTCCTTAGACCTTTCACTTTCACCTTTCTTTTTGCCATTACCATTCTCCAGGCTATCTTCATATCTGGCTCGGTAACTATGATAGTTTCCTAAGTGGTCTTCCCTGCCTCTCATCTTGTCCCTTGTCATCCTTTTTCCCTACTGTAATCAGAGTGATCCTTCTTTACAAACTGTGACTTTGATCCTGTCACTGCACTGACATCAATGTTCAGATAAAGTTCAAAATACTTAAAATCGTTTATTGGATACTTCAGGACTTTTGTCTCTATTTATCTCTTAGCCTTTTTCTCCAGCTTCCTGTCTCCCTTCTTGCACTATAGTCACACTGCATTCTCAGTTTTGTCAACATATGAAACTCTTTTTGCTCTTTGTTTATACCATTCCTTCTGGGTGCAATACTATTCAATCCTTTCTCTCCATCCCCTCCAGTTTTTCAGCAGGCAGGCAAAGTCTGCCTGAGAGCCTTCAGATCTCAACTTCAGTGTCACTTTCCCCTGTGTTGCCTCCCCATGTCCCTCCAAGCCTGGGTTAGATGCTCTGTTGTATGTTTGCAGAGCTCTCTCTACTTCTCCTATAGTGGCATACATCATAGCATGTTGGGATTATCTGTCACAACCCGTTTAGAAGTTCCTTGAGGTCAAGGACAATTGTGTTTTTAATACTGTGTATATTCTTGATAGATATATCTTGAATGAATTACTCATTCAAGAGTAATTCAAAAATGTATGGCAAAAAAAGCCTCTAACTATGGGACCATTGAACCTTTAATAGTTCTTAATTACAATGGATGGTATTAATTAATGAGTCATTCACTAATAATAAAATTATGTGGATGAAAATATAGTAAATTTAGGGAACTGATTTTTTTCTCTTTTTTTAATTATTATTATACTTTAAGTTTTAGGGTACATGTGCACAATGTGCAGGTTTGTCACATATGTATACATGTGCCGTGCTGGTGTGCTGCACCCATTAACTCATCATTTAGCATTAGGTATATCTCCTAAAGCTATCCCTCCCCCCTCCCCCCACCCCACAACAGTCCCCAGAGTGTGATGTTCCCCTTCCTGTGTCCATGTGTTCTCATTGTTCAGTTCCCACCTATGAGTGAGAATATGCAGTGTTTGGTTTTTTGTTCTTGCGATAGTTTACTGAGAATGATGATTTCCAGCTTCATCCATGTCCCTACAAAGGACCTGAGCTCATCATTTTTTATGGCTGCATACTATTCCATGGTGTATATGTGCCACATTTTCTTAATCCAGTCTCTCATTGTTGGACATTTGGGTTGGTTCCAAGTCTTTGCTATGGTGAATAGTGTCGCAATAAACATACGTGTGCATGTGTCTTTATAGCAGCATGATTTATAGTCCTTTGGGTATATACCCAGTAATGGGATGGCTGGGTCAAATGGTATTTCTAGTTCTAGATCCCTGAGGAATCGCCACACTGACTTCAACAATGGTTGAACTAGTTTACAGTCCCACCAACAGTGTAAAAGTGTTCCTATTTCTCCACATCCTCTCCAGCACCTGTTGTTTCTTGACTTTTTAATGATCGCCATTCTAACTGGTGTGAGATGGTATCTCATTGTGGTTTTGATTTGCATTTCTCTGATGGCCAGTGATGGTGAGCATTTTTTCATGTGTTTTTTGGCTGCATAAATGTCTTCTTTTGAGAAGTGTCTGTTCATATCCTTCGCCCACTTTTTGATGGGGTTGTTTTTTTCTTGTAAATTTGTTTGAGTTCATTGTAGATTCTGGATATTAGCCCTTTGTCAGATGAGTAGGTTGCGAAAATTTTCTCCCATTTTATAGGTTGCCTGTTCACTCTGATGGTAGTTTCTTTTGCTGTGCAGAAGCTCTTTAGTTTAATGAGATCCCATTTGTCAATTTTGGCTTTTGTTGCCATTGCTTTTGGTGTTTTAGACATGAAGTCCTTGCCCATGCCTATGTCCTGAATGGTAATGCCTAGGTTTTCTTCTAGGGTTTTTATGGTTTTAGGTCTAACGTTTAAGTCTTTAATCCATCTTGAATTAATTTTTGTATAAGGAGTAAGGAAGGGATCCAGTTTCAGCTTTCTACATATGGCTAGCCAGTTTTCGAGAACTGATTTCTTTAGCATTTTTATTTATCAAGCACTTGATGGTGTTTATTTTGTTCTAATCTTCCTAGAACTTTAGAAATTTTATCTAATTCTCACAGTAACTTTGTGAGTAGTCCTAGAATTTGAGGGAACTGAGGCACAGAGATGTTAAGTAGTCTTGCCAAGGTCCCTCAGCTAGGAAGTGGCAGAGTCCAGATTTGAACCCAATTAGTTTTCCTCTAGATTCATGCTTTTTACCACCTTACTCTGTTGCCTCTCAACATGGACAGTCATGTAACCTTCCTTCTATTTGTAAAGCATGAAGTTTCTATTATATTATTTCTTATTGGACCCCAGAAAGAATGCCTGAGTCAGATGGTAATATTGACAGTGAAAGGTGAATCCTTTACTGTGTAATTGGTTAATTTTGTGCAAAAATCACTTGTTGTAAAACTTGAATGAACTATAGTAGTAGTGTCATAGTAAGTGGTTACATAGAATGTAGCTTTAGATTAAAATGAAGCATACTGTTGGAATTTGAATTTTTAAAGCTTTGTAAAATTTATGGTAACAAATATCTAACATATTTTATAAATTTATGATTTTTTTTTGAGATGGAGTCTCATTCACTCTGTCACCCAGGCTGGAGTGCAGTGGCACCATCCTTGCCCACTGCAGCCTCCACCTCCCCGGATCAAGTGATTCTCCTGCCTCAGTCTCCCAAAGTGCTGGGATTAAAGGTATGAGTCACAGCACCCAGCTGGGTATGGAGTTTTTGTTAGGGATAATGAAAAAGTTCTGGACATGGATAGTGGTGGTGGTTGCACAACACTGTAAATGTACTCAATGCCACTTAATTGTACACTTAAAATGGTTTAATTGATAAATTTTGTTATGTATATTTTGCCACAATAAAAAAATTTTAAAAGCAGGTTAGAGGTAACCAAGGCAACAAGATAACTTTACTATGACATAAGTGGACTGAAGGCCCAGTTTGCAGAAACTTTTTGTTTTATTTTTCATTTAACTTTTATTTTGAGTTCAGGGGTACATGTGCAGGTTTGTTACATAGGTAAACGTTGTTGGGGGGGATACTTGTTTTTAAAAGAACAAAGTTGCAATGTTAAATGTCTTTGTAAGACAGCAGACTGATGTAATATGTATATAAATTATATGCTTTAATGTAAGAATGAATGAGGTGTTTTTTGTCATTGGAAAAACTTGACATTTTCTTCCTGATGATTTCTATATGTCACTGGCATGCAAAATAAAATAATTTGGCCTGCATTGTGTTATAACAAATTAAATGAAAGAGTTGTGATTGTCTTGAGGCTATTTTATAATCTCCTTCACTAGACTATTAGTTTCTTGACAGTAGGTGTCAAGAAAACTTAAGTCATATATGTATCCCTATTGCTTGCTATGTGGTTAACCCTGATATCTTTTTTGAATGAATGACTGTGGACAGGATCAGTGTGGCTATTTTTTTTTTTAAATTTTTGAGTGTCTTCTTGTTTTTGTTTGTTTTTTTTTTTCATAACTGGATTGCAATGTGGGAATTAAAAGCAGTGTTTTCAGGCCAGGTACAGTGGCTCACACCTGTAATCCCAATACTTTGGGAGTCCAGGAGTTCAAGACCAGCCTGGGCAACAAGGCAAAACCATGTCACAAAAAAAAAAAAAAAAGGTAGTGTTTTCAGTATAGCACTAGAATAAGAAAAATAGGCAAGGAACTCAAAGCTATAAATTATGTGTATGGGAGCATTGTATAGATTTATCTTTAAGTTAAATTTCAAAAATATTTTCACACAATTTAATCAGTTTTTATAGAGCAGACAATTGTTTTATGGATAATTGAGTTTAATATGTGAATTGTTATTTTTAGTATTGGATATAATATTACATAGTATATGTTGGGTCCTTCAAGTGAGCCCCAGTGATGTCGTTTGCTCCTTACTAGAGGCCTTGTTTATCAGATATTGTGGCAACTATTCAGACTGCTTTAATTTGTGAACTCTAAATTTCCATGCATTCACTCACCATGGATCTCTGGATACCTAATGGACAGGCAGGTAAGAAAAATTTCTTTTTATTTCCTTCCTTCCTTCCTTCCTTCCATTGTCACCATTTTTATGCAGTTTCCTTGCATATTTATCTGTAGTTTTAAGAGAAACTTGTAGTTAGAATAACAAAGTCTCCATGTTTAATATGTGTAAGAGGTAAAAACATGTCTCTTTAGAGGAAGAGAAGCACATGGGGACTGATAATTATGAAGCACTAAGAGGCAATTTAAGGACTAGAAATTTGGGGTACTATTTTTGACTATTTTCTTTTCCAATAAGGTTATTCCAACAGATATTTCAAATGGACACTTTAGCTTTTATTAATATAAATTTGTAGATTTGAAATTTTTTCAAAATTCTCTTTGTGCTACTGTCTAAACTAAACAATATAGGAAAATTATAATAGAGCAGAAACATCGCATATAAGCCTAATTTTGACATTGGATATAGAAATAGAAGGAAGAGAATTGTGAGTCATTTTATTGGCCTTATATTAATATTCAGTGAGCCAGATGCAATAGAAACATGGAGAAAATATATAAAAAAGAGAATTCCAGCCAGGTGTGGTGGCTCATGCCTGTAATCCCAGCACTTTGGGAGGCCAAGGTGAGTAAATCACTTGAGCTCAGGACTTTGAGACCAGCTTGGCCAACATGGGGAAACCTCATCTCTACTAAAAATACAAAAATTGGCTGGGCATGGTGGTGCATGCCTGTAATCTCAGCTACTTAAATGGCTGAGGCAGAAGAATCACTGGAACCTGGAAGGCAGAGATTGCAGTGAGCCAAGATGGTGCCAGCCTGGGTGACAGAGTAAGTGAGACTCCGTCTCAAAAGAAAAAAAAGTTCCCTTGGGTATATGGAATAGTTAATACCTTTTTGAGTGGGCAAAATATTTTACTTCTAAATTATAAACTAAAATTTTTTAAAATCAGGAGATTTGTGATAGATTAAATACTATAATAAACACTTAAAATTAAATATTAGAGTGCCAGGTAAATTATTTCATTCTTAAATCCTTAATATGTGTTCAAAGCTCTTTAGATTTAATTCAAAATATAATTCAATATGAAAAATTTCAAAAGATGATAAACCACTGCCTTTACATAATATATCAAGTGGGCACATAAATAAATATATATATTTATTTCATATATTTATTTTATATAAATATATAGATATATTATTTTATATATTTATTCTATATAAGTATATATAAATATATATTTATTTTATATATTCGATGTAAATATATATAAATATATGTATTTTATATATTTATTTTATGTATATATATTTATTTTATATAAATATATAAAAATATATTTATATTTATGTGTCCACTTGATATATATGTATATATGTATATATCTATATATTTCCCCCCCAAAACAAAATAAAAAGCCCAGAATAATCAGGAAAAAATAACATGAAACTTAATTGTGATTCTTTAAAGCTATTCTAAGCATACTTGTTTTGCCTCATTAATGCATTTATTATGAAACTTTAAATATATGTTAACAAATTTAGCTTTTCTTTTTTAGAGCATTGACTTATTTTAATTAAAATAGTGCATATTTATTATAAAAAATATGAAGTAAGGCCAGGCACAGTGGCTCATGCCTGTAATTCCAGCACTGTGGGAGGACAAGATGGGAGGATCTCTTGAGCCCAGAAGTTTGAGACCAACCTGGGCAACATAGTGAGACCCCCATCTCTACAAAAAAATGAAAAAAATTAGTCAGGTGCAGTGAACTCAGTTATTTGTGAGGCTGAGTGGGAGGATTGCTTGAACCTGAGAGGTTGAGGCTGCAGTGAGCCATGATTGCACCCTGCACTCCAGCCTAGGCAACAGAGCAAAATTCTGTTTCAAAACAACCCAAAAAAACAAAAAATAAGAACGTAATGCTCGACGATAATGACAATACAATGTCAGCCCAAGCCCTGTGCCCAATTCAAAAATGGTCACAGGGCTTGGCCTGACATTTCTTCAAAGAAGATGTACAAATGGCCAATGAGCACATAAGATGCTCAACATTATTAGTGCTATGGAAATGCAAATCAAAATCACAATGAGACACCAGCTCATCCATATTCGGATAGCTGTTATTTTTTTAAATTGGAAAATTACAAGTGCTGGTTAGGATGTGGAAAAATTGGAATCCTCGTAAAATGATGGGAATGTAAAATGGCTCAGCTGCTGTGGAAAACAGTTTGGCAATTCTTAGTGGTGATGTTCACGCAACATTTTGGATGTACTTAACTCAACTGAACTGTAAACTTAAAAATGGTTAAAATGGTAATTTTTATTTTATTTGTATTTTACTCACTAAGAAACCAACAACAATGAATCAACTAATAAAGCAAATTACAAAGAGATGGACAATTTTTTTAAATCCACCTTTCCTGAAATAACCTGTGTTAACATTGAGTAGTCATGCTAATACCTTGTTCTGTGCTTTAAACTTTTGTTGTGGATATTTCAGAAATTATCTCTATCAAACAGTATAGATAATAATATATAAGCAACACCCATGAACACTGGATTTGTTGAACATGAGCTATGACCCAAGTGTGGGCAGGGGCTCTGTGTGCCTGCAGCGCTTACCAGCCTTCGTGGGATTCACACCTGCAACGGTGATAGAAGATGATCTAACCTAGCCAACTTAGGCACGAAACTAATGACTAAGTAAAACCAGAAACTAGGAAAATCCATAGGTCACATCATTAAATGTGTCTGTGATAAGCATCACCGCTCTCTGCTTAGGTTATTTGCTAGTACTCTTTTATTTTGGTCTAATCCTAAGTGTTACTATAATGGCTTCTCGACCTTTGGCTAAGATCAAGTGTTTAGGTGTTATTGTAAATGTTTTCTTTTTGCTCTATTTCAAATGTTTCTGCATATAATACTATAAAAGAATACTGGTAATATTTGCTTTTGTGTATAACTAGGATATATTTTTAAAGAAAAGATTTAATGATATCTAATTGAGTAGACTGGTGTAAATTAAAGTGTAGAAAGTCAACGGGTACTTTGTTATATTTTGAATTCTGTCATTACATTTCTTGTAATCTTAGACTAAAACAGCATCATTAAAACAGAAATAGCAGTCGACTCTTTTGCAGAATTTACAGTAAGGCAAAGTTAATAGAAAGAGCTGGAATATCCAGTAAAATGACCACAATGCAAATACTATTGGTGTCTCTCTTCCCACCTCCTCAGTTTTCAATATGTATTTTTTAACAATTATCAATGAAAAATGTATAAATTATAACCTTACTTTACCATTCATTAGTTGTGTGACAATTAACCTTTCTCAGCCTCAATTTTCTCATCTGTAAAATAGACATAATAGTAGGGCCTGCTTCATAGTTTTGTTATAAAAGTTAAATGAGTTTTTATGGAAAAAAGTCCTTAGAACAGTGCTTGCATATAATAAGTCCTTGATAAATATGAGCTACTTTTACTATTGTTGCTGTTGTGGTGATGATGATGATATACCTACTATGCATTCAACCCTTGGATGAATATGATGAGCACTAGTAGTACACTTCCTCATCTCCAAGACATTTATTTGGAGATAATACGCAGGTGAGGCCTTGAAGCGAGCCTTGAAATATAAGATTTGCAAAGTCTGGGGGGAAGCCCTATCTTTTTTGTGTTAGGCATCATAGCATACTCTACAACCTTTCTCTGCATGCCTCATAATTAACCCTATCAGGTAATATAGACAGGACTTGCTGAATCAGGGATTCTTACCTAAATCCAAAGCCTTTCTTATTTCCATGCTCTACTGCATGTTTAACAATGATCGCTTGTATTATTCTGTGTCTTGGCCAGTTAGGTACTTCTAAATTTCCATTAGTTTATGGTGAATAGTTTTATTTTTACTGATTTTTTCCCTTTAATTTTACTGTCTGCATATATACTGAATTGTATTTTTGCTTTTTAATTTAAATTTTCCTGATTTCTGTTCTTTCATAATTTAACTCAGGTGTAATGTCTTTGCTGAGAACTCTTCTTCTGGACGTGGTCCCAACAATTCAACAGACTGCTGCTTTGGCTCTTGGGAGACTGGCCAATTATAATGATGACCTAGCAGAAGCTGTTGTGAAGTGCGACATTCTTCCACAGCTTGTTTATTCATTGGCAGAACAGAATGTAAGAATTAAAAAAAACTAGTTATATGTTTTTTTGTTTTAGATTTTTAAAAATGTGACAGTTTGGATACAGTTGCAAGCCTGTAGGCATAAAATTATTAGGGGGTTAACACAATCTTCAATTATCTGAGCTGCATGTAATCATATTTTCAGGGTATTTTGCTTTGGTGCTGATAACCACCATTTATCTATTATTGATAATATAAGGAGAAAATAGATTTTTTTAGGCAGAATTATACATAAAGCAGTATTTCTATATATGAGAGTTTTAAACAAAGCTATCGGATCTGTCTTAGGGAAGTATGTAGACCCTAGGCAAATAGTTGATCTCAGCAGTCCTTATATGCTGGTGAAACCAAGTTAAGGGAAATAGTGAGAGACAGCCTTGAGGCAAGGGGTAGAGAAGCAACCAAAAAGAGGAAGAGAATAAGTATGTGTAATGGAAGGTTTGATAAATCTTTTTTTACCAAGTTATAGGCATGCCAACTCTGTTAAGCACTATCTGAAATTGCCCTGTTTTTTTCCCCCTCCTATCTGGTACCACTTTCTTTTTCTATACAATGCCAGCTATTTGGTTTTCACAGTAGTTAAGGACCACTTGTAGGTAGGTTTTGGACTGTTCATTCTATTCTGTTAGTTTATCATAACCTAGGGATAGAGCTTTCTTGACATATCTTTGGGATTAAATTCCTATTTGTGTAACAAAAAGACAAGCCAATTGAAAAATCGACAAAGGAATTAAATAGACATTTCTCCAAAGAATATATAAAAATGGCCAAGAAGCATGTGAAAAGATGCTCCACAGCATTAGTCATTAAGAAATGCAAATCAAAACCACAATGAGGTATCACTTCATACCTTTTAGGGTGGCCATAATAAAAAATAAAAAGAAAATAACAAGTGTTGGTGAGGGCATGGAGAAATTGGAACTTTCATACATTGCTGGTAGGAATGTAAAATGGGGGAAACCACTGTGAGAACACTTTGGCAGGTCCGCAGTCAGTGAAACATTTGTTACCACGTGACTCAGCAATTCTATTCCTAGCTATATATCCAAAAGAATTGAAAACAGATGCTCCAGCAAAGCCTGCACAGAAATATTCATAGCAGCAGCATCCACAATAGCCAAAAGGTGAAAGCAACCTAATCCAATCAACAGATGAACGGGTAAACAAAATGTTGTGTATCCATACAATGGATTATTAGTCATAAAAGGAATAAAGTACTGATAAATGCTACACCATGGATGACCCATAAAAACATATGCTAAGTGCAAGAAGCCAGACACAAAAGGCCACAGATTGTATGGTTCCATTTATATGAACTATCCAGAATATGTAAATCCATAGAGACAGAAGCAGATTAGTGGTTGCCAGGGGCTGGAAGGAGAAGGGAATGGGAATTGACTGCTTTATTTGTAAGAAGTTTCTTGTTGGGTTGATGATAATAGTCTAGAACTATATAGTGGTGATGGTTGTGCAACATTGTGAATGCACTAAATGCCACTAAATTGTATACTTTAAAATGGTTAAAATGGTAAATTTCATGTTATGTGTATTTTGCCAGAATAAAAATAAATCCTAATGGTGCAGAAATTTTCCTTATATTTATAGATGAGAGAGTCACTTACTAATGCTTGTTATAGCTCTACAAGGAGTCACAGAAATTTTATTTTTCTTGTGGATATTCCTTCTATCATCAAATACTGTTGGGCTTTCTTCCTCTTGGACTCTTAGCTCTTTCTTTTGAGAGCAGAGTCTGTATTCTGGTATCCCACGTAGAAGATTTTCAGTAGAAGTTTTCTAAGTTGAATAAATGTTAATTAGTTGTAGAGAGACAAAAAAGCACTACAGCAGAAAAGTGAGGAGGCAGTGAAAACACGAAGCCTTTGCACAAGCTTCTGTCTCCCTCACCTCCCAGCCTTTAAGTCATTTCTCACAGGAGATTTAATCTCCTCTTTATGAGGTACAAAGTCCTGTGGTTTTGCTGGGTTTTTTTTTTTTGGCATTTCTTTTAATGAGGAATGGAAGAGAAGAGTGTTAGGAATTTGGGGGAAGTGAAAATTAGGAGAAAGAGGGAATGAGATCAGAAAGTGTTAGTTATAGGCACTGGAATTAATAGTGACTATTGATACCCATAAATGTTCTGTAAATTTGACAATTCTGCAGTATAAAAAGTCAAGTTAGCTAAGGTAATGAAAATAAATGTATCACCATTTTTTCCCCACATTTGTAAGAAAATAATCTATGGAAACCTACTTCAAAACTCTATTCTAATATTTAGAGTAAATTAGTAGAAATTTGGTTACTTATATAATTTAAGAAACTAAAGAAAATATGTCAAATCAAAAACATCAGTACTAATATAGCATATTTCTTATATTAGCAACATATACTGATTTTTAAGATATACTATGTTTAAGATGTACTTGATGTGTTTTTTTCTCCTGTAATTTTCATTGTATCAATATTATAGTCTAAGTGAACAGAATGCTTTCAAAACAGGTGCTGTAGTCAACTAGTCACTTTTCATTAGTCACTGTGAAGAAATAGAAACTTAGAATGTAAAATAGGGGTTTAATTGGGTTTTATTAATAACAGAAAGAGTTAGGAGACCATCACTGTGTCATTATGCTAACCATAAAACCATAGTGAGTGTCACAGCCACATATTTCCTATACATTTAATTTTTTTAGCGATATGAAGAGAAACATGTTAGTCTTGTGTTTCAGTTTCATTTACTCATTCCTTAGTGAGAAACAATGCATCTATAGGAAATATAAATATGAAGCAGTATTTAAAATTTACAAAATGGTAAGTAATTTGCTTTTATCTTAAAAAAAAAGCATTTCTAGAGAAAATAACTTATATCCCATTGTTTGGCTGATTTATTTGCCAGGAAAAGTTTTAAAATGTGTCATGAATGTTTTGCCTTTATGTTTATTTGATGATTGTAAGCACATTTTAGAACATGGTTGTTACTTCAGAATAATTTAGGACACCAGAAAGATTAGTTGAGGTCATGAAAGGCCTACCATGCTTAAAGACTGAGGGCAAGTAAAGGAAATGAATTAGTCAGTTGACAGTGAGCTTAGTTGCACATGCTAACAATCTAAGAGTTCCCAAGGGTCAAACAATACATTTTGGTGTAATGCAGATACATAAAATCTCGTTATTTTATGAATTTGTGGAAAGTATGTTTATAATTTTATACAATTTCCAAATGCAGGCTTCAGGGTAAAACATTTGAAATACAATGTAAAACCTACCTTGTTTTCAGTTGAGTTACTGAACAGAAGCAATGAGGGCACATCAAATAATCAAAATTATTTTGCAGGATGTTTTTCATCTTTTATATTCAAAAGCTGTTGAGCTTTATTTATAGTAATGTTATTTTTATGTAGTTTTGGTCTATTTTAGATTTTGGTTTTCTAAGTACTCAATTCATTTTGAGTTTTGTCTGTTTGACCCTTGTAGCGCTTCTACAAGAAAGCAGCTGCCTTTGTGTTACGAGCAGTTGGTAAACATTCTCCCCAGCTAGCTCAGGCAATAGTCGATTGTGGAGCACTGGATACGCTGGTCATATGCTTGGAAGATTTTGACCCTGGAGTCAAGGAGGCTGCAGCCTGGGCACTTAGATATATTGCAAGACATAATGCAGGTAATTTAAAATATGCAGGAGCATATTTTAAAATAGGATTATTACAATTCAGATTTATTAGGTAAATCCAGTTTTGCTTAGTAAAACATAGGTGGGGTTTTAATGATGTTTCTGTATGTGATGAGAAGTACGTTTTGAATGATGGCCAAGTTGTTTGGATCATATATTCACAAAAAAAAACCCTATATATTTCAGTCTTTATCTTAGCAGAAGGGAAATTTGAAGAGGTGGAGAAAAGGAGAGAGGGGTGGCAGCGGGTGGGAGAGTAGGCTTGAGTCTCAAAGGCCTTGGTAAATTGGTTCAGTTATTAGGTTGGTGCATAAGTGGTTTTGCCATTAATGGCAAAAACCCCAATTACTTTTGCATTAACCTAATAAATTATTTTAGTTAGTCACCCTCTTGGGGTCATTTGGTCTTCCTGCCCATTCATGATAGGGAGTTCCAAACCAACCAGGAGACATAGCACGAGTGAGTGATGTTGAGGAGATATGGACATAACTTCCTGGAAAATATTGGTATTCAACTCATACTGGGCAGGAAGAAGAGAAGGAGCATGTTCTCCTATAAACTGACAGCTCAGTGGGGTCATCAAGAGGGGACCTGGGCCTCTTGTGAGAGGATTGTGTTGACTCACCCAATTGGTAAAAAGTACATGAGGAACATAATTTTCCCCGTCACTTTATAGAAGTTGCTTATGAACAAATAACATAAGAAGAAAATACAGTTTTAAAATAAACATATGTAAAAATGATCAACTTTGCTAGTAATCAACAAATTCTATACGAAAACATCAATGAAGATCTTTTTAACCTGTTATTTGAGTGGGGGGTGGTGGCAGAAGAGTAAAGCAGCAATATAGCCAGGTGATTAAGAGCACTGTGGCATTAGACAGGGTCTGAGTTTAGTTTAGATACTACCATTTAGTTGCTGTGTGACCTCGGACATGGCTTATAAACCTTCTGAACCTTAGCTTCCTCATCTGTGGAAGAGGATGACTAATAGTGGTTACATCAGAGATTTGTTGTGAGGATGATGACACAATACATGTAAAGCACTTAGGTCGGTGCTTTGACATATGGCAATACTCAGTAAATGTAACATATTAGTATTAATAATGAATGTCAGAGTGGACGATATGACGTGTGCACATTGGTGGAGGAACTACAAATTGTATAAACTGGTGGAGAGCAGTTTGACAAAACTATTAAAGTCATTGCCCTAAAAAAGCCTGCTTTGAGAATTCATCCTAAGGAAAGAATTCCACAGGATGGAAAAGCTATATTCATGCAAATGTTATTATAGCATGATTTGTAAACCCCTCAAATATTTGACAGAAATTTAGTGGATAAATTATGGAACTTAATGAAATCTGAGGCAACAAATTTAAAAGGTAATTATGAACCTACATGGTAACATGGAAAAGTGATTATAATGTTAAAAAAGATATAAAATTGTATATTACAATTACAATAATGTAAACATAAGTTTTTATGTGGATATAATTACAAAAAAATCATGTTTGTATTCCTAAGGTGGTAAAATTAAGGAATTTTTTCTTCATGTTCCAGATTTTCAGTGTGTGTCTATGTCTAAAATATTAGCTGCTGTGTAGTGAGTAATTAGTATATGCCTGGCTCTGTGCTGTGTGCTTCAGACACATTATCTCATTTTGATTGCAGCTACCCTTGGGTGGGCATTACTCTCCCTGTTAAATGGAGAAATAAAGTGGACTTTAGAAAGGATATCCAAAATTATGTTAATGGTGGAACTGGAATTTGAGTCTAACTGTCTGACTGTAAAGCCTTTGTTAACTACTATACCATACAGCTTCACTAAATACTTCCTGAAACAGTATTGAAGAAAAACTTCAAAACAGAAACAGGAAGAGGCTTTCCTATGGTTATATTTAATTTGGTTCTTAAAATGGTGACATTATTACAGACAAAATAGAAATAAAACAGTATAAAAGGCAAGTTGAAAAAGACAACTCTTGTCATGCTTAGAATTATTCAGAATTAAATTACAAATTATTAAATTATTTTCTTAAATCTAGATTTTGATTTTCCAAAAAGGTTCACCTTAAGACTATTGTTTAGTACATGTTGATTGACAAAACTACAGCAGGGTTTTCAATCAAAAGCTGGTTATCATGGGAAACTACATGAGTATATTTAGTAAGTTTTTTTTTAAGTCAGAGGGACACATTACAGATTATAACATGAGTGTTGGAAAAGAGCTTTGAGGGACAACTGTATAGATACTCTCTCAGGCAGGTGCCCCACAGATAACATTTCCATCCCTTCATTTTGTTGAGTCTGGGGCAAAATGATTATAGTTCATAAACAGGATCTGTCTTAGGGGTTCCATTCCAAATTCTTGGTATAATCTGGCTCCCACATGGAATTTCCACTGTAATTTCAATATTTCACAGTAGTTAGGGGCCTGGGACCCAGAAGCTCCCAGAAGAGATTATTGCATAGATTTCTCAGAAGGAAAGGGAATTGTTACCTAGTAAACCATAAAAGTTATCACTCACATCCATATCAATGAAAATGGAGGATTTACCTCCAAATAACCTGATTTCTTTTTTTTTGAGATGGAGTCTTGCTCTGTCGCCCAGGCTGGAGTGCAGTGGTGCAATCTCAGCTCGCTGCAACCTCCACCTCCCGGGTTCAAGTGATTCTCCTGCTTCAGCTTCCTAAATAGCTGGGATTACAGGCACACCCCACCATGCCCAGCTAATTTTTGTATTTTTAGTAGAGACGGGGTTTCACCATGTTGGTCAGGCTGGTCTCGAACTCCTCACCTTGTAATCCGCCCGCCTCGGCCTCCCAAAGTGCTGGATTACAGGCGTGAGCTACTGCGTCCGGCTTTTGTTTGTTTGTTTTGTTTGTTTTTTGAAAATAACCTGATTTCTTAATGATTTCCTAAAAGCAAAATATATTGAGATTAATGAATATTAGTGAAAAACTGTTTGGTTAGACAGTTTAAGAAATATAAATCTTAAATTGAGATGCAAAAGAAATAATATATACTTTTAAGGGCAATAGAAGGAAAAAGTTCTGTGTACAGGAAACAAAATTAAAATAAGCATAGAGAGAAGCCGATGGGCATTACCTGACTTTTCCTTGTTTGAAAAATACAACTTCTAAAACTTATTTCTATGTAAAGATTTTAAAGCATTTTACAGACAGCCAAAGGGAACTTGGGGCTGACAACCAGAAATGGTGGGGTTTTTTTTTTCCAACTGTGTACAAATCATATCATTAAGTTTTATGATTGAATCACCAGTTATTGAATACACATGGTAATGTTTACCTCTGACTTTGCAGATAAATAAGTGATTTCTTTCTAGTTTTTCCTGCTCCTTAGTGACAGCTGAGGTAGAATTCTTCTCAGATAGGCTTTCGTTTTTCTTACTTTTTGTAACCCTTTCCCACTCTGCAGAATTCTTCTTTTGTTTCCTCATTTACACAACTTTTTTTTAGTCTGTTGTTATAATTGTTCTCTTTTATTATTAGCTATTGTTGTTAATCTCTTACCATGCCCGCTTTATAAATTAAACTTTAAAAAGTTTGTATAAATTTAAGGGGCACAAGTGCAGTTTTGTACATGGATATATAGTTATTCTATTAACATATTTATTTATTCAACCAATATGAAATCTGTCACTGTTTCCAAGGAATAGTCTTGCTTTTGGAAAGGGTGCCTGGAGAGCCTGTGCCAGCTGGAAGCATGATGGGCAAGGTAGGAGGGATGGTGGGATTCCCCAGCCGCCGGGCTTCCTCAGCTGATGGCTCAGCCACTGGGAGGTGGGTGAGGGAGGCCGCTGCAGGAGGCTCCAGGCCCTCCTCCCCTGGTCCCCAGCAGCCTCCCTCAGGCCTTGTGACTGAAGTCCTGTGGCTCTGTGGAGGGTGCTTCCAATGAATGGCCGTCTGTGGAGACAGTGGCCGCAATGAGAGCACTTGGGACTGAGGTGGGAGCAGCAGCCTGGCTGCAAGTGTGCGGAAGTGTTTTGTGTGAATAGTCTTCCACATTTGGGCTCAAAAATGAGTTTTAAGTGTTTATTTTGGGAGCTTTAGCTAAAAAAAAAAAAAAAAGTGTTTCTTTGTGGTAAACTTTGGCTTATCTCAAGCCTGGCAAAGAGGAATACATTTGATTAGACATTCTACAACTTTTAAATTATTGATATAGTTGTCACATAGATGAGCAGACTGAAGTAGAGAGGTTAAAGGATTTATTCTGGTTACACAGCAATTTACGGTGGAACTGCTTGGCAACTGCTCAACACTTCCAGAGATTCTTGCATTTTACACTGTGAGGGAGGAATGTGTACAAGATCTCATCATTCTTTTTTAGCTCCTTGTAATATCTGAAAGTCTTGCCAGATACCTCTGTTTCTAATCTCCGTTGGCCGCTTTCCACCCGGTTGACTCTTCTTTCTCTTGTGGACCTGATTTCTGTCCAGCTCTGTGGCAGTTGGGAGATGAGCTTGCTGCGCCAGAGATGAGCAGCGCTTGCAGGGTCTGGCTGATGTGGACGTGACGGAAACATTGAGTCCATTGTATCCTCTTTACTAGATAGATAATGTAAGCAAGGTCTCAAGATGAGCTGGCAGCCCGATTGTTTTCTATCTTGTATTGAATGATGAAATGATAAAATGAAAAGTTTAAAATTCAGAATTCTTTTGAATATTCTTCTTATGCCACCCATGTACAAATATCAATAGCTTAAATAGTGCAGAACAGGCTTAGGAAGCAGTAATTAATTAAAAAATCTCACCTACTTATTTATGGTGAGAACACAAAATATAGTCTTAGCAATTTTCAAAGTAATTAACTTTTTAAAAACCCAAATATTAATGACAAATATCAGAGATAAGAGCTAAGGACTTTGAATGGTTTTTCTTAGAGGGGGAATGGATGGGGAGAAGGGACTACAACCTGGTAATTAAAAATTATTTTAAAGGCCCTGCAGACAGCCGTCTTTACTGACGCCTATAGATTTCGGTTGGTTCCAGTAACATCTTTTGCTTCTTTATCTTTCTTTTCATACCTTTTTTTCTATTGTAGGGGGTTGAGGAACACAAACATAGAGGCAAATGAGGTATGTGGGATAACATATATTATATATTTCATTTATTTTGACCCTAGCACTTATTTTCACAAATATCTTTGTATTTTTTAGGTGCTAGTGAAAAAAATATAAAGTGAAAATAAATATCCCTCTATGTTTTTTGGGCATAGAGGCCAAATGTGCTAAACAAAACAACATTTTAATTAATTATAACCTTGTTTTACTTGGTAGTTACCTAATTGGTTGGTTATTTTTAGGGTTCACTTTGTGTGCTGGTAAAAAATGTTGTGATTCTTTTGTGTTTTTATTTCTTGTAACATTTTTAGTTGGGAACTCTTGGCTAATAAAATCTTCTAATTTTTTTTAACTTAGAATCTAGAGCAACAGAATGTAATATATAAGCTCAGATTCCTAAGTTACTCATGCCTCTGACTTTTTATATGAGGCTAGCAATTCATTTATTTAACAATGTCATCATCATGGTAATCATCAAAATGTACTTGAGGCATTTATGTCTGTGTTCCCATATCTTTCCCACTATATGAAGTACAATAAATTGACTAAGACCTCGTGTGTGGGACTTTATAATCTAAGGCAGAAAAATTAATACAGATGAGCATGCAGGTCATCTAGACAGCTAGGCAAACACTGACACAATGTACAATACTGTATTAAAAGCATATATAATGCATTGAGTGACTATACATTAGAGTAAATGAAAGATGAATTATAACTGGGCAGAGTGGCACGTGCCTGTAATCCTAGTACTTTGGGAGGCTGAGGTGGGAGGATCACTTGAGCCCAGGAATTCAAGACTAGTCTGTGAAACATAGTGAAACCCTGTATGTAAAAAAAAAAAAAAAAAAAAAAAATTCACCAGATGTTGTGGTGTGCACCTGTGGTCTCAACTATTTGGGAGGCTGAAGTGGGAGGATCACTTGAGCCCAGGAGGTTGAGGCTGCAGTGAGCTATGATTGTGCCACTGAACTCCAGCCTGGGCAACAGAGTGAGACCCTGTCTCAAAAAAAAAAAAGATGAATTTTGAGTTACCTTTTTTGTACAGTGGCAAAAAAGAGGAATCTTTACTTTCTCAAGAACTTTGTTACATCCAGATAACAACTGAACAGTCCTTGGCGTAGAAATAACAGGAGGAAGTGATACATGCAGTAGTAAGAGGAAGGAAAGTGCTTTGTCCCACAAAATACCTGCTCTACTTGATAACGCCTACAATTCTTTTAGTTTAAATCTTTGTTTTTGGCTTTATGCAAATACCTGTGGGAGAAATGTGATTAAGTGTATGTGTGCTAAATGGATAAAGAGAAGGATATTTTGTGTACTGGTGGTTTGGAAATAAACCAAGTTTGAACAATGCACCATGACATGTTTCTCTATTGTTTCTTGAACTTAGTTTGTTTTCCAGTCACTGGCGTATAAATCTGCCTAATACCTTTTTGATATTGGGGGGAGGAGCCCACTTTTATTTACATTTGAATTTCTAGAAATACATGAAGCAAAATATACTTGACTGAAATTTGAAAGTGCTCCAATTGAGCATTTCACAAACATCTACAAGAGAGTTTGCTATTAGAAGCTCAGGAGTTGGTTAGCATAAGAATTGTACCTTGAGATAAGACATGTTCATCATCTTGTTTTCCCATAGATTTTTAAATCCACAGTCTACAGGAAAATAGGAGCTGTATTCTCATCATGTTAGCTGACTGATTTTGCACAGTTAATTTTTGGAGCTTGGTTTGCTCTTATCAGGGTTTTAGATGAATGAACTAGTTTGCTCTAAAAGTGTGGAATAAGTTAATTGCCTCAAAGGATTTTCTTTTTTTTTTTTTTTTTGAGATGGAGTTTTGCTCTCGTTGCCCATGTTGGAGTGCAATGGTGTGATCTCGGCAACTTCCCCCTCCCAGGTTCAAGCGATTCTCCTGCCTCAGACTCCCAAGTAGCTGCGATTACAGGCGCCTGCCACCATGCCTGGCTAATTTTTGTATTTTTAGTAGACATGGGGTTTCACCGTGTTGACCAGGCTCGTCTCAAACTCCTGACCTTGTCATCCTCCCGCCTTGGCCTCCCAAAGTGCTGGGACTACAGGTGTGAGCCATTGTGCCCGGCCACCTCAAAGGATTTTTGAAGATAGGACCTCTAGCGTTTTTGGTGTCACTGTGCTATAACTAGCCACAGACCATTTCTCTGTATCCCTTTTGATCTCACACTACAGTGTTCGCAGTATGGTAGCCTCTATTCACATGAGACTTTTGCACACTTGAACTGAGGCTAGTGCACATTGAGGAGCTACATTTTTTATTTTATTGCCATTTAATTAATGTAAATTTAAAAATTGATACTCAACTTAGTTATTTAAAAATTTGTAGGTATAATTGGAGCAACTTGGGTATGTGACTCTACCTTTTCAACTGTAAACTTTTTGAAATCTAAATACTTATTGAGCATTTTTGATGAAAATTTAGTGGCTGAATTGAGAAATGCTGTAAGTGCAAAATACACACTAGATTCCAAGGCTTAGTGTGAAAAAATGTAAAATATCTCACTAAATGTTTAAAATATTGATTGCATGTTGAAATTATATTTGAGATATATTGTGTTAAAGCATATTAAAATTATTTTCACCTATTTCTTTTTACTTTTAAAGTGTGGCTAATTTCGAGTTTTAAATTACATTATGTAGATAATATTTCTATTGGGTAGCACATAAAATTACTGTGTCTGTGCTTTGTAGATATTTGTTAAAAGGCAATGTGCTAGTAATTCTGTGGTCTTAAAAAGACATGTGTTATTTTTGTTTATACATACGTGTATACAAACATACATGTATACCAGTATACATACATGCATGTGCGTATACTTGTGGACATGTGTGTGTGTGTGTGTGTATGACCTGTAGTAGCCAGCCTCCCACATCGTGTGTCCTGGTTTTCAGACCCTTGTTTAGTCTTCTCCTGTCTTATACCAGGGCTGGTCTGTGTGGCCAGCAGAAGTCATGGTATGTCACTTCCTGAGAACAAGTTATAAAAGATAAGAGGCCAGGCACAGTGTCTTATGCCTATAGTCCCAGCACTTTGGGAGGCCAAGGTGGGAGGATTGCTTAAGGCCGGGAGTTCAAGACTAGCCTGGGCAACATAGCGAGATCTCATCTCTTAAAAAAAAAAATTAGCTGAGTATAGTGGTGTACAGCTACTTGGGAGGATGAGGAGGGTCACTTGAGCAGGAGTTTCCGGCTGCAGTAAGCTATGATGGCGCCACTGCACTCTGGCCTGGGTGACAGAGTGAGATCCTGCCTCTGGAGAAAAAAAAAAAAATCAGTGCTTCTGTCTTGGGCACTCTGTCTTTCTTGGGCCACTTGCTCTAGGGGAAGCTGTTACGTGGACACTTAGGTGGCCTATGGAAAGGTTCACATGGTGAAGAACTGAGGTTTCCAGCAGCCAGCAAGGAATGGAGGCTTCCCAGCAATGACGAGATTGAGCTGGAAGCAGATCCTCCCCAAGGTGGGCCTTCAGGCGACTGCCCCAGCTGACAACTGGACAGCAACTTTGTAATTCTGAGCCACAACCACCTAGCTAAGCTGCTCCTGAGTTCTTGACCCGCAGAAACTCTGAAATAATAAGTGATGTTGTTTTAAGCTGCTCAGTTTGGGATTGTGTGTTACATGACAATAGATAACTAATATGTAATCTGAATGCAAAAGAGGTTCATTATACTGTATAATAGCAAACAACCAAACCAAACCAAACCAAAAATTAATTAAATGTCCTCAAGTGGGAAACTGGTTAAGTAAATGATGGCATATTTGCTCAGTGGGATATTAGGCAACTGTTAAAAATGTTGGGTTAGCTGAATCCTCAGGAATAAAAGTAGCCAGTGGAAACCCATGAGGGTGTGAGAACCACTCAGGGGAGTCACAGCAAGCACTGCTGACCAGGGACCACGTTTATAAAAACATGACATCTACATATTACCCTCCCAATGTTTTATTTTTATTTCCTCTTTCTGTTTTCTCTCCTTTACCTGTTCTAGAGAATCCCATCAGGGTACCTGTGGCCTTTTGCTGTCTAGCCTTCTCCATCAGATTGTGCTCCTTGAAGACAGGGACTTCTTACCTAGCACTGGGCTGGAGCAAGGAGTGAATACCTTTGAAGTTTGAATAATAACATGCATTTTCCATGGTTTTTAAAACTGTTTCTATTATTTATTTTAAAAATTATTTTTGTATATTAATTAAAAAATTGTTATGTATTTACGGGGTACAAGTACAGATCTTTTTTTCTTTTCTTTTCTTTTTTTTTTTTTTTTTTTTCTTTTTGAGACAGAGTCTGACTCTGTCACCCAGACTGGAGTGCAGCGGTGCAATCTCAGCTCTCTGCAACCTCCGCCTCCTGGGTTCAAACGATTCACCCACCTCAGCCTCTCGAGTAGCTGGGATTGCAGGTGCATGCCACCACGCCTGGCTAATTTTTGTATTTTTAGTAGAGACGGGGTTTCACTATGTTGGCCAGGTTAGTCTTGAACTCCTGACCTTAGGTGATCTGCCCACTTCGGCCTCCCTAAGTTCTGGGATTACAGGCGTGAGCCAGTGCGTCTGGCCATGAGTACAGATTTCTTACATGCATACATTGCATAGTGGTGAAGTCTGGGCAGGTTTTTTTTTTTTTTTTTTAAGCAAAATGCAAAGTTATAGGTAGAGTGAAACCACAACTATGGTTGCAAATGCTATATAAAGCAGGTGGAAAACAAATGAAACAACTTCTAGATTCAAAAAGCATTACTTTGTAAAGATGTAATTCCATTTATTTTAGCTATTTTCTTCTTTACCGGGACACTCCAGACCCTCTCTGTAGTTTTGCGTTACTCGATTCAGCTTGGTCTCAGCTGTTAAAGGTCTAATGCTAAATTAGTGGTGGGGATGGGAGCTAAAATGACTTCAAATTTCCTCAGCCTATTGTTGTTCAAGGCTATAACCAAGTGTTTTTGTTTTGTTTTTTTTCTCACTTTCCTTTTGTCTGGTCTCCACTTCTTGACTTTTTCTTACCATGTTTTGAAGCTGCTTTTTACTTGAGTCCTGTGAGAGCTGCCTTCCCTCCCAGCTGATTGTAATTTCTTACTAAAGCCCTGTTAACTCCAGATCAATGGCTTATTTGACTCACTTGACTTTTTAAAGGAGCCAGAATTATTTCGCCTTTAAAGCAAATGTATGTATGTATGTTAACCCTTAAGCTCTCAAACACTCAACCCATGTGTTAGGGTTAAACTAATGGCTCTGACGATTGGGTGGAGGCAAGAAAGATAGAAATGATGAGAGTAGGAAAAATGACATTTGTGTGTGTGTGAGAAATAAAAATCACTCGAGACTTTTACATAGTAATATGCAAATTCCCCCTTTATGCTTTTCTCACTTCCACCTGCAATTGGAGATGTCAATCTCTCAGCTGAGAATGATAGCTCTAGTGAGTCACTGTTGCCTATGGAGGGATGTTGTCTTGCAGATGTGTTGGTGTAGAACAAAGCTTTTTGTGGTAGCAGCCTCCATGATGCCTGCCTCCTCTTATTCACATCCTTGTGTAGTCCCCTCCCCCGTTGCACCAATGCACTATAGCAGAGGCAATGCTATGCCACGTCCAGGCTTAGATTATAAAAGACTGAAATGTCTTTTATAATCTTGAGTCTTCTCTTTTGAATCACTTGGGTCCTCTCTTTTGAATCACTCACTTTGGAGGAAGCCTCATCATGAGCAGCCTATGTAGAGGCCCATAGGGCACAGAACTAAAGATTCCCTTTAACCCTCCCACGAGTGTGCCTGGACACATATCCTCAATTGACTACAGCCCCAGTTGACTTCTTGATTGTAGCCTAGTGATAGGTCTTGAGCCTGAACCTGGCAGGTAAGCCACTCCTAGATTCTTGACCTACAGAAACTATGAGATAATAAATGTTTGCTGTTTTAAGCTGCTAAATTTGGTGTGATGTTACATAGCAGTAGATAACTAAACCAGTTGTAAACAGCTGGGTTAGACCAAAACCTAAAGAGATTTTTCTTTGAGACAGGGTGTTGCTCTGTTGCCTAGGCTGAGTACAGTGGCATGATCACACCTCACTGTAGCCTTGACCTCCTGGGCTCAAGCAATCCTCCCACTTCAGCCTCCCGAGTAGCTGAGACTACAGGCACGTGCCACCATGTCCAGCTAAGTTTTGATTTTTTTTGGAGACAGGGTCTCTCTCTGTTTCCCATGCTGGTCTTGAACCCCTGGATGCAAGCAGTCCTCCCACCTTGGCCTCCCAAAGTGCTGGGACTACCGGAGTGAGGCACTGCGCCTGGCCAACAGATTTCTTTTACTTTGGAAGTGCTATTACCAAAATCATGCTGGAGTTACCAGTAAGTAACCAGCTTTGGTAATTGCAGCAACATATTTGTTATTATAATTTCACCCAATCATGAAAAATTTGGTTGAATGGGATGAGGAATTATTATTAACATAACATTAATATCATATAAGTGGCAGCCAATTTTAAATGTAGGTTTTGTTTGTTTGTTTGTTTGTTTGTTTTGAGACAGGGTCTTGCTCTTTTGCCCAGGCTGAAGTGAAGCAACGTGATCTTGGCTCACAGAAACTTCTGCCTCCTGGGTTCAAGGGGTCCTCCCACCTCAGCCTCCCGAGTAGCTACAGGTGCTTGCCACCATGCCTGGCTAATTTTTGTGTTTTTTTTGTTTTTTGTAGAGACGGGGTTTTGCCCTGTTGTCCAAGCTGGTTTTGAACTCCTGGCTTCAAGCAATCTGCCTGCCTCAGGCTCCCAAAGTGCTAGGATTACAGGCATGAGCCACTGTACCCAGGCAAAATGTAGATTTTTTTTTTTAGACCTGCTTTATTTCAAAAAGCTTTTGAAGTGATACAGCTGTATATTTTTATGGCAAAAACCAGCCCATCTTCAAACTGATAAATAGGGCCACCTAACTGCAAAGAAATGATTAATTTATAACTTTGTTGTATTTTTTAATGAAACAAAATATAACTTTGGTAGGGCTTAGAGATAGTTAAAAGCAGTGTTTGAAAAAAAATTAAAAAGCAATAAAGTTTAAAGAGATTAAGTTCCAGAGGAGTTTTTTTTAATTAGTGTGCTGGATACATATTTTTTTCTTTTTTCTTTTTGGAGAACCTCTTCATTTTGAATTCTTTTTATGAGTCCTCATGATCACTTGTTTGCTCAAATTCTTCTGTCTCACATCTCCACTATGAGCTGAAAGATTATTCGAGTATCATATGTTTAGAGTAATCCTTTCTTAAGAGTCAATTTTTAGGTTTTTATTAATTTCTTAGAATTCTCTGAATTTTCTTACGTAACCACAATAGTGGTTCTTCCTCTGTGACCCCAAACATGACTTCAAAAATTAAAAGTAGAAAGAACATCACCTTTCCATACCCAGAAAGCCCCCCACAGGCTGTTTTAGAGGGTGTAAGATTTAAGCCTATGGTTGTAAAATGGGGTGGTTCAGGCCGTAGCAGGCCCACAGAGGGGTGTGTTTTATTTGGCCAGCACTATGTTGTCTCACACAGTGTTCTTAAAAAAAAAAAATTGCCAACACTTAAAAACCAGATAATTTCACATTAAAAAAAAAAAGTCCTGACAACAGTAGGCCTATATTCCTACATAGCAACACTGGGCTGAAATTAAGAAACTGCTGCCCCTTGTAGATGGTCCCTAGGCTTTTGCACTTCACTACTGCTCTCCCACTCCCCGACCTTTTTTTTTTTTTTTTAAATGTCCTCTGGCTTCATTTATTTTAGTTACTTTCCCGGGCCCTGTGGGCATTTGCATTGACCACTTCTGATCTAAACAGACAACTAGCCGTGACATAATTGAGAGAGGTTGCAGTCACTGGGGCACTATTAAAGCAAGATTACTTTTGTCTTATTTACCTAGTAACAACCATACTTATACTATGCTAAGGGGCATTCCTGTCTGCTCTCTTCCCTTCCAGTCAACATAGAGTTATTTCTAATGTTCCACTCATGCAGCTTTAGATAGTACTAATCTTATGAATGTTGTTGATCTTAAAAGTCCTCCTTTTAATTTACGTTCTCTTTTTGTTTTAAACTTAAACCTAAAGTCATACTGAGGTTTTTGATTATTCTAAGTTGAAGATTTTGATCCACTTAAATTGCAACACTTCTCATGCCTGTTACTGACAGATCACTGCAAGCTTAGCCCTTCGTTAGGAAAAAACCAAACAAACCAAAAACCCAGATTCCAAGAACAGCACAGAATGAAATTCTTAAGAAAATGCAACTGTGTGAGAAGCAAAGTCTTGTCACCCCAAGTTTTTACGGATCAAAAAATTGTATGCACATACCCTCATAAATGTTGTTGGAAAGAATTATGGAAAAACTGAGAGAGGCAGAGAAGTGTGAAAAGATTACGCTTCCCCCTCGCTTGTCACAGTACCACAGAGGAGGCTGCCTCAGTTTCTTCACTCAAAATGAGCTACTCCTAAGCCACATAAAACTAGTTATTCCTTTACTAAAAAACAACTGATCATCAGATTTGGCGACTGTACATTTTTATCTACATATATGCAATAAACAGCTTTAATTATTATTCATGAATAAGGAAGGTGCTATTGGATAGTTTCCTCTGACAGTTTGCAGTCAAAAAAAAGGTTAAAGATAAATAACCCCTAATGTTTAAAAAATGTAATATTTTAACTTTAATAAGGGTCTGAATTAAGGCAGCAGGGTAAGTGTGAAAAAGTAAATGAATATTATTTCTAGTATATATTATTAATTCTTTGAAGAAGAATGATACACTCCTTTCATATAATTTATTTTAAAAATAGTGATAGAGGCAGGATGAAGTAGCCTGTTGGATGTGTAGTATGTATGATGTGCATTATTTAGGTGTGCCTTATTAAAGAAGACATATATTCCACCATCTTTTAAAATAAGAAACTTTCTGCTATATTAAAAATTAAGCTAAAAATTTTACATTTGTTTATTTCTTTGTAACAATAATGTTAGTACAGTTAGGCCCAGCAGTAGCTATATGTATGGGCAAGAGACATGCTTATATTTACTTTTTTAAAACTCATATTGAAGAAAATTTGGCAAACAGAGAAAAAAGATACCACCCATAGTACCATCAACCCAGTATAAATGCTGTTAGCATGTTGATATAACATGTAGCCTTTTCTCTTTGCATTTTTAGACATAGGTATAACCAGTTTTTAATCTTGTTTGTTATGTAACAGTATAGGATATGTCACATATTATTGTGTAATGGAAGATATATTATAAAAATTTTTTGAAGATTTACTTAAAATTTGAAATGAGGCAATGATATTTTCAGGGACTGAAGATAAATTTCTTGGCTCACTGCTTTTTTTGGTCAACCTTTTTTGAGCATCTAAGTTGGTACATATCAATCTTTGATTTCATAATGTGATAATTGGACATCTAAAAACTCATTTCCATGTTTGAGTTTAAAATGAACTTCATGAGATTTCTCCTATGGGAAGTGATCTTTAGGTGTGCAGAGTTTTGTATGTGTTTTGGTTGCTGCTGGTTTTTTTCGAGTAGAAAATACAGAAAAACCTGGGCGCAGTGGCTCACACCTGTAATCCCAGCACTTTAGGAGGCTGAGGTGGGTGGATCATGAGGTCAGGAGTTCAAGACCAGCCTGGCCAAGATGGTGAAACCCTGTCTCCACTAAAAATACAAAAAATTAGCTGGGCGTGGTGGCAGTTGCCTGTAATCCCAGCTACTCGAGAGGCTGAGGCAGAGAATTGCTTGAACCCAGGAGGCAGAGGTTGCAGTGAGCCAAGATCACACCACTGCACTCCAGCCTGGGCAACAGAGCAAGACTCCATCTCAAAAAAAAAGAAAGAAAGAAAATACAGAAAGAAAGAAGAAAAGAGGAGAAGGAAGGAAGGTTGGAAGCACTTCCTGAAATGATACTTCTGTATACATTTTCCCTGAACACTCCACAGACCTGATTCCTGGCTCTGCTCTGTACTTGTAGTGGCCTGTTCATGTATTCACTCTGAGCAGGGTTTTCTAGAACAGAACAATGTTTTTATTCCCTTTCCCCAAGATCTAGCCAAGTGTGCAGCACATAGTAAGCACTTAATGAACATTCAGTGAGTGAAAGAGGAGAGAAAACCATGTACAGACACCAAGCATAAGAGAGGAAGGAATTATATCAGGATGTTTTTAGCTGTAAGTTGTAGCATGTAAACTACAAGTGGCTCAAGCAATAGGGACATTTTTTAAATTCACATGACACAAAGTTCAGAGTAAGGGCAGTTCCAAAGCTGGTTTTGCAGCTGAACAATGTCATGGAGTACCCAGATGTTTTTCATTTTTGTACTCAGCCATCCTCAGCATATTGGTGATTTCTTCCATTATAGTTGCAAGATGGATGTAGGAGTTCCAGATGCTATTTGCAGACATGACCATGTCCAACAAAGAAGAGGTGGTATTTTCTGCTGTGTATCTCAGTTTATTACAGAGCTTTCACAGTTGCTTCCAGCTGACTTCTGCTTAGGTCTAGGATTGGCTCACAAGCCTATGCCCTAGCTGACGATGGCTATCGGGTAGACACCAACAGTGGCTGGCATAGAAACAATAGAGGAAACAATAATGGGAAAAAGAGTAGTGATAGGTCAGAATGAAATAGCCTGTTGGATGTGTAATATGTAGAGTCTACATTATTTAGGCCTATTGTATTCTTATCTGTATATACATTCACTATCTGATATTTAATATTAACATATGTTTGAAGCTAGGAGAACAATACTTCTAAGTAAAAAGTGTGCTACTCAAGAGCAGTAGAACCATATACATTTGGGGATGTAAACTATATGAAATTGCAAGTACAAAATTGCTAGGCCCACTTTAGGTCCTTGGAAACTTCTTTAGCTTCATGGCAAATCTTTTTCCACTGCCATCCCCGGCCTTCCCCACATTTAACATTGCTACTCTGGAGAGAATAGAAAACTTGGGCAACAAGTTAGAAGAACAGAATTTGCTTTCTTTTTAACATTATGTTATTCTAAGGAAGAAGGACATTGCACTCAAGAATTACTCAAGGAACAGGTCAAATGAATGGGAATTATAAAGATAGATAATAGATGTTTTTTTAAAAAGCATCTTGAGTTTTTGTTAATAGTACTTTTAAACCGTTGTAGTTTGCTACATATTCTTTACTCGTAGAAACTGGATATAAAAGTGAAAATACATCAAAACAAAATATTCAGCCCACTAGATATATATATTCCAGGTGTGCTTAAATAGGGACATATGAATTATTACTATATGACACTTGTATAATTTGGATAGAGTCGAATTCTTAAGCAGAATGTTAATTATCAGAAAATGAGTATTTTATTTAGAAATTATATGTAATATAACATTTTATATTTTTTTCCCATTTCCTTTGGATGGGTGTGGGGGTGTGGTGGGGGAAGAGAAACAGTGACCACCTGTGTCACCTGCTGTCTTCATGGTCTTCAGTCTATTGCAGTAGCATCCCAGAGGCTGTTTCTGAGGAACCTGTTGTATTGCTAGATTGATACTGCAGTCTGTTGGCTATTGTCTTCTATTTTAAAAACAGAGCAAAACAAAATATATTCCTGTCATCTGCCTCTCGTTCTTGAGATTACATAAGAACTTCCCATAGTATACTAGCTTTTACACCAAATTTTAAAAATTGAAACATACCTTTGCCAACGAATGTAGTGGTAATTTGCAGAAGTGTGTCATTGGCGCCGAGCTGAATGAGCCTGTCACTTAATAGCCTTCCATTAATACTTGTTTAATGGAAGAATGAATGAACTGTTTATACAATATTGGGACTTCTAAGATAATTATGATAATTTAAGGAAAGCAAATATTGGACACTAACCTGTATTTGCTAACATTTTCTTTTAGAGGTTGTGATATTACCAATACTTTGAAAAATCAAACACTGTATTATCTTCAAATTAAAGACTTTAAGTGATATGCTAAATAGAGCTCTTAGCTTGACAGTTAAGACATTTATATATAACTAAGGCACTACACATCTGGGAAAATAAGAACATATTTTGAAAGGAAGAGATTCCAGAAATGGGTGTCTGTGATTCAGTAAGAGGGGCCGTGAATACAATGTGAGTAGAATCTGTAACTGTGTGTGGTGCTTTATGCTTCTCAAAAGGCAGTTTTTTCATGATATTATATGGGTCTGCTTGCCTGTCTCCCATTATCTGTAATTTAAAGTGTGCTATTTTTGTAGCTGTTATTCTTGGACATACAAGTAAATCAACATGTATGTTCAAAAGATATGTACTTGATTTCTGACAAGAGTAAGATAAATTTATTCTTGTATCTAAACATTAGCATTTATATACAAAAGTTTATTGATTAGTAGTAGGTCTCATTTTTGAAAGTATTTTTATATGTACAATGAAAAGGCAGCTTTCTATTTTGTATGAAATTTTTAAAAAATCTTTTAAAAGTACTACAAGATAAAAGGAATTTAAAAATTGACATTATTGGCACAAGATTGATGTTAATGTTTACTCACGTAAATAGCACAAAATACTGCCTAATTAGTGTGGTTGGTAAATTTTTGGTACTTAAATTTTCTCTGTTATTGTAAACCATGCATAAAATGCTTGTCTATTGAGAAGTGCAGAATTGTCAGAGCTTAAACAGCTGACATCTGCTTACTCTCTTAAAAAAAAAAAAAAGAATAACAAGCCATTTCAGCCTAATCTACCTCAAATGTGTTCATGTAAATGGAGGTCCATCTATTGACCTGTATTCTTTTCAGCTCAGGATTGGTCCACATGGTTTATGAAACCAGGAAGCCTGATTTGAAATGCAGATGTTGAGAGAGTGAAGTACACCCTCCCCTTTTTTCTTTGCTGTATCTGTCAGGGTGAAAAATGGCTTGCACAAGGGTCAGTCACCCATACTCACTTAATTACTTTTCTTGGACCCACAGAACTGTCACAAGCTGTGGTGGATGCAGGAGCTGTTCCTCTTTTAGTACTCTGTATCCAGGAGCCAGAAATTGCTTTGAAAAGGATTGCTGCTTCGGCCCTCAGTGATATTGCAAAGCATTCTCCAGAGTTAGCACAGACAGTAGTGGATGCAGGAGCTGTTGCTCATTTAGCCCAGATGATCCTGAACCCTGATGCTAAATTGAAGGTATTTCAAAATAAGGTTGAAAAATACATCAGCCTTCTTATAATGTAAGAAAATGGAAATGTGTACACGTGAATATTTTGCATCTAAAAATAATTAGCAAATTATCATTGAAAACAGATATGAATATATTATGTATTTGGTCTCTTAATATGTGAAAATAATACTGTAAGGATTAGATAAAGATGTGATTGGGGAAACTATGTACAAGATCAGAAGTAACAACAGTGTTAACATTAATAATTAAAATACAGAATCACATAATAATTAAATCCTGGTTTGGAAAAGACCTAAAGATTTTTGAACCCACCACTATAATATTGTTTCTTATGGAAATTGCAATATTTATCTTAGCCTTTTTTATAGCTTTCTAAAATCTGATTTTTAGTTAATAGTCACCAATTATACTTTTATATTCTAATAGTTATATCCTATAATGTTTTAAAATTGTTAACATTAACTAAGCAATGGAACATTCTTTGAAATGGTATCAGCATCATGTCAAAGATATTGTTCTGCTTGATGATTTTTGTACTAAATGATCACCTGTCTCATAAATTAGCAATTTCAGTGTTGCATAATTAAGAAGTGGTATTCATCCAGAGGTCATGTTATTTAATCATCTGTAATAGATAGAGTTTCAAAATATTGAGAACTAATTTGGAAATTAGGAATTTTTAGAACTTGGGTATAAGACTTGAATGTGAATGTCTCAAGACTCAGAAATCTTAGGCTGTTTAGGCATGTACATTTTTTTCCTTTTATAAAGGAATTTGAATATATATAAAACTGTTTACATTACATCTGAACTCTGTAGTGGATGCTATATAGTGTTTTGTTGTTGTTGTTTTTTTTTTGCTTCACAGCATCAGATCCTTTCAGCTCTCAGTCAGGTTTCAAAACATTCCGTGGATCTGGCAGAAATGGTTGTTGAAGCAGAGATTTTTCCAGTTGTACTTACCTGTCTGAAGGACAAGGATGAATACGTGAAGAAAAATGCTTCTACTTTAATTAGAGAGATTGCAAAACATACACCCGAGGTGAAAAGAAACTTCAAGGCACAATAATATGTAGTAGTTAGTTTTAGTTTTTAAATAAAACATCAATTTGTTTATAGGGCCTAGGGGTTGTGGCACATGATCTAGTTGAGTCAGGATTTCTCGTCTTCTACTGATGTTTTGGACTGGGTAGTTCTTTGTTGTGGGGAGCTGGTCCTGCACATTGTAGGACGGATGTTTAGCAGGATCCCTAACCTCTGCCCACTAGATGCCAAAAGCACCCTTCTCCCGCAAGTGGTGACAATCAAAAATGTCTCCATACTTTGCCATGTGTTCCTCAGGGAGCAAAACTGCCTCCAGTTGAGAACACTGGGTTATATTAGCAGAGTTTGAGCTTGAAATCTGTTTCTAGTCATTTCCAACTTTCCATTTGTAGATTGTGAGGACAATGGAACTTTGCCATCCTTACAATTTTATGTCAGCTGGGAGTAGTGAGAACACTATTATAGCTCCAGGTTGGGAGAAATCACAAAGGTCCCCTGGCCTACTGTGACCACTCCAGTAGCTGCTCTTACATGGTGATTTCCCGCCCTGAGTTCCTAGATGGGAAAGAAATAGAGAGAAAGCAAGCCTGTGTTGATTCTGAAGTATCTTTTTTCTGTGTATATTTTGACTAATCAATTTTTATTTCATTAAACTTTAAGTCCTCATTGTTTATTTCATCTAACATCTTTATTTGCTTGAGATTTTTCAAAATTAAAGTGCACTCAGCTAGTAATCATTACTAGCAAAGGGGGAATAATTAGGTTAGAATATTTCAAGTCCGACATTGTCTTTCACCATTCAGTGATTAATCTGCTTCATACTCACCCATTGTGATGGGGGGGTTTCAGTAGTTAGTTATGAACCAGCCCTAGGCTTAGAGTCTACATGAGGAATTTTGACATCCATTATAATAGGGATAAAAGTTGTGCCATCGATGCATGAAAAATTGAACCACAGAGTAAAGCTCCTCACAGTTTGTGCATTTGAACTAGCAGGTTTATTGTACTTGTATATTTCTTTAATAAATATAATAATTTCACTAAATGATAATTCAATTTCACCAGTTGTTTTTAGGTTCTAAATAGAGTGTGGCAATATTAAACTGTATTTAAAGACCATCATAGGGTCCTGGTGATCTAACTCTTGTTCCCATCGCTTAGCTTTCACAGCTGGTAGTTAACGCAGGAGGGGTTGCTGCCGTGATTGACTGCATTGGGTCCTGCAAAGGGAACACACGGCTGCCTGGCATCATGATGCTTGGTTATGTAGCAGCTCATTCTGAGAACCTAGCAATGGCAGTCATCATTTCTAAGGTTTGTTCTTGCTTCGTTTTCTTCCAGTTGCAGTAAGAAATTCTAAGACAGAACCACAGATTAATGTTCTCCAACAGAATACAAAATATAACTGACTGGAGCAAAAAAATTACCTGAAAAAAATTTTGATTGTTTCAATGCTTATTAGCAAGTTTTATTAGCAAGGTAATGGGAAGTTTAAAGTTTTACTCAGCGTTTCTCATCAACAGGATATCAACTATTTTGAGCATTAGTATTATCTGTATTTAAATATTAAGTTTATTTGTATCTTGAAGGATTAATTGTACATATCTACAAACATGTAAAGCTTACCTTGGTTAGAAACACCTATTTGTAAATGACATGCCCAGTAGTCATTTTCAGTATTCTGGGAGGTCTATATACCCCTCCATTTCCTGCCACTTCAGTGGGAGATGACAATGGCTAGGACATCCCTTTTTATCCACTTTCTCTTCTTCAGCTTTTATTAACTATTTCTCTTCTTAGATTTAGGCAATTCAGAGCACATGTCAGTGTTTTTGTTTCCTTGCTCTAGGGCTTTTGCTTTATCTCAGTTCACAATTTTGTAAGAACCCCTCATCTAGTGCAGCCCTGGCACATAGTAGGTGCTTACGAAATGTGTGCTAATGAATAAATATTGATCTCTGGACGAATGCTTCAAAGCCTGTGTGCTTACAGTGTGTGCGGTGACCCTCTGGGGTGTGGGTTTCTTATCAGCATAGAAAACCTGCTGCTGTATGTTAAACAGAAATGTGGATTTTTTTTATCCCTTACTAATCCTCAGAATAAAAAGGAGCCTCAGATCTTTATTTTCTACCTATTTCTTGATAATTCTTTGCTTTACTCCCTTTTATCCTGCTCTTTTCCTTTTGTTCTTCTACTACCACAGACTGTGATAGTGACTAGAGCAATAGTGGTGCTTTCTGAAGGGTCACGGTAAGGATGTTACTAGGTTTTTGATCCTTGGTTCTTTTGTGGATAGTCATGAAGCTTATGCATGGGAAGAATGATGAAAGAAGAAGCAATTGCCGTTGCTTCCCATATGCCTTCCTGAAATTAACCAGGGAGCTCTCCCCTTCTTTGGTCTAAGGTTGCTGCTGGCCTTTCCCACTTGGTTTGTTTTTCAGATAGAGATCAAGGTGTTGCTTGCTGAAACTCCAGCAGTTTCGGGCAAGCCACATAGTATGGTAGCACTCTCTGCTTTTCCTGTGTGGTACTATAAAGACTAACAATAATACTTTACATTTAAATAGTAATTTTAAAGCAAATTTGCATTCCTTATCTTATTTGTTATTCATTATAATTGAGGCCAACAAGTCAGAGCTTCAGGGATGGAGTAGAGGCACTGTCTCCTTTTCCTCCTGTTTCTTCAGTCTTGTTACATCCTGGACATGTGGGCTTTCTGGAAAGTTGCTTCATTCTGAAGACAGGTCTGACCTTTAATATTGGCAGACATACATTTTTAGTTGTAGGAAAGAAGCCAATGAAGAAATATAGCTGACCTCTTCAGGAAATTGGTCTTAATAACCAAATTAAAAAGCAAAGAATAAAAGTATATATGATGATTCTGGCCTTTGCTGTGGTAGCATAACCATGTGATCTTTTTTTGTGGTACCAAATTTAAGGTGATTACCATAATCTCAAATTAGTCAGAAAATTACACCTGTACAGAATTTGGAATTAGAATTTGATTTTTTAAAATTGTTCCTTGGGTATACAAAATGTAATGTATTTGAGGCTCTTTAGTTTATTCTGTTTTTATTGTTTAGATAAAATTGAAGCATAAGATGCAAAATGTAAGCATGTGCTGTGTAACAAAAGTAGTCGTTGTTTTGACATTCAGTCATGTTAAAGTGGAAAGAACTATAATTTAAAAGTTGACCATAATTGATGGAAAGTTATTTATGTACTGTTTCAGGAAAGGTGTTAGTGAATATATTCCGCTGACAAGGTACTTAGGATTCTTACTGATTTATTTTATTCTCAGGCTTATTATATCAGGTTTATTATATTTGGTGAAAAGACAATTTCTTTAAAGATTCTAAACTTTTTAACAAAGGAAAATAAATGATTTTAAAATTCTAAACATTTTTATTTAGTCACAGTAAAATCTGGCTTTGCCTATTTCCTAGTCTGTGACATCTGTTGTCTGGTTAAATACCTCTCTATTTGGGGGGTAAAAGCTAGTAGAGAAATTCTTGGTTTAGTTGAATCGTTACCGATAATTAAGGTAATTTAGTTCTAGTCATGTTATTGACTTAAGAAATGACAGCCCCTGTGATGTGCTCATTTATTGAACCATTTAAGAAAAAAAGGATCAAGGCCGAAGTGATTTCTTCTCATGTTTGAGAGACATGGAAGACTCTTTAATCCTGCTCTAGATTCATAACACTTGCTCTTTTGATCCACGCTGCAGGGTGTACCCCAGTTGTCAGTCTGCTTGTCAGAAGAACCGGAAGATCATATTAAGGCTGCAGCTGCTTGGGCCTTAGGACAGATTGGAAGACACACTCCTGAACACGCACGGGCTGTTGCAGTCACAAATACTTTGCCAGTTCTGCTTTCTTTGTACATGTCAACAGAAAGTTCTGAGGATCTCCAAGTAAAAGTAAGTGCTTAATTCTGTTTTATGAAGATTTTGGCTCATTTAAAAAATATGTCATTTCAAATCTCTTTGTTTTCATCATGGACAATATTGTTTTATGAGTCAAGAAATACAAATTTATCAGAACTGACTTCACTCTTCTTTGAAAATGAGTTACCCTGTCTCTAAAAATCAGTGATATATTTTAGAGAAAATTCTCTATGGGTGCAAAGTTGTTTGTAAAATGAATGGTTAATGCAGTCTACATTCCTGTTGACTCTTCTTATGTAGTGGGAATTGAAGAATAATAGAATTTTTTAGTTTGAATTTGCTGGAGAGACCTCTAGTTCATTTTACATTTAAAAGTGAAATCCAAAAGAATTTAAGGTACCTTTCAAATGTATCATATAACTAGTCAGAGGGCATTTTTGAACCCATAATTTACCTCTTTAATTCCAAGGTCACCTGACCTTTTAATTATATGTCTTATATTTGTTTCTTTAAAAAATTGTCTATAAGACTCACTAAATTAAATATTTTTAAATCATGCATTTTTAAAAGGCAGATTTTCTGAAATATTACTAGCTACTAAAATGCTTCACAAAACATGAATATGAAGAAGGATGGATTATTTAATGATTTTATAATTTAAAAAAAAAGAAATAAAATGTTTTCCAGCATAGTTCCTATTAGGAAAACTTGTAAGTTTTTGAAAGCAGCTTGTAAAATTGACTTGGTTTGAGGGAAGTTCACAGAACAGACAATAATTTAACAGTAAATTAAATTACATTTAAATTTTAATTAAAACAGTAAACAAATAGGAAAACAATTTGGTGAAACTTAACTTTAGATGGCATAATGAGATGGGAAGTTTTCTTGAAGTATACACTTAAGGGACTCTGAAAGTTATGTATAGTGAATTATCTATTTGACTTGTAAATTTTATAAAAGTAAATTTATGTATATTTGGTCATGTTTGCATATTATTTCTCTACTAATGCATTGAGAGAAATTGGTTTCTAAGATTTAACTTTTTTTTTCAGTTTTTATAAGGCTTTCTAGACCAACAATTATTTAATAGATTTAGAACTTCCCTCATATGTCTCTCACATGTGCATTCTTTGGCAATGCTTGGTAAAGAGAGAAAGATTAACAATGTAAGGTCTTTTCTAGTTTAGCAGGTCTCTTTAACTTTCTGGTGAGAAACCAAAACTCTATTCCTAGCTTTAAGTTGTCCAAGCACAGCTGATATACATGTATACGTGTATATAATTGTAACCTATATCTGTAGTCCTCTTTTGGCTTCGTATTTCTTTAACCCATTATCATTGTTGTTTTTCTCCTCCTCCTTTCCTTCTCCTCTTCCACCCTCTCCTGCCACCCTCCTGAGTTTCCTCTTAAGTTTTGGAAATAAAGTAAAGGGATGTATGAGCTAGAGCATAAATCATTAATAGTGGACTCAATAGTAATTTCAGCTTGAGAAGCCCTTGCAAATAGTCCCTTAGGTAAGAGTATGTACTTTTTATATACTACTACCTTATATATCTTGCCTTTTAATAAATTATTATGATATTATGTTGTATACATATCACTGGAGAAAAATAAATTTGAAAACTTCACTTTTTGAAGTAAGATAAATTTCATTGTGTTTAACAAGTGGTGTTTTTAGGTTAACTAATAGAAATTAACTTCCTTCTGCCTATATTTAGTACAGTGTTACTTTCAGGAAATACACTGAGTAGTAAGTGAAAAAGTGGGATCTTTACCAATCATTATTCCATCAACAATCTTTTAAAGGCTTCGAGCCCATCCAAATATTTTATTATTGTAGGGATTTGATCATTCTTTTTTCTTTCCCCACGGTCTCGTGAATTCTCTCAGTTGTTATTTTAAAGGGTGTAGAATAAAAGTCCATTCAAGCCTGTTCGATTTGACACCATCTCAGTAGGGAAAAGTGTATCCAAGAGTGTCAAGAACTGTCTAATGGTATTTCTCATTTGTTACTCTATGGCAGGTTTCAAATTATAAGCCCATGTTGAAGTTCATTTTGTCCCAAAGGCATGTCAGCTTCTGTAAGCATTCTCTAATTGGTTTCCATGCAGGAGAACGAATGAGCAATCTTTTGGAATTTCTCTCATGTTTTCTTTGGAGAAATATCTATTGAGACCCTTTGCTCATTTTAAATTGGGTTACTTATCTTTTTATTATTGAATTGTAAGAGTTCTTTGTATATTCTGGGTACAAGTTCTTATGAAATGTATGATTTGTAAATACTTTCTCACATTCTATAGATTTTCTTACTATTTGCTCCCATGTTATTCCAAATCTCTTAATAAAAATGGAAAAGAAGTTTTTTTCTAATAAGCTTATCTACATGTTTTGAAAATATTCAGGCAGTTATACCTTTATTTGTTTGGATTTAGAGGCATCATATTGAAATGTTTCATCTTACTTTGGCATTTGAATCAGCTCATTCTAGTTATAAAACTATGTTTAAGATAATTATTTAATTATTGTGTTCTTACGGTAATAGTTGTTCCCCCTTCATTTTTTAGCAGCTTTATTGAGCTATAGTTCACATGCCATACCTTTATCCATTTAAAGTGTACCATTGAATGGTTTTGGGTATGTTTACAGAATTATGAAACCATCACCACTATCTAATTTTAGAATATTTTTATTCCCCATAAAAGAAATGCTACCCATTAGCTGTGATTCTGTATCCCCTCTGCCTAGCCCCAGGCAACCATTAATTTACTTTCTGTCTCTATGGATTTGTCTCTTTTGGACATTTCATTTAAATGGAGTCATACAACATATATAACCTTTTTAGAGATAGGGTTTCTTTCTGTTGCAGACTGGAGTGCAGTGGCATAATCAACTCATTGAAGCCTTGAACTCCTGGGCCCAAGTGATCCTCCTGCCTTAGCCTCCCAAGTAGCTAAGACTACAAGTGTGTACTGCCACATCTGGCTAATTAATTTTTTCTTTTTTTGGAGAGACAGGGTCTCACTGTGTTGCCCAGGCTGGTCTTGAACTCCTGGCCTCAAGCAGTCCCCCACCTTGACCTCCCAAAGCACTGGGATAAGAGGTGTGAGCCACCACACCTAGCCATGTGCCTGCCTTCTTTACTACTTACTTGAAGTTTCACAGTTCGTCCATGTTGTGGCATATATCAGTATTTTGTTCCTTTCTATTGCCAAATAATATTCTATTGTATTAATATGTCACATTTTGTTTATCCATTTACCAGCTGATGGACGTTGGATTATTTCTACTCTTGACTATTATGAATAATGCTGTTATAAACATTATTGTAACAAGTTTTCGTGTGGATGTATGTTTTCATTTCTCTTGGGTATTTACCCAGGGATGAAACTGCTGGGTCAATAGATAACTCTGTTTAACATCTCGAGAAACTGCCCAACTGTTTTCCATTGTACTACCAGCAAGGTATGATGGTTCCACTTTTTCCACATCTTTGTCAACTCTTGTTATTATCTTTATTTTTGATTGTAGTCATCCTAGTGGGTTTGAATTGGTATCTCATTGTGGTTTTGGTTTGCATTTGTCAAATGGCTAATGATGTTGAAAATCTTTTCATATGTTTATTGGCTGTTCATACGTCTTCTTTAGAGAGATGTCTATTCAGACCCTTTGCTCATTTTAAACTGGGTTATTTATCTTTTTATTATTGAGTTGTAAGAGTTCTTTGTATATTCTGGATGCAAGATCTTATCAGATGTATGATTTACAAGTATTTTCTCACATTCTGTGGGTTATCTTATTTTCTTGATGATATTGTCTGCAGCACAAAAGTTTTAAATTTTAATGAAATTCAATTGCATATGCTTTTTGTGTTGTATCTAAGAAGGCTTTGTCTAACCAAAGGTCATAAAGATTTACTCCTATGTTCCTCTTCATTTTAATAGCTATTACTCTTTGGACCACAATGCTTTCAGAACAAAAATAACTTTCTGAAAAGAATTTTTAAAAATTTTTCAGCAGTTTTCATTCAAGATAATTGTATTTGTTTGTTCTCACACTGCTGTAAATAACTACCTGAGACTGGGTAATTGATGAAGAAGTTTAATTGACTCACAGTTCTGCATGCTGTACAGGAAGCATGGCTGGGAAGCCTCATGAAACTTACAATCATGGCAGAAGGCAAAGGGGCAATAAGAATGTCTTCACATGGCAGAGCAGGAGAGAGGGAGCGAAGGGGGAGGTGCTACATGCTTTGAAACAAGCAGATCTCATGAGAACTCTGATATAGTTTGGCTCTGTGTCCCCAGCCAAATCTCATCTTGAATTGTACTCCCATAATTCCCACGTGTTGTGGGAGGGACCTGGTGGGAGATAATTTGAATCATGGGTGTGGTTTCCCCCATACTGTTCTTGTGGTAGGGATTAAGTCTCATGATAGTGGATGGTTTTATCAGGGGTTTCCACTTTTGCATCTTTCTCATTTTCTCTTGCTGCTGCCATGTAAGAGTGCCTTTTGCCTCCTGCTGTGATTCTGAGGCCTCCCCAGCCATGTGGAACTGTAACTCCAATTAAACCTCTTTTTCTTCCCCATGTCGGGTATGTCTTTATCAGCTGCATGAAAACAGACCAATACAAACTCTACTATGTTTACTCTCCAACACTGAGAGCAAGCCATATCAATAATCCACTAAGGAAAGCAACAATTAGTAATTTTTGGTATTCTTCCAATTTTTAGTGAAAAACAATTGAAATTGTATTGGTTTCCCATAGTATTGTCAATTTTATTTTGTTAATTGCTATTTTTATGTGTAGTGTTAAGAGGTAAAAAAAATAGTGTTGTTACTTACTGTGGTTTTTCCAATAGCCCTAATCAGGGAGGATACAGTCAGTTTTTAGAAATGACGGAAAAATGAATGAAGTTAGAACTGTAGATGCTATGCTAGTTAATAGGTAAACCAGGCCCAAACCCTCAGAATGCCCTCAATAGATAGCCCAGGATTCCTTCTCTGACATCGTCATATATTGTATCTAAGGATAAACATTAACTACTAAATGCAATGACAATTAGGAAAATTTATAATCTGTTATTCATTAGCTCAAGGTAAGATATTACTTGATTTACTGAACTAGGTAAATAGGAGAGTTTTTTTGACCCCATAAAATTTCTGTACAATTCATGGTATGGAGTTGTAAGGGCTATTTTATTTTGCTCACAGCCATAAACAACCAATCATAATGCATATCTTCTAGAAGGTAATGAATCTTAAAACCAACGTGTGACATGATCTTGTATGTAAAAAAATCCTAAGGAATTCACACACACAGACACACACACACACGCACACACACAAATCATAGAACTAATAAGAGTTCAACAAAGTCATGGGATACAAGATCAATATACAGAAATCATTTGTATTTTCTTTTTTGAGACAGGGTCTCACTCTGTTGCCCAGGCTGGGCTGCTGCCCAGGCTGGATTGCAGTGGTGCAATCTCAGCTTACTGCAACCTCCACCTCCCAGGTTCAAGTGATTCTTGTGCCTCAGCCTCCTGAGTAGTTGGGATTACAGGCATGTACCACCATGCCTGGCTAATTTTTTTGGTATTTTTAGTAGAGACAGGGTTTTGCCATGTTGGCCAGGCTTGTCTTGAACTCCTGAGCTCAAATGATCCACCTGCCTCGGCCTCCCAAAGTGGCTGGGATTAGAGGTGTGAGCCACTGCTGCTGGTCTCTCAATTGTATTTTCATGTACAGGTAATAAACAATTCAAATATGAAGTTAAGAAAATAATGTTATTCATAATAACATCAAGCATTAAATACATATAAATTAACAAAAGTTTAAGACTAGTACACTGAAAACTATAAAACATTACTTAAAAAATAAATTATGAGACATTCCATGTTCATGGACTGGAAGACTCAATATTGATAAACTGGCAATACTCCAAATTGATCTATATATTTAACATAATCTCTATCAAAATCCTAGCTGGCTTTTTTTTCCCCCAGAAATTGAGAAGCTTATCTGAAAATTCATGTGGAAATGAAAAGAACCCAGACTAGCAAAACAATCTTGAAAAAGAAGAACTTAACACTCCCCAATTTCAAAATGTACCACAAAGCTATAGTAATCAAGATAATGTGGTACTTGCTTACAGAAAGACATATGTATGTATCAATGGAATTGAATTGAGAATCTGAAATAAACCCTTTTTATCATCAATTGATTTTTCACAAAGATGCCAAGGCAATTTAATGTGGAAAGAATAGTCTTTTCAACAAAGGTGATGGGACAATTGTATCCTCAAGTAAAAATATCAATTTGGACCCTTATCTCATACCATATACCAGAGTTATCTCAAAATGGATCTTAGATCTAAATATAAGTGTTAAGATTATAAACTCTTAGAAGAAACCTGGGAATAAATATGTGTTACCTCAGGTTAGGCAATTATTTTTTAGATATTTTACCTAAACACAAGTGATTTTAAAAATTGATAAATTATATTTCATCAAGATAAAAAAAAATCCTCTTATGCTTCAAAAGACACCATTAAGCCTGGGCACATGGCTTATGCCTATAATCCCAACACTTTGGAGGACAAGGCAAGAGGATCACTTGAGGTTAGGCGTTTTGAGACCAACATGGGCAACATAGTGAGACCCTATCTCTACAAAAAACAAAACAAAACTAGCAGAGTGTGGTAGTACATCCCTGTAGTCCTAGCTATTTGGGAGGCTAAGGCAGGAGTATTGCTTGAGCCCAAGAATTTGAGGCTGCAGTGAGCTATGATCCTGACACTACACTGTAGCCTGGGTAACAAAGTGAGATCCTGTCTTTAAAAAAGAAAAGGTTAACATTAAGAAAATGAAAAGACAAGCCACACAAACTTGGAGAAAATATTTGCAATTCAAGAAAGGAGTTTAAGTATTATTATTTTTTTTTTTGAGACAGAGTCTCACTCTGTTGCCCAGGCTGGAGTGCAATGGCACAATCTCAGCTTACCGCAACCTCCGCCTCCTGGGTTCAAGCGATTCTCCTGCCTCAGCCTCCTGAGTAGCTGGGACTACAGGCACCCACCACCATACCTGGCTAATTTTTGTATTTTCAATAGACACAGGGTTTCACCGTGTTGTCTAGGCTGGTCTCGAACTCCTGACCTCAGGTGATCCATCTCCCTTGGCCTCCCAAAGTGCTGGGATTACAGGCCTGAGCCACCGCGCCTGGCTGAGTTTAAGTCTTTTTAACAACTTTATTGAGATATAATTTACATACCATAAATTCACTCATTTTAGGTATACAATTTAATGATTTTTAGTAAATTTACAGAATTGTGCAACCATCTTCACAATCAAATTTCAGAATATTTTCATCATCCCAGAAGGAAGCCTCATGCCCATTTGTAGTCACTCCCTCTTCCTCCTCTCAATTATACCCACCAGCTCCAGACAACTATTAATCTACTTTCTGTGTTTCTGAATTTGACTTTTCTGGACAATCCATATAAATGAAATTATACAATATATGAACTTTTGTGCCTGGCCTCTTTCACTAAGGGTAACATTTGTGAGGTTCATTCATGTTGTTGCATGTGTCAGTACTTCATTCCTTTTCATTGTCAAATAGACATGCAAAGAAAGTCTTAAGTAACTAGGATTTCTATCATGCTGGATAATATAGCTGATTATTAATTATGATATACATTTCTATCTAGAAGAATATAATCATAAGCTGATTATATTTCTTCCACATGAAAGATAGTAAAGCTCAGTGAATTTCTAGTGTCATTAGACTCTTTTCTACAGTTCTTGATTAATAACTTGACAATACATCAACTTAGAACTACTAGAATAAGGCTGTCTTTATTGTACAGTGTATGTGATTTCTACTACACTGTTCAAGAACCTTTTCACTGATAACAGTGAAGTTAAATTTGTTAGCTTGCTAAGATTATCACGATTTAAGATAGTTCCCAAGTATGTTGGGAATTGAGAGTTTAATTCCAACTTACATTATACTACTTGTGGGAAAAAGCTGGGCTGCATATTTTACATTCCTTGTTTTATTTAATCTAATTTATAAAACAGTGTTTGAGGATAAATGTGTCAAGCAATAAGAGGCTATGCAAGACTGCTTAGCCTGGGTCTCCAGGAAACCTTAAATTCAAGAGATTCTTTACTAACAACACACCTGTGGTAAAGTTTTGCTGAATAGATTTACCAATTATAAAGTTCATGATGTGAAAATCACAATGCTCCTTGACATTTCAAGAGCACTGCAAAACACTCAATAGCAAAACAGTGTGGTGATCCCAGAAGACCAGGTTGGGTAAGGCCTCAGAGAGAGAATAAGTGAAGAGAAAAGCCATAAGGGAGCACTGAAGCACAAAACCTCAGACAAGCAGATGTGGAATTCTAGTGGAAAATAGCTGGAGACAAACCCAATTGTTGTGAAGCTTTCCAAACTGAAGGGGACAGCCTTTAAGAAAAAGAAAATGAATCACAACCAGCCATGGCCTGAGGGCTGGCTGCTGTGATGTGCTGCAGCCCCATCAGGGTCCTTCTCCACTTGTAGCAAGGGTCAGCACCACCTGATGTCACCTTGAAATACGGAGTGCAGGAGGGGGTAGAAATGGTACATATGGTACGTATTCTTCTGCTTGTGGGTGATACACTCCCTGTGTTGAGAAGATCTGTAGTTGAGTAGATCCTATCTGTTTTGCTTCTGTGAATGGGGAAATGTCTACCTACGAGCTATAGCAGCACCTCTGCAAATGCTCATTGAATAATGCACACTGTAGCCACTTCTGACTGCATATGTATAAGCCATGAAGTCATGGAGAATATAGAATGCCTGATAATGACATTCTTCAAAAAACCAAATTATTTTCTCGTATTTGTTGATAAGTAGAAATGGGATATATTAGTTATCTCAGTTTCCTGTATACAAATTTTTACTCTAATATAGTACATATTAATTTATAGTCTGTAACTTTGTGCTTTATAATTTTAATTTTCTTCTAGGTATTTTAAGAGCTCAGTAATACACTTTACATTTTAAGGCTTAACACAAAGACAACTTGTAGGATATTCTATGATAAAATCAATCCAAGCAGGAGTTTTTTTTGGACAACAATTTTAAAAAATGAAACAACTGCAGCTTAGACCAGGAAATTGATTTTATTTTGAAATTCCAGGAATGTCAGATTTGAATTCTTGTCAAGGTTTCATTGATTACTTACTTATGTATACATTCTGCTTTGTATTTCTAGAGTAAAAAAGCCATAAAGAATATCCTGCAAAAATGTACCTACTTACCAGCCCTTGAACCATTTCTATATGATGCTCCTCCCAATATTCTGAAACATGTGGTTGGACAGTTCAGTAAGGTAAGAAATGCCAGCCTCTAAGGGGAGGAAGAAAATTAAAATGATTTGTTGTTATTTTTTTTTTCTGTTGGGTCAGTAGCTTTTTCTGTAACACGGGGTCATGGTTTTACTGCTTAACTCTCACCAATCTGTATGGACAGAGAAGTTACCTTAATAAAATTCACATGTAAATAAAACACTTTCTTCATCCTCACATTTTCCTTAGAGTCTCTACTGTCTTTTTAAGTGTTCCCAGAAAAGAAAGCTCTCATAATATAGATAATTTATATTGATAAGTGACTTTTAGTAATCTTTCTAGTGTCTTTCATTTCACTCACCTGGGAATATGGCAAAGATCATAAAGAGAAAAGGAAAAAGGTTTCTGAGCCACCGAAATATCTTTCATGAAGTCCATGTACTTTACTGGAGATGTTCTCAGACAGTCATTTGGAGCATATCGACTTATTTTGTGAACAATTTTAACAAATATAGCTGTCATATTTCTTAGATTGTTGCAGATTAAATGATAGTAAATGGTAGTAAGGTAGAAAGGTCAAGCTGCTATAAGTGGGCACAGCCAGCAGAGCTGATTACCAATAGCAAAGGATAAAAGAGAATGACTCTGTTACCACAGACACTGATAGTCAGGATGGTGACCCTAAGCTATCAAGAGCTGGCTAAATTATGCTCAGTGAATTTGACTTAGGAAAATGGGGTCTGTACAAGTAGTAGCCCATGGTGGTTATGAGCTCGGTTCTGAATTGGAGTACCTGGAGTTCCCACTTACCAGCTCTGTAATTCTTTAACAAAATGTTGACCTCTCTAAACCTTAGTTTGGTTACCCATAAAATGTAAATAATTAGAGTACTTATTTCATAGGGTCATTGTAAAGAGTAAATGAGATATTGTATGCTAAGCATTTAGCTCAATCCCAGGCACATATTAAGCACGCAAAAGAACAAAAACAACCAAAGAGTTGTATTTAAGAAATAAAACATGCAAGCGGGTCAGGCTAATTTAAAAGATTTAAAAAAAAATGAATGGGGTGTGGCAAATTCATTTGAATAGTCAGTTATAATGCTATATAAATGAGATATTACTCTTCATACACTATGTTTCTACAAATAATGAACAAAAACTATGTATTGTTATAACTTTTAAAGTAGTCCCTACAGATAAGTTTGCCTAGTTTTAGGTCTTCATCTGAAAGATAGAGTCTGCTAACAGCCTTCAGTTCTCTCAACTCTGTTCATGACCTCCAACAGTATGACTGGCCGTCAAGTGCCAGAGCCACAGGAAAGTAGAAGTTTCACATTGCTGAAGCCACTCACCCAGGCAGGATACAGTTCTGTGTATCAAACACCTATGTCCTTTCTTCCTCCTTCCAATAAAATAAACTGCCCCTCTTAGTTATATGGGATGTGAGGAATATAATGGCATGCCCTCTTGAAAAACCAACTAAATAACCAAATAATGCAGAGAAAAGACTAAATTACTGCAAGGGAAATTGATCCATTTCTTTATTTTTTGTATACTTTTGGGTGCTAAGAAGGTGACCAGCTAATTTGGTCCTCTAAGAGTGATAAGGGGTAAGGGGCTGAGTAGATCATCTACAGACAGAGTTATCTGTTCTTGAACTGGGTAATTGACATTATTTCTGAAAGTTTCATTTTGTAGTTTAATCTTTTAGGCTAGTGAGTGAGATATTCTGATTTTATTGAAGTAGCTATGAAAGTAAACACTAACCTACATTAAGAGTTCAAAATACATAAAACCAGTGGGATGTGTGGAAGTTAGACAGCCCCAAGATAAAATAAATACAGTACTGTATCATATACACTTATAAATGTGCCTTCAGGAATATTTTCTTTTTTTTTTAAATTTATTATTATTATACTTTAAGTTTTAGGGTACATGTGCACAATGTGCAGGTTAGCTACATATGTATACATGTGCCGTGCTGGTGCGTTGCACCCACTAACTCGTCATCTAGCATGAGGTATATCTCCCAATGCTATCCCTCCCCCCAACCCCCATCCCACAACAGTCCCCAGAGTGTGATGTTCTCCTTCCTGTGTCCATGTGTTCTCATTGTTCAATTCCCACCTATGAGTGAGAATATGCGGTGTTTGGTTTTTTGTTCTTGCGATAGTTTACTGAGAATGATGATTTCCAGTTTCATCCATGTCTCTACAAAGGATGTGAACTCATCATTTTTTATGGCTTCATACTATTCCATGGTGTATATGTGCCACATTTTCTTAATCCAGTGTATCACTGTTGGACATTTGGGTTGGTTCCAAGTCTTTGCTATTGTGAATAGTGCCACAATAAACATACGTGTGCATGTGTCTTTATAGCAGCATGATTTATAGTCCTTTGGGTATATACCCAGTAATGGGATGGCTGGGTCAAATGGTATTTCTAGTTCTAGATCCCTGAGGAATCGCCACACTGACTTCCACAATGGTTGAACTAGTTTACAGTCCCACCAACAGTGTAAAAGTGTTCCTATTTCTCCACATCCTCTCCAGCACCTGTTGTTTCCTGACTTTTTAATGATCGCCATTCTAACTGGTGTGAGATGGTATCTCATTGTGGTTTTGATTTGCATTTCTCTGATGGCCAGTGATGGTGAGCATTTTTTCATGTGTTGTTTGGCTGCATAAATGTCTTCTTTTGAGAAGTGTCTCTTCATGTCCTTCGCCCACTTTTTGATGGGGTTGTTTGTTTTTTTCTTGTAAATTTGTTTGAGTTCATTGTAGATTCTGGATATTAGCCCTTTGTCAGATGAGTAGGTTGCGAAAATTTTCTCCCATTTTGTAGGTTGCCTGTTCACTCTGATGGTAGTTTCTTTTGCTGTGCAGAAGCTCTTTAGTTTAATGAGATCCCATTTGTCAATTTTGGCTTTTGTTGCCATTGCTTTTGGTGTTTTAGACATGAAGTCCTTGCCCATGCCTATGTCCTGAATGGTAATGCCTAGGTTTTCTTCTAGGGTTTTTATGGTTTTAGGTCTAATGTTTAAGTCTTTAATCCATCTTGAATTGATTTTTGTATAAGGTGTAAGGAAGGGATCCAGTTTCAGCTTTCTACATATGGCTAGCCAGTTTTCCCAGCACCATTTATTAAATAGGGAATCCTTTCCCCATTGCTTGTTTTTCTCAGGTTTGTCAAAGATCAGATAGTTGTAGATATGCGGCGTTATTTCTGAGGGCTCTGTTCTGTTCCATTGATCTATATCTCTGTTTTGGTACCAGTACCATGCTGTTTTGGTTACTGTAGCCTTGTAGTATAGTTTGAAGTCAGGTAGCGTGATGCCTCCAGCTTTGTTCTTTTGGCTTAGGATTGACTTGGCAATGCGGGCTCTTTTTTGGTTCCATATGAACTTTAAAGTAGTTTTTTCCAATTCTGTGAAGAAAGTCATTGGTAGCTTGATGGGGATGGCATTGAATCTGTAAATTACCTTGGGCAGTATGGCCATTTTCACAATATTGATTCTTCCTACCCATGAGCATGGAATGTTCTTCCATTTGTTTGTATCCTCTTTTATTTCCTTGAGCAGTGGTTTGTAGTTCTCCTTGAAGAGGTCCTTCATTCACATCCCTTGTAAGTTGGATTCCTAGGTATTTTATTCTCTTTGAAGCAATTGTGAATGGGAGTTCACTCATGATTTGGCTGTTTGTCTGTTGTTGGTGTATAAGAATGCTTGTGATTTTTGTACATTGATTTTGTATCCTGAGACTTTGCTGAAGTTGCTTATCAGCTTAAAGAGATTTTGGGCTGAGACAATGGGGTTTTCTAGATATACAATCATGTCGTCTGCAAACAGGGACAGTTTGACTTCTTCTTTTCCTAACTGAATACCCTTTATTTCCTTCTCCTGCCTAATTGCCCTGGCCAGAACTTCCAACACAATGTTGAATAGGAGTGGTGAGAGAGGGCATCCCTGTCTTGTGCCAGTTTTCAAAGGGAATGCTTCCAGTTTTTGCCCATTCAGTATGATATTGGCTGTGGGTTTGTCATAGATAGCTCTTATTATTTTGAGATATGTCCCATCAATACCTAATTTATTGAGAGTTTTTAACATGAAGAGTTGTTGAATTTTGTCAAAGGCCTTTTCTGCATCTATTGAGATAATCATGTGGTTTTTGTCTTTGGTTCTGTTTATATGCTGGATTACATTTATTGATTTGCATATATTGAACCAGCCTTGCATCCCAGGGATGAAGCCCACTTGATCATGGTGGATAAGCTTTTTGATGTGCTGCTGGATTCGGTTTGCCAGTATTTTATTGAGGATTTTTGCATCAATGTTCATCAAGGATATTGGTCTAAAATTCTCTTTTTTGGTTGTGTCTCTGCCCGGCTTTGGTATCAGGATGATGCTGGCCTCATAAAATGAGTTAGGGAGGATTCCCTCTTTTTCTATTGATTGGAATAGTTTCAGAAGGAATGGTACCAGCTCCTCCTTGTACGTCTGGTAGAATTCGGCTGTGAATCCATCTGGTCTTGGACTCTTTTTGGTTCGTAAGCTATTGATTATTGCCACAATTTCAGATCCTGTTATTGGACTATTCAGAGATTCAACTTCTTCCTGGTTTAGTGTTGGGAGAGTGTATGTGTCGAGGAATTTATCCATTTCTTCTAGATTTTCTAGTTTATTTGCGTAGAGGTGTTTATAGTATTCTCTGATGGTAGTTTGTATTTCTGTGGGATCGGTGGTGATATCCCCTTTATCATTTTTTATTGCGTCTATCTGATTCTTCTCTCTTTTTTTCTTTATTAGTCTTGCTAGCGGTCTATCAATTTTGTGGATCTTTTCAAAAAACCAGCTCCTGGATTCGTTAATTTTTTGAAGGGTTTTTTGTGTCTCTATTTCCTTCAGTTCTGCTCTGATTTTAGTTATTTCTTGCCTTCTGCTAGCTTGTGAATGTGTTTGCTCTTGCTTCTTTAGTTCTTTTAATTGTGATGTTAGGGTGTCAATTTTGGATCTTTCCTGCTTTCTCTTGTGGGCATTTAGTGCTATAAATTTCCCTCTACACACTGCTTTGAATGCGTCCCAGAGATTCTGGTATGTTGTGTCTTTGTTCTCGTTGGTTTCAAAGAACATCTTTATTTCTGCCTTCATTTCGTTATGTATCCAGTAGTTATTCAGGAGCAGGTTGTTCAGTTTCCATGTAGTTGAGCGGTTTTGAGTAAGATTCTTAATCCTGAGTTCTAGTTTGATTGCACTGTGGTCTGAGAGACAGTTTGTTATAATTTCTGTTGTTTTACATTTGCTGAGGAGAGCTTTACTTCCAAGTATGTGATCAATTTTGGAATAGGTGTGGTGTGGTGCTGAAAAAAATGTATATTCTGTTGATTTGGGGTGGAGAGTTCTGTAGATGTCTATTAGGTCTGCTTGGTGCAGTGCTGAGTTCAATTCCTGGGTTTCCTTGTTTACTTTCTGTCTCGTTGATCTGTCTGTGTTGACAGTGGGGTGTTAAAGTCTCCCATTATTATTGTGTGGGAGTCTAAGTCTCTTTGTAGGTCACTCAGGACTTGCTTTATGAATCTTGGTGCTCCTGTATTGGGTGCATATATATTTAGGATAGTTAGCTCTTCTTGTTGAATTGATCCCTTTACCATTATGTAATGGCCTTCTTTGTCTCTTTTGATCTTTGTTGGTTTAAAGTCTGTTTTATCAGAGACTAGGATTGCAACCCCTACCTTTTTTTGTTTTCCATTTGCTTGGTAGATCTTCCTCCATCCTTTTATTTTGAGCCTATGTGTGTCTCTGCACGTGAGATGGGTTTCCTGAATATAGCACACTGATGTGTCTTGACTCTTTATCCAATTTGCCAGTCTGTGTCTTTTAATTGAAGAATTTAGTCCATTTACATTTAAAGTTAATATTGTTATGTGTGAATTTGATCCTGTCATTATGATGTTAGCTGGTGATTTTGCTCGTTAGTTGATGCAGTTTCTTCCTAGTCTCGATGGTCTTTACATTTTGGCATGATTTTGCAGCAGCTGGTATCGGTTGTTTCTTTCCATGTTTAGCGCTTCCTTCAGGAGCTCTTTTAGGGCAGGCCTGGTGGTGACAAAATCTCTCAGCATTTGCTTGTCTGTAAAGTATTTTATTTCTCCTTCACTTATGAAGCTTAGTTTGGCTGGATATGAAATTCTGGGTTGAAAATTCTTTTCTTTAAGAATGTTGAATATTGGCCCCCACTCTCTTCTGGCTTATAGAGTTTCTGCCGAGAGATCAGCTGTTAGTCTGATGGGCTTCCCTTTGTGGGTAACCTGACCTTTCTCTCTGGCTGCCCTTAACATTTTTTCCTTCATTTCAACTTTGGTGAATCTGACAATTATGTGTCTTGGAGTTGCTCTTCTCGAGGAGTATCTTTGTGGCGTTCTCTGTATTTCCTGAATCTCAATGTTGGCCTGCCTTGCTAGATTGGGGAAGTTCTCCTGGATAATATCCTGCAGAATGTTTTCCAACTTGGTTCCATTCTCCCCGTCACTTTCAGGTACACCAATCAGACGTAGATTTGGTCTTTTCACATAGTCCCATATTTCTTGGAGGCTTTGCTCATTTCTTTTTATTCTTTTTTCTCTAACCTTCCTTTCTCGCTTCATTTCATTCATTTCATCTTCCATTGCTGATACCCTTTCTTCCAGTTGATCGCATTGGCTCCTGAGGCTTCTGCATTCTTCACGTAGTTCTCGAGCCTTGGTTTTCAGCTCCATCAGCTCCTTTAAGCACTTCTCTGTATTGGTTATTCTAGTTATACATTCTTCTAAATTTTTTTCAAAGTTTTCAACTTCTTTGCCTTTGGTTTGAATGTCCTCCCGTAGCTCAGAGTAATTTGATCGCCTGAAGCCTTCTTCTCTCAGCTCGTCAAAGTCATTCTCCATCCAGCTTTGTTCCGTTGCTGGTGAGGAACTGCATTCCTTTGGAGGAGAGGCGCTCTGCTTTTTAGAGTTTCCAGTTTTTCTGTTCTGTTTTTTCCCCATCTTTGTGGTTTTATCTACTTTTGGTCTTTGATGATGTTGATGATGATGATGGGTTTTCGGTGTGGATGTCCTTTCTGTTTGTTAGTTTTCCTTCTAACAGACAGGACCCTCAGCTGCAGGTCTGTTGGAATACCCTGCCGTGTGAGGTGTCAGTGTGCCCCTGCTGGGGGGTGCCTCCCAGTTAGGCTGCTCGGGGGTCAGGGGTCAGGGACCCACTTGAGGAGGCAGTCTGCCGGTTCTCAGATCTCCAGCTGCGTGCTGGGAGAACCACTGCTCTCTTCAAAGCTGTCAGACAGGGACACTTAAGTCTGCAGAGGTTACTGCTGTCTTTTTGTTTGTCTGTGCCCTGCCCCCAGAGGTGGAGCCTACAGAGGCAGGCAGGCCTCCTTGAGCTGTGGTGGGCTGCACCCAGTTGGAGCTTCCCAGCTGCTTTGTTTACCTAAGCAAGCCTGGGCAATGGCGGGCGCCCCTCCCCCAGCCTCGCTGCCGCCTTTCAGTTTGATCTCAGACTGCTGTGCTAGCAATCAGCGAGACTCTGTGGGGGTAGGACCCTCCGAGCCATGTGTGGGATATAATCTCCTGGTGCTCCGTTTTTTAAGCCGATTGGAAAAGCACAGTATTTGGGTGGGAGTGACCCGATTTTCCAGGTGCCGTCTGTCACCCCTTTCTTTGACTAGGAAAGGGAACTCCCTGACCCCTTGCGCTTCCCGAGTGAGGCAATGCCTCGCCCTGCTTCGGCTCGCGCACCCACTGACCTGCGCCCACTGTCTGGCACTCCCTAGTGAGATGAACCTGGTACCTCAGATGGAAATGCAGAAATCACCCGTCCTCTTCATGGCTCACGCTGGGAGCTGTAGACCGGAGCTGTTCCTATTCGGCCATCTTGGCTCCTACCTCCCATGAATATTTTCTTAATCTAAAGATACCAAAGCACTAAAAAGAGATGATAAAGCAAGGTAGAAGGTGAAAAGATACTGAAGTGGCTGGGGACAGAGATAGGAAGTAATGAAAATTCTCCAGGCCAAATGAAATATGTAAAACCAATATATTTATAGAATATTACATTTTTTACAAATATATACTAGTGCAATCTTCTGTTGTCCAGCTGATTTATATTATTGCTCTATTAGCAAGATCCTTTTGTGGTTTTAATTATTTGTTAAATGCCTACATGTACCCAGCTCTCTGTTGAGCATTGGGGAACAGACAAAAAAGATTAAGTTGTTCTTCAGGGAACTTTATAATCTAGCTGAGGAGAGCAGACAAAACAATTAGAAAACATTTCAATGTACTAGACTTGGAGATAAACTTTTTTTAAAAGAAGGAATGAGTGAATATAGTCTGAAGTCTTCAGATAGGGCTTCAATGGAGGAAGGACAAGTGAAAAGAGCTGGTCCTTGCAGAAGGAACAAGATCAGAAAAAAAGAGCGTTTCGGTCAGAGGGATAGTAGCAGTGACTAAGGAAGAGAGCAGGACTTCCCACATTGTGACCCCACCCCTTCCCCAGGACCTTCCTAGTCTGGTCAGTCTTTTTTTTTGTCTCTCATAATAAATTTCTTCATTTCCACTGGCTTTTTCCTGTCAACCTGCAAACGTGCTCAAGTCTCCCTGATCCTAAGATCAAAACCTGCAACATCTTTAGCCTTTAGTTCTATCCTACCGTGGTCTACTGATACCCTGTTTTCTCTTTCTGAAACTTTAAAGTTTGCCTTGACTTCCTTACTTGGGACACTTTCCTCAGCTGCTGATAGCCTGCCTTCCTCAACCTCCCCTCCACACACAGCTGCCTTTAGTCAAGTCTTCAGCACCTTCTCTTCACTGTCAGATCCAGTGACTTGTTTTTTAGTTTTCATTGGTTGCTTTAAGAAACCTTCTCTTGGATTTATTGATTCCTTACGTTTCTGATCTTCTGTCTCTCTAACATTTCAGTCCCCTTTCTATGCCTACTCTTTAGTATATTCATTCATTTGTTAAACATTTGTTGAACCTCTGTTAGGTACCAGGCACGAGGGAAATGAATGAATGAACTCAAGTATAGTTTCTGCCTTCAGTGACATTGTGACAGACATATAATGGATAATTAAAAATTAAAATTAAAATATTATGTGGTATTTAGGTATTATGTGGTAAGCACGTGGATGGTGGTTTGACAGAATGCTGACAGAAGAAAAGGACTCAACTCATCCTGGGATAAGGGGATAGGGGCTTCCAGAGAAGGATTCTTAAAGGAGGTGACACTTGAGCTAAGTCTTAAAAGATGACTAAGAGTTAACCAAGCATAAGGGGAGAGGTTTGTGGAGTGTGGAAAGCCATTTTAGGAAGAGGTAGCAGCGTGGGCAAAGGCAAGAGATGACACAGCATGCATGCTGTGATGTTACTGAAACAATATTTAGGATGGAGATTAGTGGTGGCTGGAGAGGTATTTAGGAGCTGGGTCCCAGAGGACCCTTTGTGCCTTGTTAAGGAGCTTGCCTTTAAATTCTTAGGGAGCAAAGAGACCTTGAATGGTGTAAGCTTTATATTTTACATCTGTGAGTGGATCTCCATTGCCTTTGCCCATGTTCATTGCCTTTATTTCATTTCTTCAACCTAAAAATTAACACATTCTAAAAAGCACATTTCACTTCAAATTAGCAGCAGATTTGGCTCATTATGTTATAGGTATATTGGGTATAAATTCTCTTTTACATTTTCTCACATACAGTATTGCTTTTCAATAGTAATAATCTAACTTGGAAAAGAAAAGCTGACATTTTATGTGCTTCACTTTGCAAGGTGCTGCCGCATGATAGCAAAGCTCGACGACTTTTTGTAACAAGTGGTGGCCTTAAAAAAGTTCAAGAGATAAAAGCAGAACCTGGTTCTCTCCTTCAAGAATACATCAACAGTATTAACAGTTGTTACCCCGAGGAAATAGTGAGGTGGGGAAAATGGACTTTGAAACGTTCAATATTAGAATGTAGTTTTTCTGTTTTCACATCTAGGTTTTATATCCACTGTGTCAAAATGTGGACTTTGAAATACGATGTGAGGCCAATATGTACCTTTATTTCTCTCTTGATCTCTTCCCCCTGCCAAATTAATTAATGATCTGACTGACACGCACATTTCCAATTCAAACTGGAATGTCATTTAAGACATTTTTGTACTAATTTAACATGTGCTTTACTAAAGAGTACCCAAATATAGAGTTCAAAGTAACCAGTTTTTAAATTGTGAATACCTGATTATAAAAGGCCTATAGATTCTGAGTTTCATAGTTCCCTGCATATTACTATTCTACCTTAAGCTCACATTTACATTAATGAGACTATCACAGGTAGAAAAGAGATGTTGAGTAACAACAAAAAAGTTATTATCTAAATGCAAAAAAACCCCAAAATGATGTTTATTATTTACAGGTACTTCAGAGTAATATAGCAAGATGCTATTTTCAGGATTAATAAAAAAGATTCATTTTTAAATGAAGTTGATTTGCAGAGCATTCAACCTAAGCCTCGGTCCTTGTAAGCCTAATGGAGAACTATTCCACTAAACTCTAAATAAATAAAAGCAAAAAAAGAGAATGATTTAAACAACTGAATCTTTTTTTTTTTTTTTTTTTTTTTTTTGAGACAGAGTCTTGCTCTGTCGTCCAGGCTGGAGTGCAGTGGCGCGATTTCGGCTCACTGCAAGCTCCACCTCCCAGGTTCACGCCGTTCTCCTGCGTCGGCCTCCCGAGTAGCTGGTACTACAGACGCCCGCCATCACGCCCAGCTAATTTTTTTGTATTTTTAGTAGAGACGGGGTTTCACCGTGTTAGCCAGGTTGGTCTCGATATCCTGACGTCGTGATCCGCCCGCCTAGGCCTCCCAGAGTGCTGGGATTACAGGCGTGAGCCACCGCGACCGCCCGGCCAAACAACTGAATCTTTAAAAATGCCCCCAAGGCATGCAGGATAAAGGCATATTTATCTGTATTTTCTAATCCTACATTTATTTCTTATTTTCTTTGATTAATATTGGAAAATATAAATTCTAATTTTTAAAACTTACATGCTGTAACATATACTTACGCAAGTTGCAACATGTCTGTTAATTCTTCCTGTTTAATATCAATGGTGTTTAATACGTATGGTAACATTAATTTTAAAAGCACAAAAGCAATTTTAAGATTAAAATTTGTTTTCTATCCACATATTTTTACCCAGTAAATTCTTTCCAGAGTTGCAAGTTTGTGCACTTTTTAGGAAGTTTATGAGAACTCCTTGACCAAAAGAGTTCCAATAGGTAAGCTTTGAAATATTAATATATATGATACATCAAAGCAGTGATATATCATAACATGTATAATTAGTCTACATATAACACTCTGTCTCCAGGCTGGAGTGCAGTAGCGCGATCTTGGCTCAACTGCCATCTCCGCCTCCCGGGTTCAAGCTATTCTCCTGCCTCAGCCTCCCAAGTAGCTGGGACTACAGGCACACGCTACCACTCCCAGCTAATGTTTTGTAGTTTTAGTAGAGACAGGGTTTCACCATGTTGGCCAGGATGGTCTAGATCTCTTGACCTTGTGATCCGCCCACCTTGGCCTCCCAAAGTGCTGGGATTACAGGTGTGAGCCACCATACCCGGCCACAAATTTATATTTTAAAAGTTTGTATAACATAAAATGTGTAAAACCGTTAAATAAAGGAAATATTAAAATCTTTTTTGAAGAAAACAAAATTAATTTTTATACGTGGAATATGTGTCCCTTCACGAAGAATGGTATTTTATATAAGTTTAAGGTAACTTTCAATGCAATTTTGTTACAAAGTTACAGAAAGATGCAAAAAAAAAAAAAAAAAAAAAAGAACTAAAGTGTCCCCAGAATGAATGACCTATTAGAATCAACCAATGGTAAGGTACTTTATTGAAGAGAAGTTTTTTTTTTTTTCCACTTTTTTGAAGGCATATTTTAATTGAGCACCAGGAAAAACTACAAACTGCATCACATTAGAAATTAATCTAGTGCTGGCCAGGCTCAGTGGCTCATGCCTGTAATCTCAGCACTTTGGGAGGCCGAGGCGTGGGGATCACGAGGTCAGGAGATCGAGACCGTCCTGGCTAACACGGTGAAACCCCGTCTCTACTAAAAATACAAAAAATTAGCCTGGCATGGTGGCGGGCGCCTGTAGTCCCAGCTACTCAGAAGGCTGAGGCAGGAGAATGGCGTGAACCTGGGAGGCGGAGCTTGCAGTGAGCCGAGATTGTGCCACTGCACTCCGGCCTGGGTGACAGAGGGAGACTCCGTCTCACAAAAAAAAAAAATTAATCTAGTGCTTTGTCAAAATACCATTGTAAATTTTTAACTTCTCCACTTCCCCAATTCTGTGGGCTGGGATTTCATTTTTAAAATTGGCTAATTATTATAAAGAATTTTGGTTACCTGACTAATGTTTTCAAATTTCTGATATATATATATATATATATTTCACCCACACAGGGCAAGTAGGAAAACCTCAGTTATGTTTTAAAGCATTAGGTTCTATAAAATCGTATTTTATAGAAATCTTGGAAATGTTGTCTTTCTATAAAAATAGACAAATATAATCTCAAAATAGTTTCATTTTTACAATTACATAATTCTCAAGAATCACTTGGTGATAACTATTTTAGAATTAATTATCCTTTGTAAGACAGTTTATCAACTGATACATTCATCTGTTACTAACCTAAATATTTATTTCATACTGCCTTCCGATTTAGTAATCTTTAAATTTTTTTAATGAAGAAAGGTAGGTAAATGAGAGGAAAGGGGTCTGGACTAGACATTAGAAGACCTAAGTTCTGGGCCTGGCTTACTCCACAGCCATAAGGTGTTTTTGAATTCCTTTTTCTTCAAAATCTCTGCCTCAGCTGGGGTGGGGAAGCAGCTTTGGGGCAACATCTAATTTGGGGAGGGAGACATGGACACAGTCTGCCATTCAGCATAATTCTGGTATCATAACAATATAATAATAACCCCAATTCTCTGTGGGTCTAGGATAAGGTTAATTCGCTTACATTCTTAAAGGACATTTAGAGGTAAGTTGGGATAGCTGTGGTTGCTGGCCAGAGGGAAGGAATTTCCTGGTCTTATCTGGAGGCTCATATTGGTTCTTTCCGAAGGAGTACGCTAAGAGCTCAGGCTTAGGTGTCAAACAGACCTTAATTCCTCTCTCAGTTATAACTACTTACTATAACTAACTATTACCTTGAAGGTAATAGTTAACCCCTTTAGCCACAGTTTCTGCATCTGTACAAGGTGGTTAAAGATAATTACCTATTTCATAGTTAGAATTAAATGAGAAAATGCTTAGCCAAAGGGCTACATGTGGCTACTGAGGACTAGAAAAATGGCTAGTATGTCTGTTAAACTGAATTTTTAATATTGAATTTAAAATTTATAAACTGACACTTGATTCAGTTATTGGAAAACTTTTAGATATGTTTGGAACCACTTGCAAATTTTATGTAATCTAAATACAGACATACTAGCCATTTTCTTAAATTAATTAATTTTTTTGAGACGGAGTTTCACTCTTGTTGCCCAGACTGGAGTTCAATGGCGTGATCTCGGCTCACTGCAACTGCCACCTCTGGGGTTCAAGCAATTCTCCTGCCTCAGCCTCCTGAGTAGCTGGGATTACAGGCATGCGCCACCATGCCCAGCTAATTTTGTATTTTTAGCACGGACGAGGTTTCGCCATGTTGGTCAGGCTGGTCTTGAACTCCTGACCTCAGGTGTTCCACCCTCCTCAGCCTCCCAAAGTGCTGGGATTACAGGTGTGGGCCACTGCACCCGGCCCATACCAGCCATTTTTCTAGTCCTCAGTAGCTGGTGGCTCCCATTCAGTCTACATATAGCTGGTGGCTCCCATATTTAACATGGTAATAACAATTATTATTAATCTAATATCAATGATAACATCATTATATCAATACTAAGAATACTATATTATTAAATAAGTAAAATATTAATATGTTAATATGGTAAATTAAATATTTATTACATTAAAATATAAAATTTATTAATATTTAAATTAAAAGGTTAAAATTTTAAAGATATTTAAAAATCTACCTCTTGAATTCATATTATCTGGTGTCCGATACATTTGAAGGCCTAGGAAGGTAAAGCCTGCTTTAAAATTTTTGACTAACTCAGAGAAGAAGCAGTTGTGAATTTCTCAGTGTAAGAATACTTCGAAGAAACCCACTGTTGAAAGACAATTTTTTCAAGAGTAAGAGGCTGTTAGGGGAGAAACATTCTTTAAGGTAGCTTTTTGGGTGTGTACATAAGTAGCTGTTTAACTATGGATGCCTGTAAGCACACTACTCACTACTAAGAAAATATGGCTGTATTTTTTGGTCCACCTTAGCTTGATAAATTGTGGAAGGAATTTTAGTGTAATATAAATTATGAGTTTTTAGGTCAAGCATCTGGGCATAGATAAAGATAACTAACAAAAGGCAAAGCAAGTCTCTAATATTAGGTTTTATCTGGAGAAAATGCCTTCAGAAGCTTAATTATTTTGAGTGTTTTGAGAATTTTTGAATTATACTTCCATAGATTTAAAAAATTATTCTAGAATGCCTGCTAAATTTTATTTGACATTCATTTATCTGCATGTAAGTTATTTCCATGACGTATTAAGCATCTCACAATGCACTGATCAACATATTTAATACTTTTATACTAAATCTTGTATAAAATGTTCAATTTATGAATGTAAATGTATAGTACTATAGATGCCCAAGAACTATTAATAGTAAAAATGATTAATTTCCTAGGTTTCTATGATACAAGTATTTGTAAATAGTTTTTCAATACTAAATTATATTTTATTAAATAGTTTTTCAATATGAATTATACTTCCAGAAATTTTTGTTTTCCTAGGTGACCAGATCTGATTAAAACCCATGCTGAGAATGATCTCTAAGGCAGTTAGAATGCAGAAGTTGATTAGTAACAATAGACTGTGTAGTCTAACTTATGAAAAAAAAAATCTATTAGCTAGGATCCTTAAAGCAACATTAGCCACTTGATGTGATTAAAATGAAGTCTCTGTAATAAAATATTGTCAGTGGATTGAAGATTCTTGTTTGGAAAATGTCCCCTTTGCCATTACATTTATATCCCTTAAATGTTTTGCTACTTCTGTAGCACAGTTTTATGAATTCGTATTTTCCTCCTGGATAGCCTCTAACTTTATGCACAAAGCATTACTGGAGCATAATTATTCAGAGTGTATTTGAGATTTCACTCACAGGATTATTTCAGATAAATCCCCTATATTGAATCTTATGTGCCTGCTGTGTTGATCGTTTCACCAGCATTTAATAGTGTATTTTCTTTTTCAGGTATTATTCCCCTGGATATTCAGATACACTTCTGCAGAGGGTGGACAGCTATCAACCACTTAATAACTGAGCAAAGTTATATTGTGATACTCAAATTCACAGCAGAGTAGTTTTGAGTAACAGTAATTAAATCCTTCTAAATATTTGAACTAAGTATATTCTAGATTTATTTAATGGGAAATACCTTTAGATAATATTTTCTAAATTTATGTAATACTTTAAACATTCGTAGCTTGAATATGTGAGGAACTATTCATGGTCATTCGCATGCATAGGATTTGTTCTACAGGTAGATTTTAAAAACACGTTAAAGGGCCTTAAGGCATTTTGTTATTCTGTTAAAAACCACACACACTCGTACATGCAGACACCTCCAATGAGATATAGTTAAGAGATGGCATTCAAAAACCCTAAATTATTCTAGCCAATTTGTCATAGGCATAGGCAAGGAAAGCTGGCCTTGCTAACTATATAGTAGTATACACAAGAGAAATCTTTGAAGGAGGAAACTGATGACAGATATACAGGGCACTTGAAGGAGACTCTGATGCTAGTTATATAAGTGCATTAACTTAAGACACGGACTCTGTGGGTAACCTGTTAGGTTTTACTAAGAATTTAGGAAAAATTTACTCCTCTTTATCACAAGTTTTCCAAACCTCCTTCCCCACCCTATCTAAAGTGTTCCTTACCTTTCATGGGCCCAGCGAGGGTAGAATTCAGAATAGAGAGTTATACTCCTGCATACATGCTCTCCCTCTCATTGAAAGGTTTCTTAGTCTAGCTCTGCTCATGAATGAACAAAGAAGCAGGCATGTAAAATGGATCCTTGTCCTAACGTCACTTTCCCAAGTTTCAAAAGTCACATTTTCAGGTATTTAAGGAATAGTTTGAAGCTAATACCATCAGGCTCAGAGTTTACATGCATTTTTACTTAGGAAGTGGTAAACGGGTGAAAGAGGGTTTCAATAAAATTTTAAATAAAAACAGCATTAGAATTGTCCTTTTCATTTTTCCTATCCAGTGTGTTGCTGACCTTGGGGAATATGTGATTGGATTTATGGGTCTTGGTTAGTTGCTGTGTATGTGTCTTTTGCTTTAAAGGGATGTTACTTCTGCTGCTCTCTCCTGGAGGAGGTGAATGATAACCCACACAGCCCCTAGGCCACAGTGTTTCCAGTCTGACTCTGTTTTCAGGTTTCCTTCTTTGACTCTCTCTCTCTTTTTTTATTTTTTTCATGCAAAAGGAGCTACCCGTTTGTTTTTTGTATTTTCTGGATTCATCTCTGTCATCATTATTTCCTAACAGTGCATAACTTTGTTGTGTCTTTTAAAACTTCATAATACCCGAGATTACCTCATTTTGTTTTGCCTTATATCCGGCTAAGATTGTTGGTTATTTCATTTTTTTTTAATACTTCCTTGGGCCTGTTTTGTTTCCTTGCAGCAATTTCTTTGACCTGTTGAATAGGAAAATGTAATTTGTATTCCCAGTTTTGTAGCTTTCCTTTCTTTCTTTCATGCCTACACAGCTTGTCTTATGAATCTTTTAATTGGAGAAAATAAAAGTAGTTTTTATCTTTCTTCATTAGGGCTGTTTTTCTTAGATGTGTTGGTAATGACAGAAATTAGTTTATCTGGGTTAAAACCACCTCAGATATTGTTGGAATGTCAAATTTCCTAGTTGAAAATTTTCACTTCATAGATAATTTCATACTTATCAAACAGCACTAAACAAAGTAATAAAATACTTAATAGTGTTCAGATGGGTGTTATAATTTGATCATATGCATTGTGGAAAATTTATGCTATGAAATGTTTCTTGACATAAAACTCTTTAAACAAAATGAAGCTTTACTTTTTGAAAAGTATGTTGTGAGATTTAAAAAATATATATAAAAACAAAATCTTTTTCATTTGTCATAGGGCAAAAATAATGTCTGTTATTAATGATAATTCACTGATATTTTTCACCCCTCATTTGAATTTTGTCAATTCTAATTCCCTGTGCAAACCCCTGTCCCACTGCTCCCTACCCACCCCCAGCCCCAGGAGTTTATTTAAAATTCCCCTGTTCTTAGGAATTCTCAACTTACATGAACAACTATTTTTAGGACTTCAGTTCAGGAATAGAATTACTTGGACCTTATTATTATAGATTCAGTCCTTTCACCTGTTGTGGAAATAGGTGAAATCAGTGGTACCTGAAAAGAGATGTTGGAAACATAGGTTCTAGTCTCTCTCTGTTAAGTATTATAGTAAGGGTGATAATAGTTGCTCAGCTTACTCATAAGAAGCTTATGAAAATAACCTGCAATGGTGAAAATAACAATGTTATAAACAAATCCATTTTATACAAACTCGACATGTGATTAATGGAAAACCTAATAGTCAATGACAGATTACATATTTTAGCCAGCAATTGTGCAATATTCCCCAGGCCCCACACTCTTAGATAAGTGTAGTTCAAACCAGATGATTTATGATTAAAAAAACCCCTACATTTCCTGCCCTCATGGAGTTTTCTAATATAAACACATTTGCCGAGACAGAGGCAGTGGAATACGCACAAGACACTAAACACAAAGCAGGCATATTTAATGTAGTATGGAAAAACAAATGACAACCCCATATTTACAGGATATTGACCTGTTTTTCTAACCCCTTCCTCTCAAAGAAAACCCTTTTCCTTAAAGAAAGGATGAAAGGTTTGCTTGTTTCTAAACTTGATTTGAGGTCCTGCTTAACATAAACCCTGACCTTAAATTCCTGGGTGAGGCCCATCTCCCATCCCAGATGTCAAGTTTAGAAACCAACCTTGAAAGAATGAAGAATTTTTCTGTTGTGTTTTCAAATAGCCAATTCTTTGATTAAGATAGGTGCTACCAAATGTTGAGGTTTATGTACACTGTGGCTTATTCTGCCACAGAATTCACTGTTTAGAAAATGTTGATTTGTAGCTCTTCTGCTTCTTTCAGGTGATTAAAAGGATCAAGTGGCTGTCCTATAATTATTACATTTACCAGTTGTTTAAGAGACTTTTGACTTTTAAAATTAAATTTGTTCATGCACTTATTTTTCTAGTAACATAAATACTTACATTGTTTTGTTTTTACAAGGCCTTGGTAGGCCATAAAATTAGATGCATATTCAGTGATATTACTTTAGAGAATGGTGGGTTTTATTGTTTTTTAGGTATCAATAAGTTAATTTTTAAAAAAAAATTAGGCAGTATATGAATGGATAAAGAAAGAAGCAAAAATATGACTCCAGATCTCACAACCCAAAACAGAATTGTCATTAACAAGCTGAGATAGTTCCAAATAGCTCTCCAAACCTTTGTACGGCTAGAAAAATTCCGGAAAAATGTATTCATGCTACACATGTTATTTTAAAATTAAAAACAAAAGTTACTGCAGTTTGCTTGTTTCGTGGAAGATAGAGTTTTCACTTTGTTTTTAATTTTAGTGGGTTTAGGGAAAAATATTTCCTTGGGGATTAAGTTAGAGGTCAATACAAAATATTTATAAATGGGCTTCTGTTATTCATGATTGATACATTTTCTGAAGTAGATTTAAACTGAATGCTGGATAAAGAATATTATATCAATATATATCATTATTGCAAAGTGATTTGGTATGGATATTTATACATTAAATAAAGCCTCTAAATTTCCTCACGTATATAGAATTTGTGGTAATACACTCTCGCTAATTTTTTTGTTTTTTTTTGAGATGGAGTCTCGCTCTGTCACCCAGGCTGGAGTGTAGTGGTATGATCTCGGCTCACTGCAAGCTCCGCCTCCTGGGTTCACGCCATTCTCCTGCCTCAGCCTCCCTAGTAGCAGGGACTACAGGCGCATGCCATCACGCCCGGCTAATTTTTTTGTATTTTTAGTAGAGATGGGGTTTCACCGTGTTAGCCAGGATGGTCTGGATCTCCTGACCTCGTGATCCACCCGCGTCGGCCTCCCAAAGTGCTGGGATTACAGGCGTGAGCCACCGCGCCTGGCCCACTCTTGCTAAAATTTATGCATTACTGATAGTAAATGATTTACTCAAAGTATTTTTGGATATAAAGAAGTCCAACTCTATGAAAACTATTGTAACCTATATTGAGTGTTCTGTTTTTTTATTTCTGTCTGCATGTATAGTTTAAGTCATACAAACAATACAAGCGAGTAAAGTGCCAAAGGGAATGTCAACATTTTCCCATATTTTTCTTCACTAACTGAAGATGACCTTTTACTTAGATGAGTGAAATGTGTCCTGTTCTCAGTCCCCAGTGTCACCCAGCACTGTGATGAGCACACAGGAGAACCAGCAGCAGGTTGGACTGAGAGTAAGAGCCTCTAGGCTTCTGGTTGACCTTAGGTCACGCTAGCTCTGACCACAGCAAGTCTCCTCAAGTCTCTAGGCCTTAGTAGACCCGTATAAGAATGTCAAAACTACCACCCCAGTCAGTGGCCTTGGCAAGTTGCTAATAGCACCCACTACATCAGATTCTGAGGATTAAATGAGGATGAGCCAGCAGAAGGTGTGGCATGTAGTAAATGGTGCCACCGTTACTCTATATATCTTTGTATAATATAAAAGGTGCCCAGTCCTCAAGATAGTTTATTTCCATCTGGCAGAAATTATTGTAATAGTCTTATTTTGTTAGAGCAACACACTTTACTGCCATCTGCTGGAAAATTATCTTTATAAATATGGAAATCTGTGATGTCTAATATGTGAACTGTGCCCCCTGAGAAGTGCTGGTGCCCTTGTGAAGTACACAACCTGTGTGACCATGCACATAAGTGCTTGATAAATCATATTTGCTACTCTTCTTTTCACTTTTGTAATGGATTTCCAAAAGAGTTTCAGATAAACAATGATACTGGATGAAGAAATTTATTTTAAAAAATCAGAGTCAAAGTTAATATCAATAAAAAGAATCAGCATTTTGTTGCAACACCTGGAAACATTTTTGCCCACTACTTCCCTCACTTCCCCCTTCCCCCACAGAAAAGTGTGCTCTGCAATAAAACCTGCAATCTAAGTTAGCAGAGATGCTAATTAAGCCATTATTCTTGCATTTATAAACACTGTATGTGAGACCAAATTTGGGGCCACATTGTATGTATGCAAAACCAAAGCACATTTTGGAATAACCCATATGGCCTTTTCATCTTGACTTTAAAAATTGAATAAAAAATATTATATTAATAATGTATCATCACTGCAAGATGGCAGATCTCCGGAAAGCGACACTTCTGGGCTTCATTTTCTTCATCTCAGAACCTGGGTTGGGACATAACAGGTGTCCCTCTCTTCTAGCCAGACAGTCCTTAATGAAGGGATATCATAGTACCATTTTGAACACAAAAGGAAATATTTGGCTCATTTTCATAGCTAGCTGTACAGTCATGGAGAAGACTGACCAAAGTTGGATAAAGGAGAGTTTATTGATAACGGGAGCACTCTCCCAGGACACAGGATTTATCACTCTGGCAAGGGTGATAAGATGACTCTTGGAAGCTTGGAGAAAGCAGCAACAGCCCATGGCAAGTGAAGTGGAAATGCCATAATTGCCAGGGCCAACTGGAAGAGGTGTCAAGTGACTCAGAGAGGTGGGCATGCTGGAGTACATAGCCTATGTGGGGATGGAAAACCCACCAGCTGATGGTATGTCCCGGAGGACATACCATTTACCAAATTTGGGGCCACATTGTATGTATGCAAAACCAAAGCACATTTTGGATATAAAGAAGTCCAACTCTATGAAAACTATTGTAACCTATATTGAGTGTTCTGTTTTTTTATTTCTGTTTGCGTGTATAGTTTAAGTCATACAAACAATACAAGCGAGTAAAGTGCCAAAGGGAATGTCAACGTTTTCCCATATTTTTCTTCAGTAAGATGATAAGAAATGCATTGTTAAGAGGGTTATAGTCACTGAGAATCTTAGTGGAGGCACTCTTGTCTATGCCAGGGTTGACTGGAGGAGACACTACTACAGAACTGGGCTCCTTAACAGAAATAAGGCTGATAGGATCCTGAAATAACAGAGGCCAAGTAGTAAGACTTAACTGTCAGAAGCAAGGTGTGCACAGTTTTTGCAATGAGTGGCAAGATTGATGTGGCATCCAGGGGCCCATTCTACAGAGAGCTATGAAAATGCTTAATAGAATTTCCTAGAGGCAAGATAAATGAGCAGTCGACAAGTATCAATTTCTAAAATAAAAATATGAGGCTGAGGGCAGCTGTCATGGTAAAAAGTCAGTCACTAGCTCAGTTCCCAAACCTGAGTCAGATCTCAGATCTGGGACCCACTGGGTGAAGGAGAGGATGATCTTTATGACAACAGAACCTAAAGCACCTGAGCAAGTATATTTAGTAATTATTTCTCCAGCACTTCAGAATATTGTTCCAACCCTTTTACCAGATGATGGAGCTCTGTAGTAGGTCTCGACAGCAGTACAAGAAGCCCTGCTATATCCTTCAACAGACCCTATGGTATTACAGGAATCTGTGGTGGGAAAGAATGCTGGGGATAGTTGCTGGTGATCAATCTCAATAAGAGAATCACAGCATAGACCCCCTAGGATTCTGGAGAAGGGCCATATTATCTGTAGTAAACAACAATATACCATTCTAAAGTTCTTGGCTGGTTGTGGTGGCTCACACCTGTAATCCCAGCACTTTGGGAGGCCGAAGCAGGAGGATCGCTTGAGCCCAGGAGTTCAAGACCAGCTTTGGCAACTTAGAGAGAACTCATCTCTACAAAAAATACAAAAATATTGAGTGTAGTGATGTGTGTCTGTAGTCCTAGCTGCTTGGGAGGCTGAGGTGGGAGGATCACTTGGGCCCTGGAGGCCAAGGATGCAGTGAGCCATGATCACACCACTGCATTCCAGTCTGGACATCAGAGACAGACCTTATCTCAAAAAAATAAATAAATAAAGGAAATTCTTGCAGACCCCTGGGCCCTGATTGAAATGAAGCACCTGACCCTGAGACATCAAGTAACTATGGAACCTGAGATATTCATCATCAGCTGGCTCTGTCAGACCCACCAAGTTATAAAGTTGGATGGGCCTGGTGGCAATTTATCACAAAATGGAAGTGGCAGATACAGGATTGGGCATGAGCTGGGCCAGAGGACACAAGTAAGTTGTACCAGTTGGTGGCCCAGACCTGCATGTCATCCACTCCTGTTGCACTGGTGTTTATAACTATGGTGTTCACAACTATCTCAGCTCATAACCACGGCTGCAAGGAGGTGTCCCTTGTGACCAGCTGATGGAGGAAGAAAAGTGCTGACCTTCATTCATAGCTGGCTGGCTCAGCATAAGAGTGCAAGCCAAAAATGGATGCTGCTGCACTACAGCCCTACTTAGGGTGATCTTAAAAGAGGGTGGTGAGGGAGAAATCCTTCCAATAGGCAAAGTTCCACAGGATGCACTTGGTCATCCACTTTGTGTGAAAAGAAGAGTGGTTCAAGGTAAAGAACATATGCAGGCTCATGGACAGTGGTGAATGGGGTGGTAGTTTGGTCAGGGGCTTAGAAGCAGAAGGATTGGTATGGATATAAGGTGTGAAGAACTTTGTGTCATATATTAATGCACATCAAAGCAGCCACTACCAAAAGGCACCAAACAACATTCATGACTCAGCCATGCATGAAGCAGCCTCTCTCGTTGGCTACTGTAGTGCTGGCATAATGGGCACATGAATGGAGTGAGTAGCCACGGTAGCAGGGATGGTGGCTATGAATAGATCCAACAGCATGGACTTCCATTCACCAAATCTGATCCAGCTACTGCCACTGATGCTGCCAAATGTCTAACCTGTCAATAACAGAAACCCCAATGTAGTATCCCTCAAAGAGACCAACCAACCATTTGGAGGTAAGTTGACTTCAACTTCTTCCACCCTGGAAAGGGCAAGAATTCATCTTGATTGGGATTGTTGTATATTCTGGCATGAATTTGCCTTTCCTATCCATAGGACCTCAGCCAGTACCACTACCCAAGGACTTAAGAATGCTTGATCCACTGGTATTAGATTCCATATGATACTGCCTTGGGTCAGAGTCCACTGGTCCTATCACACATATTGCACCATTCCTGAGCTACTGGTATGATAGAATGGTGGACTGTCCTCTTAAAGATGCAACTGAGGCTCCAGCTTGGAGAACATACCCCCACAAGGTTGAGATACCACCCTAAATCAATGCCATTATATGGTGCTATGTCCCCAGTAGGTAGAATACATAGGTCCAGAAACTATAGGGAGAAGGGGGAAGTAGGCATGGCTCTGCTTACTGTCATTTCCTGTGGTACATTTGGGGAATTTGTGCTTCCTGTCCCCAAAACTTTAGATTCTGTGGGTCAAGTGTTCTTGGCTTTCACTGGGGTAATACTTCATCAGTGGACACAAAGTCCCATTGTACTTCACACTACAGCTGCCACTCAGTCACTTCAGTCTCCTTATGCCAAGAGACCAGTGGAAAAAGAGTCACTAAACTAGCAAGACCATTGACCCTGATCATCAGGAGGAGGTAGAACTTTGTCACAGAACACAGGGAAGAATGTTTGGCACACAGGTGATCTGATGGGATGTTTCCTGATGCTCTCATATCTAGTTTTAACAGTAAGCAGACAAGAACAGAAGCTAGGGCTGGGATAGACATGGGGACCAGGGACTCAGAATCTTGGAGTCAAGGGTCTGGGTCACCCCATCAGACAGTCTGCCTAGACCACATGGCTGCTGGCAGTGGCTGAGGCAATTCTAGAATGAGGACAGGGTAGAGAAAAGGGTGAAATGTCAGTTACCTCAGGCTTGAGATCTATTGCAGCTGCACTGACTATAGTTTGCTGATTAACCTTATAAGTTTCCCCAGTAATAAAGGCCAATGAGAATCCTGGAATTGTCGAGTACTGGGTGGATGAACTTACCCCAAGCGGCAAGTGGATCTGAGTAGCACAAAGGGTGGCCCATAATACTCTAGTGCTCCACCCATATCTCCTCTTTAGGACCAAGGGCCAACAAACCCATCCTCCAACTGCTGTGATTTTTGGTCACACGTTTTATATCCTTAACCACAAATATGAGCTGAATTAAATCCTCAACCCACAACCAGAATGAGTCTTAATAATTTGCTAAATCTTAAAATTGACACCATAATTTGAGCACCCCCACCCCAAATTTGAGAACACATAGGCAACTGGTTCAAACTGGAATCCAACCAAACCAGAACATCAAATTTTCTCAGATGTGAATCCAAACCAGAAGTTCAGACACTTCGCATATATAGCCCGGGTAGACTCTCTGTGGCCTTAGCAGTCCTTGCTAATTAGAAGCTCCTGTATTGCCTCTGGGAGCTTAGCTGCCAAGCATCTTCCCAATTGTGCTCCCAAATGAAGGTAAGGTAAATGGCTAGAATTTTTAAAAATTAACTTATGCTCAGTTATCTATTTGGTTCAGAGGTGAAAGAAAACATTAGTGGTTTTTCAAAAGGTAGTTCCACACCCAGCACCATCATACCCTCCAAGTTACATGGTAAAAATAAATGATGCCTGTCTGTGGTTAATTGTGAAGCCATCTCAGTTCTCATCTGATGTAGCCTAATGAAGGCTCTGAATACCAAGAGTGAAATCTTAACCTTAACAAATGACCTTGCCTCACAGTTCAGGCACAATTTTTAGGTTTCTCATCCAAGGCGGGGGGGGGGGGGATTTAAAAATCAGTATTCATATGAAAAATTATTCTTAGAAGGCCTTAAGATTGTTGCTCACACAAGAGATGCAGGTCTATGTTTATGCACCATGAGAACGGGAACCATGCTTGATTCATCTTTGTGTCCAGCACAACACTTAGCATAGTTGCCTAGTGCGCAGCAGGAGATCAAGAAATAATTATTGAATAAATGAATGAGGCTGCAAAGTTCCACGAGCCATCCTGGTTGCTGGCAACCCTTGAGGGGAATTTGGGCAAGACACTTTAAAAGTGTAGCTTGCCCAAGTAAGAAAAAGCTCTTTTCAAGATCTACTCTGTCAGGACCGCTGCCACTTTGTTTTCATTGGGCATGGGAATCTGGCTCTACCATCCTCCACACCTGCTCAACTCAGGTTAACGGTATCTGAGGTAGTTCTTCTTAGAACTTTAAAATGGTAGCAAAAAGACCAGTTTAGAAGGAATGAGCCACATTGTAGGATGATTTTCTGAGTTTATTTAACAGCTTGAGCTTGAATACATACTGTGCGTGTGTGTGTGTGTGTGTGTGTGTGTGTGTGTGAGTGCATGTGTATATGTGCCAATCAGATTCTCCCAGGAATTTTAGATTTGCGCAGAGAGACAGTGGTTGGGAGTTGGTAGCTAAATCATTAATGGCAGCGAACCCTTTGGAGGCACTTGTGATTTTCAGCCTCTGAGGTCCTGGGAACTGCCCTGGGCTACTTCTCCCTGAGGGAGGTTAAGTTGTTCAACTCTTCCTTGTAAGACGCTTCCCTCCAGTAAATTTACTCTTTTACCTATATTCTTTCCAACTGGTTTTTGTTATCTGCAAATGGAAGAAAGGCATTTTGGAGAAACCTGTGGATCTGAGCTGGGCTCTGGAAGAATGGTGGGGTGGAGGAAGGAGAGCCGAGTGGAGAGGTCAGGGGAAGGCTCTTAAGGCAATCAATCACCTTTCTGCCCTGAGTCAGCTATGGACAAGAGGCTGCCAAGCAGAGAGTTGACTCAGCAGAGGACTGCAAGGGGCCACCCTGAGTGAGGCTGGTTTTTAAATACTCATTTCAAAAGCAATTGAACGCTCTCTTTCCCCTCTCCTGTGCTTAGGTATGTCTTCTACAGTTCTTGTTCCAATCACTTGAAGTCCTTTGTGTCTCCTGCCTCTGCTTCTTCCAAGGCACCTACTAATGTCCAATGAGGCCACAGGGTCTTCTCTTTGATCCCAGGATATTTCTGTGAATTATTAGCCTTTTTATTGAACCTAAGGAAGGAATTCAAATGGTGATTTAATTCGTGCCTTTCTCCCCTCCTGCCCCTTCCCAAGTATCCCATTGTGGGAATTTTGGAGACAAACCCTGCCTCTGATTCAAGCCATGTATGTAAATGAATTTATTGGATGCCACTGAGAAGGCTACATTAGGAAAGGGAAGAGAGTTGTGAATTTAAGAAAAACTACAACAAATCTATGTGGGAGGAGGGAAGGAAAAAAGGAGGAATTTGGACCATTTATTTGCAGCATGTCTTACTGACAGTTAAATACAGTGGTTTGTTCTGTTTTCTGCCACTCGAGGGTTATTTAATTAAATTCATGACCTAGGATGCTAACCAGCCCCACATCTAAAATAATTGCTTCTCTGTTGGTGAGATGTAAAGCCGGGATTGATTTTCCCCTGGCCGATAGCTCTCCTTTCTGACTCATGAATGTCATCTCCACTCCCTGCCCCATGTAATTTGATCTCTGTATTTGATCCCTATTTAGTAGTACACTTGCCAAACAGATGTCTGAGTAATTAAAATCCCACATGGGCACACTCGTCAGTGAGTTACATCTATTTAATAGTCAGCTTAGAAACTTTTCACCCTTTGGCTTTTCTCCCATCCTGGTGTCGTATGTCAGTAGCCTTTAGCAGGATTTAACTATTAGAGTTCAAACCTGCTGTTTGTTTTCCTGCATTCATAGACACTCTCTTTTTGTTTTTTGACTGCATTTTCTTCACAAGTCCCTGATCTCTTTCTCCTTCAACTCACCTGGATTTTCTCTATGGTTTTACGCCAGCATTCAAATTCTCATTGGATGAGTCATCCTATATTTCATTCATGCCAACACTGGCAATTAAAAAAAAAAACAGAACAATGTTGTTATAACCATGGATTAAGAGTGCCTTTTTTTTTTCCCCTGGAGGCATAGCCAAAATATTTCAGTCTGAACAATCCTCCAATTTTTTTTAAAACTATTTGAGATCACATACTGAAAACCTGTTTGGTTGCTACAGGTCTCACTGAAGGATTTTGATGGGACAGAATTATAGAAGGAAAGAATACGTATTTGAAGAAGGCAAGGAAGGTCAAGAAGGGCTGATTATAGGAAATGTGTTCACTTTTGAGAGAGGATTTAGATGGACACTTATTTAAAAAATGTTGAATTGAATACGAATACCACACAGACAAGGTTCTTATGATAAATCCTATGCTACCAAGTAACATTTCATCCAACTTGGGAATGCTGTCATTTACGGTAGATAAAAGAATTTCCCTTATAGTTGATGATGCATATTGATTTTAAATTCCAAAGAACTAAACATTGTGAACTAAGTATAGAATATATATGCATCTGTTCTGATACCCGTCAAACTGGACTTAAACAAAATCCGATAAATGAGGAGGTCATAAGTCATAGCAAAAGGATTCTTTATTTTCCTACTTTTAAACAGATGGAGTGCTAGTGGGTTTAGCATGAATCATTTTATAAAAGTAAGTTTCTCAGAACATGCATGTTTCTTGTGAAGTTCCTTTGTACTCACAGTATTTCAGAATAAAAAAAAATGTGATCGAAAAAACAAGCAACAAGTTCAGAGGTTAACGGATGTTGTTTTAGTTCTATGTGAACAAATTCTAAAAGTATTTGTACAAACTTTATTACCATGATGGTATTTAAAAGCTAGGTGAAAATCCTATTGCTCAGTGGGAACTTCATCTTAGTGGTTTGTACACAACTTCCGGTCTTGTTATCTAAACTAACAAAGGTCATGTAAATAAACAGACATAAATTAACAGCATGAGTCTTAAACAGTGACATGGACTAGGAGTTAGTATTTCAGGAAGGTAGATAGCTTCCAAATAATGGAAATGCTATGGGTGTGATTTTTCTCAATGTTTATTATCTAGTATTATTAAACCCCTTGCTGGCTCATGAACTGGTATGATTTTCATTCTTGCTGTGCTCAGGATAACCTTCCCCTGCCTGTTCCCCAGCTCCCTTCCCTTCAATGCAGCTTGTGTTTAATCTATTTAAAGTTCAGGGCACTTTTTTTTTCTGTGATTCAAGCTTTTTAAGCCTTGTTTTCCCTCCAGTCATTCCTTACCACGTGTCTATCCATGCCCTGCTCTCTGTCTCTTTCAGATATTTTTTTTAAAAGGTGATTAATTCCAATAACACATTTCTAGCTTCCCGTTGTCTTAGTGTAAATTGGGGAGAATATTTCCTGACCTCATCACAAAGAAGTTGTGAAGGTCAAATGAGCTCTTGTGTATGAAAGGGCTTTGTACATAGCTACTGGCTTCACATAGCCAAGGAGCTTCTGCTCCAGCCCCAGCTACCTGCCTGGCTCAAATACAGCTTATACAACTTGCTAGCTGTGTGAACTTCAGCAAGCTATGTAACTTTTCTGTGGAACTTCAGTTCCATAAAGTGGAAAATGGGGATCATAAATGTACTTAAATCCTGGGGTTGTTTGGTGATGGTTACGTGAGAGGATTCATGCATATTATGAGGTCAGAACATGATTAGGACAGTTTCAGTTTTAAGCCCCCAGTAAGTGCTAGTACAAGTGCAGGGATCAGACGGTGTTTCCCCCTTGAAGTCGGTGTAACCCCCTCACAGGCTCATCTCTCTCTAGCTCGAGGCGAAAGCTAGGTTGTAACCCTTGGGCGTGGTCTGTCACAACTAAGGATGAGGGCGGGTGTAGGGATCCTGGCTGAGCACATGTCTTTTGAGGATTGCCAGGTACTTTTAACAGCTGTTTCTCTTTCTCTAAATAGTGTTCACTGGGCTTGGATTCTCCTTTAATGACTTTATTTCGAATGACTTGTTTATGTCAACTTTTTTCAGTTTGCCGCCTACTTATGCTTAAAGCCACAAAAATACCTCCTTCCTAATCTGGAAAATGGGAATAGTAAGAGTATCTACCCCTGGGGTTGTAATGAGATCAACTGAACTTCTTCCAAAGGATATAAGGAGTATAATATTCTAGGAAGCTTTTGAAAAATAAACTGGAGAAGAAAGCATTTCCAGATGTTACCTTGAACACAGGAAATGAGGTGAGAAGAAACAAAACAAAACATACAATAAAAACCTAACATTCTAAAAATTCAGTAAGTTAGTGATTCTTCCAAATGAGCTCTCCTCTCAAAGTGGTTCTCTGAATTTAAGCTCAATGATGCTGTTGTTGCCCAAAAGGTTTTGGGATTTCTTCTTTCAAAAGGGTTGTTAAGGACCTGTATGTAAATACTAACTCTTCCACTTTATGATAGTCATGACAAATATCTTTCTACTTCACAACTTCTAATTTGATATTGTTATAATTTTTGGTATACAGATGCTTTAAATGATTATTGCAGATAAATCTATGAGTTCTTCCATTGTTTTGTGGTTAGTTCTTTCCCATCCCAAAATCACTTAGCTATCCATTTAGATTTTTTTTTTAACTTCTTTTATAGTTCAGTTTTCACATTTATCTTTTTATCTGGAAAGTATTTCAGTAGACTGCATGAAATGAACATGTAATCTGATTTTTTTTTCCCAAATGGTTGGCCAGTTTTCCTAGTGCCAGTTATTGAATAATCCATGTCTTCTCCATTAGTGATGCTTCATTTATTGGAATATTGAGTTTTCTTTCAGGGCTATCTGTTCTGAAATATTTGTCAATCTTTCCTCAGTAGTTCAATATTATTGTAATTATTATGGCTTTATAATATGTATTAACATCTGGTAGAGTAAATCTCATGTTATTATTCTTTCTTTTCAAAGTATTCTGGCTACTCTGTTTTTTCCTCCAGATGGAAATACATTTTTTCAACTTCTAAAAATGTCCCGTTGGAATTTTAGTTACAATTGCAAATTAAGGGATAGATATCTTTGTCTAGGAGCATAATATATTTCTCAATCTATTCAAATACTTTTGCTTTCATTTTTTTCTCTTTTTCTTTGTATAAATCCCTTTCAGTTCTTGCCAATATTATTTATATGTCAATAGAATCTTTTTAAGACATATATTTGTTCCCAGGTTCCAACACCCCAAAAAAGTTATATTTCCCAATAGGTTATTGCTAGATCAGTAGAAAGTTATTGATTTTAATAATTATTTTATAATAGATTTTCAATCAAGTTTCTTAAGTTTTCTAGGCAAAAAGTATCTGCAAATGCAATTTTTCTACTGCTTTGCAATATTTTCCTTAGTATTTCTGTTTCTTGTCTTATTACAGAATGACTTCAGCATAATTTTAAATAATAGTGGTGAAAGCAGGCATATTTATACCTGCTTTTAATGAAAATGCCTGTCTGTCATTGAGTATGGAAATTTAAAAATATACACAGAAGTAAATGAAAGCCTAATGTGCCTCTCACCTAGCCTCAACAATTATCAACATTTTTGAACACACTTTTAGTGGAATTATAAATTAATGCAGTCTTTTGAATATTAATTTGGAAATAGCTATCCAAATATTGATCTGCAATTCTATTGCTAGGCATTAATCCAACAAGTACACCTGCATCAATGGGCAAAGACATTCAAGGATGCTCTAAATGTATGTAATTGCAGAAAACAAGAAAATAGTCTAAATGGTCCCTAATAGGTGAGTGAAAAATCACGGTTCATTCATATAACTGTACTTAACCACTACGAAAAATTTTGGTAGGTCTATATGTGCTGATGTGGGAAGATGTACAAAGTACTTTATGAAATTAAAAAATAAAAAGCAGGCCAGGTGCAGTGGCTCACACCTGTAATCCCAGCATTTTGGGAGGCCGAGGCGGGTGGATCACCTGAGGTCAGGAGTTCAAGACCAGCCTGGCCAACATGGCGGAACCCCCTCTCTACTAAAAATACAAAAATTAGCTGGGCATGGTGGCGTGCACCTGTAATCCCAGCTACTCAGGAGGCCTTCAGAGAGAAGGTGTAAAGTTAATTTGGCTGTCTTACCAGTACCATTATTATTTTTATAAAATCTTATTAAAAGATACGATGTTGGCTATCAGTTTAACATTTACTAAAAGTTTTTAAAAAATATAGTTGTTTTAATTGGGAATAGGTGCTAGATTTTTATCACTTATCGAGATAATAAGGTTTTTATTCTTATATAATCTAAATGTATTTTTATATAAACTATTTTCCTGGTATTGAAATATCCTGGCATTTCTAGGATAAAATCTACCTGATTGTTTAAAATGACTGACTTTATTGAATTTAATTTGCTGGCATTTTTGGTATTTTGGGGGGAATTCTGGCATTGAGTTTCTTATGTGAACTTTTATTTTTTGAGTGCCCTTTCTTTTTCTTTTTTTTGAGACGGGGTCTTGCTCTGTTACCCAGGCTGGAGTACAGTGATGAGATCATGGCTCACTGCAGCCTTGACCTATCAAGCTCATATGATCCTCCCACTTCATCTTTCCGAGTAGTTAGGACTGCAGGAGCCTACCACCAGCCAGGCCCAGATAATTTTTTACTCTTTGTATAGATAGGGTCTCTTGGAACTCCTGGGCTCAAGCGATCTTCCCCCCTTAGTTTCCCAAAGTGCTGGGATTACAGGTGTGAGCCATCATGCTTGGCGTATACCATTTTTGATAGGTTTTATAATAAAAGTGGTTTCACTCACAAAAAACTTAAATTTTAGTGTCTTTATTCATTTAGAAAGGGGATTTTATGTCTTTCAAAATTTGCAAGAATTTGCCTAAAGCCTCTCTTGGTCTTTAGGCGTTTTAAAATTTCTCCCCTAGCTTTGATCTACTTAGTTTTTCTACTCCTAGATTCAATTTGGGTGATTTATGGTTTTCCAGAAAAAAATGTTTAGCACATAGCTAATTTCACATAGCAGTCTCATATAATTTATAAAAAGTCTCCATGGCAGATCAGGAGGTCAGAAGATCAGGATCATCCTGGCTAACGCAGTGAAACCCCGCCTCTACTAAAAAATACAAAAAATTAGCCGGGTGTGGTGGCGGGCGCCTATAGTCCCAGCTACTTGGGAGGCTGAGGCAGGAGAATGGCGTGAACCTGGGAGGTGGAGCTTGTAGTGAGCTGAGATTGCACCACTGCACTCCAGCCTGGGCAACAGAGCAAGATTGTCTCAAAAAAAAAAAAAAAGTATCCATATCTGTTATATCTCCTTTCTCCTTTATATTTTCTTTTCTTTTTTTTTTTTTTAAATAGATTCATCAGCGATTTCTCCATTTTCTTGATCTTTTTCCAAAGAATTACCTTTGGAGTTGATCAAAAACATTGTTTCTAATCATTAATTTCTGCTCCAAAGTTTCCCTAATCCTCCATTTCTTGGAGTTTAATTTTTAAAAAACCATTAATCAGTTCACTTATTTTTACTCTTTCTAGTTCAATTTTTCCCTGCCAAATGATGTTACTAAACTCAGTGTGGTTTCAAATGACTTGAGTATTTCTAAAAATCTGCTCTCCGAGGAGGAAGATTTGCTATCACTGATGATGTCATTTAAAAGAATGTGACTCAGACTCTTGTGGCAAATTTCTAAAGAATTCTAAAAATGTTTGAGTAATGGGAACACAATTGCAGCAAGCTTATGACCTACTCTGAAGGAGCCAATTTGTAAAACCTGCACGTTTGCTGAACATTATCTGCCCTTATATATTTAGAAATAATCAAGTGCTAGGAATTAAAGAGGAGCTCTCACTTTTGTTTATTGGGATGCCTTCTGATACTGCATGTCTATGACCCAAGATATTCTTAATATTTTTCTTTTTGTGAAAATGTATTTAAACACATCATGTGTACAGCCTGGCTTCATTTTTGCTCCCAACAGAAATTAATCTCAGATGAAACATTTTTCAAAAAAAGATTAAAAACTGTTCACATGCTAGGATGACCAAGTTTTCCTTGCAAAAACCAATTCACTATGATGATGTGGATGAAGGCAGAATGTGTTATTAAAAATAATTAAGTGCTCTGATAGGCCACAATTATAAGCGATAAAAATATTCTCTAATAAAATGTATTGTGCCAATAGAAAGGTAGATTGCAGGTGTGACCTTTGGCAAGGTATGTAGTAGAACTTATTAGAGCCATGTGTTTGTAGATTATGTAACAGTTTTTAAGTGGTCAGGAAGGGGAGGATTTTGTGGTCAGAAAAGTGGAACTGCCCTATTTAACATATGACCCTGGCCATTCCCATCCCAAATTACTGTTGATCAAGTTACAGATAGTTGGGAAGCCCAGGTGAAAGGGAAGCCTAGAATAAGGCCCGACAAAATTGCAATAAACAGTAGGCCACAAAGCCAGTGGCCATTATCATTAAAAACACTTACTGAAGTATTTAATATAGAAAATAATGTCAAGAAAAATTGTTTTGCAAAGCACTATGAACCAGAAATCACTTAAAAAGGCTTTAACATATCCTCCCCTGATGTCTTTAGGAAAGCTAGAACATGACCAAAAACATAAGTAGACCTCCCCAGACTAACAGCTTTATGATCATTATTTGAAAGCATTTTGTTTTGCATTTGCATGCATCTCAGGTTTAAGTTTCCAAATTTTTAAAGCATTTAAGTGCTAATGCTCTAGGAATTTACTCTTGAGAATAAACACCACTAGGAACCAATAAATGGAAGCCCAAACTTTTACTGTCTCTAGCAACTTCAAACAGGGGCATACCTATAAAAATTTATATATTCAGCATTGGTCTCAATTGGGTTGCCTTTTACAGAAGCACTTTAATGGGACAGTAAACCAGAGCCCAGAGGAAACAAAAATCCTAATTTTGTGTTGTGGTTGCCAAATTTTCAGAAAAGCACAGATCTAAAGCCCAAAGGCTGCTAAATTGATTCACATGAACAGAGCCTGAGGCCAAGTTTAAGTGCGAAGATTTTATTAGGCGGTACAATTCCAAGGTGGTAAGGGTGAAAGGAAAGGCGAAGGCAGGCAAATACATTATTGAGCTGAAAACAACTTTACATTCAAGGACAGCTTCCAGACAAGCCATGTAGAACCAGCATGCCTTGGGACTGTGTGGATGGCAGGGAGACGAGTTTCTATGCTGACCACTTCATGCTTTCTGCCCCCTTTGGGGAAAGTATGCCTCACGGACCTCTAACTCTCCCACTTCTCTGGGGGCAGCACCTGACCCCTCCCGGCAACTGCTAGGCAAGAGCATTCTGTTCCTTCAAATTTCTCACCTGAGTCTGAGTCAGAGCATCCCATCATCAGAGCCTCTGTCAGGGAGGCAGTGCTGAAGCATGACCTTCACCTGGGGGAGGCTGTCGGGAGATGGCACTGGAGGCCAGGCCTCTACCCTAAGCGAGAGGTGCAGGCCGGGGTGGAGGTGGACGGTGGGACAGAGTAAATCCGGGGAAGCACATCAACCGGGTCTGGTAGGGCATAGCCTTCTTGGACCTGAGCCATTCCTACTGCTGATGTCCACTGCTTCTCAATCGAGAAACAGCACGGATTCAGCTCTCAGATTTTGTAAACTGTGATTTTCTCCCTTATTCCTCAACAACCACCTAGCCACGACCTTCTTTAACTCTTCCCCCAACCCCGAAACTTTTGAGGAAATGACTTTTCTTATAATTTGAATGTTAATAAACCGTACCCATTTAGAAACTACAGTTTGATGATTTGGGGCGACTGTATACGTCATGTTGCCGCCGCTCCTATTAAGATATGAAATTGTCCCACCACTGCCCCAAAGTTCCCCCGCTCCTGTGCATTCCATTCTGTCCTGTTCCACTCCTTTCCCAGGCAACTGCTTTGCATCGCCACTGTTGCTTCTTCTAGAATGTCCTATAAATGGACATCAGACCGACTATGGCTTTTTGGGTTCTTCCCCCCACAGCATCGTGTTTTTCAGCTCCACCCACGTGGTTTTGGGTATTAATCCTATGGTAGAACTAGCTAGATGCTGGAGAACTCATTATGCGCCGGTAGGTAATTTTAACCTGCATCGTCTCATCTCTATTCTGTCACAATAGAGGAAACTGAGGCACGCCCGGCGTGTGGGCGTGTGAGGGGGCACCGGGCCGACTTCCGCCCGTCAGTAGGCCTGGACCTGCTGGCACCCGCTGTCAAGATAGGGCCTGGCGTCGCGGCGAGGCATCAGCTCGGGCAGAAGCACAGCCCAGGAAGTGGGCGCGTCGCAAGCTCCACACCCAACCAAACCCGGGCAGAGGGCTCGGTGGGCGCGAGGCCGAGGGCCCAAGAGGCCGGGGCCGCTACCCCCTCGCCCCTGGGACGGCCTCCGGGTCTCCTTGCTCCAGCAGACAGGCCCGCGGCGGCTACTCCGAGGCGCAGGGGCAAGGCCGCAGCGGGCAGCGGAGGCCGAAACAGAGAACACACACAACGCGGACCGACAGCAGTCACCGCAGGGGTCGCCGGGGCGCGGCTCTATAAAGCCTCGGCTCTATAAAGCCGCGCTAAGCCGCATCGCGCTGCACGTTTCCTTCCGCGCGGGGCCGGCGCTACTTCCCGCCTTACCAGGCCGCCGTGCCGGGAGGAGCTGAGACGTCTGCAAGGCCGCAACATCTCGCAGCAGCTTTTCGCCTGCTTCCTCCGCTCGCTCTAGAGGGCACAGCAAGGTGCGGGGCTCAACCTGCCGCTTCCCCAAGACGGAGGTGGCCGCCACGCTCCCGCCCGCTGTAAACGTCCGAGCGGGAAGAGCGGCCTCTGGTTTCTGTGGTATCGGCTTCTGGTTTCTGTGGTATCCGGAGACTTCGTTTCCCGGCGCGAGGGAAACAAAGATGCTGGCGTGGAGCGGCCTGCCCGCCGCTATTGTCTGGCTGCCTGACAGGGAGCGGCCGCTTTCGCTTTCTTCTGCCGAATGGAACGTGGTGACTCGGGAGCCGCGGAGCGCCTTTCGAGGCAGCTTTGTCTGCGGAAAGGGAGCGCTGCGGACGGCCTGTCGGAATGGTCACCGCCCGCTTTCCGCGGGAGGCGCGCCGGGCACCGCTGGGCGATTTCTCCGCCTCAGCGAAAGAAAGGAGAAGCCGGCATTTGTGGCCGCCCAGTCTTCGTTCCGATTTGAGCCCTGGCGTCGGCGGGAGGTGACAGTGCTGTCCGCGCGCACCCCCTCCGTCGCCGTCAGGGTCGTGCTCCTTAGGTTTCCTGCGGTTTTTCTGCTGCTCTGAGACGGTCTCTGGGACCAAGTTCTCACAGCATCGTCTTCTCCTCTCGCAAATAATCTTTTTATGATGTTTGTTCTGCTGAATCCACCGGACGCCTCAGACACGGGCCCTGACGGCATCGCCGGCCTGGGGGAGGCGTGGAGAGAGGGGAGGAAGGCGGGAGGGCTGTGGGGCTGCTAGCTGATTTGGGGATCCCATCATCTTCGAATTTTTATGCAGAGCCCATGGAAGCGCCTGGTCAGAGAAGCGGGAGGAAACCGAACCTAAGAAAGGGGCTTGGAGTCAGCAGTGAAGAATCTATTGTTTATTTTAGTTTTGTTTTTAGATTCAGGAGGTAGAAGTGCAGCTTTGTTGCTTCCAGGTATTGCAGAGTGGTGAAGTCTGGGCTTTCAGTGCTGCCCCCACCCAAATAGTGTCCTTTGGACCCATTAGGTAATTTCTCATCCCTCAGAGTGACTACTATTTAAAAGGCAGCTATTGTTAGAGCTGGCAAGCTGCAAGGGCAAAACAAAACAAAACAAAAAACAAAACAGGGTTGGGGGGAGCATAGAATATTTTTTTTTTTTGACAGCAGCGTAGTAAAGTTTGGATTTAGAGCTTTTTGTTACTGCCCATCTCCCATACTCCTGTTTTATTTCTCTTTGTAGCATTTATAACCTCCTGGTATGATAACGCATTTTACACGTTTATTGGCTTCTCTGCCCACTTGATTTTTATCTCCTTTTGGAGAGCAGGGAATTTTTTGTTCCCTGGAGCCTAGCAGGGTACCTAGCAGTGTTCTGGGGGCTTTGTAAATACTTGCTGAATCAGTGGAAAAAAAAGAAACAGGGCACATTATCTAAAGTTATTGTGAGACAAACATAAAACCAAAAGGCGAATGATGCAAGGAGAAGTTATCTCTGAACCTGCTCTTTGTGTTTTGGAGCAGTAATACATTAGGAATAGCTAAGAAGGGGTCACGCCAGCATTCCATTTTCCAAATAAGAAAGTGAAACAAGTGAGCTCTCACTTCTAGGATGCCTTCCACTTCATTAGAGGGATTGGTTCTCTGAGGTCAGCCCATCAAAAATGTATGAAGAAAATGGAAGCCATTTATTACTGTTCATCTGTTACCCTCAGACATATTCTCATTTCCAGCAGCAGGGAGTTAGGGTGGCATGCCTCGTGAGCAAAACATGGGGCTTGGGGACATTCAGAACACCTACAAGATGGTGGTGTACACAGTGCTTGGAGGCATATCTGGGGAGTGTTTCAGCTGAAAATTGGCCACATCCTCCTATTTATTACACGTTTCAAAAATGGCCCCACAGGTTGCACATTTATAAGTGGTGGATTTGTTTTGAGGGAAGTGAGCGGGAGTACACTTTATTTTGGAGTGAAGAGGATCGGAGTAGCCACCTCCTCTAAGAAACTACTCCAGTCTCAATCTCCATTCCTTTGGAACTTTTCGTTAGGAAAAGGCCACATCTTGGCAGGGAAAGTTTATAACACCTGTGTCAGTACTGCTGGAAAGCTCTAAATAAAAAAGTTAAAAATTTAGTGTATTCCTCAATCACCCAGTAATTATCGCATCCTGGTACACAAAACTGGAGGTATCCTTGGAGGTCATTTATTCAACAAGTACACTGTATTTGTTGAGCATTTTTCATGTGCCAGGCATTGTTCTAGATGCTGTAGATACAGCAGTGAACAAAACACAAAAGTCCCCTCTTTCATATTATTCCACTCCCAGGGCCCTTTCATCCTTTCACTACATCTTTCTTCTTATTTTTACATTTGCCACAACCACCTTCTTTGCTAGTTGGTTCCCTTTATTCACCAATTTTTTAAAAACTCATTTCTTCAGTCCCTCAACTCATCTGAGATATGAACATGTCAAAAATATATGATGAAATACAATTTAAAAGTCAGATCCTTTTAAAAAAAACTTTTAACCAGAATGAATCCATTTCTAAAAGTTTATTTTTTATGCCTGTAATATTTAAAAAGCCTAAAAATGATCTTGCTGGTTTTCTTCAGTTGAGTGTTGTGTAAGTGAAAATTACTTCACAAATCCTACTATTAGCTATTATAATCAAATCAGCTTTCACTCTTCCATGAGACTGTTTCCTTCACAAGACTTTGGTTGACCATAACCAATTTTATAGTAATATACAACAAAAAATAATGTGGAGAATAGCAAAATTAAACATATTTTTTTAAAAAATAGAGGTGTTCTTTCCCAGGATTTTTTTTAAGAGTAAATAATGTTAGCTTATGGGATTGTAGTGCACAGCACAGCCCCATAAGGAATATTCAAGCCTAATTTATCTCAGTTGTATTATCTCTGACTCTCTTTCACCGGTTTTCTCTAAACTTATTTCCTGTTACTCAGCCTAAAATGCTCACTGCCTCAAATGTTCCCTGAAGACTATGGCTTAATTATAATTCTTCCCCTTCCACATTTCACATTTAAATGTATCTTATTTCAGACTTGTTTAAACATTCTTCTGAACTATCCTTACTTCCCTGCCTATCCTCTTCATCCTAAACCGAGGAAGCATGCTGAGCTCCTCCCTTCTGTCCCCCAAGTTGCTCAAGCCTAGGAGTCAAAGCCAGATTACCTAAAATGCTAGTGATACTCAATGCTGGTAGACATACTAGAATCACTTAGGAGACTTTAAAAATACTGGTTTCCTGGCCTACCCCTGACCAAATAAATTAGAATCTACGGCATTGGAGTCCCAGCACTGATAATTTTATAAGGCTTCCCAGGAGATTCTAATGAACAGCCAGTTTGATAAACTGCAACAGGCAGCCCAAGTATCTGTCCTCGGCAGTAATTGTCAAACTTAAGTGTTTCAGAATCACCTGAAAGGCTTGTTAAAACACAGATTGCTAGACCCTACCCGCTGAGTTAATGATTCAGTAGATTTGGGGTAGAGCCCCCATATTAGCATTTCAAACAAGTTCACAGGTGATGCTGATGCTGCTGGTTCAGGGATCATTTTTTGAGATTCTCTGTTCCAAGACACCAACAGAAACAAAGACATGCAAGAAAAAAATGAGAGAAAAAAATTAGAAAGATTTTGATATTTCAAACAAAGCTTTGAAGTAATTATCAAGGTGCGAATTAGAAACGAGCTTCTTTACCTTTATGGTTTAGTGTGATTTTTACGTTTAAAATTGTATTTGGGAAAAGAGGACTACCATAATTCCTTTATTGTTAGGGGTAGTTTCTAGAAGTCTTAGGCCCTGTGCATTTTTTTTTCATATAAACCTCACCTTTCACCCTTCCATGAGAATGTTTCATCCAGATTTTGCCTGACCATAACGAGTCTTACAGTAGCCCACAACAAAACGTTTGTGGAGAACAGCAACATAAAACACACACACACACACACACACATAGAGAGAGCAAGAGAGAGAGTGGAAGAGAGAGATCTCACTTCCAGCAAAAGCCCATAAGGCAGAAATAGTGTTTATCTTGTTTTCTTGGTGATAGGCAAACCTTACCTTGCATGTTCAAGCCTGTGACAGAGAACTTGACACACGGAGGGCACGCAAATATCATTGCAGAAAACTTGTCCGAGTTGTGGAAATAAAGAGTACTTTGCTTTTGACTGACTTTCTCATCTGTTTTTGCAGTTTATGCTCTCTCCACCAGCTCATGAGATTACATGAAGAAAGTCAGGTGTAGGAAGCTTTCAAACTTGCCCAGAACCTTACAGCTCATTAGGTATAAAATGAGGGTTCTTGGCTCCCACACTCTATTTTTCTCTAGAACATGCTGTAATTCAAATGCCAGAACACTGGATCTGAAGGGAAGAGAGAAAAGATTTGATACTCTTTAACCCTGTAAAGTGAAATGGAAGAAAAACACACTGCAGTTTTCAAGTTCATGAAACAGAGTTACAAGAATTCAGATGCAATTTATGACACCCGAGGGAGGAAGAATATGAAAAGGAAAGAGAGAGAAGTAGAAAAAATTTCAGGGAAAACACCTGTATAGTTAGCTAATAGTCTTAGGGCCCGAAAGAGATTCTGTTGGACCTTAAGGAAGACAGGGCAGAAGACTCATCATTTTAGTTTTGGTTGTTACAAGCCACCCAAAAATTTAGTGGCTTAAACCAAGAGCATTTTATTCACTCACAATTCTTTGGGTTAGGAATACAGGCGGGGGTCAGGGAGGATGGCTCTTTTCTGCTCCACGTGGTCTTGATTAGGGGTATCTTAAGGGGCTGGAGGATCCAAGTTGGCCTAATCCACAAGTCTGGAACTTGGTCCTCCTCCATGTACCTCCCTCTCACTCCACATGGTCTTCAGTAATTCAGTAGTCTACCTCAGGCATTTTTACATGGCAGTGGTTTACCAAGGGGTAGAAGTAATCACACAGCATTACTTTCATTGTATTCTGTTGGTCAAAGCAAGTCAGAGGGCCATTCTGGATTCAAGGAGCTGGAAAACAGATTCTACTCTTGATGGGAGGATGGTACAGGCACATTACAAAAAGAATGTGGTTAGGCTGAGTGAAAGAAGCCAGACACAAAAGAGCATATATATTATGCTAGTTATATGAAATTCTAGATAAGGCAAACTAATCTATAGTGACAGAAAGCAGATCACTGGTGGCCTGAGGCTAGAGGATGGGGATTGCCAGCAAAAGGGCATGAGGGAGCTTTTTGGCATGATGGAAGTGTTTTGTACCTTGATTGTGGCAGTATACATACAAGTGTATACATTTGTCAAAATGTATGCATTTTATTGTAGCTTTTAGGTAAAGTGTACCTTTAAAAAAAGGTACAAAATAGGAGGTAGGAAGGATTCTCATGACCACCATCAGAAATGATCTATCACATATAAAAAGTTAGATCTGAAGGGACCTTAAATGATCCTGTGATCCAATGTCTTCATTATATAGATAAGGAAAGTGAGGATCAGAAAGCAGACCTTGCCAAAGGATACTAGTTGGTGATAAAAGCAGGACTGGAATCCAGACTCCTGACCACAGTCTTCCTGTCACTCCTTCCACATCCTCAACAGGATCAGGGAAAAGGATGCCCTGGTCTGTGTCCCACTGAAACACATAGAATTTCCAGGGGTCAGTACAAACAGTCAAGAACAGAGATTTCTGTGCTCTGTTCCTAGTTCTGAGAGACTATGGACACGTTCCTGTAACTATTCCATGAGTCAGTGTCTATAATAAAGGTGAATGGAACAATGTTTAGAAATAGAAAACCATGGGAAAACAAGAGCACCTATGCCACACATCTTGGCTGGCAGTGCCATCTTCGGTGTCCTAGGAGTGTGTTGATGGGAAAAGACAAGGAGGGTTATGGAATGATTGAAATGTTATTATTTACTTAGGTTTTACTAAATTAATAAACCCACCTTTCAGGCATGTAAGGTGAGAATTATTGCTAGCTTTTGTAATGTGCTCTATAGAGTAAGATGGAGTTGAAATAATAAATAGTATAGCAACCCATAGTAAAATGCAAATGTTAGTATTTAGGGAATTTGAAAAAGTGAATACAGTTTACTCTCTTTTTAGTGTACTTTCTTCACTCAGAAAAAATGACTTTGAGCCTTGTCCAAAGTCTCAGACATTTATCAGATGTATTTAATTCCTCTGGATGCCGAAGATGCTTTTTAAAAAATGTCTACAACAGATGTTAAAATGCTGTCAGCTGAATGATTCGCTGCTGGGACATCAGAGAGTAATACCCTGCTGATCTGTGGCAATTACCTAGGTAGGGAACAATGGACTTGAACTTTGGATGGAATCTGAACTTTTTTCTAACACAAAGTCATATTTGAAAAGTGAATGATTCAGCAGGGAAAGTTTTTTTCAAGAGAACATTGATGCATTTCTGAAGATTGGGTTTTTCTTCATTTTGGTTTTGGTTGTTGTTACTTCCTCATTTTTCTAATACCTGTATCTTAAAACGATTATATAATAAGCATTTTATTAAATGAGGGCTGGGACGCTGATTTGCATCTAAGAGTTGTGGCTTTTGTCTCATAGTTGCAGGCTGGGAGGAGTCTGCTCCTTCACAAACATGAAATACAGTTGCAGAATAATAACTCTACTGCCAAGTGGAAAGTGGTGAAATTATGGAAATAATTCAGGCCGAAAATATCTACTCTTGTTTGGATAACCCCAGCTGGTTAGTGCTTTGGTACCGAATGGATTCCCCTTGCTTTAAGTTGGGTTAAAAAGGGAAAAACAACCTGGAATGTAAAGAAGTCAGCTTAGGGCTCCCTTAGAGTTTAACCTCAGCAATCCTATAAAATTTAGCTTAGTCTGGGCCCAAATATTTCAGTTAAAGACCTTTAAAAAAGCGATATTTCCACTCTCGGGGCTGCCATTTTTTGAAATATCTGGACTACGCAACATGTGGTATTATTCATTACCCATGCAGACTTTTTACCTGGGTAAATGCACATTTTGCCAGTTTTTGTTTTTCAGTCAACATTGGCAATCATGTACAGGTGACCAGTACTACCTTAGGAACTCAGGAGCCCAGCATGAAATGAGACTCATGACAGAGATGAACCAAAATTTCTAGGTCTCCTACATCCCTGCCTGGCTGGCTGCCACTTCCCCACCATCACTGCTATTCCTGTGGGACTAACGGTTTTAGTCACCTCCTATTTACCACATTGGTGAGGAAGGGATTCTCACCCTAAGGTTATGCCATTGGCCAGACACACAGCACCTGACACTGGACACTTGAGATTGACAGCAGCTTATTAGTCACATGTACTCATAGCCAGGGGGAGAAGGATACGGCACACAAGAGTGAATGAAGATTGTCCTCAGGAACTGAATGAATAAGCAGGGGCTTGGGAGGCAGGCTTTGTGGTAACAAGAGGGTGGGGTGCCCCCTGCTTCCTATAGGATGATGTGATTGGCTTGTTTCAATTCCATGGGCTGGCAGGGAACTGAAACCCAATACTCAGGGATAAGCGGGAACACCACCTGGTCCACTTGATGAGGAGGGTAGCTTGGCTAGGGGACCTTATCTGCTGGAACGGAGAGGGAAGAAGGCTTTCATTTGAGGCAGGCCCTCTTGATTTTCCCCAGATGACAAGTAATACTGCTCCTTACTTTTAGGCCTGACACCACAATAGCAAAGTTAGGACATTATTTCTTGACTACCATCTACTATGCCCTCTTATAACTGGGAGGGAAAAAAAGAGGTGGAGTGTGGCAAAGGATGCAGGCCAAATGCTTCTAGTAAATACTTTCAATTTGTCAAAAAGCAAATGTATACAGAATATCTTTATATGCCATCACTAGAGTAGGCACAGGGACTTAGAGAGGAGTGGACCACAATCTTATTTGGAAGGAGTCACATGGAGGAGATGGGAGGACACAAGTAGATGATTATAATACAGAGTGATGCATGTGGGAACTGAGAGATTTGCACATGTGCTGTGAGAGCACGGTGATGGGAGCGTTTATCCAGCAAGGTGAAAAGTCACAGGGATAGTGGACAGTGGCCCCTGAGCTGGCCTTGAAGGATGAGTTGTAGTTTGCCAACTGGAGAAGGAGAGAAATGGGAGCATCATCTCACGGAGCAGCCAGTAGTTGGGAGCATTGTTCCAGAAGGGCTGTTCCAGGACCTTTCTACTTCTCTCACTGCCCCCGCCCCCACCACCCTGCGTTTCCCTTTGGTCCTTCTTTTTCCCCCAGGCATCTTCTCATATTTGCAGAATCAGATTCTTTCCTTATATTGTTCAGGGTCATTGCTGTTGGGGATGGAGGTGATGGGAGCAGGAGCAGGGAAAATGAGAGGAGTATGCCAAGGGGGCTGAGGAAATAACAAGAATGAACTTTGCTCACCTGACCATCTTACCAAAGGCTGCTTTTGAGTGCATGTGTAAAACATGCCAGTCACTGGATATGCCAAAGACCCCAGTCCTGGAACAGGCCAGCTGGGCTCTGTCTGAAGCTCTGTTATGGAGTGCTCAGATTCCCTGACCACTCATCTGCTGTCATTCTCTGCTGCTCTTGGAATCCGCTCCATACACTGCTTCTCCTCCCCTTGGACGAGATGATCAACTCTTTCTAAAAGCCTTAAACTTCTCTAGAGACTGAGGAGGCAGGAACTAAAGAATTTAAGATCTTTTTATCCAGTTCAGGGGCACTGTCATCAATGTTTCTACTTAGATCGTTGAGCTGTGTTTATTTTCTTACAAGATGTTCTGCCTTCACAGTGCTGATCCCTTGGACTGGAAATTGCCTGCACTTCCTCTCTTCCTATGTTCTCATCTGGAAAACTCCTACCCATTATTTTTCAAAGCCTAATTCAAAATCACTTCATCAGTGAAGGCTCCCTTAACTCCAGGCAAGCTAGTTTCTGCCTCTCAGGGCTATTTTAGCAGCTATTTTAAACTTCAACTCCAAACACAATGATTATAATTCTGTTTGCATGCATTTCCTTCACTCATAGCTAAGCTTCTGAGGCATTTTTGTTTTCATAGCAACCCACAGTAACAGACACATAGTAGGTATTCAGTAAAAGTTGAATGAATGAAAGGAGATAAAAGCCAAAGAAAAAACCCTTAAAAATCTTACATATGTATAAAGCTTCCAACTATCAATTTGCAGAAAATAGAGTGCAGAGAAAGATGTAAAACATCACCCCAAAATGCAATCAGCAAAACCCGAAGAGGGGAAACTCTTTAGGACAAACAACCCAGTTTTCTGAAAAATAAATTACAAAGAGGGAAAAAAAGAGAGAGATGGAAGATGGCCTATAATTAAAAAGAGACTTAGAAGACATAACAATCAGTTGCAAAGCATGTACTATATTTGGATCTGGTTTTTAAGAAAGTAAATTATGACATTATGAGACAATGAGAAATTTAAACATTGACTGGATATTTGATAACATGAAAGACTTAGTTATTTTAAGCATGATGATGATGATGTTATACTTATTTTGACAAGAGAGTAGCCATTATATTTTAGTGTTAAGTAATGAAACATTTACAGGTGAAATGATATAATATCTGGATTTTGCTTCAAAATAATGAGGGAGGGAGGAAATGGACAAGAGTGTGAATGAGGCAAGGTTGGCCTTGGGATTGGTAGTTGTTGCAGCTGAGTGATCGGCATACAAAGAGTCACTATATAAATATTGTTATGTATGCTTGAAATTTTTATTGTGTTGTTTAAAAACAAAAATAATCATTTTCTGATAGTATTTTAATAACAGTTAAAATGATTACTCCTCACCTCAATGTGAAAAAGTTTTTAAGTTTAATGTATGGTTATATGCAATTTTTAAAATGTATTTATATATATGCTAAAATATTCCCCAAAGGGACATCATTTAGAAAAAAACAAGTAAATCCATTTAGGAACATGTGTTTTTCAAAGTGATGTCTACATAATAACCTATCAATTAGCAAGCTACTTTATTTTAATATTATTACTCATTGCAGGCAGTTCTTAGGTGCAAAGCAAATTTGGAGAAACGGTTTCTAAGCACCATCACCAACAATGTCAGCAATAAGTAGATTTTGAAGTTTGTTCACTTCCACAAAGTCCAAAGTTCTGTAAGTTAAACAGTGGGTTTCCAAGGGTGCTTATCAGTGTGGTTTAACAAGGTATGGTGATACTGACATGGGCAGTGCTTTTGGAAAAAAAAAAAAAAAAAGCTTCGCTGAATCATTTTACACAACATGGGTTACTTAGAAAGAATATTAAATGTTTTATCATTTGTATCTTCAATTTAACATTGCCTTTGTTTTTTATGATAAATATTTTCCAAAACCTAAAGATTGTGTGTCAAAACTTGTGTTTCTTTTTTGGACTCGCCCAGTGGAGTCTGAGGATGCGGGCTCAGTACCCTGCCTCCCCTGACCCACCCCCAAGAGTATGGATGTTCTGAATCCATTGATCCTTGTAACTGATGGTGGTCATTAAATGAGTGTTTAGTTGAAATAGCAGTATCATATGTAAAAGTTTTAAGTTTTTAGATTAATTAAAAATATTTCCTAGTTCTAAATATATCTGAGTTTTTCAGGCGTATGTCTATGTGTGTGTTGCTGTATAACTGGGAAGCAGGTGTAGAAGGTTAAGACCCAAGCTTTATTGAATGGCTACTCTGTCAGCTAATGTGCTAAGTGCTTTTCAGGTGTTGCTTCATTTAACCCACCTGATACACAGTCACGAAGAATTTTACTATTTCCATTTTGCACGAAATAGTGAAGAAGGGCTCAGAGAAAATAAGACACTTGCCCAAGGTCACACAGCTTGTAAGCAGGGGGAGCAGGGAGTTGGATGCCTATTACCCTGGTTTATACTCTTTCCCTCCTTGTACTCTGATTAATCGTTTTCTCTTCAAGACTGTGAACACCCCACTCCCTTCTTTTTTTAAGAGGTGGGGCCTTGCTTTGTCACTCAGGCTGGAGTGCAGTGGCACCAGCACAGCTCACTGCTGCCTCAAATTCCTAGGCTCAAGCGATCCTCCCACCTCAGCCTCCCAAAGAGCTGGTACTACAGGTGTGTGCCACCACACCCAGCTAATTTTTTAAAAATTTTTTGTAGAGATTGGGTTTTTCCATCTTGTCCAGGCTGGTCTTGAACTCCTGGGCTCAAGAGATCTTTCTGCCTCAGCCTTCCCAAGTGCTGGGATCATAGATGCGAGCCTGTGTGAGCCCCTTAAGAGCAGCCTTCTATTAATCTTTGGGGACTTCACAACTCCTTAACTAAAGTGGATATTTAATAAATGTTTGTTAGAAAATCTCAGCAAATCATCCAAGTGTCAGCTCAGGACAGGAGTTGAAAGCTCTTTGCCAACATATTTTAAACTCACCTTTGGGACTGACCATCTATGATTATTGAGTAATCATTTAAGAAAAATGTTTGAGAACACATTTGCAGGCTTCAAACTACACAAAGAAACGGGAGAAAAGGAATGATGCCAAAGACTGGGGTCAAGGTTGAAAAAAATGAGATTTAAATTTGGAAAATGATAAATTAACCAGAAAAGTTTATGCATTTTGGGTTTTACTCTGTGGTCTTGCTGCAGAACAAGTGGAGAAACTAACAACCCGTGGAAGAAAATTCCTAGAATCCTGGGATCAAGTCAAAACACCTGATGGTTTTAGAGGACAGAATTTTTGGAGAGAAAAACACAACCAGATGACTCTCTGCACCCCTTTCCCAGGCCATGGGCACCTGCCTGATTCCTATGGTCATGAAGGAACATTTTTCTGATGTGGCCATATTCATGGTGTCAGTGCAATCTCATCAGAGATGAGGCTCCCCACTCAAGCTGCCATGTGACTTGACAGGTGAGACGTTAAATAATAGCTAATAATATTATCTACCATTTGTTGCATGCCCAATATATGCCAGGGGACTAATAAGTATTTTACATAAGTTATCTAATCCTCCCAGAACCAAATGAAGAAACTGAGGCTTAGAGAAGATGGGATTTTTCAGCTAAAAGATCTTTCTCTTGAACTCTAAAGCCCAGGCATGTTCTGGCAGGGATAATGGTAGCTGAGGGTGACTAGTAGTGTTAGGAAGGTGAATTTGTGTTTAACAAGCCCCCTTGACGAAAGTTTGTAAGCATTTAGAGTGTTTCTGAGGAGCCATGCTCTAGAAATATCTAGAGACAACTAAGAAGGTGACAGGCCAAGGAGTTGGAGGATTGCTGGCCCAAGACCCCCAAGGACCTCTTTAGCAGAAACTCAGCATTTAGAAGCCAGGGTAAAAAGCCAAAGGTAAACTAACTTTAAGATGTCTGAATTTTCAATAAAGGAAACACTTCCAGGGAGGTGTTGAGTAGATGAGATCATTGGGAATTTGCCCCATTGTTTCTGGTACCTGCTTCTGTGTCTCTGGACTTTGTAGCACCTCCTGGCCTCGGTTCCTCCCTGTTCTAGTTTGACATGCCCAGCCTGGCTGCCAGAGTCACCCCTCCAAAGCATTGAGGTTACTGTAAGCTCTTTGAGGGCAAAGGCTTGGTTCCTGACAAGATTCCAATATGAGAGCTGCTCAGTAAATATATATGAACTGTTCCAGGGATCACCAAGTTCCTATTGTCAAGAGAGCACCCTGGGCAAGAAACAGGGCCATGTTCCTTCCTGGTATTTTTTTTCCCACTGCCTAAGGAGCTCAGCCATGGAACTTGGAAAAGCTGTGGAGACAGTAGCTCTGCAGTCATGCCCGTCAGGTCCTTTTCTCACTTCTACTGCAGACTGAAAGACCTGTCCTGTCCTGAGGACAGGCTTAGCATTTTCCAGTATCATGATTTGTAATGTCTATTTTTTATTTTCTTAAAATGTTCGGTGAAAGAGTGTCTACAATGAAAAAGGTATATAATATCAAAGGTTGGTGAGGATGTGGAGCAACTGGAATGACTACACTCAGCTGATAGGAGGGAAAAGTAGTAAAACCACTTTGGAAAACTGGGAGAATCTGCTAAAACTAAACATGTATATACCCCAAGGCCCAGCAATTCCAGGTGTATAGCCAACGGACCGATGTACACATGTACTAGAATGTTCATAGCAACACTATTCCTATTAACCACAAACTGGAAACAATAAGTTCATCTATAGCAGAATGAATAAACTGTGGCATATTTATATGTGGGATACTACACAGTAATGACATGAAAAAACTACAGCTACATGCAATAATATACATGGATCTTACAAGGCTGAGCAAAGAATCCAGACACAAGAGAGTCCATAGTGTATGATTCTACTTACATAAAATCAAGATGTTTGTATTAAGATATAAAAAACAATTTTTAAAGGTAAATTAATCTATGGTGTTAGAAATCAGGATCAAAATTATGTGGGAGCAGTGACTAGGCATTACGGGATTCTGGGGTGCTGGTAATGCTCTGCTTTTTGATAAAGTTATTCGTTACATGGATTTGTCACTTTGTGAAAATTCATCAAGCTGTGTATTTATGATTGGTTCACTTTTCTATATGTATGTTATACTTCAATACAATTTACAAAAGATACACAGTGAGGTCTTTGGAACCTGTTTGTTAAAAGAAGTCTTTAAAATCATGAGTTGCAGGCCAGACACAGTGGTTCATGCCTGTAATCCCAGTACTTTCGGAGGCCAAGGCAGGCAGATCACTTGAGCCCAGGAGTTCAAGACCAGCCTGGGCAACATGGTGAATCCCCATCTCTACAAAAAAAAACACAAAAAATTGGCCAGGCATGGTAGCACACACCTGTAGTCCCAGCTACTTGGAAGGCTGAGGTGGGAGAATCATCTGAGCCCAGGAGGTTGAGGCTGCAGTGAGCCATGTTTGCACGACTGTACTCCAGCCTGGGCAACAGAGTAAGACCCTGTGTCAAAAAGTAAAAAATAAATAAATAAATAAATATCACGAGTTGACTTCTACATCATTTCTTTACTAGTAGAAATAAATTCTGAAATCTTGTAGCATACAAACATTTGCCTTATGTGTTATTAAATATAACTAGTCTCAACATTTTTCTGTAAAATGATAGTTGTCTATTTAGAAGGAAGCCCATCTGCTAGCATCTTTATAATAAGTATTTAGTGAGAAGCATGTGAGGTTGTTTCATACAATTAGCCTGAAACTAATTGTATAGTGTGTCTGCTTCCTTAGAACAAAATTGGTTGCTACTTCGTTAAGCAATAGTAAGTAGGTCAATTTCTGAAGGCCAGTAACGATCATTTCTAATTCATCAGATTGCTAATAAAATAAAATTGGGTGTCTCAGTTGGGCTGCAGTAACAGAATGCCATAGACTGGGTGGCTTACAAACAGCAGAAATTGACTTCTCACAGTTCTGGAGGCTGGACGTCCACGATCAGGGTGCCCGCATGGTTGGGTTCTGGTGAAAGCCTCTCCCAGGTTGCAGGTGGCCATTTTCTTACCGTATTTTTACATAGTAGAGAGTAGAGAGCGCTCTCCTGTCCCTTTTATGAGGGCGCTAATCCCATTCATAAGGGCTTCACCCTCATGACCTAATTTCTCCTAAGAGTCCCACCACCTAATATCATCACCTTGGGGCTTAGGATTTCAACATATGAATGTGGGGTTGGGAACACAGGCATTTAGTTCATAACAATAGGGAATCGAAAAATTTCTGGCATCACAGTGAAGTTATACTACAAAGGTTCTTAAAACCACAAGTAAACTGATATCAAAAGTGTTCCCCACCACAGTGGGCCTAGGAATCTACATTCATCCCAATGTAAGGTGTGTCACAGAGGCTCAAAGGGGGCCGTGCTATAATGCAAAGGGGGGATCAACAATGCTTTAAATTCAGACTCTGTTGGTAGTGGTTGCATGTTTATAATCAATATGGGTATAAGTATTAAGTGAACAGTGGCCAAATGCTATGGTAATTTAAAAGACACAGATATCCTGTTGGGCCTAGTGGCTCGTGCTTATAATCCCAGCACTTTGGGAGGCCAAGGTGGGAGGCTCGCTTCAGCCTATGGGTTTGAGACCAGCCTGGGCAATACGGCAAGACCCCGTCTTTACAAAAAATAAAAACAAAAATAATAAAGTATGTTTAAAAAACACAGATATCACTCAAATATAACCCACTAAAATGCTCCTCCTTCCCCACCAAGTTGAAGGGTAAATCTGTTTTCAGGAGCTGATTTATTTCTTTCCACCTCTCCTAGGATATTTTGTTGAGTGGAGAAGTCAACTTAAAACTCAAGGCCCCAAGCCAGTTTTCCCAAAATGAGTCCCCATTTAGCCCAATGTCTCAACAAGAACCCTCAGCATGTTCCTTCTTCCACAGGGCCCTCATGTAATAGTCCTGGCAGTAGTAGTGGTACTAAATATAACAGCTAACATTTATCTAACACCTTCTATGTATTAGGAACTGTTTTAGTGTTTTCTATATATATGAAACCATTTAATCCTCCCAACAACCCAGTAAGGCAAATATTAAACTACCATCCTCATTATTCCATTTTGTAGAGAAAACGGAGGCCCAGAGAGGTGAGGGGGTTTGTCTGAGGCTATACAGCTGGTAAGGGAAGGAGTCAGCCTTCAGGGTAATAATTCTTGACTTTGATTGCACTTTGGTATTTTTGTTTGTTTTTGAGACAGGGTCTCCCTTTGTCAGCCAGACTGGAGTGCAGTGGTGCAATCATGGCTCACAGCAGCTTCAACTTCCTGGGCTCAAGTGATCCTCTCTCAGACTCCCAAGTAGCTGGGACCACAGGCACACACCACCATGCCTGGCTACTTAAAAAAAATTTTTTGTGGCCGGGCGCGGTGGCTCACGCCTGTAATCCCAGCACTTTGGGAGGCCGAGGTGGGAGGATCACGAGGTCAGGAGATCGAGACCATCCTGGCTAACACAGTGAAACCCCGCCTCTACTAAAAATACAAAAAATTAGTCAGCCGTGGTGGCGGACGCCTGTAGTCCCAGCTACTCGGGAGGCTGAAGCGGAAGAATGGCGTGAACCCCGGAGGCGGAGCCTGCAGTAAGCCCAGATGGCGCCACTGCACTCCAGGCTGGGCGACAGAGCGAGACTCCGTCTCAAAAAAATAAAAAAAATAAAAAATAAAAAATTTGTCTAAAGACAGGGTCTTCTTATGTTGCCCAGGTTGGTCTCAAACTCCTGGGCTCAAGCAATCCTCCCACCTCGCCTCCCAAAGTGTTGGGATTACAGGCGTGCGCCACTGTGCCCAGCTGATTGTACTTTGAATGCCTGGGTCTCACCCGCTAATCACCCAACGCCCATTCCAGATTCTAATTTAATTGGCCAGGGATTTTTAAATGCTCCTTGGGTGATTCTAATGAGCTGCCAGAGTGGGCGCCACTGGTCTGGGGCCTGGCTTTGTAGCATCCTACTACGCAGCCCATGAGAAGCGATTGAGCAGAAGCTACACCTGGGTTCGTATGACTTTTCCCTCATTGGGAACAACTGGTTAAAGGAACAGTCAATGGCAGGAGAAGTTTTGTGGATAAAATAATAACAGCTGGATGGTTATTTAGCTAGCCACATGGTCTTAGGCCAGTGACTCAGTTTCTTCATCTGCAAAACAAAGGGTTTGAAATAAGAAATGATCTCTTGGTTCTTTCCAGTGCTATGAGTCTATGAAATCAATATATGAAACCCTGGATCATCCAGGAGTGGATGATCCACAGAAAATGTCTAATCTGAGTACCAGTGTCCTTCAGCCACCCTTCTCATTCATTGGTGTGTGCTCAAAGAATGCACATCAGTTTTATTTTTGGCCTAAGCAGAACACAAATAGGAAGGAAGAAATCATGTGTGTACATGTGAAAATCATTCAAAAGATAAATTAAATGATTTGGAGGGATTATCTGCTGTTTGGGATTACCCACATCACTGCCCCCTCCAATAGCGTTGATAATTGAAAGATGCCTGTAGGCTGATTGCTGACAGCTGAAGGATCCATGTTGCCAAGGAACCTATGGCTGAGTGCCAAGGAATGACCTGATTAATTATCCTTTTCTTTGTACCATCCCAGCTCTTCATACCGTTCGCTCACCAGAGTGGTGTCCAGTTTCAGGAGCACGGAAGAAAACAGTAAGTCCCCAAAAGTGAACAGTCCCTATTTCTTGAGGCAGAAAATAACAGTGGAGACCTTTTCATCCCCTCTCGGGTCCTATGCTGGCTGCTCGGCTTGGTGACTAAACTTCAGACCATAATGAAATCAAAGACAGTCTGTCTGGTCACACTGGCTTTCCACGTAGAAGGTTTTGGCAAAATGCTCTCTCTTCTTCAATCGGATGCATACAGAGGTTGTAATGTGCAAGACTCCAGCATGAGAAGGGCAGGCTACTATGGCCAAGAGGCTAAACCTTATTCCCGGTGGCTTTTTACTGTCTGGGCTTAAACGACTCATTATCCTCAGCATTTTACTTTCACTGTGGAGTGTCATATAGAATTCTTCTTCTTTTTTTTAATCATGAACCGGCATGCTAGGTGAGAAGTATCTTTATTTCAGGGGAATTTGGGAAAAAGTTTGCACAGATTCTATGCACTGGTTACATAGCTAAAACCAGGTTACATAACTGTTTAAATTTGGTATAAGCCAGCTATCTGTACATCCTTAAGCAGTGTAGGCAAGCTGGCCCCAGGGGCTAGCCCCAGAAGTTTCAAGCTTTAAACAGCACATTGCAAATTCCAAATTAGCACTCCCATCCTTATCTTGACCAAGAGTCTGTACTCCACTTATAGATAAGCATAGAGCTTTCTCAGTTCAGCCGTAAGATAATCTTGTCTTATACATACTGTAATACAAAAGATGAGGGAATGATCCTTCCTTCCTGAATTCATTCCCTCTAACTCACAGTTTATTTCATAGACATGTAGAATTCTGAGTCTTTTCTAAAACTAGTTCTTAAATGATTGGCTTTTACAGGGGTATTCAATAGCTATTGAATTGATGGCACTAGACTGGTTATTTTTATCTTTTTTTTTTTTTTTATTTTTAGAGACAGGATGTTGTTCTGTCACTCAGGCTGGAGTGCAGTGATGCAATCATAGATCACTGCGGCCTTGAACTCCTGGGCTCAAGGAATCCACCTGCTTCAGCCTTCTATGTAGCTAGAACTACAGGTATCCACCACCAACCTCAGCCCTGGGTTCTACTGGATGTGCCGGCCAGGGGCCACCTCTACTTCTGCTGGGGCCTCCCAATGCTGGCCCTCCACAGGTGGCCTCCGGAAACAACCCTCAGAAAGAAGGATGGTTCCACTCATACCAGAACCTTTTTTGTCATCTTTGCATTTTATACAGGCAGTCAGACCTCAGGCGTGTGCTCCATCAGAGGCCTGACCTCTCCTCAGTGGCTGTGATTATTGCCTGGAGAACCAGCCAGATTTTACGTAAATTTCAAACAAATCTTTTAAGAGTAGGGTCCTATCCTGGAGGCAGCTGGAGGGAGAAAAAGATCCCTCTTAGAACTCGGCCTTTGAAGTGAATTCCTTCAGCAATCTTGCTCTGAGCTTTTCCTGAATACAGCTGTAAATTGATTTGGGGTTTTTCCTAATGGGCTGAAAAACATAGCTTTCCTGTGTTGGGTGGTTCAGTGAAGCCACTATTTTACAACCACCCGGAGTTCCTTGAAAAGCCACCCTCCATGAGATCATTACAGATACATCCTGAGCTCAATAAAAAAGAAGTTGAGCCTGTGTTTCTATTGGTAGACTAGGCGGGTTCGCGGATACTTGGACACTGATTTGGGCATAGATTTGTGCTTACGCCATATAAACAGATTAATCTGGTATCTAAGCCATATAGATACTGGATTTCACTCTCCATCCATGTCTATAGGTATACTTTATTAGCTTGTTAATGCCTTTCTTTCAGAGAACAATTTATTTAGCCTTTAGAGAAGACAGTGATTTTAAAAAATGTAGCTTTATTAAAGAACCGTAGCCTAATCTAAAATGGTTTCACTGGTCTGCACATACCACAGGTTTACTGCGGTATAAAATACCAAATTCTCTTTATGTGTTCCCTAAATTACTTTATAACTTTATCTTTTGCCCTAATAATACTTGTCACAAAATATGGAGACCTACTCAATTTTACTAGTCATTGAAGGAATGTAAACTGAAACTAGAAGATAATGATTTTTTCACCCATCAAATAGTCAAGGAAATGGATATTGTCACTTCTGGCTGGTGTGACATCTAGGAACATATCCTGACACAGAATTATTCTTAAATAGGAAGAAGGGTATTAAGTACAAAATTACTTGCATTACTCTATAATAATCAAAATTATTCAACAAAGTCTAAATATCTGATTATAAGGGAATGGTTGAATGACTTACCATTTTGTAACTAACAGTGGCTCTGATGAACACATTGAAAAGGTTTCTGATATACAGCTAGGAGAAGAGCAGGACATGACACAGGGTACAGACTACAACAGCAACTATAGTATTTTTTTTTAATGTGCGTATAAAATGTGTTTCTAGTGACAGCCCCACTCCCTCCTTCAGTGGCTGTTCAGTGCCTTAAGACATCTGAGGCAATTCCCAGCTGTGCCCCCTCCACGTCTGCACTGCTCTGCTTCTATCAGGCTGGCCTGCTCTCCAGTGCATCCTGCCTCTGGCCTTTGAACTGCTGCTTTCCTGCCCTGATGATGCTTCTCTCCTCTTCAACCTCCTCATCTCAGGTTTTTTTATTTTTTGAAGACAGGGTCTGGCTCTGTCACCCAGGCTGGAGTGCAGTGGCACAATCACAGCTCACTGCAGCCTTGCACTCCTGGGATCAAGCGATAACCCCACACCGCAGCCTCCTGAGTAGCTGGGACTACAGGAGCATGCCACCATGCCCAGCAATATTTTTTTGTTTTTTATAGAGACAGGGCCTTGCTATGTTGCCCAGGCTGATCTCAAAATCCTGGGCTCAACCTATCCTCCTGCCTCAGCCTCCCAAAGTGCTGGGATTATAAGTGTGAGCCACCATGCCCAGAAAACAACAACAATAACTTTCATTGTATCTTTATTTTTTTTTTCTATGATTACTCTGAAAACACTGTTTGATGAGCCTTAGAAATCAATACCACTTTAAAACTACAGAAGAGTGGGTAGTCTGGAGAGACTATTTCACAATTGGGCCAAGGTGATGACTATTGTCAATTTTGTGCTCTTAGGCCTCATTAGTCTCATTCTGAGGATGCTTTATTCTTCCCTGAATTGATCGTATTAATAAATAAAGCATGTGGAGGGAGGAATCTCTCCTAAAAGAGGAGATCACTCATCCTTGAAAGTATATAGGATTTTTTTTTAAGTGTCTGCCTGGGGAAAATGCTGTGGCGGCATTAATAGACAACAGCATTTTAATTATGAATCTAATATATTTGTATCACAAAACCTGGCAATTTCAACGATAAAGTACTATGATTACACAAAGCATTTTTAGAAATAATAAACCTCTGCTGAATATGCTTACAAACCACATTAAGATTCCATTTCAGCTCTCCTTTGTAATATCAAATCATATGGGTAGGTTGGCTGTTTTAAAATGTATTAAATGTAAATTGATTTTGTATTGTCAGAAATAATATTTAGAGACATTCTGCCGTCTCTGTCACGACCCTTGCCTGATTCCTGCTCCATGTGTTTCTAATCCCGGAAGATTTATACAGCTTTTAAATTTTCATTATGTGTTCTCCTGCCTGCCTGATAGACACTTGCTGTACTTTGCCTGCCACCAATGTTGGACTTGTCTAATGTGAGCCAGGATCCAGTCTGGGGACAAACACTGAGCACCAAGTTTGGGCGAAGCTTTGGCGAGGGGAATGATCCCAAATGTAGGCTCAGGAGGCAGCTGCATCACTTCCAAGTTTTTCTCACAAGGTTGCTGGCTCCGCTAATACCAAGGCAGCAAACTCTCATCTAAGCCACAAACATAACATTGGTGTGTCACGCAATGTGAGTTAAGATTTGTCAAACACACCTTTATTCCATATTTGGCTGGATCATGAAGCACTCATTGCAAAGTTCCCTAGGGCCCGCAGCAAGGGACGTGGGTAGCTGTAACTCTGGTTTGTTCGTGAAGTACATTAGTGAGCATAATAAAGTAATCACATGCCTCCTATGGGTTTTTGTCTTGTTAAGTATGTGAAATCTGCTCCAGATAAATATTTTTTTTAAATGAAAGCACGTGAGATGTTAGAGGAGAATGCAAGATCTTAAATGATCAATTACGTGGCACAGAAAACACATGTAAAGAAGGACGGGGGAGGCCAGGCACAGTGGCTCACGCCTATAATCCCAGCACTTTGGGAGGCTGAGGTGGGAGAATCACTTGAGCCAGGAGTTCGAGACCAGACTGGGCAACATAGTGAGACCCCGTCTCTACAAAAAGTTTTAAAAATTAACTGGGTGTGGTGGTGCGTGCCTATAGTCCCAGCTACTCAGGAGGCTGAGGTGAGAGGATTGCTTGAGCCCAGGCATTGGAGGCTGCAGTGAGCCACTATACTTCAGCTGGGTGACAGAGCGAGACCCTGTCTGAAAAAAAGAAAAAAAAAAGGTTTTTTTAAAAATTTATTTTATTTTATTTTTTAAGGTTTCAGTATGAACAGACTAGCTAACCCTGTGCTCTATGGTTTAGAGAGGGATAAGGAGTGAGGATCTCCATCTGCCACCTGCAGGGCTCTGGAGAAGGACAGGATTCCCACGCATTTGTTGTAACTAGCTGGGCATAGGAAAGCTGGACTTATAGGCAACAGTACCACAGGGTGGTCCTGTGTAGGAAGGGCTGGGGAAAGAGCCAGGGAATATTCCTCCTTGTGTCTCTGTCCTTTACAAACTAGGTGGTCAAAAATCTCAAAAGAGTTTTGGGTGATGCTTCTCTTGGAAAGCAACAGCATATTTTACCAATGAAAACAAGTGCTTGCCCCGGTGCCTGCAGCCTAAAAGAGACCAGACTTTTGGGCCGCAGGAATATCAGGCATTCGACCCTAAAGGTGAAACTGTGCCCAAAGGGTTAAAGAAGTTGGTAACAGGAATTCTTGAGCCTGTCTTACAGGATGGCATATAAGGAAGCAGCTTGTAAAAATCCCCTCCACTTGTAACAAAACTGGCCAACGGGGCGGTTGCAGTGGCTCAGGCCTTTAATCCCAGCACTTTGGGAAGCCAAGGCAGGAGGATTGCTTGAGCCTAGAAGTTTGAGACCAGCCTGGGCAACATAGCAAGACCTCATCTCTACAAAAACAAACAAATGAAAAGCCAGGCATGGTGGCCCATGCTTTAGTCCCAGCTATTTGGGAGGCTGACGTGGGAAGATTACTTGAGCCCAGAAATTCAAGGCTGCAGTGAGCTGTGATCTCACCACTGCACTCCAGACTCTAGCTTGGGTGACAGAACAAGAACTTGTCTCAAACAAACAAGCACAACAACAAAAAACAAAAGAAAAAAAAAACTAGCCAAACTGGCTGAAACTAATTGCAACCAGTATGGCTGGCTACAGTCTGTGAAGAATGGTCTTACTTTGCCAGATGGGCGACCTTTTGATGTCACAGTCTGAATTCATACCATATGGTTCATACCAATTCCCCCCAAATTTGCACATACAACCACAAAGAAGCACAAAGAGACAACCGCACCCACTTAAGGGATTTTCCAAACTTCCCCTCCCCTTCCTCCAATCATTCACCAACCCCAAAACCCCTCCCCCAGAATTTCTCCTTTACATATACTGCTTTGAGACCAGTACAAGGAGATGGATTTGAGCCCATCTCTTGTCTCTTTGCACAGCCACCTCGCTATAAACCTTTCTCTCTACAAAAATCTGGTGCTTTGGTGTTTGGCTTTTCCTTGCGCATGGGCAAATGGACTCAGTGCAATTAGGTGACAAGGGCTCATAATATCCTCACATTCCCATGTATACTGTTTTGCTACCTTTGGTTTGATTTTCATGAAAATTTATACTGGTAAAATGGAATTGACTAGAGCAGAGGCATCCAGCCTTTTGCCACCAAGAAGTCTTTATTATTCCTAATCCCCATCAAGGGAAAAAGGAAGTTATGACTAATTGGTTTTCCACTTTTGTTAGACACTCAGAGCATCTAACCAGCAGGACCGGCAAGTACTGCCCCCAAAGAGCTGATGTACTTCTAGCCACATGCCAAGGCTCATGGCATTTTAATTAGACACGGCAACCCTTACAGCAGGCCCAGCTCTGATTGTTGTTAGAATTTTTGAAATATTTAAAATTGTCTGAGGGTTCCTTTTACTGTCAGTGAAGACTCTTGGCCAGCCGGGCACGTGTGCTCTCGGGCAGAACAGAATCTGGGAGGAAGAACGGCTGGAGCTGGCCGATGTTGAAGTGGTGGGTCAGACAGCAGCGTTGGGCCCAGGACTTTATACACTTCCTATAAGAAGCGCTAGAGCTGGAAAATGGGAACTCCTGAAGTGCTGAGCCGATCTGTTTCCAGGAGTGGGGGGAGTTGTTGAAGAGATGGAATGGGAACCAGTTAACCTAGCTAGGAGCTCCAGGGACATAAAGATAAAAATAAAACAAAACAAAATACAACTCCTCCCCCAAACCACAATGATATATCTCTTAAAAGCTATCCCAAAAGCTTAAAGCACACACACACACACACACACACACACGGAGAAAATATAATCAAGTGTTGCTTTCAGACCATGGGTGACAGATACATATTTATTTAAAGAGGGGAAAGACCGTGTCAACAGGGGAAGTCAGCCCTATTGAGAAGGTGCTATGTGCCAGGCATTGTGTAGGAGCTTTATAGGGTTGAAGGTTCTTATAAAAGCCTGGTGCTTGTCACTCATGATATTCTCTTGCCTTGTCCCAGTGGACTCATAGCTAAATCCCAACATGAAGGGGACAGTAGTAGGAACAGCAGTAACATAACATTGACTACAACAAAGACAACAATAACAATATTTACTGAGTGCTTAACAAAGATCAGACGCTGTGGCAAGCGTTTTACATGGATCAGTTAGTTAAGTCCTGAGGATATCCCTAGTCCTGAGGTACTATTATGATCATCCCCATTTTATAGCTGGAAAAACTGAGGCTCAATGACTGGCCCTAGGTCACATAGCTAAAGGAAAGAGTATCTAAAATCTAAATCCCAAGTCTGTCTGACTTCAGATCCCTTGCTTATAATAGAGTAGACTGTCTTCCATTAAATAGGAGGGAATAAAAACTAAGAGCTGCTTCCTTAACATTTCCATGGAACATGGGAGTCAAAAACAGCACTCTTGGTGGCCATGAAGACAGAGGCATTATTATTACTATTTTTTTAGAGACAGGGTCTCACTCTGTCGCCCAGGCTGGAGCGCGGTGGTGCAATCACATCTCACTGTAGCCTCCAATTCCTGGGCTCAAGTGATCCTCCTGCCTCAACCTCCACAGTAGTTGGGAATACAGGCACACATCACCATTCCAAACTAATTATTATTATTATTATTTTTGAGATGGAGTCTCACTCTGTGGCCCAGGCTGGAGTGCAGTGGCTCGATCTTGGCTCACTGCAACCTCTGCCTCCTGGGTTCAAGCAATTCTCCGCTTCAGCCTCAGAGTAGCTGGAACTACAGGCGCCTGCCATTATGCCCAACTAATTTTTGTATTTTTAGTAGAGACGGGGTTTTGCCATGATGGCCAGGCTGCTCTCGAACACCTGACCTCAAGTGATCTGCCCACCTCAGCCTCCCAAAGTGTTGGGATTACAGGCATGAGCCACCATTCCCAGTTGAGACATCCTATATACAGAGCCTTAGTAAACCCCGAGTGACTGAGGCAGGCCCTGCAGCTCCTTGCTCCCCCAACTCCATGGCCACACATGACACCCTGCTGTGAGTTGGGCAGAAGAGGAAGAAAATTACACAATGGCATGAGAACCAAGAGAGACAACTTCCACTCTTCACATTAGCCAAACACTTCCCCTGAAGTCCTGGGAGTCTTTGGGAGGAATCTGGGAATCTGAGAAAGGACTGGGAGTTACTGCCAGTGAGTCATACTGTGTACTGAGAAATATGAAATCGTGATTATTGATGAGATGCTATTTCTACTCACAAATGAGTGGGCTGGGAAATACTGCTTACATTTACAGTGAATGAATAGCTGTCTGTTTGGCTGATGGGTCTTGTATCTTTTCCACATTGATGTGGGTATTTTCTGAGTTGGAGTTGAAGGTTCTTTTCCGCAAAGACTTCACTTGCTTCTTTGTAAAGAATTTTGCAAAGTGTTGCATGAATGTCAACTTTTTATCTGTTTTTTATGATGATGGCAAACATTACTAAGGGATAGGGTCTTCTTTTTAAAGCTTTTTAATTCCTGGGGCCTCTCTCCTTAACAAATCCTTGGTATCTGTACTTTTCCTAAAAATGAGGAAGATGCTCCTCTGCCTTTTTCTTTTTGTTTGAGACAGGGTCTTGCTTTATCCCCCAGGTCGGAGTGCAGTGGCACAATCATAGCTCACTGCAGCCTTCAACTCCTAGGCTCAAGTGATCCTCCTGCCTCAGTCGCCTGAGTCGCTGGAACTACAGGTGCGTGCCACCACACCAGGCTAATTTTTTCTTTTTTGTAGAGATTGGGGTCTTGCTATGTTGCCTAGGCTGGTCTTGAACTCCCGGCCTCAAGTGGTCCTCCCCCCTTCGCCTCCCAGAGTGCTGGGATTATAGGCATGAGCCACTGCACCTGTCCTCCACTGCCATTTTAAAAGTTGATTGATTATGTTCACAATCTGTTAGTTCCTTTGTCTAATATTGACACATCTTAGTTTTAGTGGGTTTGAGCCCCATCTAGGCCATTTGGCTGTTCTGCCATCAGGTAGATTGCTTTACGACCTGAAGTGATTGTTACAGACTACCAAAGTAACCAGAAGGAGGCCACAAGACAGATGGGCCTTCAAAGGCTCTGACTGCATCACCCTGTTCTAGACCTTACAGTGGCTCCCCATGGCTCTGGATCCACCTGAGATTCCATTCCACACTCTCATTCCTCTTCCCACCACCGCCCCACAGGCTCCTTGCTGTGTGCTGCTCTTCGTGCCTCAGCCCCATATGCTCTGGGGCCTCCACCCTGGGGGAGCTCAGGAGGAGAAATGTGCTTCACCTCCCAGACACGGCATCCTATGGAAACTAAACGAAGACACACTCCAGCACTTGACAACTAACACACTGTTCACAGCCTGAGCAGCATCAAGCATTCCGAAAACCAAAACTGGGACTTTGTATTACAGTTTTTAAGAGTAGAGAGAGAGAGAGAGAGAGAGAGAGAGACATGGCAACCCTTACAGCAGGCCCACCTCTGACTGTTTACCTTTGTCAGCAATTCTACCTGAAGTAAAAACAAACAAACAAAAAACAACCAACCAAACAACAACAACAAAAAAACACAGGGAACAGAAGCAGCCTCGTGAAAAATGGCCTGTTCAAAAGCACTGAGATGTGTGAAAATATAAGCCAGCACAGACTTCCTGTCACTTTAAAAATGTTTTGAATCCCAGATGCCAAGCAGGATGCTAGGGCTTCTTGTAGCTGGCACCAAGTTTCAGGAAAACATAAAAACAAACAAACAAAACCCTCTACATGTTGATTCACTTGAAATAAACATTTCATTATGCTCATAATAAAGACAAGTTCTTGGCTGAGTACATGAAATTCCAGGTAGTCAGATTTCTGGATTGTACTGTGCAGGAAATTTTCAGAAACAATAATAGTGTGCGTGATAAAGTATTGAATTTGATTGGCTAGAGGGAGATGGAAGGAGAAAGCCAGCACTGTGAGATCGCGTGATAGGTGCTATTAGGGTATTGGATGAATTATCGGACCCACAGACTAGCCTGCAATGTCCTAGGTGCTTGTTGTCAACACCCAGAAGCCTACAAATGAACCAACTGTTGAAAACATGAAGAGACAGTCTCTATGGACATGCCAGAAAAATAAATCTCAGGTTAGTTTGTGGAATTAAAAATCAAAACATAAAAAGAGAGGGGAAGAAGGAAAGAAAGAAGAGAGAAAGAGAGAGACAGAAAGAGATGGAGAGAGAAAGGGAGGAAGGAAGGAGAAAGGAAAAGGGGGAAAAATAAATGACAGAGTGGCTTTGTAACTTTCCTCCCTGTTCACATGAGTAGCAAATCATCCCTGCATTCTTCAAGCCATTTCCTCATATTTCATCTTGTTTCATTCTTACCACAACCTCAAGGGAACCCTTTTTAAAATTTTTCATGTTATTTTAGTTTTTTTAGAGACAGGGTTTCACTCTGTTGCTCACGCTGAGTGCAGTGGCATGATCATAGCTCACTGCAGCCTCAAACTCCTGGGCTCAAGCGACCTTCCCACCTCAGGCTCCTGAGCGGCTGGGACTACAGGTGCACACCACCATGCACCTGTTTTAAAACATGTTTTAAAAATGTTTTGTAGAAATGAGGTCCTGCTATGTTGCTCAGACTGGTCTGAAACTCCTGGGCTCAAGATATCCTTCCACCCCGGCCTCCCAAAGTGCTGGGATTATAGGGGTGAGCCACTGTGCCTGGCCTTATATAACTGAACACACAGAGGTTAAATTACTTGCCCAGGATAATACAGCAAACAGTCAAGGGGTGGGCACCCCATCTAATCTCTCCAGCGAGCAAAGCCAAGCGGGCCTGTTTGTTCTGTGCTGTGAAATTAACCCTAATGGCTCTTGCTTGGGCTCCCTCTGCCCTCATGTTGCCGTTGGAGTCAACATATGGAATGATTTAGAGATTTCTCTCTGAAGGCAGGGGATGGACTTAATGATACCCCGAGATCCCCTGCCAAAGAATGGTTTTCTTGTAATTCTAAAGACACATAGTGGGCCTCTATGGAAACAGAGTCCCATGTTCAGGAAGTGGGGACTGGGCCCCCTTTCTTTTCATTGATCAGTTGCATATGTCAGGAAAGGGCATGAAAGGCAAGAAACAGATGTTTCCTGATGGGGCGCCTTCCTGATAAGGGGATCTCCTTGCTTGTCCACCAGCAGCCCTACCTGAGCTGTGAATCCCCAGCCAACAGAGTCAGCAGAACCCCTAACTTAGGTGGTTTCCCCCATGAGTCTGCCCCAGGGACTCCTGGTCCTCTATTCTTCCTGGCTCAAAACTGTGGAAGCATACACCCCTCATCCGCTATGGTGGGCAAGACAGGGAGTCTCATTTAGGGAATGGGGGCTGGCAGGGGTCTTTGGGATGGATTTCTCTTTCTGACACGAGGATCATTTCCTGGAAAAGCAAAACACAACAAAAAAACCTGCTGCCATTTTGACTCTACAACCACTTAATGTGGTGAAGAGTTGCCGTAGCAACATGATTTCTGCCTCAGCTTGACAGAAATTCATGCTTGCCTGGTTTGAAAAGAAAAATTGGACATTCAATCTGCACCAGAGAATTTATACATAAAAGCAGATAGTAGCTACACATTCTGCCTTTATTATTATTTTTTAACATTTTAGTATGCATTTCGAGCACATACAAAAGTAGAGAGAATAGTATAACAATGCTCCTTGTACTTATCACCCGGCTCCCATAGTGATCAGCATACGGCCAAGCTTGGTTCATTGATCTACTTGCTCATTCCCCAGCCCCCACCCACTGTATTAGTTTTAAACAAATCCTGGATATCATATCATTTCACCCACCCACAAATACTTCAGTATGAATCTCTAAGAGATAGGGACTCTATTTTTAACAAATGATTCTCACACAAGTAATAAATAAAAGAGAAAGAAGGAAGATTTCAGAATACAATTTCTGCCTTTCTCCCCAAACATTTTTTAAACTGCATCTATTCCCTTTTTTAAAATATCCTGCTGGGTACAGTGGCTTGAGTCTGTAATCCCAGCACTTTGGGAGGTGGAGGTGGGAGGATTGCTTGAGGCCAGGAGTACAAGACCAGCCCGGGCAACATAGTGAGACCCCCGCATTTATGCAAAAAAAATTTAAAAATTAGCCAGACATGGTGGCTGCACCACTGGTCCCGGCTACTCTGGAGGCTGAAGTAGGAAAATCATTTGAGTCTGGAAGATTAAGGTTGCAGTGAGCCATGACTGCACCACTGCACTCCAGCCTGGGTGACAGAGGGAGACCCTGTCTCAAAACAAAAAACAAAAAAAAACTAAAGTAGCATAGACTTTAGACACTATGCTTTGGCTTAAAATATATAGCATTATGTAGCAGGCAGAGTTCCAAGTTTACATGGATTATCTCATTTAATCCCCACAACAGTCCTAATATTATCCCATTTTACAGATGAGGAAAATACATCCTGGGGAGATTAGTAACTTGACCGATATCAAACACTTCGGTTATGTAAATAAGCAAACACATTGTTTTTAGTTCCTAATCAGGCCTACTCTTACCATTGAAAGGGCTGCATATTTATGTTACGACTTGAAACTCGTCAGTGGTGCATGCTTTCCCGTGCTTTGCATTTGTGTACCCACTCTTCAGACGTGACATTAACATCTTATTGAGCAGATCCCTGTAAGAAGCCACTGTGTGATTTAAGGATTATCCTCAAAATGACCACCCATCTTAATCCTCTCAAAGTCTATTTTCAACCGTTGCATATATTCTATTAAATCCTGAGAAGTCTCCTTCAGTGGAAACTTTTGGGAGGTTTGATCCCCGAGAAGTGGTTCTGGGAGGTAGATGCCATGTTAGATGATGTCACTCAACCACTTTCTGGCTGTGTGACAAGGTAGAATAGCTAGCTGTCCCTGTCAGAACCTCGACACATTGTTTTGCAGTCATCTATTTACTGGTTTGTTTCCTTAGAGGCTCCTTAAGGCCAGGAGCCAATTTGCCATTTGTTGGTTTGGCTGTTTGTTCTTTTTCTGTATCTGAGCATTGACACTGGTACACAGTAAGTACTCAGTAAATATGCTTTTCCAGATACAGTTCTCTGAGTTCTTTTTATTTTTCTTTCAAACTGAACAAACAATGACGTATCTGGCCATGACTAAAATACAGAATAGATCAAAGCAGCCACTTAATTCAGGGAAAGTTAACATTTCTTAATTGAGAGAAAAGGTATCCTTTTCTGATTGATTTTCCACAATGTCTGCCCACACTGACATTGCTCAATGTGCAATTTCCCAATGGCTTTATTTTATTTTTATTTTTATTTTTATTTTTTGAGAAAGAGTCTCATTCTGTCACCCAGGCTGGTTTGCAGTGATGTGATCTCAGGTCACTGCAACCTCCACTTCCCGGGTTCAAGCAATTCTTGTGCCTCAGCCACCCAAGTAGCTGAGATTACAGGTGCACGCCACCAAGCCTGGCTAGTTTTTGTATTTTTAGTAGAAATGAGGTTTCACTATGTTGGCCAGGCTGGTCTCGAACTCCTGGCCTCAAGTGATCCACCTGCTTCAGCCTCCCAAAGTGCTGGGATTACAGATGTGAGCCACCGAGCCAAGCCCAACCAGTGATTTTATAGACATAGTCTTTGGAGTTTAACTTGGAACAAGTTAGTGCTATATTATCTGAAGCTTAATATTTATTGTTTTCATAGTTAAGACTCTTAAGTTGAATTCTCATTACTAATAGTATTTTTAGTTTTGTAACAGGTGAACGCACACAATAAGAACTTCAAGGAACAATTAAAGTCAATATTAAGAGTGTTCAAGTGTTTCCAAATCATTCCAAAATATTTTCCTCACACTTAATAGTACCGTGATAAAGGCCATCTAATTCTCATAGACTGTTCTGAATTTAAACAGTTGTCCCATTTCCCCCCCTTGCATTTACCAGGTCATATGCCAGGTTTGGGCTCAGAAGATATCATTACTGCATGTAATAGGCTAATAACAAAATCAGACTTATACATTGATTTGACAGTTGTCCTTATTTGAGCTTGTACTTCTTTATTTTTAAGTTTTTAATTATTTTTAGAGATGGGGGACTTGCTATGTTGCCCAGGCTGGTCTTAACTCCTAGCCTCAAGTGATCCTCCGGCCTTGGCCTCACAAAGTTTTGGGATTACAGGCATGAGCCACCACACCTGGCCAGCCCTGCAGCTTTTGCTTTTTACCATATTTTATTCCATGTGACAGCAAATACTCAAAGTATCTCATACTATGTGTGTTGGGATTACATTGAAAATTATTTCTCTAAAAATGTGACTGTGTATTCTATATAGTTGAAACTATATTTCCTGGGAAATAGAAATAATTCTAGGTGGGCAAGCACTGTGTAAAAAAAAAAATCAGAACTCTGGTAATTTTCTTTGCTCTTTTTGCTTATTATAAAAGCATAGGAAAACATTTAAAAAAACCACAGGAAACAATTTAGCATTTGACATATATGTTACCTACCACCTATTTTCTGCACTTTTGTCAAGAAAGAGTCTAAAAATGGTATTTTTGATACTGAAAGGTATGTGTGTTGGTAGAACTCAGAAGTAAGGTATTTGAAATTCCAGTTCACCTAACTGACTTCTTTGCTACCATTGAGAAACTGCTTATTTTGGCATGGCTCACTTTAACCTACCAAAAATGAGGCAATGTAGGAGTCTTCCCCATGAGGTTGTTGAAGATTGTTGAAGATATGACATTGCAATGTTAAATGATTAGGAAATACAAACACATGTCTAGGCAGCATTGACTGAGCATTCAACCAATATTTATTTGATAAATATTTATTCTTCTGCCTAAAAAATAATCATGGGTGTTATTCCAGGTTCTTGGACCCTTCACTTTCTAACCCCAGGGTTAGGTGAGGTCACTCACCCTAGAGTTCTTTTTCAACTCAAGGAAAATAACCAGGCAACTAGAACATTAAGTGTACTAAGAGCAAAAGAAAGGTCTGGTACTACAGAAGTCACAATGAAGGATTCTGGAGTGAGCAGGAGGGGAAGCGTCTCTGCTGCCCACTCACAGTCCCTGGGTGATATATTGGTGCCCAAGAGCTTGAGAACAAAATGCTCCATTCCTCCTGGGATCTCCACACCCCTGTGGTGCTCTCCTGAGCCTGACCCATGCTGGGAGGCTCTGGCTCTCCATGGAGACTGCACACGAGAGTGTTGGTCTTACACTGTGCACAACCTCTCACAGGCATTTGCCCCCAGATCTTTTTTCTGCTTGGTTGGGGGAAGGCTGGATATTGGCCAATTGCTAGTATTGCTAGGTGCAAACTTTCTGCTAAGTTAAATATGACCCGTTGTCAGCACCAAAATTGAAAATTGTGATTTCAGGCCAGGCACAGTGGCTCATGCCTATAATCCCAGCACTTTGAGAGGCCAAGGCAGCAGAATTGCTTGAGCCCAGGAATTCAGCCTGGGCAACATGACGAAATCTTGTCTGTACAAAAAATTAGCTGGGCATGGTAACACGCGTCTATAGTCCCAGCTACCCAGGAGGTTGAGATGGGAGGATCAGTTGAGCTCAGAAGGCTGAGGCTGCAGTGAGCCATGATCTCACCACTGCATCCCAGCCTGGGTGAGAGAGTAAGACCCTGTCTCAAAACAAACAAACAAACAAACAAACAAACAACAAACAAACATAAACAAAAACACAAAGAAAAGAAAAAAAAGAATATTGTGCTTCCTTTCAAAGCTGAGTTTTAGAGTGCCAGGTTCAGAGCAAAGAAGCATCTTCGCTTGTGTTTAATGGAAGTACCTGATGCTTGCATAAGTTGTTGACACAAAAGCCAGCCTCCCTCATCCAGTCTGCTGGAGGTCACCCTGCAGCCCTCTTTCAGGAATGTTTGGAGAGTTGACAGAAGAGTCAACCAAACCTAAATTCAGAAAGTGTTACATTCATCAGAGAGGAAACAGCTTTTCCTTGTTGCTGCCATTATAGCTCAGGAGACGCACAGAGTAAGGTGTCAAATTTACCTAAGAAATGATACTCAAAACTTTACATTTGTTTTTATCAATTTAAAAATACAGCTCTTGAAATAAATAAGGCCATTCCTTCTGGCATCATTCATTTTAAATGCAGGCATAATTCTATGTACAATAGCAAATCCTGGAATGACTTGTTGGAAGAACCAGACTTTGAGAAATAAATAATTTAAAAGATAACAACTCTCTGTAAATAAAACTTGGCACCAAGATAGTTAAGTGGGTTACCAGCACTAAATAAATATACTGAGACTTACTATGTTGCAGGTACTGTGCTAAGCATATTACATGGATGACTGCCTTAGTCTATTCAGGCTGCTATAACAAAATATCTTAGACCTGGTAACTTATAAACAACAGAAATGTATTGCTCATGGTTCTGGGGTCTGGGAGGTCCAAGACCAAGTCGTAGATCCAGTGTCCGATGAGGGCTCAATTTCTGCTTCCTCTCTGGTGCCTTCTTGCTGCATCTTCACATGACAGAAGAGACAAACAAGCTCTCACCTCTTTTATAAGGGCATTAATCCCATTCATGAGGGTTCTGCTCCACCTCTTAATACTGTTGCATTGGGGATTAGGTTTCAACATATGAATTTTGGAGGGATATGGACATTCCCACCACAGCAATTGCCTAATTTAATCTTCATTACATGGAAGACAAGTACTATCACTCTGTCCAGTTTCTAGAGGAGAAAACTGAGGCTTGGAGGTATTTGCTTGCCCAAGGTCACAGAGCAAGCAAGTGATAGAGCCTGGCAGGGCTCACGTTATCCTGGCTACTCTTACACCTGTGCTCTTGTCTGCCATGCCACACTGCCTCTCTAAGCCACAGGAGTACTTTCTCCTTCAACACTCATGCCAATCAGGCTCTGTGATACGGTAAGAGTGATTTCTTTGTTTATATGAATTAGAGCTTTATATTTGGGCATTAGTATTCCCAGAAGAATAAGCAAGTGAATTGGTTACGTGAAATACATTTATAATAATCAATTTTCACAAATCTTAAAACTCCTTGAGAAATTTTATAACGGTTAAACACTTTAATCCTATATGAGGGAACTAACTATAATTCTGTACATACTTTATTTTAAGATTGAAATATGCATCAAATTTGGCTCTAAAGTGACTTTCTACAGAGTGAATGCTATTTTTTCTTTGAGATTTTTCCGCTGGCTAAAGCCGTAAGTCTATTTTTCACAGGAAATTATCCTGACCTAAAGGTGTTAGGATGAGGAAAGTGATCATACCCTAGAAAACCTTGTAGCAGGCTTTAATAATGTTTCTAGGTCAAGTATCTCCCCTTCACCCCATTTTGTTTTTCTTTTCTTTCTTTCTTTTTTCTTTTTCTTTATTTATTTTATTTTTTTTTTGAGATAATGTCTCACTCTGTTGCCCAGGCTAGAGTACAGTGGCGTGATCATGGCTCACTGCAGCCTCAACCTCCTGGGCTCAAACAATGCTCCTACCTCAGCCTCCCAAGTGGCTGGGACTACAGGTATGCACCGTCGCACTTGGCTAATTTTTATTTTAATTCTTTTTTTAAAAAATGTTTGTACAGACGTTGTCTCCCTATGTTGCCCAGGCTGGTCTTGAACTTCTGGGATCAAGCAATCCTCCCACCTTGGCCTCCCAAAATGCTAGGTTTACAGGCATTAGCCACTGTGCCTGCCCCCCATTTTCCTATTATTTTGTCTTCTCTCTTCCCGGCTACAGGGATTTCTCTCAAGAGATAGGCTGGCTTCACGTGCAATTCTTGGTGCTCTCCTTGGGATGAGTATCTATGGTGCCTTCTAGAGCTGGTAATTGCAATGTGACCACCATGGACAGCCATTAGCATGTCTGCTCCACCCCTTCTTTGGGTACATGCCCCTCTGGTCCCCCAAACAGAGACCTGGGGCCTTCCTTCACACTCTCCTCTCCCTTCTTCCCCACATCCAAATGGTGACCAGGATTTGCCTTTACCCCGGAATCTTCTCTCCATGCACAGCCCATTCTCGGCTCAGGTTCTCCTTATTTCTCACCTGGATTAATGCTATGGTTTTTCTCAACATCTATGCTTGGCCTCTTTTGTGGGAGGCTTTTCTTGTCCACCTGCACCCCTCAGTCTTGGCAGGATGCCCTATATCTTTGCACTGCAACTTATCCCATGTACACTGATTACATATTTAATTTTGTCTCTTCCTCCAATTCACCATAAGCTTCTTGAGGTTGAAGACTGTGTTTTGTCCTTGAATGGCCAGCTCTGAACAATGCCCGACACATCGCTGATACTCATTGTCTGTTGAGTAAATGGAAGATGATTTGCAGTTGGTGCTGTGTTTTGTGTTACTGGGGGAATCTTGTCCTGAGGGATCTGAGTGTGAATATGCAGCTTCTCTATCTGGGGCTTTGGGTAAGTCCGAGTTGTTTTTTTGTTTGCATCTCTTTTGCAAAAATGAATGAGAACACAGAAAAATCAATGGCATTTAGCACAATGTTATGAATATTACAGGTCAGAAATAAACTTTGTTTTGTTTTGTTTTGTTTTGTTTTCTGAAACAGAGTCTCTTTCTGTTGCCCAAGCTGGAATGGCGTGATCACGGCTCACTGTAGCCTTGAACTTCTGGGTTGAAGCAATCCTCCCACCTCAGCCTCCTGAGTAGCTGGGACTACAGATGTGCGCCACCACCCCTGGCTAGTGTTTGTATTTTTTTTTGTAGAGATGGGGTTTCTCCATGTTGCCCAGTCTGGTCTCGAACTCATAGGCCCAAGCAATCCTCCTGCCTCAGCCTCCAAAAGTACTGTAGAAATACACTTTTTAAATTAAAACAGGCAGGTTGAATGGGGCTCAAACCTAAGGATTTAGTTTTTAGGCTCTATGATGTAGAAAAACATCTGTTTCTTCGATATTACCAAAACCTCAGCATATTGTATAGTATAATACTTGGTTATAGCAGGCATTTAAAAACAGTAAATAATAAAAACAATAAGAGCTATCATTTGAGTGCTTCCCATGTGCTATGTATTTCCTATTCTGAATATTATGTGAATATCTTTAGTCCTCACAACAGTTTTATGAAGTTAGTATTATTATTATTATCTCTATTTAACATTTGAGAGCACTGGGACCCAGAAGACTTCAGTGACATGGTTAAGAACAACCGCAAGTCAGTAATGGCACCAGATATGGACATGGTTGTCTAATTTCAGAGCCCACATGCATTAATCACTACGCCGAAATCGGTGCACACGTGACTAAATCTATGTCATCCTCTACTCAGCTAACTCTCAGCCGGTGAGAGACAGCTGCTGAAATGTGATTTGTAGCAGGCAGAGAAAAACCAGGATTTTTGTTGCTGACATCCTTTCTGATAGTCACAGTTAGCTTACTCAAATTCAGGCAAGTAATTGAAATAATCACATATGCTCAGGTGTGTTTAACATGATGTCTTTTCTTAGCTGTAACTGAAGGTAGACTTCACTCAAAGGCATTACTCCTCAACATCCATCTCAAAATTATCATTCTGGAAGATATTTGCTCATATTACTTGATTTGTGTAGGAGTTAAGGCTTTTTAAAGAATGGATGCAAAATATATTTAGTGCTAAAACATACAGATTTTTGAATCTTTTCTTGTCATGGCAAAAGAATGAAAACCATCTGCCTACAGCCACCCACACCTTTGGAACAGTTTTTACCCTAGTTGGCTTGGTTTTTACTTGTGGATTGAGAAAGATTAAGTATAACGTGGGCCAGAATCACGTTGGCATGAATATGGCCTGACTCTAAAAACTATTTTAGCCAAAAACTTTTAAAAGGCAGCTCTGGGAATTACCAACAGATGGGTTCTCAGATGACCAGCTTTACCTAAACGTGGCCAGAAGGTCTCCACCACACTGGGCAGGCTTGTGGGTTTCTTTAAAATAGTTGGTGAAAAACATCAACCCTAAATTTTACCTTTTCTCTCTGATGTCCACCACTTTGTATTACCAAACCATAAAAATGTGATCCACTGAGCCTACTCATATAAAACATCACAGAAGTGAAGAGGAAATTAGATTCTATTAATTTAGTGCTTTACTCAGTTGTTTAAAAAATGTGTCTGCCTCAAGCTTTCAGTTATAGTCTGGTTCACAATAATATTAAGACCTTTTTTTTTTCCTTTTTCCTCATTGTTAAGCACCAGTCCTAAGTTTTTAAACATTACTTAAAAATACATCTTTAGGGGTTACACCATGTGTCAAATTCTCAAAGATTTAAGGACACATGGAAGGCTTTTTTACAGTTAGGAGACTCAGTTATTTATGGCAAAATTACCAATGTGATACTGAAAAACATTTCTTCCAAGAGCTGTGCACAAATAAATGCATTAATTATTGCTTTAATATTAAGAACTAAAAAACAAAGAAACTGTTTTTAAAATTTCAAAGCCACTCCAATAAACTTCCCAGATTAACTTATCTCCCAGTTTGTCTGGTTTCTTAAGGAGCATGCCTGGACTGTACTCTCTACAGACAGGAAAATGTTCTAGAATAAAAAACAATCAGTAGCTTAACTTGTGTCCAAAAGAAGGCTGTTGAAAGTAAACTATCAACAACTCATAAAGCTACATTATGTTAATAGCTCTTTAACGACGTTTGAAATTGAAAAATGTTAAATATTGAGAATTGAAAAGTCATGGGAAAATTTTTACTGCAATGTGTATATATATGGGAGACACTAACAAATAAATACTTCTGCAATATTTGTGTGACAATATGTCAAATATCAGACTTGATGTTTTCTGGGCAAAAGTAGATACCAAAAGTATGCAATGGTTGAAACTCTTACAACTTTAAGTTCAGATCTTTGCATTTCATTATATGTAAATTATACTTCCATTAAAAATAAAAACAATCCCCAAAACGCTCAAGGTCATAAAAAACAAGGAAAGCCAGAGAAGCTGTCACAGCCTTCCCAAGAGACATGAGGATTAAATGTGATATCCTGGATGAGATCCAAGACCAGAAAAAGTGAAAAATAAAGAAATCCAAATGAAATATGGAGTTCGGTTAGTAACAATGCGTGAATATTGGTTCATTAGTTGTGACGTGTCCCACACTAAGATGTTAACAGTAGGAGAAACGGGAGGTGGGGTATAGAACTATGCAACTTTTCTGTAAGCCTAAAACTATTCTATAATTTCAAAAAGCGTATTTTTAAAAATATAAACAAGGAGGACAAGAGAGAAAATAGTGTGACAGTCACTGAAAATACTGCAGGAAGGTCAAGAAAGTGAACATTAAAAGAACAGTATACATTATCTATTTCAAACAATGTGTAAATTAGCCACAAAGGGCAAATGTTTTTATCTATTGGGTATTGGTGCTGAATACTTTTTCATCACATTTACTTTCCCATGATAAAACAGGTTAGGTGGTCATTATGCCATTATTTTCTAGCTGGTTAATGTTAATAAAAGGCTTGGACACATGCAAATGGCAATGAACTAAATAAACAATATAGCTTTTATTTTCAGCACAAACATAATCCTCGTTGTAAATTATCTAATGTCACTAATCTGTCCTGCTGAACCCCACCATCCACGAGTTACACACATTCTTTATACACAAAAAAATCATTTTGTGCCTGCCAAAACGTTTTCAGGTATGAGTGCGTGTGCGGAGAGATGCGTAAATAATACTCGATTACCATGCCACCTACATCTTTTTGTTAAAAATGCCTTTATGAAGGCTATAATCCTTATCAAATTAAACCCTGCGGATCCCCCTTTTAATACACAGGGAGTCCTCCTCATTTATGGGCGTCGGCGCTAAGCAGCTCTGGAAACGGGCAGACCCAGCTGTGCAGCGATGTCCAGTGTCGCCGCATCTGCCCCGCGGGGTGCAGCATGAGTCTTCCTTTGTGGCGTGCGGCTCCATCGGAACGCGCGTTGCGACGACAAATTCCTTTTTTCCCCCCCGCAGTTAACAGTTCTGGGGCAGAGGCTGGTGGAGAGGTCCAGAGCCCACTCAGACCGAGATGAAGATGAGGAAAAGCATGAGCAGGAAGAGGCTGGCGGCTGCGGCGGCCACAGGGAAGAGCTCGGTGCGCGGCGCAGCCTCCCGCGACCGCGACTCCTGGGCTGCGTCGAGGAGCCGCGTTGCCATAGGAACCGTAGCGGCGCCCCAGTGAAACCCTGCGTTCGGACAGGAGAAGCTAACCGCGGCCGCCCACTCCCACCCGCGCTTCCTCCCCGCCCCCACCGGCCGTGCGCGAAAAGCAGAGATCCGAGAACCGCGTGCGGTACAAACGGCAAAAGCTTCGCGCGCATTTTCCGGGAGTTGAGCGCGCGGCCGCAGGCCGGGAACCTACCGCTCTCAGGCTCCCAGCCCGGGCGCTACGACCCTGTGGGCGCCGCCTGTGCAGCCCCTCCTTCCAGCCCGCTCGGGCGCATCCCCCAGGCCGGGCCAGCGACGCGGGCACCGGGAGCCCCTCCCGCCGGTCCGGGCTTTGGCCCACACCCGGGGACCGCGGAGTGGGAAAGGAACCAAAGCGCGGCGCCTGGCCGACCGCGGACGAAATTCGAGGCCGGAGGGCGTTTTCTTTTTTGCAAAATTGCCCCAAAGCCAGGGCCGCATGTACCTACTGTCTCCTTTGCCCCACATGCTCCAAGAAAATAAGACACATTCTACCCCGAGTCCTAATTATTGGGCCATTTCCTTAACGCGCGGTCTGTCCCCGTGGGCAGAAACATACTGCGAGATGCAGTTTGGGTAATTAACAAAGAGACGAGACCTAACTGGGCTTCCGAAATGCTGGATACTGCGGCCGGGTCGCCCCGCATTCGGGCATCGCGCGGTTCCCGGCCTTCGGGACGTTCCGGCCCGGCCGGACTTTGACCGCTGGCGTAATTAGGAGAAACGCAGAAGGCGGACGCTCCCCAATTTCCCCATCGAGCCTTCTCCTCCCGAGTCTGCGAAGCCCCTGGCTCAGGAGACACCGGCTCCGCGCCTGGGCCTGCAAATCCGCTTCCAGCGAGCGCAGGCCCTGTCGCTCCGGGCTATAAATATTAATAAGCTGCGCGGCTCCGGGCTTAATTATCTCCCTTTAATTGCAACTCAACAAAAAATCCAGTCTCCTGCCACTCAGCCCCCCTAGGTCGGGATCGTTTGGTTTCGGTGTCAGGAGGCTCCCCGGGCTCAGAGTCGTTCTTTGTATTCCGCAGTCCAACCTGGAAAGCATATGCTGCACCTCTGCGCCGGTTAAAATCACCCCCAGACAGATTCGAGCTGCCGCCTCTTCGCCTTTCATTCTGTCGCCTGCGTCCCCAGCAGCCCCGGGTCCCCAGTTCCCTCCCCTCCACCAGAGGACCCTGCCTCTATCCTTCCCCCGCACAACTAACGCAATAGCCTGAGGGGTTTGGTAAACAGAAGCGGCCCCAGGAGGGGGTGGGATTCGCCCCGGGTGTGACCCAAAGGCACCTGCGGCGGCCCAGGCCCTGGGCGAGGCCTGCCGGCCTTGTAAAGGCCTCCGCGTCTGTGCGCGGCAAAGCAGCCCTAACGGTTTCACCGCAGCCCACGTCTCTCCAGTCTGCAGGCCCGGCCTTCCCTGTGCCCGGCTGCGTCCGGGCCGTTCTTCCCCACCGCGCCTGCAGCCCGCTCCCTCCCCAGGGGCTTATCTTGTGCCCCTAAGTGGCTGCGCGCAGCCGAGAAGGGGTGCCCGGCTGCGAGGGGGCCGCTAGCCAGGAACTCTGCGCGCTCTCCCCAGGGTCGTCTGGAGCCCGGGGGTCGTACACTGCTGCAGTTCCTCGTCATCCACCGCCCTCTCTGGAGACGCGATGCCAAAGCTGAGAGCCGGGCGGTGGTGGGGAGCCAGGGTCTCGCCGCGACTCCGGGGACGCCCAGGCTGACGCTGCCTGCGTCCACTGCTCAGGTCTCCCTCAATGTCGGCTCCTCTTCTTGTCCCAGGGGCTTGCGACGCCCCGGGGAGGCCGCTTCTCGTCCAGCAGGCGTGGAGCCGTCAGCAAGGGGAGGCCTTGGGGGAGCCCAGCCGCGTTCAGCCCGAGAAAGCTGGTGGAGACGGCCAGGAGCCCGTCCGGAGGACACACCTGTCGCCGCCTAAGAAGGCCGGGCTCTCCATGCGCAGACCTGGTCGCTCAGACTCGTAAGGCACCACTGTAGGCTGAGAAGCGCTGTCTAATTATGTCTTGCCTGCTTATTTCAGTTCGAGACTTGTGTGCCCGCAAACCGCTGCCCAAGGCAGAGGTGCTGTCTACTTCCTGGGGATTATGATGGTTATTTAAATACATAACTGTCTGTTTACTTGATATATTTCCACTTAAATTACAAGAGGAAAGTTCAAATTGCAAAATAAGGATTCAGGTAAAGCACCCAAAGAAGTTAAATTACCTCTAATTATGTTTCAATTTAGAATGCAGACCCAATTAAAAGAAACTAAGCGTTCCACAACCTGAAATTGCCAGTGATCAGACTGATGGTCACAGAGTTTCATGATTGCTAACCTTCTACTGACATGAGAAACAAGAAATCCACCTGGGCTACTTCAAGACTGTAGCTCTTGTGGGCAGTTTCTGCAGGTCACTCGAGGCAAGATCAACTTTTTTGCTAAATCAAAGTTTCCTGTATAATTAACATAGGCTCAAGGCTCTGGCAGCAAATAGTTAACTGAGGCCCAGAGCTGGGGACAGCCATTTTGGTGGGCAGATGGCAGGTCAGTGCTGCTCTCATAAAACCACTGTGGTTTGCATCTTCGCTTTTCTTCCCCGGCCCAACCCCAAGTCTAGCACTCAGGTCACCTGGGTGGGGAAGGAGCCTGCCTGATGGGCAGAAGTTGGTCGCCTGGGAGGAGGGGGTCATTGAGGGCAGGAGCAGCAAGACAATAGGATGGCAGCAGTGGGCATTTGGGCAGGTATGGGTTTTACTTATTATACCTGCACCCAGCAGCTATTCAGTAAGTATTAAAGGACCCAGAGCTACATGAAGACCACGTGGGGTTGACCTTCTCTAAAGGGCCGTTGAGCTAAGCCACTTCATTTAGAATCAGGCCTCGAGCTTGCATGGAGTAAAATGTGTTCTGTCCCACTTTTCTTTCTGCTCTGGTGTGGGAGGCAGGCAGTGGTGGGAGCCAGGCAGCCACAAAGTCCTCCTGTCCCTTTGGAGCACAAGATGGCATCTGGAAATCAGCTAGTGGGAGTATTTCTTGGAATGTCTTGGAAACTCTTTCATCTCAACCAAGAAGGGTTGCACAAGGCTGGGATAGGCGTTTAAAAATTGTTCTTTGCTAATGACAATCCTGGGTGCTCTCTCTCTCTCTCTCTCTCCCCCCCTGCCCACCCAACTTTGTCTCTCTTCTCTCTCTTACACTCACCCACATATACACACAAATCTGCTGTTTTTGTATTTTATATTACCCTTTTTAGCTTGATAAAGATCAAAGTCACGTACCAAATAGTCTCTTGGAAACCGTACATACAACTCCTGGTCTTCTCTGGCAGTAAAAGTCTGAAAGCTGTTTTTGAATTCTGCTAGCTCAGCCTCACCCTACCCCTCCCCAGATGATGCAATACTAGAACAGGGCCCAGAAAGCTGCTGTGTCTGTCACCAGCTGGCTGAGTCTTGCCTCGAGGTGCCACAGAGAACTGGACCAAACAAGAGCTTTGCTGAGTGATTTTCCCCCAACAGCTGGAGCTGCTGCAGAAATCACAACGAAACACCCTTTGTTGTTATGGGACTTCAGATCTGACAGAATCTTTGCTGGTTCCTTATGACAAATCCTTATTATCTGCGTTTAAAGATGAAGAAACTAAGGCTGAGAGAGGTTAAGCAATTAGGCTTAGGCCACATAGAGAGAATGGGGGTCTTCTGTGTCTGTCTTGGGGCTTTTGCTACCACACCCATCACCATCACCATCACCATGGAGTCAACAGGAGACACTGGGCTATAATCGGTTTTTGGAGAGATGGTTTTGTCCTGGAATTCACATTGCATCTTCCCTGTGTTTTGCTGTGTTTGGCAGGAGGTGCACAAAACACAGCTGTCAGCAGCAGAAGGACCAGTGGGTGCCTGATATGCTTTGGGTCTGTGTCCCTTCCCAAATCTCGTCTCGAACTGTAATCCCCCTCTGTCCAGGGAGGGATCTGTAATCCTCATATGTCAAGGGAGGAAAGTGAGTGGATCATGAGGGTGGTTTCCTCCATGCTGTTCTCGTTATAGTGAGGGAGTTCTCACGAGATCTGATGGTTTTAAAAGGGGCAGTTTTCCCTCTTTCATTTCCCTCTCCTGCTACCTTGTGAAGAAGGTGCCTGCTTCCTTTTTACCTTCCACCATGATTGTAAGTTTCCTGATGCCTCTCCAGCCATCCAGAATGGTGAGTCAATTAAGCCTCTTTCCTTTATACTTTACCCCATCGCAGGCATTTCTTTATAGCAGTGTGAGAATGGACTAATACAGTGCCTGACAAGAAACCGGGTGCAGTCCAGGCCACAGAACCAAAGGCCCATGTGGGAGCTAGGCCTTTCCGCAGGATAAAGGTGTCCAGCTGAGGATGTGACATGCATAAGCTAGAAGCCCCCCTTCACAAATATAGATAGCAGCAGCAGCAGGAGGAGTCCCTGACACCCACCCCCGTGGTGGCCATAGATCCTGTTTCTCCTCTTCCCGCCACTGCCCCTGATTGGACACAGGCCCAGGCTATTGCCCTTAATTAGCAATGCAGGCCTGGACTGGGACAGTTTTGTTTGCCCTCAGAAGCTGCGGGATGTGTTATTTATCAGCCCTGGACATTCAGCAATCTCACACTTGTACAACCTACTGGATTTTATACAACATAGACACCCAGACACACCTACCGCTCATGCTCATAAAAACTAACACTCATCTACACTTCGCACCTGGTTAGAGCTTGTGAAAATGAGACTGGGATCTACAATAATTGAATACAGTCTTTCTCTGTTTTGCTTGGATTTTCATATTTGCTACTTAGAGCTGCTCATGTCCTAAGCTTGGTGTCATAGAAAATATTGGAAAGAACTAGGTAGGTATTATAGAAAAGATGGCATCCTTTGATGGGTAGATCTGGGCCTAATGAGCCTTTGGGGGAGTAAAGATTTCTGTTGACTACTTATAAAGGTGTGAAAATTAGTGCTCAATTGCCATTCACCAAAGCAGTGAGTCTGGTTGATAATGATAGTGGACATTTATGAGCGCCCACTGCGTACAGGGCACTCTGAGCACCTATTGCCTCATTTCATCTTCACTGCAACCCTATATGGGGTAAGTACTCTGAGTGTACCCATTTTACAGGTGAGGAAACTGAGGCATAGAGATGTTCTGTAACAGTGCTGGCAAGTAGCAGAGTCGGGGTTTGACTAAATTCTGTTCACCTGTGAGTTAGCACAAGCCATCAACCAAATAGGTGAAGCTGGCTTCACCAAAGCTGTAGTCACTAATGCCAAGTGGCTTCATTTGGAAAGTAAGTCTTTATTATCTTGGTTCGATCTCAGCTTACTGCAAGCTCCGCCTCCCGGGCTCAAGTGATCCTCTCACCTCAGCCCCCAAGTAACTGGGACTACAGGTGTGTGCCACAAGGCTCGGCTAAAATTTTTTTTTTTTTGTAGAGATGGGGTTTTGTCATGTTGCCCAGGCTGGTGTTGAACTCCTGAGCTCCAGTGATCCTCCCACCTCTGCTCCCCAAAGTGCTGGGATTACAGGTGTGAGCCACCATGCCCCACCTAGTCTTTACTGTCTTCAAGAGAACACATTTCAAGTTATTTTTTCTTCCTCTTGCTCCTCTGAATAAGCTGAGATTCCTGCGGCCATGCCTGGAGGAAGGTGGCAAGTGTTAAAAATGGGATGACTTGTTGCCCTTAGTTCCTCCTGTAACCTACTGTCCCACACAGCTGTCAGTCAGCAATGCCCTGGACAGAGTCTGGCTAGGCTGCCATGCACTAGAAAACTCCTGCTGCCAGCCATTTGACACTAGATGTGTCTTCTTAGGTCAGTAACAATAGTGCCTTTTACATGAATTACATGTATTTACAGTCTACAAAGAAAATTCACTCATGGCCTCTCATTTTAGGTGTTTCCTCTTTGCACTTGGGGCTTTCTCTCTAATTGCAGAATGAAAGGCTGCTTCCCTTGTTAAAAAGATCCCAGGTTAGGCCAGCCTGCCCCCAGATAGAAGCTAGTGATTCACTGTGCCTTCTGAAGGAGGAAAATGCAAACTCGTCAACCTCAGGATCAAAAGGAGGAGGGCAGTCCTGCCCAGATGCTTTCCTACAGGGGGTTTCACCTTCTTTCAACTTGTACTGGTGGCTCACATTGCAATTCATTTTTCCCAAATCGTTCTTTTCCTGTCTGCCCTCCCTCTCCCCACCCCGAATCAGGGTTTGGAAACCCTGCTATCCAGGAGCCAACTGGAAGCATGACTCAGAGCTGCTTTCCTTACTCTTCTGACCTAACACTCCTTTTTCCCTTTTGGGTGACAGTCAGACAGGAGACCAAATCTAGACTGTCAGGGCAGTTTCTCCATAAAGAGATGTGTGTCTTCGGCAACACAGAATGTGGAACAGTCACATGTAGGTTATTTGATGAGTGGAAGACTGGAGTCAGGTTCCTGTGTGTACAGACCCTTCACCATGGTGTCAGTTTCCATTAGCTCTATTAGGAGCATTTCCAGCTTTCTGACCTCTTCCCCTTTTCACAGGGCTGGTACTAGGATGAGGTGAATAAAACATTGGCCTTGGGCACAAGATTTAAGGGGCTGCCAAAAATTTCTCAGTAATCAAAATATTTTATTTCATTTGAGACAGGGTCTCACTGTGTTGTGCAGGCTGAGTGCAGTGGCACAATCGCAGCTGCACAGTCTGCCTCCTGGGCTCAGGTGATCCTCCCACCTCAGCTTCCCGAGTAGCTGGGACTACAGGGGCACACCATCACCCTTGGCTAATTTTTTTTTTTTTTTTTTTTTTTTTTTTTTTTTTTTTTTTTTGTAGAGGCAGGGTTTCACCACTTTGCCCAGGCTGGTCTTGAACTCCTGAGCTCAAGCGATCCTCCCGCCTTGGCTTCCCAAAGTGCTGGGATAACAGGCATGAGCCACCACATCTGGCCTAGATAAATATTTTAATGCAATATTTTTTAAAAAATCAAAATTAACACAAAAATTCATGATCAACAAATAGTCCATTTTTTAACTAAAAATACTATTACTGATCTTTTCTTTTTGTCCCACCCTTCATTATGGCTTGTCATATCACTGCTTTTTAATTTATCTTTTAAATCAGAGGAAAGAAACAGGAATAAAAACTAACTGAAATAAACCTGAGAAAGTAGGTGTGAATGAAATGAAACCAAAAGTACAAGCATTGGAAGTGAGAGAGCAAGAGAATGAGAGCGACTAGATTAATATATGAATAGTTTTTTTAATCAATGGCAATTAAAGGTTTTCATAAAGAACTGTTTGACTCTCCAGCTATCATCTGGTTTTCAGCAATTGTTAAAGATATCCCAACAGTTCACAATGGTTTTTAGGCATATATGTGTTTCCCTTAGTCCTCTAAACCTTTTAGTAATGATACTCTGTTTTTAGAGTGCTTCTTTACTTTTCAAAGCACTTTTTCCATGCATATCATTTCATTTATTCTTCTTATATTAAAAGAGAGAGAGAAAATGTATTATCCTTTCTCAGAAAATGGGCAGGTGAGATTGCAGAAGAAAAACTAAAGTAGTTTTTTCAGTGCTAGGCACCGAGCTTGGTGCTTTACCTACATTTCTTTACTTATTTCCCAGACAGCCCTCAGTTAGAGATATCAGCTCCCTTTTACAGATCAAGAAACTGAAATCCAGGCCAATTGGTTAATTAGCTAGAAATGTTCTCAGAATATTTGTTTCCTAAAATGTATATTTGTGTCCTTGTTTTAGTGCATTTGGTTGTTAGTAAAATTTAAAAAAAAAAGCCAATTACATTAAGAAGTTATATTCTAACTCCAAAAAATGTTTTATACTTCCATATCTGGTTAAAGTAACTCCAACATTTTCTCTTTGCTTCTTCTGAATGGTCTAATATATACCTATGCCAGAATGAGTCAACGTCTAAAGTGCTAGTTTGATAGAAGTGGAGGGTATCTTAAGATGGAATTACTTTGAATTAAGTAGATGTAAATGATTAGACAGCACAGTGATTGAGTATTTCTTCTTTACAAATGCGTATGGTTTATGTACTGCCATTTTGCCTTCTGTAGGGATTGTGATAGTGTATAATTCTGTTAGCACTGAACAAGAAAACCAGTTTTACCTTAACCTTGATAACATCGGATGTGTGATTTCTTTAAAAAGATACTACATGGGCAAGTATAAAATTGCTTCTTGGGGTTGTTTTAAAAGCATATTTCTTTGATTACAAATGAAGACATATATTAGATGTTTGCTAATTTGTCCTTCCTCTTACCTGTGAATTGTAGTTAATACACTTTGCCCATTTATCTACTGGTGACAATGTTTTTCTCATGAATTTGGATGATCTGTTTATATCTTATACATAATCTTGTCTTTCATATCTGGTTAAAATACCATCCTACTCTCTGGCCTTGTAAGTTTTGGTAGACTACATTTAAAAAATAGTTTAATAATTTAAGTGACCAATTTTGCAGTCTTGCCAGATAACTCAGTGGTACTTTGATAATATAGTATATTTATGAAAGCTAATTGAAGTTGATGAGTATGAAGTAGGGAGTAAACTACCTTAACTCTAACAAGTCACGCTCAAGAAGAGAATAAATTTCTGCCATTTTCTATCATTGAAGTAAGAGATACTTAAATAAAAGGAAGTAACTAAAGTAGACCTATGCAGTCTTTATGTTCTTCATTAAAAATAGTAAGTTATATTTAACAGAAATTGACATGGGCATCTCTGATTTTGCTGTTTAGCTGTAAAAACATTTCCAAGCAAAGAATAGAAATAATATACAAGTCCTGTAAAAACATTTCCAAGCAAATAATAGAAATAATATTTCATTCAAGTCCACATGAGTGACCTGAAATGATAGATTTTGTTATTAACTCGGATTTAGTTTTCACTTTTTTTTTTCTTGGTACTTTCCCAAAATGGAAAAGAAAAAGTTTTCTGGATCTTTCTAGGTAGTCTTGCAGACAGCCTCTGGGCGACTACACATGATTGTTCTGCCCTAGTTATAAAGGTTTTCTGAGGTGGAAACACCATTTATATCAGTTTTTTTTTTTTTTTCTAATTTAAGGTGCAGTATCTGACCACATGCCCTAAAGTTGTGCATTTTTCTCATGTGCATGCACGTGTGCGTGCACACACACACACACACACATGCACACGCATACTGAATCTTTTACAGTCCACCCATGGAGGTTTTTATGGGTGGGGGGGTGGCCATGGGGTCTCACTCTGTCACCCAGGCTGGATTGCAGTGGCATGATCACAGCTCACTGCAACCTCTGTCTCCTGGGCTGGAGTGATCCTCCTGCCTCAGCCTTCAGCCTCCCTAGTAGCTGGGGCTACAGGCATGTTCCACCATGCCTGGCTAATTTTTGTATTTTTTTAGAGACAGGGTTTTGCCATGTCACCCAGGCTGGTCTCAAACTCCTGGACTCAAGCAATATGCTCACCTTGGCCTCCCAAAGTGCTGGGATTAGAGGGTGAGCTACCTCGCCCCACCTTTTTTTGTTTTGTTTTTGTTTTAATTTTAATCTATCTACCCTTAAGGACCAGGAACACACCCATTAGTTGAGAGAATGTCATGATTAAAAAGTGTTGCTCTCTCCTGCTAAGCTTCCCCTCCTCCTTATTACACAGACACACACACACTCACACACTCCTGTTTTGTAAAGTGTCCAGCCCTGAATCAGTTCTGGTGAATTAGAGCTTTGCATTGAGTTAGGCAATCCCTCAGTTTTTCCTTTTTAATATAGGAGAATACATGACTTTGACTATCTTGGAAATCTCTTTGCTGCAAATATGCAGAGGAAAAATCGAAGGATAAAAAGAAGTCAAGAAAATAAAATGTTTACAGAATAGTGCCAACTCTTTGTGAGGGGCCTGGCAGTTATGGGTCTGTTGTCTTTTTGTTTCCTGTTTTTTCTTTTCCCCAACATTTTCATTTTTATTTTTGTAGAGGTAGAATACTTTGTAGAGACAGGGTGCTGCCATATTGCCCAGGCTAGTTGTGAACTCCCTGGACTCAAGTGATCCTACTGCCTCAATCTCCCAAAGTTCTGGCATGACATGCATGAGCCACTGCAGCTGGCCACTGCCCTGTTGTCTTAATGGCCATGGTTAATGTTGCCACTTTTCCTTCTCAGTGCCGGGAAGGAGCCCCTTGTTTCTCTAGGAGACCATTAACTTTTACCAAAGCTCTGCTACCAAAAATGGGTTACATATTCTTAGAACATCAGAGGAGCTTCCCCAGGACTTTGAAGGCAAAGTTCTGAAAATATAAATGAGTTGCCACAGATTATATTTTGCTTCCAACAGATGCTACAAAGTTGTTCAAAGCACAGTAGCTTCAGAAAACAGGATATCCTTGAACCATGAAGTTAATTTGATCCATGTGGTGTCCAGAATTCCAAGAAATCCGTCCTGAGGCAGCTTTCCTGCCAATGTTCTCTCTCTGACATATTCTGATCTGCTGTACTAGATGAACTATTTATCATTTGGCCTTCCTTCTCCAATTATGACATATTTCCAGATACTTTTCTTCCTGAAATATGCCAACAAGCTGGCTGTATGCCCAGGGCATGAAATATCTCCTTAAAATCTCAACATTTATGTATAAAACCCATTTATAGGTACTTTTTTTGAGAAAGAGGAGTTAGAAAACTGTGTTCTCTGATGGGTGGTGAATCTTTTTTCTAAGATTTATTTGAAACAAACATTGTTCACATGTTTAAAGATTCACCTGGCCTTCTTCCTACTTGAATTCCCCTTTACCATTCCCTACAAATTATTGTTCCAGTGGCTGCAAACATAGCTCCCTGCAGCCTCAAACTCTTGGGCTCAAGCAATCTTCCTACCTCAGCCTCCCAAGTAGCTGGGACTATAGGTGCATGCCACCATGCCCAGCTAATGTTTTGATTCTTTGTAGAGGTGGGGTCTTATCATGTTGCCGAGGCTGGTCTCGAACTCCTGGGCTCCTACTGGCCCAGAAAAACCCTTACTGGAAGAAAAAGGGAGATAACTCATAATTCTTCAAGTTTGAATTCAGTACCCATTATTTGTTGTACAAAATAGTTCTTGCAGTCTCCTGATTACATTTTAGCTCCTCTCATTTATGGAAGACCCCATCCACAGTTCTTTGCAATTTTTGTAAAGGACCAGAACTATTTACTCATCATCTCTGAGGTCAAGTAGGGAAGAGATTTCCTGTCATAGATTTTCTTCAAAATAATACAGCTCAAGTGTCACTGGACTATCAAACGAATGCCATATTGATTTAATAGATAGTAGCTCTTAAATGAAGTGAAAGGACCTTTGCTTAATTAATTCAGTAATTAATTCGGTACACATTTATTGTGTGCCTGTCACATGCCCCCACTGGAAGGAACATCTGCCTGTCATTCTGTGCTTACTAAACCAGAGGAATCAAACCATGCAATAATAGTTGGCATTTATTTGGGTTCATAACACATGTTGAGCTCTGTGCTAAGGATTCTTCACACATAATTTTATTTAATCTTCTGAACCATCTGTTCAGGTAGGTATTATGATCTTTATTTCAAACATCAGGAAGCTGAGCCTTACATGGTTTATCTCTCTGAAACCGTAACAGTACAGCTGGGGTTGGCCCTACTTGGCCTAAGTCCACGTATGGCCGGGAATCACCTTAGGTCCCTGACAAGTTCTCCTTTGAGATAATATCAAGAATGGAATAAAGATAAGAGGGTTGAATCTGGAGAAATCATGAAAGGTGTGAAGTCAAGTCACTTTATAGCCGTTATTGTTAGATTGTGGCTGTTTATTTCATAGATTGTATTATTTTTTGTTTTGAGACAGGGTCTTGCTCTGTCACTCAGGCTGGAGTGCAGTAACATGAACACAGCTCATGGCAGCCTCAACCTCCTGGGCTCAAGTGATCCTACCACCTCAGCCTCGTAAGCAGCTGGGGTTACAGGTGTGAGCCACCCCACCCAGCTAATTTAAATTTTTTTTTTTTTTTTGTAGAGACAGGATTTTGCCGTGTTGCCCAGGCTGGTCTCAAACTCCTGGACTCAAGCAGTAGTCCCACCTCAGACTCCCAAAGTGCTGGGATTACCGGCCTGAGCCACTGTGCCCAGCTAGATTGTATTATCGATAACCCTGTTGTTGCCTGTTTATTTATAAAGCCATCACTCCTTAATTTTAAATTGTTGTAAATGTATTGTTCCAGCTGTCTGAGTCTGTAATACCTTGCATCTTCCCAGGGCTCAGATAAAGCTAACTAACCTCTCCTCTAAGAAGTCCTCCCTGATCACGCAGGCGATGCTGCTCTCTCCCTCCATGAACTTCTAAGCACAGCCACTGACACCTTTCACTGCACATTGCTTCTTAACGTTTTCCTCTTGAGAAAGAGGGCAGGGCCTCTTTTGTATCCTTCCTGGTGCTTTTCACATGATTCATTCTTTCTTTTTAGAACCAGGGTCTCTCTCTGTTGCTCAGTGGGAGTACAGTGGCACCATCATAGCTCACTGCAGCCTCCAACTCCTGGGCTCAAGTGATCCTCCTGCCTCAGCCTCCCAGGTGGCTGGGACTAAGGCATGTACCACAGTGCCCAGCAAATTTTAAAAATTTTCTCACTATGTTGCCCAGGCTGGTCTCAAACTCCTGGCCTCAGGCAATCCTCCTGCCTTAGCCTCTGAAAGTGTTGGGATTACAGGTGTGAGCCACTGCACCCACCTACATGGTACCTTTTTAATACATACTTGCTAAACGTAGGAACACCATTTATGACTTTTGAGGAATCACAGAGGTGAAAAGGGCTGAATAGTTTCAGGGTATGTTGAATTGTCTTGTAGAGAATTCAAGAAGACCTTGGCAGGTGGAGAAGCTCTATCAAACATCACTGTCAGTTTGTTAATCCCTCCAAGAATCCAGCCTGAAAGAAATGAAGTCCATGTAAAGACTCATAAAGACCAAATAAGTGTTTTACGTGGAAAATAAATTAGCAAATTCACTGTCAAATTCCAAATGGCAAGGAAGCATGGAAAGTTGCAGTTTAATGTCCTCAACAAACTTGTCACTGATGGCCAGATGACAAAGCCTGTCAGAGAAACCAGGAGTCACTTTGGAAACAGACTGCTCTGATACACAGCATTCATTCCTGGGCCAGTCTCAGAAGACTAGAAGAGGGTGCACCATGAAATCTCAAAAAAAAATGTACTTGACTGCACAGAAGTTTCCTTTCAATTTTGAGGGTATTTTGGAAGGCAGCTATACGCACCACTATACTACCAACGCCACACAATTTGAGGGTATTTTGGAAGGCAGCTCTGCTCACCACTATACTACCAACGCCGCACAATTTGAGGGTATTTTGGAAGCTGTGTGGATTCTACCTATGAAAAGGAGTACTTGTCATGGGAGTCTTTTATGGGAAGTAAAATACATTTGAAAGTCTACTCCAGTTGCATCATTCCATGTAGTATAGGGTTTTTCTCTTGGGAGACACATTATGAGTCAGATAGGGCAGACCCAACTCGTTTCTTTATCATCAAGACTTCCCAGATCTGGCCCTGTCTGCTAAGTATATCACTATTTGTTCAGTGTAATGGGGAAGTAAGAATTGCCATACTAAAAATATGCCAAAGTATTCTGAGAGGCCTAAAGAACAGCGAAGAGGTAAAGAAAACAGTATGCTGATGGAAAGAAATGCTAAATGGAATAAAGGAACCTGTTCATGACCCATCTATCTGATGACAAACATTTATTGGGATTGCAGGTACAGGCCACCATGGTTGGCTAATTTTTTTTTTTTTTTTAATTTTCTTGTAGAGATGGGGTCTTGCCATCTTGCCCAGGCTGGTCTCAAACTCCTGGGCTCAAGCGACCTTCCCGCCTTGGCCTTCAAAGTGCTGAGATTACAGGCATGAGCCACCATATTTGGCCTTTCACAAAGTTTTGTACCATGTCCTGGGCCCTATATTAGGTTCAGGGCATGAAATGTGAGACAAAGCAGTCATGGTGCTTCTCTTTATGACTCTTAGTCTGTTAGGTGAAAGAGACGGTAATAGAATAACCACATAGAGTAATGTAAAATTGTAACTATGATTGGTTCCAGGAAGGGGAGAGTACATAGTACTTTAAACCCCTCACAAAAGGAAAGTGTTACCTAATCCAGTAAAAACACCTGAAACTCAAGGATTAAAGTATCACCTCTCTTAAAAAACAAAACCTCCCAGATTTAGCTAGAAGCACTCATGATCATATGTGTCTGTGTCTCTACACATAATATATATATTATTTATTTATTTATTTTAGAGATGGGATGGTACTCTGTTGCCCAGGCTGGAGTATAGTGATGCAATCATAGCTCACCATAGCCTCAAGTTCCTGGGCCCAAGTGGCTGGGACCACAGGTGTATGCCACCATGCTTAGCTAATTTTATTTTGGTAGAGGAAGGGTCTCACTATGATGCCCAGGCTGACCTTGAACTCCTGGCCTTAAGAAATCCTCTAGCCTTGGCCTCCCAAAGTGTTGAGATTACAGGAGTGAGCCACCACACCCAGCCTATGATACTGATTCTCGCCTACTTCTAAGGTCAGCCTGAGAGCACCGTCATCACTGACATACAACCATCATGGCAGAGCAGAATGAGAAGAGCTGACGATTACATCAACATCTAGAGAGACTTCTTATTGTGCCATTATCTGATGAGTTAAATCTTTAGGGAGTTCCAGTTCATGTACCAACAGAAAGGCTGAATTGCAGGGGAGGGGGACTGGAATGGAAAGTTCAAGCAGCAGCCTCCATATTGCTTATCTAGTGTCCCAGTAGGACATCCCATGGGTTGAGTTATTTTTCAGCTGTACAACCTGGTACAACTTAGATTGCTGTACAAATAATGGCACTTTTGCTGCTAAATGGACTATTCAAATATGCTCAAAATTTTTACAAATGAGCTACTTTTTCCAAGGTAGCATACAAATTCCAACATAATTCAAGTTACATGAAGACAAGGCCTTAGCTGTCTTATTCTGTATCTGTAGCACCTGACAGTCTCCATCCTGCCATAGGTGCTCAGTAAATATTAGTTAAATGAATGGGTCTATCTAAGTGATTGGTTGGATGTCACAATCTGCCTTTTGCATCCAGTTGCACTGCAGCAAATATTTCATCTTTTTCTAACAAGAGGAAGATCATACAAGGTTTCATGCTTGAGGAAGCATTTTCCCAACTCAAAATCTTCTGTGTCTGCAATCTACCATTGCTCTGGTTGCAAACCTGGCTTTGACCTTCAGCTCTGTAGTGACTTTTGGGTTGGTTCTCTGTACTTAAGTGGGACAGTTGTCCGACATTAGCTCATCTCTCAATCACTACCTCTGACCTTTGTGCGTGCCCATATCTACTTTGTCTCTTTGGTTTGCCCTGACACTCAGTTTGCAGAGATGCAGGCTTTTGTCTCTGGATCTTTATTCTCTGTCTCTGATCTCATTACCCACATGACTATGATTGTCAAACCTCCAGCTTCCAAGGGGCAGCATGCCAGCAGACAGCCAGTGGGCTGAAACAACATGCATGGGGCCAGTTGCTTGCTGACTACAAGGCAGCCAGAGTTTCACAGGTGCTGTTGCATGGCACCATTACAGAGGGCCAAAGAGGGATTTTCTAGAGCCACGCTATCTAGGTGCAGAGTTAAGGGGCTCATCTTATTTCTTCAAGTTCTTTTGTAAATTAGATGCTAGTTTTATTTATTGATAATACTTTTGCTTAAAAAGATGTTTTCTCTGAATATGAAAGTCAAACATTTTTATTATAGATAATTTGGAAAACATAAGGTGTTACAAAGTAAACACATGATCCCTGTCTTACCATCTAGACATACTTAGCAAACCCTGCTAATGCCTAGATCCTGTTTAGATGCCGTGAGGTAGGAACCCTGTCTTGTGGTGTATGTGTCACATAAGCCACAGGGACCACTTCCTTCCTATTTAAGGTGACTTCCACCTTCCCTCCTTCATGCAACCCCAGAACTGGGCATTATCATCTCACTACAGCAATGCTTTCCAGCAGCCAATATGGTGCCAGGCTTAGAGTAGCTTTCAGGCCCCTGCAACCTGTTTTGGAAGAAAGCTGTGTATCAATCAAGAAAGCAGCTGGCCTTGTGACAGAGATGGTTAGCTGCCTGCCAAAGCCTATCCTCTCCCTCCGTAGGACAGACCTATAGCTAGGAAGCAGTGTGCAAACATAAGCTACATTGCCTGGCCCCCTTTGTAGTCAGGTACAAAGTCCTCATGTGACTGGTCCTCACAGAGACAATGTGAGCAGGTGTGTGGCATCTTGGGGTCAAGGCCTTTAAGAAGTAGGTGTGCCTCCTCCATCTCCTCCACCAGCTTGCTGCAGATACTTAGGAGTAGAAGATAATGGAGCTACACATGAAAGGAACCTGGGTCCCTAGCTATCACATTGGGGAAGGCCACCTTTGCAGCTAAGCACACCCACCAGGGACCACAACTTGAGCAAGAAATAAATTCTAGAGTGTTGGCATCACAATAAGTCTTGGGTCTATTTGTTACTGGAACCTTGGCGACCTTAACTAATATAGTCCTGCCAAATGCCTAGTGAATGCATTAATAAATGAAGGCACTAAGATCACAGCAGATGATATTCTGCCACTACATTGGAGTTTACAGAGGTTGAGCAGGAAAGACAAACTTAAATACATCTTCTGAGAGGAACTATTATAGAGGTCTGTGCCTAGCTGTTTTCAAAATGTCCATTGAGTTTGCTATTGAAAAAACCAACTCATTTTAATCCTCTGTTCATGGAGCAATATTTCATAGGCTAAAACCTTATGCAAATTAGTTGCTGGAGAAAGAAATAGAAATATTTCTATAGAAATATGCAATAGAAATATGCAAACCACAACTGCCATTAGGACCGCTAGAGCCATTCAGATAAGCAAAACTAATTGATGCAACCAGGGACTGACCATTCATGAGCACATGCAATGGTGTAGATAGTTCAGTCCTCTTCTCCAATAAGAAATGTCCCAGAGATTAGGTGCTTTGAGATCCCCCAGCTAAACTGAGGTTCCAGTGCCAGGGCGGCTAGCAACCCTGCCCCAACGGTAAATGAAGGGGAGCTGAATCGGGATGGTTAACATGTGCCTTTCACAGCACCCTTCTTTTACCTGGAGGATGGCTTAATGTCTACCTGTGACCAGGGGTCCCTCATATGGGAAATTTGTTTATACTTGCAGATGCCCTTGTCTGACCATGGCTCTGGTGCTGGGAGCCTGACCTGTGTTCTCCCTGGCATCCGAGGGGAAAACTCAGCCTGGGGCAGCCCCTGGTCCTTCAGATGGAAGGCACAAATTCAATACACCACCACAGTATGGAACAAATTGAAAGGTTTTTATCTACAGATTCTAGGCAACGAGAGTGCAATGAGCTGGGAGGGCAGTCCTCTGTCCCTGGGTTACCAGTGGCAGGAATGAAGGGTCAGGCAGAGGCATGAACAGCATGCTGCACCCAGCGGTGCAGAAAGTGCCTGACCTGTGGTGGTTTGACTTCCAATTTCTGGACTTTACTGTGGTGCAAAAGCCATATGCATTCAGTAGAAACTACTTCAAGGACCCATACAGCCATTCTATTTTTCACTTTCAGTACCATGTTCAATAAATTACATGAGACATTCAATGCTTATTATAAAATAGGACTTGTGTTAGGTGATTTTGCCTAACTCTAGGCTAATGTTAAGTGTTCTGAGTATGATGAAGGTAGGCTAGGCTGAGCTATGATGTTCTATAGGTTAGGTGTATCAATGCATTTCTACTTAGGGTATTTTCAACTTATGATGGGTTTATTGGGACCATAGCCCCATCGTAAGTCAAGAAGCATCTGTATAAAGGAATAGGGCATGGGTCACTTTAAGTTCATTGGCAAATGTCTCAATGGGTAGTTTAAAGGAAGTGTTGGGAAAGTAGGGAGCCCAGCCTGCTAGGCGGGAGAGATGCTTTTAAGTGTTTATCTCTGGCCATTGGCTTAAACCATTTGGGTGTGGAGTAGAACTGGAAACTGTGTCAAAGGTGACTGAGCCTTGCTTCTGGTCTGATAAAGTTAAACTTCTATTCAAAACGAAGGCCAAGGCCACATAACATAAGAGCTCATTACATGAGGGCATTAAGTACTTTTATTTAGTAATATACCCCCAGAGCAAAGTCCCTGCCTGGTAGCTAAGCTGCAGCTATAAATTCTGTGAAGTGTGATAGGTTTGGCTACAAAATTCTGACAAACCCACTAGGCTTGGTTGTAAATTCTTGGAAGTCTGTTTATTTCCAAAGCTGTGATGAACAATGAATGCAGAAATCTAAGTGACTTCTTACTGAATTTTAAAAGTACAGTTTAGCATTGCCCCTCGAATGCCTGTGAATTTGTATTATGGGAAAGCAGTGGCCCAAAGATTTATTCAACTAGGTGCAAAAGAGCAAGGCTTTATTGTATAACTGCTCCACTCAAAGCCGTATCTCCTAAGCACTATGGCTGGCAGGCACCACCTCTGCCATCGTAGCTGAGGGAGGTATGTGCCCGCTTACTCTCTGCCTGAACCCCCACCAGCAGACAGACCAGTGTAAATCATAATCATTCCAAATAGCTCAAGATTTTCATCAAACAATGCAATCATTGTCATGAAAAGTAAATCTAGCTGACATTTATCCTGAGTATTTAATTAGTAGGAGTTACCCAGTAAGACATGGCAGGTTGTGGGGCATGTGCTGGCATTTTCCCTTCCCCAGGTAAAGGCACATGTATATGTGTGTTTCAGTTGCATCCTATTCCGAAGCTTGTAGTGAGTTTCTGAAACATAGTATCCCCATGGCTAAAAACAAGGATTTATGTGTAGCTGAATCCATTTGCCCTTCTTGGAGATTCCAAGGAGGGGATGAAGGAGGAGATAACGGCCACATCATATCCCCTCTCAAACCCCCTCTGGCTTTCAGAACTGATCTCCAAGCAGACCATGCCCTCAGGGTTCTGTGCTTGGGCATGGACATGGAATGCTTTTCCCTGGTAACAGGTGAGGAGCATAAAAATAAATGAATGTGTCCCCACAATGCATTGGTTGCCGGCACCCCAGATGCTCGGAGGCTGGGGTACACCTTCATCATTGTCTCCAGGTGTGTTCCCCAGAAGGAGAGCAGGCAGAGGGGCTGTTGGACAGCATCATTCAGTTTCGGGGAGGCCATGCATGCAAATTCTCCCACTGTGCCCTTGGAGGTCAGACAGTGTCTCAGAGGAGGGGCAGCATGATCCTAACTGCCTTCTGTGGGGCCATCTCTAAGCCATCCTCTGCTACTGCCAGAGCATCTTTCTAAAGCACAAATCTCCTCTTGTCACTCCCCTGCTGAGGTTGACTGTGTTGACTCCCTGCGCCTTCTGGATAAAGTCCATCCCCTTAGCAGATACACTAGCCTTTTTTTTTTCCTTTTCATAATCAACTTTATTGAGGTACAATTTACGCACAATAAAATGCACTGATGTCCCAAGTATAGTTCAATCATTGTCGACAAGTGGATTTATCCATGGAACCTCTGCCACCATGATCAGGATCTAGAAGAATTTGCTCACACCCTTTCATTTCCATCCCTTCCCCTTGTCTCCAGCCCCTGGAAAGTATTGGTCTGCTTTGTGTCACTGTACTTTTGTCATTTAAAAAATTTTTTTGTTTTAGAATTTCACATAAATGAATCATAGAGTATGTAGTAGTCTGTGTAGTCTGGCTTGTTTTCATCTATAAAGCTTTTGATATTTATTCATGATGTGTGTATCAGAAGTTTGTTCTTTTTTTGTTTATTTTTTTGGCTGATGAGTATTCCATTGTGGGGACATAATCACAATTAGTCTATCCTTTCACCAGTTGGTGGACATTTGTGTTATTTTCCAGTTTTTTATATTCTGAATAAAGCTGCCAGGAACATTCATGTACATGTCTCTGTGAGCACCTTTTTTTACAAAAAGAGGCAGGGCCTCATTCTGTTGTCCAAACTGGAGTGCAGTGGCATGATTATAGCTCATTGCAGCCTTGAACCTCCAGGCTCAAGCGATCCCCTTACCTCAGCCTCCCAAGTGGCTGAGACTACAGGCACATGCCACCATGTCCAGCTAATTTTAAAATATTTTGTAGAGATGAGGTCTTACTATGTTTTCCAGGCTGGTCTCAAACTGTTGGCCTGAAGCAATCCTCCTGCCTTAGCCTCCCAAAGTGCTGGGATTACAGGTGTGAGCCACTGCACCCAGCAGTAAGCACATGCTTTAATTCCTCTCAGGTAAATGCCATTCCTGTATTGTATAGAAGTATATGTTTAACTTTAGAAGACTGTTGCAAACTAGTTTCCATGGTGACTGCAGCATTGTACAGTCCCTCCACTAGTGCTTGAGGGTTGTTTCATATCCTCATCAACATCTGGTATCATCCATCTTTTAATTTTAGCCACTCTAGTGAATTACACGAGGCCTTGAAGCCCACCTGTAAGTGTATTGCCCTTTTCTTCAGGTGGCCCCTCCTCTCCAGTCTCATGGGTGAATGCTCAGTTTCAAGTCACCAACCTTCCTGTGTGAGGCCCCTGCCCTTCTCAAGCTGCACTGGCACCCTAGAGCGGGCACCAACAGTACCTGTGCACACCCATCCTTATAGTGTGGCTGTTGCTGTCTTTGCCTGCCTTCTCCTCTCAACTCCAAGTTCAGTATTAGGAGTGGGGAGAGGCAGGAAGTTTCCACGTATTTGAATCCCAGTACCACATCTCTACAAAAACTAAACAAAATTAGCCAAATGTAGTGGTGCGCGCCTGTGGTCCCAGCTACTTGGGAGGCTGAGGTAGGAGGATTGCTTGAGCCCAGGAGGTCAAGGCTGCGGTGAGCTGAGATTGCACCACTGCACTCCAACCTGGGTGACAGAGTGAGACCCTATCTCAAAAAAAAAATAAAAAAAATGAATCTCCCAACTTTAAAATGTCTTCTAATTGAGGGGACTCATTCCCCATTAAAATGCGTACTCCACCATTCTTCAAATAATGGATGTGTGCATCTCTCTCCATGGATGCTCTGGCCTTCATTTGCAGAACAGCTAATGATCCATCCAGCCACAGACTAGGAACAAGCAATACCGAGCAGGCCTTAGCAGGACTGAAGTTTTGGCTTTAGGCACTCTGCATCCACCAAAGCCATTTGCTCATTTAAAGGTGGATATCAAACACTCACTGTGTGAGTGCTTTGGTGAGGTTCTGAGGATCTGTGGAAGACTCCAGGGAAGGGGGAATGAGGGGGAAATGACCAGAAAAAGCTATAGGGAGGAGGTGTGATTGGAGAGGATGCTGAAGGAATGGCAGCAGCTGCATGGATGGAGAAATGGGGGAAAGATGTTTCTGGTGGCAGAGTTCATGCTCATGGAACTGAAAGGTGATGTTAATCACTAGTTGAGGTGAGAGCATGGTTACAGCAGAGGGTCCCTGTTGGAGGACTGCGGCACATTTATTAGAGGGGCCTGTGACCAACTGGGGGAGGCGCTAGAATGTTTGAGGGAGGACACTGAATTCTGCCTTACAGGTCAGGGGCTGGGAGGCAGGTGGGGGCAGAGCCATTCACCTATTTATTTTTAATGATGAGCTCAATATTTTAGAAAACGATTTCCATAACTAAATGGGAGAAAGGGCAGGGAGCCTGAGCCAGCTCAGAAGCCGTCTCAGACATCTGGGCTAGCTAGTGTCAGCTATCTGTGCCCCTAGACCCCCCAGAAATGGGTCACACCTTTAGCAGCTGTCCTGTTCATCACTCTACAAGAATGTTTCCTCAGGATGCTCACAGCTGCCATGAGGCTTCTCAGGTTGGATGGCTTTCTCTCTACCCTGGCCCCACCACCGATGGAGCAAAGCTTTTGTGTGGCAAGTCTAGTTTTATTTGACCATACTCGATATCCATCAGATAAGAAAAATGAACATTGGCATAGTGATTTAGAATTTACTAGATATCTGGCAGTTCCTAGGTACCTGGGAACCATGACTGTCACTGGGCATATTGTAAAATTATGAATATGACCATCCAAGACTACTCTATGTATGCAGGTCAGAGGGCCCTTGAGGGGATAATTTGTGCAAAGTTCTACTTAGTGGTTAACAGCTTCTTTTGGTAGAAGTGGTACAGGCCCCCTGGGACTTGGCATGGGGGTTGAGAGGGGTGAAGGTGGGTCATTTCAATGGAAAAGACAAGTGGTGCCTTCTACACCATTGCCTTTTTTTCTTTTTCTTTGAGACAGGGTCTGCTCTGTTGCCCAGGCTGGAGTGCAGTAGAATGATCACAGCTGGAGTGTAGTGGCATGATCATGGCTCCCTCTAGTTTAGAATGCCTCAGCTCAAGCTGTCCTCCTGCCTCAGCCTCCCAGCTGGACTACAGGCATGTGCTACCACGCCTGGCTAATTTTTTTATTTTCCTAGAAACAGGATCTTGCTATGTTGCCCACGTTATTCTCAAACCCCTGTCCTCAAGCAATCCTCCTACCTTGGCCTCCCAAAGTGCTGGGATTACAGGTGTGAGCCACTGTGGCTGGCCAACTTTTGCATTTTTATCTGTCTTCAAAAGACACATACTTCCTTTCAGATCTGGTCATATTCCCAGGGAATAGTCACCGCACATCTCACAGTAGAAACACCCTACCTGAGGGTCCTGTGTGCAGAACATTCTGCAAAGACCCCCACAGAGGCCAGGTGGGCTTTGCAGCAGGCTTAGACAGTGGACACAGCCTGCAGCTGTGGCTGGGGCAGCACTGAGGTTTTAAAATTTTGATGGTCATTCCCAGCATTGCCCTTTGCGTTTAAACTATTAGAGCCAATATAAAACACTATAAGTTCGAATAAACTTGAAAGGATTCATAGGCTATACATGGCTCCAGAGTCCCTACACAGAATCTTGTGGCCAGAGGGGCCTCTGTCTGGTCCTTGTGGTGGGGACTGGTTAATGCCCTGGTGAGGTTCTCAAGGGCGGGGGTGCAGCCTCAGACCAGGACTTGAGTTGACTAGAAAGTCTTTCTCTCTCTCCACTTCACTGCCCCAGCCTATTTTTCTCTCCTGTCTTGACTTGGAATTGAAAACAGCTGGCCAACCTCCTTCCTCCTTGAAGGTGGTTTTTGAATTCTGTCCCTTCTCATTTTCACCCATAGGTTTTGCCCCTTGTCACTTACTGGGCACCTGAGGTATCACATCAGCATGAAAACTCATTACCTGCCCACCTGGTTCCGCTGCCTCAGCTCCTTCTTGGAAGCAGGTGGCCTCTACAGGATGAATATGTTTAAAAGGAAAAAGAAAAAAGGAAAGAAAAAAAAAGAAAACACTTCTGGTGTGTTGTTAGACTGGCTTCTTATTAGAGACACAATCCTCATTTCAGCCATGTATATTTAAGCCACACAAAGGAGCTCATGAGTGGAAATATCTTTTTGTCAGGAATTGTCAGAGGCAGTGATTGAAAAACTATAAGCTGCCAGGGGAATTGATCAGCCAGCTCAGGGAGACATCAGTATTGCTTATTTACAGGCAGACGGTGTTTCCATTTTGCTTAGTTACACATGTGCAGAGGTGTTTCCTCTTTCCACATGGAAGAAGTCCTGTGTAGGGGAGTAGGTTCCATGGAGTGAGCCGGGGGTGCCAAAGGCTTTTGGGCAGAGACCCTGCCCCTAGGGGCACACTGGCCTGGCTGTGGGAGCTGACCTGGGGAAGCATGTGTGTGGAACAGTGACAACCAGCAAGCTCAGGAAGAAACCACCTGGCAGTTAGTGGTGCCAGAGTGAACAGTGACAATGTTCAGGTCTGGCAGAGATGTCTGGGAATAACTCTGGGGCCAGGAAAGAATACTTCTGAATGTGATCATCAAATTAAACATCAATTTCTGCCAGGTGCAGTGGCTCACACCTGTAATCCCAGCTCTTTGGGAGGCCCAGCTGGGAGGATCACTTGAGGCCAGGAGTTCAAGACTGGCCTGGGCAACATAGCAAGATCCCATCTCTACAAAAAATAAAAAAAATGAGCCAGGTATCGTGGTGTGCATCTATAGTCCCAGTTACTCTGGAGGCTGAGGCAGGAGGATCATTTGAGCCCAGGAGTTTGAGGCTGCAGTGAGCTTTGATCACTCCACGGTACTCCAGTCTGGGTGATAGAGCAAGATCCTATCTCTAATTAAAAAGATACATAAATTAAAAAATTAATTTCATTGGGAGGCTGAGGCAGGAGGATTGCTTGAACCCAAGAGTTTGAGGCTGCAGTGAGCTATGATTACACCACTGTCACCTGGATGACAGAGTGAGACTCCATCTCTTTAAAAAAATATTAACTTCAGTGACTTTGGATTAATTAGTTTCATTTCACTTATATCCCTCTCACATTTTGGAGAGAGAAATATAGAAAAAGAAGAAAGAGGAGAGAGGGACAAAAGTTCTCAGACATTGGTGAAGTAACTGAAAGACTACAGGGTGAAATTGAATACTGAGAAATGCGTTTGTCCCAGGTCATTTAAGTTGTTAAAATCTACTGTCATTGGATAGTAAAGAAAGAGCTGTTTAAACTTTGGCAGCTTGATAGATTTTTTAAAAAGCCTCTTTTGCAAGGTTGACTTTAACATAAATCTTGAGCAAGCATAACATGTAAAACACCACTCAGGGCCATTACAGTTATGTTAAAGTTTTTATTTTCTCTCGCCAGCGGGATTTCTCTCTCCACTGGTATTATATGTGCCTGCCAAAACCATATAAAAAGGCTTCATGGAGAAAAGTTTCCAGTGCCAGAAGCCAATCCAGTTTTTTCCCAGATTTGAAGTTTAACACCGGGCCTGGAGACTGTTAGGAAATAGATGTTACAAAAGATGCGGAGTGAGGGAAGCCGGGAGGGAAGATGAATGAATTCAGTGTCCAGTGTTCCCAGGCTTCAGGGCAAAGGATGCAGATGCTTCAATTCATTACTGCGAGAGCTGAAGGGAGACAGAAGTTTGTGGTGTTTTTCAGTGACATTTATCTGCTCATCTGTCAGGAGTTTCTTTCTGTCAACAGGGATAAGCTGCTAAAAAACAAAACCACATGCAACCCTGCAGCTCACAATAATCAGTTATGTACCTTGGCACTTTTCACACATATTGATGCCAACACAAGTCATCTTGTTTCCTCTCTCCCTCTTAAAATTAGGAATTACAGAGAGGGCTATAGGGAAAAAAAATGATTGTCTCTAGTAAATAGCTTTGGTGAAACACACACGTATACACACACACACACACACACATCCTTCCTGTGGCATTTAGACTAACACCAACCTGTCTAGAGCTGACAGTCATATTTTTATATTGTGACATGGGCCACATATTCAGGACCATCGAGATAGATAAGAATTTTGAAGGCCCCTGTGATTCTACTGCGTGAGGAAGGCTTTGTTTGGCTCCAGGCTCTGTTCTCAGGACAATGGGCTGTGAGTGATATATGCAAATGTGTCCTTTTCCCATTACTGGAAGTGACCTTTATTATTAGATTGGAATAGCAACATCAATTCTTGGGTTAATATGACTTATTGGCCTAAAGGGAGGGAACATGTTCTCCTAGCAAGATTTAAAAACTGAGAATTAGGTACAATTCTTGCCTTCACCATAGCTAGAGAATCCTTGTGTGATGTTGGAGAAACACGTTACCTTTGTGTATCTCATTTGCTCTGTTTGGAGATTAGGGAAAACCACATCTCCCAGGAGCATTATGAGCCTTTATTAAGGGTTTCCCAAAAAACCTGGAAGAGATTGATTCCCACCCAAAACAATATTTGGATTACTTTAAGCCCCAGTGCCATGGAGGAGGCCAGATTCAGAGAAAAGCGTGTCAGTAAAAATCATTAATGAAGTCAACAGTTACTGCTTATTGGCAAGATGGTCCTGTTGCAACTAAATACAGAAAGCGCAAGAAGGTAATTTCCCTGAGGGGATGGTGTTGCCTTGCCAAGCAAACTATCCCTAGCCATCCTGTAAGCCTGCATCATGAGGCCTTGAACAATGAGTCTAAGTATAATTTAAGTGCTCTTTTCAGACTCCAATCTTGGTTATTTAATTATTTTGAGATGGAGCCTCACTCTGTTGCCCAGGCTGGAGTGCAGTGGTGAGATCTTGGCTCACTGCAACCTCTGACTCCTGGGTTCAAGTGATTCTCCTGCCTCGGCCTCCCAAGTAGTTGGGATTACAGGAGCCCACCACCATGCCTGCTAAGTTTTTGTTTTTTTTTTTTTTGTTTTTTGTTTTGTTTTTTTTTTGGATTTTTAGTAGAGGCGAGGTTTCACCATGTTGGCCAAGCTGGGTCTTGAACTCCTGACCTTAGATGATCCGCCCGCCTTGGCCTCCCAAAGTGCTGGGATTACAGGTATGAGCCACCGTGCTCAGCCTCATCTTAGTTATTTATTTGCCCCATGATAACACCTTACATTTTAAAAATGCCTTAAAATAACCTGATCAGTTTTTCCAAGTCAAAATATATTAAGAAGCAGGGAGAAAAAGACTAACCTTAAAGATGAAAAGGCAAGCTAGCATGTCCTGACTAGTAACATGGAGTCACTGGCAAAGTAAGCACAGATGAATGGGGTACATTTTTTAGGAGTCTGGGATTTCAAAAGAAGCAAATTAAAAGTAGTGATATCATTGAAAGGAAGAAAGCACTGGTCACTGTTAGAGGAGGGTTGGGATACTTTAAGTTAAAAAACAAAACAAAACAAACAACAAAAGTAAAGACAAGGTTTGCAACTGTGTGAACATTTATGCAGTTTGCCCTCATGTTCTACAGATAAATTGCTGTTTTAAAGCTCACCTGAAGTGTATCCATCCAAAGAAGTTAAGATATCGCTTTGCTAAAATATCCTTCTATGTAAAAGAGGCATTTTTGGCTGGGTTTCCCATCCTTTGGGTTAAAATGATTAAGTATGTAATTGCTTAGGAAGTAATCCTATTATTTCAGATTTCATGCACAATAAATCTTTTTTCCTAATTTGAGGAATTATGAAGGGAAAATGAGATTCTCTGGTACATTTATTTTTGAAAGAACACTTGATAGATGTTGGAACTTCTAAGCAGCTCTGGTCTGGAAGAGGGTCTTAGCACCCGATTGAGAATTCTGTCTTGAAGGGTGAATATATGAAACCCACGTGACAGTCAAATGAGGTGATGTCTGCCTTTGGTTTAGAGCATAAAATCACCATAAAAACCTGACTTTTTAGAAGCAGGGCATAAAGGAATACTTTGTTTCATTAAAACCTCTAATATTTCTCATGGGAAGTTGGGCATTTGAGCAAATGTCTCGTCTTAAGCATTTAATAGTAAATTTGCACACCTAAGCATTTAACAGTAAATTTGCACACCTATGAGAAGTTTGGGGAAACCGGGCCTGTCTTTATTTCACAGTTTTGGTCACAAATGACCAGACAAGAAGGTGATTCTAAACAGAGGAGAAGAAAAGGATGGATGGGTCAGGGGAGGTGTTGGATGAATAGAGGAATTGCAAGTATCTCGGAGCTCCCAGTACCTAGGGCAGGCACTAATAAAGATTTGTTGCATAGATGGATGACTGGAGAGACAGAGTGAAAGGTTTTGTGGCCACAAAGAAAGGTCAGTCACTGCATTTTCTTGTAGATTCTCTTCCCTCTCCCCATGATTGGGAAGTGGGGACTTCTGATTAAGTTGATTAATATGCCCTAAACGAACTACTTAATGTCAAAAAAAAAGTGTTCAAAGGCCTCAATAACATTCACACCACACAGACCAAGCCAACCATGATTTATGTGGCTCTTTGGTGAGTCATAAAGCCCTGAGGACACTGCAGTACCCGGGTGTCATTTATCACCAGGCAGCTTAGCAAAAACATTCTGCGAACTCTTGTTTTCGGATAAATTTGATTCCGGAGGACTAGTAATTTCTTTTATTTAAATTTAAATTTTTATTTTTAGATGATGAAACATGCTGTTACCTAATCTATACTTGAAATTTTGACAAGAGTATTTTGCATGTTGTTGGGGTGGACACCAGCGTCCACCTTTGTGGATAGGTTTGGCCTTTGCTAAGTGGGATTCTTCTTGGGGGTCTGCCGGGGCTCTGTGGGAAAGGGACCCTCTGTAAGTGAGAAGATTTAAGCCACAAGCAATTAAACGGAGCTTTTGGAATTTGTGTTGAGTTTTTTCTTTGTGACTTTGGCTCTGTTTATAGTTTAATGGGATAAACATCCTTTTTTCTTATGCTTTTTAAACTTCTTCATTGCTCCTCAAAAATATTTTTAGGAAGTTTTTTTTTTTTTGGTTGGTTGGTTTTGTAGAGATGGGGTCTCGCTATGTTGCCCAGGCTGGACTCAAAACTCCTGAGCTCAAGGGATCCTCCTGCCTCAGCCTCCCAAGTAGCTGGGACTACAGGTGTGCTACATCATGACCAGGAAATTTGTATTATTTAACTTTTATAATTTAGTGAAACATCTAAGGATAATTTATTCACAACATCCAAGAAGCTGGATGTTCACACAAGAATTCTTCCTACCCCCTCATGTCTCTCTCTCCCCAAGACAGAGCAGACCCATCAACATGGTTTCCTTGAATTTCTATTTGAACACAGTTTATTTTTCCTGAGTTGTATAATAGATCTAAAGAACACTCCAACAGAGGATCTGCACACATTTTACCTTTAGAGAAAAACCAGAGTGGAAGCCAACAGCCAGAAAAGGTTTTAGGAAGATATTGAGCAAGTGGCTAGATGTTAGATTACGAGGCAACATGAGAATGAAGAAAACCATATCTTGGCTGTTGTTTAGACAGCTTCAGATAAAACTCTAATCCTGACAGAAAACCCATCAGCAATGTGTACATCAGGTCCTGGGAAGCTGTTTTTCTGTCACTGGAGGTGAGAGTCTCTAACATGATCCGCCCAGGAGAAACTCCTTTTGGAAAGCTGGCGGCAGGCTGAACAGTCAGCTAGAATGCCTTACCTGCCGTTTTCTCTTCCTTTTTGTCAGAGCCCAGGGTTCCTCAGGAATTCCATTGGTTCCATAAAGTTATAATCTTCTTATCAGTGTGTTGCTTTCTGTTACTGCCGAAAAGACATTACTCCCTCTAGGGTATGATCGGATCCTACTTGGTGATGGACATTGGAACTTAACTTTGTCTTACATACAAATCAAATCGTAACATCCAAACATTGACCTTGGGCTGACATTAGAGTAGAAATGGCTGACCTTGCTCTGAAACATCATATGAAGATAGAAGAAAGGAAGTTTAAAAGAATGATTGAGAGGGAAGGACAATGTTCTGATAATATGGTTCATAAATAGGAAGGAACGAAAATGAGACATAAAGACAGAGCATTGACGTATCTATAACTCTATAGCATCTGTGATACCCTACCTGTCTATAATGCAGATGGTTGTATGAACATGGCTTCCATTATTCCGTCTAATAGGAAAACCTTATGAATACCCACAGTCCTGAATGGATGTGCTACATCCTAAAACTAGTGCATAACATAAGTTACCTCAGGTAATCACTAAAACAACCGTGTAATGTGGAAACTGAATCTCTGAAGCCTTCCCAGGGTCATGCTGCAAGGGCTGGGATTCAACTTCAGATTTAAAGGATTTTAAAGTCTCTGCTTTCCTTACTCTGGGATATGCAAGGACAGACATGAGGCTTTGCACTTGGAATCTGGAGTATGTTGGGAAGACACATATCTATCTATAGGCAGCAAGCAGAGGCCAGAGGCCCAGACCCTTAGTGAGAGGGTGCCCCCAGTCCTCCAGTGCTGGCATGATGTTGCAGTTGTCTTCCAAGCTAGCCTGTAAACTGCCATAGTTCATTGACTTGTTACATTGTCAGCGGCTCTCACAAGGCTTAACCCATAGTAGGAACCCAATAAAAGTTTGCTCAATGAGATTATGACATAAATTCTGTATAATCAAGTCTTGGAAGTCTGCCCCGTCTGTTCATCTAGAGATCTTGTTTCTTGGCAGCACTGACTCTGTGGCAGCCCTGGTTTATGGGCGTCTGGGACACCTACTCTGACAGCTCAACCCAGCCTGCCCACACAGCCCGCTCGCTTCCTCTGCTGACTGTTAGAGCTGCTCCCAGCACTAACACCGGGGCTGCTGTTGACATCTGATTCACACGTCTCGATTGTTTTTGCCCCTGTGAGAATTATGGTTGGGGAATAACAAATAAATGAAAATAAGTGAGAAAATAAAAATGAGGAAGAAGAGTCAAGGGGAGGAGATTCAACATCCTCTTTTGTACAAGTAAAGTGGTAAGTTCTGAGTGGACATTTGCTCAAAGAGTAATGAGGAGGTGAGTCGACATCTGGTACCATCACTGATGCTCATGATTCAATTCAGCCATGGGAATGTCCAGCCAATCAACCAATCATCACCCGGTCGTTGCCAGATTTATGGGATCTGCTTCAGGGTGCTGAGAAGGTGGAAGTGAGAATGTAACTCATTATTCTCTCTGCTTAACACACAGGCAGAGATTTCCAGGAGCAAAACCACCAGGAAGAAGGAGAGTTAACTGTGGGCTTGGGCTGCTTTGTGGGCATCTTCCTGCCCTCTCTTCTTTTTGAGAGCCCTTTGAAGGATCAACAGTTGGCCATTTCCCCCATCCCAGAGCAGGCTCCGAGAAATCACACCTTGGAGGGAATGCAGGCTCTAGAGATGGGCAGTCCAGGAAACTTCCAGGCTCCCCTGACCATCGAGCCTCACTGTCTTCTTTATATTGATGGAAAGAAATTCCCAGAACAAGGGAGATAGTGAGTGCTCCAAGTGATGACAAATAACATTTTAAAAGTCAAAGGTATTTACCTCAATTTCAATCTCATCACTTTTTAAAAGAGTTATGATTTAATTTGTATTCTGAACTAGGTAAATAACATGCAAAAGGTACAAAAGGATACATAATGGAGAGGAAGTCTCCTTCCCACCTGTTTCCTTCCCTTCCCGGGGGCAATCACTGAAACTGGTTTCCTGTGTTTTCTCCCCGAGATACTCTATGTATCTACAGTCTGTATGTCTCTGTATACATGTGAAACACACATTGACTTGTCCTCTGTACACTTTGGCATCATGGTATTTTTTTTTTCTCATTTTTTGGTTAATTTTGGACAGATCATTCTAACATTTAACACTAAAATGTACATCCTCACATTTTTTTTTTCTTTTTTTAATTGTCCAACACAGAGTCTCGCTCTGTGGCCCAGGCTTGAGTACAGTGGCACAATCTTGGCTCATGCAACCTCTGCCTCCTGGGTTCAAGAGATTCTCCTGCCTTAGCCTCCTGAGTAGCTGGGTCTACAGGTGTGTGCCACAACACCTGGCTAATTTTTGGTATTTTTAGTAGAAATGGGGTTTCACCATGTTGGCTAGGTTGGTCATGAACTCCTGACCTCAAGCAATCTGCCCACCTCGGCCTTCCAAAGTGCTGGGATTAGAGGCATGAGCCAGTGCATCCGGCCCATCCCCATTCTTTTTAAGGGCTGTGTGGTTGCCTCTTTCTTGGATAACATCTCATTTATTTAACAGTCTTCTTCTACCAGACATGGAATTTGCTTTCCACAGTTGCTATTACAAACAGTGCTTCAGTGAATGTGCAGACATTATTTCACATGTATTTGAGTGTGTATGTCAGATATATTCCTATCAAAGGCATTGCTATGTCAAGGGAGTAAATTGAGTACCGTCATTTGCAGACATGATCCAGTGTGTGCTGCCTCATCATGTTCAGCCTTCTAATACTCTTGGCCTTCAACAATTTTTTAATTATACAGGATCTTGCTTAGTTGTCCAGGCTGGAGTGCAGTGGCACAGGGCTCACTGCAGCCTCAACCCTATGGGCTCCAGTGAGTATCCTGCCTCAGCCTCCTGGCTAATTTAAAAAAATTTTTTTAATTTTTATTTTTTTATTATACTTTAAGTTCTGTGGTACATGTGCACAATGTGCAGGTTTGTTACACCCATCAATTCGTCATTTACATTAGGTATTTCTCCTGATGCTATCCATCCCCCAGCCCCCCATCCCCTGACAGGCCCCAGTGTGTGATGGTCCCCTCCGTGTGTCCATGTGTTCTCATTGTTCAGCTCCCACTTATGAGTGAGAACATGTGGTGTTTGGTTTTCTCTTCTTGTGTTACTTTGCTGAGAATGATGGTTTCCAGTTTCATCCATGTCCCTGCAAAGGACATGAACTCATCCTTTTTTATGGCTGCATAGTATTCCATGGTGTATATGTGCCACATTTTATTTATCCAGTCTATCACTGATGGGCATTTGGGTTGGTTCCAAGACTTTGCTGTTGTGAACAGTGCTGCAATAAACATGCGGGTGCATGTGTCTTTATAGTAGAATGATTTATAATCCTTTGGGTATATACCCAGTAATGAGATTGCTGGGTCAAATGGTATTTCTAGTTCTAGATCATTGGGGAGTTGCCACACTGTCATCTACAATGGTTGAACTAATTTACACTCCCACCAACAATGTAAAAGTGTTCCTATTTCTCCACATCCTCTCCAGCACCTGTTGTTTCCTGACTTTTTAATGATCACCATTCTAAGTGGCGTGAGATGGTATCTCATTGTGGTTTTGATTTGCATTTCTCTAATGACCAGTGATGATGTACATTTTTTCATAAGTTTGTTGGCCGCATAAATGTCTTCTTTTGAGAAGTGTCTGTTCATATCCTTTGCCCACTTTTTGATGGGGTTGTTCGTTTTTTTTTTGTAAATTTGTTTAAGTTCTTTGTAGAGTCTGGATATTAGCCCTTTGTCAGATGGGTAGATTGCAAAAAATTTCTCCCATTCTGTAGATTGCCTGTTCACTCTGATAATTTCTCTTGCTGTGCAGAAATTTTTTAGTTTAATTAGATCCCATTTGTCTATTTTGGCTTTTGTTGCCATTGCTATTGCTGTTTTAGTCATGAAGACCTTGCCCATGCCTATGTTCTGAATAGTATTGCCTAGGTTTTCTCTAGGGTTTTTATGGTTTTGGGTGTTACATTTAAGTCTTTAATCCATCTTGAGTTAATTTTTGTATGAGGTGTACAGAAGGGATCCAGTTTCAGCTTTCTGCCTATGGCTAGCCAGTTTTCCCAGCACCATTTATTAAACAGGGAATCCTTTCCCCATTGCTTGTTTTTGTCAGGTTTGTCAAAGATCAGATGCTTGTAAATGTGTGATGTTATTTCTGAGGCCTCTGTTCTTTTCCATTGGTCTATATATCTGTTTTGGTACCAGTACCATGCTGTTTTGGTTACTGTAGCCTTGTAGTATAGTTTGAAGTCAGGTAGGGTGATACCTCCAGCTTTGTTCTTTTAGCTTAGGATTGTCTTGACTATGCAAGCTGTTTTTTGGTTCTATATGAAATTTAAAGTAGTTTTTTCCAATTCTGTGAAGAAAGTCTGTGGTAGCTTCATGGGGATAGCATTAAATCTATACATTACTTTGGGCAGTATGGCCATTTTCACAATACTGATTCTTCCTATCCATGAGCACGGAATGTTCTTCCATTTGTTTGTGTCCTCTTTTATTTCCTTGAGCAGTGGTTTGTAGTTTTCTGTGAAGAGGTCCTTCACATCCCTTGTATAATACAAGGAATAAATCCCTTGTATTCTACAAGGAATAAATCCCTTGTATTCTACAAGGAATAAATCCCTTGTATTCCTAGGTATTTTATTCTCTTTGTAGCAGTTGTGAATGGGAGTTCACTCATGATTTGGCTCTCTGTTTGTCTGTTATTGGTGTATAGGAATGCTTGTGATTTTTGCACATTGATTTTGTATCCTGAGACTTTCCTGAAGTTGCTT